>NC_000002.12:63542625-64167625 GCF_000001405.40 Homo sapiens
CTCAAATACTAAATATGTATTTTTAAAATATTAATTACATGTTTCATTCCAAAAGTTTCAAAGGAAACTTAAAATAAATTTAAAATGAAAATATATATCATCAAACAAACCATGAGCAATGGCCCAGCCACCTGGACTTACAGTAATCCCAGGCAGTCTCTGACGCATATGTATGTCCATGAGTCTGTGCACATATACATCTGTTTCACAAACAGAAGGAAAACACCTCTTCCCTTCAAACCTCCTCTGCTAATTACTAGTAAAAAATCTAATTATTCTTATATATAAGGAAACTTGAACATATTCTGAAATAAATGTGTAATAATTTATTCATAAGCAATGAAACATTACCTCAAAATAAAAATATCAAATATTCAAAAGAAAAATACTAAAGGTGGTAGTTTTGAAGAGAAGTAGTAAAACATTATAGTGAAAGAATTTCATAAAACATAAATCTAGATTTCCAAAAATGCTGTGATTTTTGTACAGTTGTTTGTTAATGGAAAATAAGTTTTAAAAGAAAATCATTTATATCCTATATTGTTTCACTACATTAGTGAAGTACAAAAATCAGTTTTGTATGACTCTGCATCTGAGAGAGCATTATCTTATTCACAGAAAAATAACATATACGAATACACATATAGTTTGTGTAATTCTGTCAGTTATAATAGCCTACTGAAGTACTTAAATTGATCCTGATTTTCTGTGATGACCATTGAATGCTTTGAAATGATAAGACAGCCTTATTTTGTGCTTCAAAAATATTGAAAAATATTTAAATACAAATGTAACAGAAACATTATTCACAAAATCACGGGAAAACACAGATGGCTTTTCTTTTTAATTCCCAAAAAGTATTGTGTCTCAAATTGGAAAATAACTTAAAAGGAAAATAAAACCTCTCCAAATTAAGACTTAAGGCTTTAAATTATTATCCATATAATTTTTTTTTACTTTATTTCAACATATAAATAAAACAATAATAATTATTTTTCATTGCAGAAGCTGATTCTTTAATAATTTAATGACTTGAATATACATAGGAATGCAAGGGTTTTTTCAGTGAATAAAAGAAGACACATAGGCCAAAAGGAAAGCTACTTTTCAAGTTTTAACTGATCAACAATTACTCGATGAGATATAATATTACAGAAAATTACTCAAATCCTAGGGCATTTTAGAATAATTTGAAATAGTAGAAGGTAAGCCTCTTTAATTGTAGTCAGAGAGCAATTTAATATTTAAATTTTACAGAAAACCAAATTGGATCAGTTTTTTGTTGTCGTATTTTCTTTTATATTTTATGTACTTTATTTGTACTCTGGGGAGGGTGGTATGGTTAGCTGAGCTTAAAATGCAATACAAACAATATACCAATAGCTTGAGACTTCTAGTGTAAATCACAAGATAGGTCCCCATTTAAATCCCAGACCAAGTAATAGCAAAGCAAGATTCATTCATTCTATTTTAGTATTTTGATAATTCTTATTTCCAAAGAGTTTCTTCAAACTATAATTTTAATTTCATCCTGACACCTTTTTTCAAAAAATGCATACTTCATTATATGGTCCTTGCACAACTGCACCACCTAGTGTTTACTCAGTAATTCCACAAATTTAATAAAGTTCTCAGCATTTAAAACAAAACAAAAACCCCTACCATCACCACCATGATACCACCATACTACATCAACCATCTAAACTTTGTTATCTTCAACTTATAAAGTTTAACTTTGTTTGACTTATAAAAGACTTATAAACTATTAAGTTTGGGATATATTAAAATTTTGGATTTTAATTATAATCTATTTAAAATATTCTGAGTGTACACTGAAATACATATTTCAAATGTGTTCAAACTGATTCTCTATTATTTCAAAAAGACTCACTTTTAAAAATCTAGAATGTATTTCAATGTCAAAATTAATAGACAAAAATGAGAATGGTAGGTGGCCTACCATTTTCATGGGCAAAAGCGATAATGGTGTATATCTCCTCTTCTCTCTACTCCTTTGGCTTCCTGAGGACAACAGAGTAGTAGGCAGAGTAGGCTCTTTTGCCTGTTCTTCACTCAGAATCATATTTTAAAAGCTGTATATAAGGAAAGGTATGCTACTATTAGTTTCCTCAATAGTTATTAGATTTTTTAAAATTAATGTTCCTGTTACAGTGTTGAGCAATAACTTTTTTAAATGTGCATCTGTGAATGATAAATTACCATATTATATGAAATTTAAAATATTAACCTGAGACTTATTTAATAATGTACCTGATTATTACTAATCATTATTGCAGTTCTACATTTTAATCAGGCATAAGTGATAAACTATTCATGTGAATTACTAGAATCAACATTGACTTTACATAGTTAAAACTAAGAATTCATAAAGTAAGCTGGAGGGAGAAAAAGAGGAATTCAGGCAAAACAGAAAGGTACTCTAAGGCCTTTCCAAAGACTTTATGATCCATTATCTACACTTGGGAGAGCCAATCCTATTCCTTTTCTAGCAGCAGGGTGCCACGGCCATGGATTACAGAATTCCCTGGCTGGTAAGTATACCAGTTCTCCAACTTGCCAACCTCCAGTGTTGAAAGCCAGGAGAGAGCCAAATACAATTTGGCTTAGAGTAGTAGTCCTAAGTGTTAAAGTGTGTGAGTAGAATGTGTGTGTGTGTGTGCACGTGTATGTGTGTGTATGTGTGTGTGTGTGAGAGAGAGAGAGAGACAGAGAGAGAGAGGAGGGAGAGAAAGAGAAAGAAAAAAAGAGACAGATGAATGAAAATGGAGGGCTTCAATCCAAATTGAAAACTAGTCCAGGCTTCCCATTTAAACTGCAAAGGTATGCAATCAAATCTTCTTTGGATAGTGTCTATTACCCTCTGTTCTCCAGCATCAGGCTTCTATAATGATGCATTTTCTTATCCACCCTGTGATAATCTACCCGAACATTTTATTTTTCACCTTCTTTCTAGTCGAGGTATGATTTATATAATTTGTTCCTCTAAAGCAGGGTATAAAAAAAACAATCCAAGTGATTTTCTTGGTGCCATGA
The DNA here is from genome assembly GCF_000001405.40 of Homo sapiens. Classification (NCBI taxonomy): domain Eukaryota; kingdom Metazoa; phylum Chordata; class Mammalia; order Primates; family Hominidae; genus Homo; species Homo sapiens. The sequence goes on from NC_000002.12 coordinate 63,545,680, forward strand.
TGTCAAGTAGAACTCAGATCCACCTAGAAACATTCAAGTGTTCATGGACCACAGTGTATTCTCTAGAGGCTGAAGGTACACAAGAATATGACACACCTCCTTGGCAAAAAACGGTGCAATGGTCTACAAAGGGCTCTTCCAGCCCCTCTCGTTTCTTCTGAACGAGGCGCTCAGATTTAAAAAAAAAAAAAAAAAAGTACTGTGAAATGTGCCTGTGGATTGAAGGCTTTTCCTGACTCACATAAAACTTACCAAAACCTTTATCTTTGCTAGACTGATGCAGGGTCTTGCTCCCATGATCCTAGAGACCAACTGTAACAATACAGTCTCCTAAGATCTGACAGCCATACCTCTCAGGATCCTAAGTCTAACCCAGCACACCAAGGAACTATACCTACAAAAATATTGTGGGATACTATATTCACTGAAGCAGAAAAATGAGAGCCACGCTTGGGAGGGCCTTAGCCTGTAATTAGCTCCTCTGATCAGCAAAATGGAGAAATGGGGTAACACTCATTACTGTTCCGCCTAAAGAATAAAATGAAGTGAAAATGGTAAAAGGAGATATTTTATGCATGACGTATGTGGAAATAGATAACTCAGAGCCTTTAATATGAACTCAGAGCAAAACAGTAATGTAGTTTTTAAATTCAAGAGGAAAGAAGACAGAGTCCAGGCCTGCTCAAGGTAGGGGATCTAATAGACAATCCAATTCTAACAACAAGTTTGAATTCTCAACATAAAAGGGAAAGAAAAGTAAACTCACCCAATCTTTCCTACTCTAGAGAACTCCAACTAAAATTGCCTTGGCACTGAAAGGAGGCCAGGGGATTCTGTACCTGAGACACCATAGCCTGAAGCAAGCCACTGCATACAGTTACAGTCCAAATTATCTTGACTGGTGTATTCAAAACATTTTAAATCTTGACTTAGCCCAAACTGGTGCCAGGCTTGTAAGTGACCTCAAATGCACAGCATAAGCAAACAAAGTTCCTCTTGGAAGAATAATTACAAGATCATTCCAGAGCCCAAAGCCTTATTTAATTTTTCAAATTTAAAAAATGACACAATAAAACAAGGTATCATGAAAAAGAACCAGTAAAGGTATTAGAAAGCAGAAACAAACTCAAAAACTTAATATATTGGAATCAGGCACAGAAAATAAATAACTATATTTATATCTAAAGACATAAAAAACAGGGTTGGAAATACTGCAGAAAACAGAAAACTATTTTTTTAAAAAAAAGACAAAAGATTTCTGAGAAGGTAAATAAACTAGAAATGAAAAATATAATACTTGAAATTAGAAACTCAATAGAAAGAATTAATTCCAGATTAGAGAGCTGGGAAACATGAAAGAGTGAGCTAGTTTAAAAGACAGTTTAACAAATAATTCTATTAAAACATAGGCAAATGATGAAAAGACATATCTCAAAAAAGATATACAAATGACCAAGAAATATATTAAAAATGCTCAACATCACTAATCATCAACGAAATGTAAATCAAAACCACAGAGACATCATCCTATCCCAGTTAGAATGGCTATTATCAAGAAGACCAAAAAACAACATATGCTGACAAGGATGTAGACAAAAAGGAGAGTAGGCTCAACTATTAAACACTGCTGGTGGGAACATAAATCAATACAGCCATTATGGAAAACAGTATGGAGATTTCTCAAAAACTAAAAATAGAACTACCGTATGATCCAGCAATTCCACTACTGCGTAAATATCCAAAAGAAAGGAAATCAATATATCAAAGAGATATTTGCACTCCCATTTTATTGCAGCCCTATACAAAATTTGCTAAAGTATGGAATAAACCCAAGTGCCCATCAATGGATAAACAGATAAAGAAAATGTGGTATGTATACACACACACACACACACACATACACACACAGACACACACACTGAAATATTATTCAGCCATTATAAAGAACGAAATTCTGTCATTTGCAGCAACATAGATGGAACTGGAGGTCATCATGTTAGTGAAGTAAGCCAAGCAGAGAAAGACAAATATCACATGTTCTCACTCATATGTGGAAGGTAGAAAAAGAAAAAAAAAAAAAAGGTGGCTCTCATGAAGATAGAGAATAGACTTGTGGGTACCAGAGGCTGGGAAGGTGGGGTGGGGGATGATGAAGAGCAGTTTATTAATAGATACAAATGGTGTTTCACAGATCAGTAGAATGACTATACTTAACAGTAATCTATTACACATTTCAAAATAGCTAGAAGAGAATAATTCAAATATTTCTACCATAAAGTTAAATATTTAAGGTGAGAGATATTCTAATTACCCTGATTTGATTATATGAATGTATCAAAATTATCACATACTCTGAAAATATGTACATCTATTATGCATCAATAAAAAATATTAATGAAAAACTTAAGACATATAACTCAAAACAAAAATAATAAATACTAGAAGCAATCCCAAATTTTTTTAAAAAGCAAATGTAAGTATTACATAATACTTATAAGAGACACATCTAAAATATAAGGAAACACAAAGACTGAAAGTAAGAAGGAAAAATGATTTTTCATGAAAATACTAACAAAAAGATACCTGGTACAGTTGTATTAATATCAAGCAAAAAAGGCTTTTTAAATTATTTCTAAAGACAGTCAGTTTATAATGACAGAGGTTCAACTCACCATGAAAAAACAATTTAGAATTAATATGCATCCAATAACATACCTTCAAAATATATAAAACAAAAACTAACAGAAGTAAATCTACTCTTAGTTTCCTGAATGGCAATCAGAAAAAAAAAATCATAATAGATATGGATTTTAGAACAGCATTAACAAATCTGTCACAATTGGCATGTAGAGAACACTACACTCAAAAGCTAAAGAATATGTACTCTTCTAAAACTCAATTTGGACATTAAAAAATCAAATGGACCGCATCTTAAGTCTTGACAAATGTTAAGGTACTTTGATCATAAAGAATACATTTTCTTTCCTTTTTTTTTTTTGAGACCGAGCTCTCGCCATGTTGCCCAGGCTGATCTCGAACTCCTGGCCTCAAGCGATCTTCCAGCCTCAGCATCCTGAGTAGCTAGGATTACAGGCATGAGCCATCATGCCCAGCAAAACACATTTTCTAACTAATTCAGCTAGAACTCAACCAAAAAATAATTAAAATAAATGTCTATATGTTAAGAATCAGGAAACACACTTCTAAACAACCATGGGTGAAAGAAACATACCGGCAGAAAAAGTTTTAAGTATGTATGTTAAACAGTGATGAAAATATCATCTGTTGGCCAGGCGTGGTGGCTCACACCTGTAATCCCAGCATTTTAGGAGGCAGAGGTGGGTGGATCACCTGAGGTCAGGAGTTCAAGACCATCCTGGCCAACATGGAGAAACCCAGTCTCTACTAAAAATATAAAAATCAGCTGGGCATGGTGGCTGACGCCTGTAATCCCAGCTACTCAGGAGGCTGAGGCAGGGAGAATCACTTGAACCTGGGAGGCGGAGGCTGCAGTGAGCCAGGATCCTGCCATTATACTTCAACCTGGGCAATAGAGTGAGACTGTCTCAAAAAAAAAAAAAAAAAAAAAGAAAATAGCATTTGTGCTAAGCATCCATCTAAAGGAATTAAAAATAAAAAGAGCCTCAAAGGAAATTTGAAGTAATTGGAAGGAAATAATAAAATTAGCAGAATTAATGAATTCAGAAACAAAAACACCACAGTCAAGAAACTGTTTTATACTGTAATGGAAACTAGAAAAAAAAATTACCAAGTCATTAGCATAAAAGAAATTTTAAAACTATTCTCAGCAAAGCGCGGTGGCTCACGCCTGTAATCCCAACACTTTGGGAGGCCGAGGCGGGTGGATCACAAGGTCAGGAGTTCAAGACCAGCCTGGCCAAGATGGTGAAACCCCATCTCTACTGAAAATACAAAAATTAGCGGGCATAGTGGCAGAAGCCTGTAATCCCAGCTACTCGGGAGGCTGAGGCAGGAGAATCACTTGAACCAGGGTGGCAGAGGTTGCAGTCAGCTGAGATCGAGCCACTGCAACTCCATCCTGGACGACAGAGTGAGACTCCATCTCAAAAAAACAAAAACAACAACAACAAAACTATTCTCATAAACAGGAATTAGGAAGACGGACATAAGAACACACCCACATCAGTGGCTACTTCCACTCAAGGTTCTGATCTTGTTGCTCCAAATAGTAAGAAAGGGAGATGTGAAATTTAGTTGTTTATGCAGTAATAATGTGCTCACTCCCTCTCTTTCCTAGGCCATCTCCCACTGCTTCCCTCCACTCCAGACCTTTCTGCAGTACTCTCTGAACTTCCTTCCGCTCTGTCTTAAACATCTTCAAATGCATCAACCAATGCTTTCTCTCTCTCTCCTTGTCTTCTATAAAACTTAGTTCTGCCATTATACTGGCTTCTCCTATGTTCTCATGCGTAGATTCTTTATCTCACACATTCCCAACAGCATTAACTATATTTGTCTCCCATCTTAAGAAACACACACACACACACACACACACACACACACACACACACACACACACCCTTCCTCTAATTCCAATGACCACCATTCTCCTTGGTTTAAAAACCAAGTCTTGAAAGAGTTTTCTTCATGTATTCACAATCCCTGCACTATGGTTTCTATTTTCACCACAAAAGGAAACTGCTTTCGCTAAGATCACCAATGATTTCCTTGTTCCTAAAGCTAATGGACCTTTCTCAGGCCTTATCTCACTTGAGGTTTCTCCTATTATTTGACACTGTTAACATCTCTTTTTTCTAGTACTATTTTCTTCTCTTTGCTCCCAAACTAGTTTACTTCCTATCTTTCTGACCACTTTTCCTTAAGTACCATTTTTCTGTTTCTGTCTAATATTCCTCAAAATTCTGTCTTAGGTCCTCTTCTATCTGCTATCCTTGGGTGATCATATCTGCTTCCACAGCTTCAATTTCCATCTACAAAATTAAATCTCAAGCATTATATATATATACATACACATACATATACATATATGTGTGTATATATATACATATATATGTGCATATGTATGTGTATATATATACACATATATATGTGCATATGTACATATATATGTATATATATATATACACACCCATAGAAAGGCAAGCTGTTTCCCTTTCATCTACCCCCAACTCCTGAAATAAGAATTCCTTATAACGTTACTTACCAAGGACTAAAATTGAACTTCTCTTCACCAGGCAAACCTGTCTATTTTCCTGTGATTCCAGTTTTAGTAAACAATACTATCATTCATTCAATTGCTCAAGGCAGAAACCTACGTATAAGTCTTTTGTCCTCCTTCTGCCTTGCTACTCACATCCAGTCAACCACTACCCACTAAAGTCTACCTTATAAATGTCTTTCAAAATGATCTAAATCTCTTCTCTGAAATATCAGCATTTATTCCAAGATTTCAAAAATGAAGACCTTCAAATTCATCATTTCTTATGTACAATATAAACTTTCCTAATCCACAAGAAAAATTAGCTTAGCTTTCATTTATAAATAAATACAAAAAAAAAATCCACTAGTAAAAAATATGACTGTAATATAGTTTGGATTGCGTCCCCTCCAAATCTCATGTTGAAATATAATCCCTAGTGTTGGAGATGGGGCCTGGCGGGAGGTGTTTGGGTCATGGGGGCAGATCTCTCATGAATGGCTTGTTGCCCTCCTTGAGATAGCAAGTTCTCACTCTGAGTTCAAGTGAGATCGGGTTATTTAAGAGTCTGGAACCTCCCCCTCTTGCCATGTGATACAATGACAATGACTCCATTGCCTTCCACCATGATTGAAAGCTTCCTGAGGCCTCACCAGGAGCAGATGCCAGCACCATGCTTCCTGTACAGCCTGCAGAACCATGAACCAAAATAACACTCTTTTCTTTATAAATTACCAGCCTCAGATATTTCTTTATAGCAACATAAATGGACTAATACAGACTCCTATCATGACAAGGACATGTTGGACACACTGCTCTTAGATAATATTAAGGCAAATAAGACTCAAAATATGTTAAAAGCAAAATGCTGGCATAATGCTTTTGTTTTCTAAAACCAAAGACACATATGTGAATTATTTGTTACATAAAAGGCACCCATTTGAAAAGGGTGATTTTTTTATAATGTGCCAGATTTGTCATTGTCCTTTTCTAACCTATCCCCATCACAGTCTTTCCTTCTTAAATCTTCTTATCCTAGTATAAACCTAAATATGAATATTCTGTTTTGCTTTCATTTTCTTTTTTTTTTTTTTTAAGAGAGAGGGTCTCACTATGTTGCCCAGGCTGGTCTCAACTCCTGGGCTCAAGTGATCTTCCTACCTCAGCTTCCTAAGGTTCTGGATTTTCAGGTGTGAGCCACCACACTTGGCCCTGCTTTCTTTAAAACAATATTTTATATTCTATATTCTATTTAAAATCCAAGTATTCTATTATAGTACCCAAAAAAAGTTGTGAAAAGTTATTTCACTAGTATCAATATTTACTCTGTATTTGGGCACTGTTAAACTGAGCAGAATGAAGACTTATAAAAAATAAATTTTCTCTATTCTTTCTCTTTTATGTTGTTTATTCCAGTTATTCCCAGAGATATATATACACCTACTCTAATGCATAAAAATTATTTAATTTTAAAGATTCCAGAAAGCAGTAATAAAATGCCAATTTTTAAAGATTTATTCTCATATTAAGTAACAAGTGTTTAAAAGATATCTGCATTTTAAAAAGTAATAAAGAAGTAATTCAACTTAAAAAATAGCTAGACACTGTCAGGAAGATTATAAGGTATAAACACAGTATCTCCTCTTTTTTTTATTTCAACTTTTAAATGCAGGGGGTACATGTGTGGGTTTGTTATATGGGTATATTGCGTGATGCTGGGTATCTCTTCTTTTAGGGTTTACAAATTAGTTGAGAAGACAAAGGACACAGATACAAACAGCAGAACAATAATACAGGATATTTGATAGGAAATGTGTGACTAAATGCCAAATAAAAGGCACTAACAAAAAAGCTATAAATCACTTAATACAGAGAAATCATTAGGGACCAGCAGTGATTAGAAACAGCTTCTTGGAAGGAATAGAACCTGTGTTTTGTCAGATGAGTAGCAAACTTTTAGAAAATAACAGAGATAAGAGAATCACACATAATAAAAACCAAAGATTGTTTTCAGCGTAAAATAAATACAAGTGTGTCTAAAGGTGATTTCTACTAAGCAGTGAAGTTAAGAAAAGTTAGATAGGTTACCACTAAACTACAGAAGGCCTTGCATGCCAAACTAAGAATTATGAAATGAAATTTAACCTCTCTGGGCCTGATGGCACTGAAGGAAAAGCATCCAACAGACTCACTGACACTTGGGGAAAGCAACAGTATTTTTTAAGTGTTTAGTTCTCCCCACACCACTGTAAGGGGGAGAGAGGAAGAACTGATATAAAAATAAGCTTGATTTAATTTTACGAGCTTTTGCCAAGGAATAATAAAATTACAAATGAGTAATGTGAACTCTTCAACTGTTAAATTCCATTTATGAAATATGATACAACATTTTCTTTTATTCTCTTTGAACTAATCATTTATTTCAAGGTTGTGGGAAGTATTTCCCGCCCATCCTCCCGATCCTGGTACGTGTTAGAGCCAGTTATTTTTGCAGCTTTGAAGTTGCTTCAAGATCTGTCATTTGGTTAGGTCAGGGGATGAATGCCTGAGGTGTTTTGTCCTCCAGGATGCTATTTTTCCTCAATTCATCTCTGTTTGGAAATGATTTATGCATTTTGGAGTGCAGGGTATTTTTTTCAAGATTTAAAATATCAACATGTCTCATGTTGACCTCAACATATTCAAGACATAATTTTCCATTCTTCTATTTTGTGTAAATATTTAAGCTCACCTTTACATCAATCTGATGCTTTTAAAAAAAAAAAAACTTTTTTCTTGGTAAGTAGAGCATTCAATGTGAATTGGGTCATAGGGATATTCAATTTTAGAAGAAAAGAGGGTTGTTTTTCTAGCTTTGCTGTGAAATAATTTCAAGTTAATGGAAGTGTTGCAAAAATGATTTTTAAAAAAAACTCCTCTATACCCTTGACCCAGATTCCCCAATTAACATTTTACCTCATTCAATTTAACATTCTCTTATACACACAAACACACACAAATTTATTTCAAGCCATTTGAAATTAAGTTGCAGACACAATGCTCCATTACCCCTTGATATGTCAGTGTGTATTTCCTAAAACCAAGGACACTCTTTCACATAACCACAGTACAACCATCAAAATTAATAATTTACTATCAACACAATTTTACCATTTAAACCAGAGACCAAATGCCAGTTTCACCCATTGTTCCAATAATGTTTAGATCCAATTCAGGATCATGCTTTGCATTTCACTGTTATGTCTCTTTGGTCCACTTCAATTTGGAACACTTCCTGCTGTCTCTTGATTTTGACATTTCTGATGCATAAAGCTGGTTACTTTATAGAAGTTTCTTCGCTTTGAATTTTTCTTATGTTTCCTTGGAATTAGATGTGGCTTATGTATTTTTGGCAAGAATACTGCAGAAATGATGCCATGCTCTTCTAGGTTCATTATATCAGGAGGCACACAATGTCAACTTGTCCCATTATTGGGGTTGGCAACTTATGTCACTTGGTAAATTGGTGTCTACCATGATTTCCCCCAGTTAATAAATATGTTGTACTTGATCACCTGAGGTCAGGAGTTCGAGACCAGCCTGGCCAACGTGGCAAAACCCCATCTCTATTAAAAATACAAAAAATTAGCTGGGTATGATGGCAGGCACCTGTAATCCCAGCTACTTTGGAGGCTGAGGCAGGAGAATCACTTGAACCCAGGAGGCGGAGGTTGCAGTGAGCCAAGATTGCGCCATTGCTCTCCAGCCTGGGTAACAAAGCGAAACTCCGTCTCAAAAAAAAAAAAGATTAATAAATATTTTGTGGGCAGATATTATGAAATTATGCAAGTATCCTCCTCATCAAAATTTCACCTACTACTGAGAAGAACAAAAATGGTGATTGAGTCCTGAACCAACAACTGAGGTATCCAGGTTCTCTCACTGGGACTGACTAGGCAGCTGGTGAGACCCATGGAGACTGAGGAAAAGCAGGGTGGTGTGACAGCCCACCTGGGAGCTACATGGGGGAAAGGAAGCTCCCACCCCTCAGCCAAGAGGGGGTGAGAAATTGTGCTACCCTGCCCAAGAAACCACACTTTTTCCACAGATCTGAGCAGTCCACAAATTAGGAGATCCCCTCATGAGCTCATGCCAGCAGGGCCTTAGTCTAACGCACAGAGATGTGCAGATTCTTTACAGCCACTTGGCTGGAGACTGCCTAAGACTACCAAGTTCCCAGGGAGAGGGGCGGCAGCCATCATTGCAGCTCTGGTCTGCTATTTTTCCCCTGCCAGTGCCAAGGAGACTGGGCAGTTTGGACACGGGAGGAATTCCTCACAGCATAGCACAGTGCCTGTGGCAGATTGTGGCCAGACTGCCTCTTGAGGCCGGACCCTGACCCATCCCTCCTCACTAGCTGGGGGGACCTCCCTGAGGGAATTTCAGCAACTCTAGCCAGGGGTTTATGGGCAGAACTCTGGTCTCCCTGGGACTGTACCCCTGCAGGGAGAGGCAGCCATGATCTCCGTAGATCAGCGGACTTAGTTTTTCCCCTGCTGTCTCTAGAGAATCCAGGCGGTCCAGGCCAGTGGGATTCCCCCCAGTGCAGCACACCCTCTCTGCCAAGGGGCAGCCAGAGTGCTTGGTTAAGTGGGTCCCGGATCCCGTGCCTCCTGACTAGGTGAGACCCCCCCGCAACAGGGGTTGCAGGACACCTTATACAGGAGCATTCCCACTGGATCAGGTCGGTGCCCCTCTGGGATGGAAATCCCAGAGGATGGAGCAGGCAGCCATCTTTGTTGTTCTGCAGCCTCCACTGGTGACATCTCCAGTGTGAGAGGGACCCAGGAAAACAGAGTCTGGAGTGGACCCCCAGCAAGCTGCAGCAGCCCTACAGAAGAGGGGTCTGACTGTTAAAAGAAAAACAAACAGAAAGGAACAACAACAACAACAGCATCAACAAAAAAAGTCCCCAAAAAACCCCATGCAAAGGTCAGCAGCCTCAAAGATTGAAGCTAGACAAACTCACAAAGATGAGAAAGAATCAGTGAAAAAAATGCTGAAAAATAAAAAAGCCAGAGTGCCTCGTCTCCAAATAATCCTCTCCAGCAAGGGCACAGAACTGGATGGAGGCTGAGATGGATGAATTGACAGAAGTAAGCTTCAGAAGGTAAGTAATAACAAACTTCTCTAAGCTAAAGGAGCATGCTCTAATCCACTGCAAAGAAGCTAAGAACCATGAGAAAACATCACAGCAGCTGTTAACCAGAATAACCAGTTTAGAGAGGAACATCAATGACCTGATGGAGCTGAAAAACGTAACATGAGAACTTCACAAATCAACTACAAGTATTAACAGCCAAATAGACCAAGTGAAGGAAAGAATTTCAGAGCTTGAAGACTATCTTGCTGAAATAAGAAAGGCAGACAAGATTAGAGATAAAAGAATGAAAAGGAACGAACAAAACCTCCAAGAACTATGGGGTTATGTAAAAAGTCCGAACCTGCGATTGATTGGGGTACCTGAAAGAGATAAGGAGAATGGAACCAAGTTGGAAAACATACTTCAGGATATAATCCAGGAGAATGTCCCCAAACTAGCAAAGCAGACCAACATTCAAATTTAGCCTCTTTGCATTGGGTTGGAACATGCTCCTTTAGCTCAGTGAAATTTGTTATTACCCACCTTCTGAAGCCTATTTCTGTCAATTCATTCATCTCAGCCTCCATCCAGTTCTGTGCCCTTGCTGAAGAGGTGTTGAAATCTTTCGGAAGAGAAGAGGCACTCTGGCTTTTTTAGTTTTCAGAACACCAGTAAGATACTCCATGAAAAGATCAACCGCAAGACACATAATCATCAGATTTTCCAAGGTCGAAATGAAGGAAAAAATGTTAAGGACAGCCAGAGAGAAAGGCCAGGTCACCTACAAAGGGAAGCCCATCAGACTAACAGCAGACCTCTCAGCAGAAACCCTACAAGCCAGAAGAGATTGGGGGCCAATATTCAACATTCTTACAGAAAAGAATTTCCAACCCAGAATTTCATATCCAGCCAAACTAAGCTTCATAAGTGAAGGGGAAATAAAATCCTTTTTGGATAAGCAAATGCTGAGGGAATTCATCACCACCAGGCCTTCCTTACAAGAGCTCCTAAAGGAAGCACTAAATATGGAAAGGAAAGAACGTTATCAACCACTACAAAAACACACTGAAGTACAAAGACCAATGACACTATGAAGCAACTACAACATGTCTGCAAAATAACTAGCTAGCATCACAATGACAGAATCAAATTCACTCATTTAACCGTAAATGTAAATGGACTAAATGCCCCCAATTAAAAGACACAGAATGACAAGCTAGATAAAGAATCAAGACCCCAACAGTGTGCTGTATTCAAGCGACCCATCTCACGTGCAAAGACACACAAAGGCTCAAAATAAAACGATGAAGGAAAATTTACCAAGCAAATGGAAAGCAAAAAAAGCAGGGGTTGCAATTCTAGTTTCTCACAAAACAGACTTTAAACCAACAAAGACCAAAAAAGACAAAGAAGGGGCATTACATAATGGTAAAGGGTTGAATTCAACAAGAAAAGCTAACTATCCTAAACATATATGCACCCAATACAGGAGCACCCAGATTCACAAAATAAGCTCTTAGAGACCTACAAAGAGACTTAGACTCCCACACAATAACAGCTAGAGACTTTAACACCCCACTGTCAATATTAGACAGAAAATTAACGAGGATATTCAGGACTTGAGCTCAGCTCTGGATCAAGTAGACTTGACAGACATCTATAGAACACTCCACCCAAAAACAACAGAATACACATTCTTCTCGGTGCCACATTCACTTACTCTAAAATCTATCACATAATTGAAAGTAAAACACTCCTCAGCAAATGCAAAAGAAGTGAAATTATAAAAACAGTCTCTCAGACCACAGTGCAATCAAATTAGAACTCAAGATTAAGAAACTCACTCAAAACCATACAACTACATGGAAATTGAACAACCTCCTCCTGAATGACTCCTGGGTAAATAATGAAATTAAGACAGAAATCAAGAAGTTCTTTGAAACCAAAGAGAACAAAGAGAAAACATAACAGAATCTCTGGGGCACAGCTGAAGCAGTGTCATAAGGGAAATTTATAGTACTAAATGCCCACATCAAAAAGCTAGAAAGATCTCAAATCAACACCATAACATCACAACTAAAAGAGCTAGAGAATCAAAGCAGACAAGAAATAACCAAGTTCAGAGCAGAACTGAAGGAGATAAGAGACATAAAAACCTCTTAAAAAAAAAAATCAATGAATCCAGTAGCTGGTTTTTTGAAAATTAACAAAATAGACGGCTAGCTAAACTAATAAAGAAGAAAAGAGGCCAGGCGTGGTGGCTCACGTCTGTAATCCCAGCACTTTGGGAGGGTGAGGCGGGCAGATCTTGAGGTCAGGAGTTTGAGACCAGCCTGGCCAACACAGGGAAACCCCGTCTCTACTAAAAATACAAAAATTAGCTGGGCGTGGTGGTGCGTGCCTGTAATCCCAGCTACTTGGGAGGCTTGAGGCAGGAGAATTGCTTGAACCAGGGTGTCAGAGGTTGCAGTGAGCTGAGACCGCACCACTGCACTCCAGCCTGGCAACAGAGTGAGACTCTGTCTCAAAAAAAAAAAAAAAAAAGAAAAAGAAAAAAGAAAAGAGAGAATAATCAAATAGAATAAAAAATGATAAAGGGGAGCTCACCACTGACCCCACAAAAATACAAACATCGGAGAATACTATAAACACCTCTACGCAAATAAACTAGAAAATCTAGAAGAAATGAATAAATTCCTGGACACATACACCCTCCCAAGACTGAACCAGGAAGAAGCTGAATCCCTAAACAGACCAATAACAAGTTCTGAAATTGAGGCAGCAACAAATGGCCTACCAACCAAAAAAACGCCAGGACCAAATGAATTTACAGCTGAACTCTACCACAGGTACAAAGAGGAACTAGTACCATTTCTTTTAAAACTATTCCAAACAACTGAAAAGGAGGAACTCCTCCCTAACTCATTTTATGATGCCAGCATCATCCTGATACCAAAACCTGGCAGAGATACAACAAAAAAAGAAAATTTCAGGCCAACATCCCTGATGAACATCAATGCAAAAATCCTCAATAAAATACTGGCAAACCGAATCCAGCAGCACATCAAAAAGCCTATCCACCACGATCAAGTCAGCTTCATTCCTGGAATGCAAGGCTGGTTCAACATATGCAAATCAGTATTTCATCACATAAACAGAACTAAAGAAAAAAACCACATGATTATCTCAATAGATGCAGAAAAGGCCTTTGATAAAATTCAACATCCCTTCATGTTAAAAACTCTCAATAAACTAGGTATTGATGGAATCTATCTCAAAATAATAGCGATTTATGACAACCCACAGCCAATATTATATTGAATGGGCAAAAGCTGGAAGCATTCCCTTTGAAAACCAGCACAAGACAAGGATGCCCTCTCTCACCACTCCTATTCAACATAGTATTGGAATTTCTGGCCAGGGCAATCAGGCAAGAGAAAGAAATAAAGGGTATTCAAATAGGAAGAGAGGAAGTCAAACTGTCTCTGTTTGCAGATGACATGATCCTATATCTAGAAAACCCCTTCACCTCAGCCCAAAAGTGTCTTAGGCTGATAAGTAACTTCTGCAAAGTTTCAAGATACAAAATCAATGTGCAAAAATCACAACCATTCCTATACACCAACAATAGACAAGCAGAGAGCCAAATCATGAGTGAACTCCCATTCACAACTGCTATAAAGGAAGTAAAATATCTAGGAATATTTAACATAATGGTTAACAAGGGAAGTGAAGGACCTCTTCAAGGATAACTACAATCCACTGCTTAAGGAAATCAGAGAGGACACAAACAAATGGAAAAACATTCCATGCTCATGGATAGGAAGAATCAATATCATGAAAATGATCATACTGCCCAAAGTAATTTATAGATTCAATGTTATTCCCATTAAACTGCCATTGACATTCTTCACAGAATTAGAAAAACTACTTTAAAATTCATATGGGGCCAGGCATGGTGGCTCACACCTGTAATCACAGCACTTTGGGAGGCCAAGACAGGTGGATCACCTGAGGTCAGGAGTTCGAGACCAACCTGACCAAACCCTGTCTCTTAAAACTACAAAAAAAATTAGCCAGGCGTGGTGTCGCATGCCTGTAATCCCAGCTATTTGGGAAGCTCAGGCAGGAGAACCGCTTGAAGCTGGGAGGTGGAACTTGCAGTGAGCCAAGATCGCACCATTTCATTCCAGCCTGGGTGACAAGAGCAAAAATCCGTCGCAAGAAAATAAAATAAAATAAAATAAAATTCATATGGAACCAAAAAAAAGTGTGTATAGCCAAGATAATCCTAAGCAAAAAGAACAAAGCTGGAGGTATCATGCTACCCGACCTCAAACTATACTACAAGGCTACAGTAACCAACACAGCATTGTACTGGTACAAAAACAGACACATAGATCAATGCAACAGAATAGAGATCTCAGAAATAAGACCACACATCTACAACCATCTGATCTTCAACAAACCTGACAAAAATAAGCAATGGGAAAAGGATTCCCTATTTAATAAATGCTGTTGACAGGTACACATACGTTTATTGTGGCACTATTCACAATAGCAAAGACTTGGAACGAACCCAAATGTCCATCAATGATAGACCGGATTAAGAAAATGTGGCACATATACACCATGGAATACTATGCAGCCATACAAAAGGGTGAGTTTATGTCCTTTGCAGGGACATAGATGAAGCTGGAAACCATCATTCTCAGCAAACTATCACAAGATCAGAAAACCAAACACTGCATGTTCTCACTCATAGGTGGGAGTTGAATAATGAGAACACATGGACACAGGGAGGGGAACATCATACACTGGGGCCTGTTGGGAGGTAGGGGCCTGGGGGAGGCATAGCATTAGGAGAAATACCTAATGTAAATGACCAGTTGATGGGTGCAGCAAACCAACATGGCACATGCATACATATGTAACAAACCTGCACGTTGTGCACATGTACCCTAGAACTTAAAGTATAATAAATAAATGGTGCTGAGAGAACTGGCTAGCCATATGCAGAAAAACTAAAACTGGACCCCTTTCCTACACCTTATGCAAAATTTCACTCAAGATGAATTAAAAACTTAAATGTAAAACCCAAAACTACAGAAACCCTAGAAGAAAATCTAGGCAAAACCATTCAGGACATAGGCATGGACAAAGATTTCACAATGAAAATGTCAAAAGCAGTTGCAGGCCAGGCACGGTGGCTCACGCCTCTAATCCCAGCACTTTGGGAGGCCGAGGTAGGCGGATCATGAGGTCAGGAGATTGAGACCATCCTGGCTAACATGGTGAAACACTGTCTCTACTAAAAATACAAAAAACCAGCTGGGCGTGGTGGCACACACCCGTAGTCCCAGCTGCTCGGGAGGCTGAGGCAGGAGAATTGCTTGAACCCGGGAGGCGGAGGTTACAGTGAGCCAAGATCATGCCACTGCACTCCAGCCTGGCAACAGAGCCAGACTCCATCTCAAATAATAATTAAAAAAAAAAAAGCAGTTGCAACAAAAGCAAAAATTGACAAATGGGATCTAATGAAACTAAAGAGCTTCTGCATAGCAAAAGAAACTATCATCAGAGTGAACAAACAACCTACAGAATGGGAAAAGTTTGCAATCTATCCATCTGACAAAGGTCTAATATCTAGAATTTACAAGGAACATAAATTTACAAGAAAAAAACAACCCCACTAAGAAGTGGACAAAGGACATGAAGAGACACTTTTCAAAAGAGGACATTTATGCAGCCAACAAACATGTGAACAAAAGCTAGACATCACTAATCATTGAGAAATGCAAATCAAAACCACAATGAGATACCATCTCTTGCCAGTCAGAATGGCAGTAATTAAAAAGTCAAGAAACAACAGATGCTGGCGGGGCTGTGGAGCAACAGGAAAGCTTTTCCACTGTTGGTGGGAATGCATATTGGTTCAACCACTGTGAAAAACAGTGTGATGATTCCTCAAAGATCTAGAACCAGAAATACCATTTGACCTAGCAATCTCATTATTGGGTATATACCAAAAGGAGTATCAATCATTCTGTTATAAAGATACATGCAAATGTATTTCCACTGCAGCACCATTCACAATAGCAAAAACATGGAATTAGTCCAAATGCCCATCAATGATAGACTGGATAAAGAAAATGTGGCACATGTATGCCAGGAATAGCATGCAGCCATAAAAAGGAACAAGATCATGTCCTTTGCAGGGACATGGATGAAGCCAGAAGCCATTATCCTCAGCAAACTAACACAGGAACAGAAAACCAAACACCACATATTCTCACTTATAAGTGGGAGCTGAACAATGAGAACACATGGACACAGGAAGGGGAACAACACACACTGGGTAGAGCCTGTCGGGGGTTGTGGTGGGAGGGAGTGTACCAGGATAAATAACTAATGCATGTGGGGCTTAATACCTAGGTGATGGGTTGATAGGTGCAACCATGGCACACATTTGTAACAAAGCTGCACATCCTGCATATGTATCCTGGAACTTAAAACTTTAAAAATAATAAAATTTTTAAAAATAAAAAATTTCCAACAAAAATTTCACCTACCAGTTACAGAATCCACTGATGATTCTGCCCAAATAAATTATTACTATGAGAATTGCCAAAGATGATTTTCTAATTCCAACATTTTTCTACATAAGTTGGTATTATACTGTAAGGTAGAGCTTTCCAATTGAAACTTATTTATAAATTTCATGTATGTACTTGTGAATTTCAACTTACTTAATGAGTTAAATGTATTATTATTTATTCTGACATTCAAAATGTCCCAGATTTGGCCACTGGAGTTCCTTCAAGCTTGCTCCTGTGTGCTTTTGACATGGTTTTATCATTCTCTCAACATTTCATTGTTTTCTGGCACAGCAAGCTATTTCTCTAAGAGGCCCTGAACCCTTTTAGTGGAAAATGATAGTTAAAAATAGAGATGTGGACACTAGTGTGCTCACTGCTACTAGACTGTCATTGCTTCTAAGTCCTCTCAGAGATCAGAGGTAGGAAATATATGTAGGTATACACACAAATACACACACACATACATACATACATACATACAGCCCACTGCTGGTGCAATGACTGAAAGGATTGCATTTCTAATTCTAGTCTTAAGACCATCCAAAGAACAAGGTTTTGATGCATATACGACAGTTTTAACATAACTCCATCAAAAAATTGTAATGTTAATAGAACAAGTGAGACACAGAACAGCAAGCAACACGATCTCTTCTACTACTAATTCACTAGTCTGAAAAAGTGTCATCCAGAAAATGCCACATATGGAACGTATAACAAGTCCTCTGCTTGTTGAAAAATAGCATCATTTAATGGAATAACCACTGTAGTATGGAAATGAAAAAATACGGAAGCACTGCCAAGTAAAATTTATCACTGATTAGAGGTTCTTCAAAAAGAAAAAGCCAATAGACACATAAAGCCACATATTGTATAATTTCATATATATGAAATGTGTAGATGGGGCAAATCCATAGAGACACTGAGTAGATTACTTGCTGGGACTGCAGGGAGGGAGAAATGGGGAATGACTACTAATGCATATAGGCCTGCTTTTTGGGTTGATAAAAATGTTCTCAATTAGATAGTGGTTGCTATGGTTTCAATGTATCCCTTAAGATAGGTTCTTAGGAGGCAATTCAGGTTAAATTGAGGTCATAAGGGTAGATCCCTAGTGCAAAAGGACTGTGGCCTTAAAAAAGAGAAAGAAAACACACTCCCTGTTTCTCACCATATGATGCCTTCTACCACACAGCAAGAAGGACTTCATCCTTCATGCAGCCCCTTGAAATTGGGCTTGTCAGCCTCCAGAACTGTAAGAGATAAATTTCTTCACTTTATAAACTACCCACTCTCAGGTATTCTGTTCTAGCAACAGAAAATGGGCTAAGACAGTGGCGATGGTGGCAAACTTTTGAGTATACTAAAAACTATTAAATTGTACACTTTAAAAGGGTGAGTTTTAGGGTATATGAATTATATCACAATAAAAATGGAGGGCTGGTAATGCAAGATTCCTTAATGGCCCACCAAACATTAACTTTTGGGGATTCTCATGTTGCTAAACTTTGGTGGCTTCTCTGTACATAAAACGAAGTACTTTTGACAGAAAACACTGTCACTTAGGTGGAAAGGTGCTTCATTATAAGGGTCAACTTGTCAAGAATATTTTTGGAAATTTCATTTTCTCATTTCATTAGATGACAGAAGCCAAGTTCAGCCTGGTTAACTTGTAGCATTTATACATTTAGGTATGCTTCGGAATTTCACTGTTAGAATTCTGTAACCTGTGGTTTTGGAATATTCAATTCAGCAAATGTGCAGTGCATGCTTTTGGGACTCTGCTAACACTGCCTCAATTTCAGCCACAGTTTTTCTGCTTGCTGGCATCTCCCAGATCTAGGCTTGTTGTGAACTATGGACCCAGTTTCCTTGAAGTTTTCATCCAGTTGTTAATTCAATGTCTGTGGGGAACCTCCTTCTTACGACAGGAAGTGAGTTTTCTTGTTTCTGTCATCGTGAGTTTGAGTTCGGCTAACCAGATAGCACAATTAACTTTTTTTCAATGTTTGCTGATCTTCAATCAACTGAAATGAAAAATCAAAGTTAAAATTTCGTTATTCAAAATTAACAAAGATAAATGACTATAAAACAAATGTAAATAATTAAAGTTTCAAATGATGTTCTTTCTAAATCTATAGTATTTATACTTGTGATGTTACTAAAGCTTAAAACTGCACCTTTTTTTTTTTTTTTTTGAGACAGAGTCTTGCTCTGTCGCCCAGGTTGGAGTGCAGTGGCACGATCTTGGCTCACTGCAACCTCCACCTCCCAGGTTCAAGCAATTCTACTGCCTCAGCCTCCCGAGTTGTCAGTATTACAGGCGCGTGCCACCATACCTGGCTAATTTTTTGTATTTTTAGTAGAGATGGTGTTTCACCATATTAGCCAGGATAGTCTTGATCTCCTGACCTCATGATCTGCCGCCTTGGCCTCCAAAGGTGCTGGGATTACAGGCGTGAGTCATGGCACCTGGCCAAAACTGCACTTTTTAAAAAGATCAGACTACTGTCCAGAATGATGAAAGCAAAACAAGATTTATCCTAAAGCATTAAGGTCATGAAAAGGCTGAACACAGAATGATTATCAAATCCCAGATTATTAGACTTAAAATTTTCAACCTTCAAAGCTTGCAGGATATTGTTTTAAGACCAAAAAAAGTAATGCGTTATTTTTTATAAAACTTATGAATTTGTTATGAATACATAGACTGAAAATTCAATTCGCTTCAATACGAGTTTGAATAAATGTATGGATGACTGTTGGTCAGAACCAACAGAATATAAGCTGGAGATATACACCTTGAAAATACACAGGTATGTATTTTAAATAACCTTAGAAAATTAAAGAAATATTTAAACTCTATAGGATATGAATTATAGTATAATAAAACATCAAGGAGTCACTGAGAAAAATAAGGTGTCAGTGGTTGAGCATTGTGCTTTCATTCAATTCACTTCTGAATCATTGTATCTTACCAATGCCTTGCTAAATGTAAATTCTCAAGGAATTAATGAATAAATTACTATATTGATAGATAATCTTAAAAAGCAAGCAGGAAATCACCATATATAACCTGGAATCCCACATTAGTTAAGCCTCTATTTTTGAAAAAATACTGAATTATATTATAGGTTATATAACTAAAGAGAAAAGTTGTAAACCTGAGCAGGTTGAATAAAAAACCACAAACACAATTTAAAACTTTGCAAAGGAGATTGATTAGTCAAAACTCTTATCCTTGACATCTCCCTCTCTCTCACCATCTGCAGGTACATATATAGCCATCGCCCAGTCCTGTCTATTCTATATCCTAAATATTTCTGAATGTCTAGTTTTATATCCACTGCCACCATCATCTTCTACCTCAACAATCTATTACAGTCTCCTAACTCATCTATACTCAGTACTTTCTCTATGCTACAGACAGATCCTTTAAGATATAAAATGGATCCTTCTCTTCTCCAACCTCAAATTCTCCGAGAATTCCCATCCATTTCCCTTTACTTGGTTTGCAGGACCTTGAATGTACCACTCTGATCTGTTTTTATACGTCTGTGAAAAGAAAATATCTTGGTCCCCCAAAATCACCAAAGAAAACTCAAGCTGGAAGCTGCTTAGGGCAAACCTGCCTCTCATTCAATTCAAAGTCACTCCTCTGCTCACTGAGATAGATGGATATCTGATTTGCGTCCTTTGGAAAAGCTAATTAGAAACTCAAAAGAATGTAACCATTTGTGTCTCACCTATCTGTGACCTGGAAGCTCTCCCCACTTCTAGTCGTCCTGCCTTTGCTTCAAGTTGTCCTGCCTTTCCAGACTGAGCCAATGTACTTCTTTCTTGTATTGATTGATGTCTCATGTCTCCCTAAATGTGTAAAACTAAGCTGTGCTGTGACCACTTTGGGCACATGTTGTCAGGACTTCCTGAAGCTGTGTCACAGGCGCGTCCTCAACCTTGGCAAAATAAACTTCCTAAATTAACTGAGACCTGTCTCAGATTTTCTGGGTTCACACTTCTGACACCAAATGTGTGGAGGTTGTCCACACCAAGCAATTCTCCAATTCTCTGGACACCAACTGGATGTCTTACAATTCAGTTCAATCCTGACAATATCCAGAATTAGCAACAGACTCTACAGGTTTAAGAGCTCAGTCCCACAAGACTGTCCTCACTTCAGATATTGGTTGCAAGTCCCATGTTGTTGCTGATACTTATGACTGACTAGCTATATATTCAAGGGTTCCCACGACCCCCTCCTCAGGTTCTGTAATTTGCTAGAATGGCTCATAGAACTCAGAAAGGAACCTTACTTACTGTTACCAGTTTATCATAAAGAATACAACTTAGCAACAGCCAAATGCAAGAGATGCACAGGGCAAATGGCAGCAGGGGTCGGGTGGAGTTGAGGTCGGGGGTGGTGTGGTTGTGGGGAGAAAGGTTAGGACAGGGCTTCTATGCCTTCTACTGGCTTGCCACCCTCCCAGCACTGCAATGTGTTCACCAACCCAGAAGCTCTGAACTCTGTTATTTAGTGGCGTTAAAGGTTTCATTAATAGGCGTGAATAATTAAATCTCTGGACATTGCTGACTGAACTCAACCTCTAGCCCCTCTCCCCTCCCCTAGAGGTCAGGGAGTGGGGCTGAAAATTCAAACCCTATCCTTCCCTTGGTCTTTCTGGCTACCAGCCCCCATTCCAAAACTATCTAGGGACCCCCAGCCACCAGTCATCTTAGCATACAAAAGACATTCTTATCAACTGCAGAGATTGCAAGGGTTTTAGAAGCTATGTGCTAAAAACCAAGAACAAAGACCAAGTATATATTTCATTTCCCATTATATCACACTCTCAACTTAACTTCATGCAGCTCCCACTTTGTTCACTAAGCTCTAGCCTCTCTAGCTTCTCTTGAGCCCCCAATACGCCAGGCTCTCTCCCACCTGAGGAGCTGGACACATGCTGATCCCTCTGTAAGAAGCACTTTTCCCCCTACTTAGCTACAGTTACAGTTTAAATATCAGTTGCTAAAAGAGGCGTTCCCCAATCCTTCCCTCTAAAGTAGACATCCCTTGTTTTTTTCCCCTTCATAGCCCATATTCTTTATTTTCATAGCACTAATAACAGTTTGAAATTCGATATTTGTGTATTTTTTTTGATCTTTATTCTCTGTTAGACTCTGATGTTTCTTAAGGGCAGAAACCATGTCAATTTAGTTGACCATTGTTTGGCCAGTGCCTTTCACGATGCCAGGCATCCAGTAGATATTAAACTCATTGAATAAATAATTTTTTATATACCTCATTTTGATATAATTTGAATTAAAATCCAATAAGTATGTCTTTGAATTTAGAATAGGGTTGAGGAGTACTGAATTTAAGTGTACAAATGGGTATCCCATAAAAAATAATGACAGCTTTTTCCACTTCCATTATGGGTAGATTAAGAATAATAAGAGCTAACATTTACTGAAAGTTTGCCATGTTTCAGGCACTTACATATATTAATTCAATGATCCTTATGACAGCCATATGAGGTTGTTTGCAGGTGAAGGCACAAGGTCAGAGAGATTAATTAGCTTGCCCTAGACTAAACAAACATGAGAGAGCTGGGAATTTTTAACCCAAGCAATCTAGTTCAACTACTATGCCTTCTAGAATAAAAGGAAACAAGTTTAAGAGTAATATAACTACTTTAGGTTAGAAAGAAGGAAGAAGTCTCTGACTATAAATGCTGAATAAATTCCTAAAAAAAAAAACAAAAAAAAACCTCTCTCTCTAAAGAGCTCTAAAAATTCCACAACAGCCTCTCATTTGTAATGGGAGATATTTATAAAAGTGCACATAGTACTATTTGAAACGCTTGTTTCCCACTGCCGTAAAGAAATAGCACTTGAACATAAATTTAATTTACTCAGCAAGGCCATTTTTACTTCCTGCAGAAAGGGTACACTCACCAGCAGTTTTGCCACGAGAGTACACCAAACAAAGGAGACAGGGTCATTTATAACCTGATGCGTCCACCCTACTGCTGTGTCCAGTTTCCATTGGCTGGAATGGGACCTCACATTTTGTATTTGTCCCGACTGGCTAGCAACTTAGAACTTGTTAAAAGAGGCAAAGGCAGAGGAGAACAAAGGAAGGAGGAAGTAACTTGTGGAATGCTAAGAAAGGTAAAAACACCTTCAAATAAGGAAGAGAAACAGGCTATGACTTAATGCTTGCTTGGACCAGTATAAGCATGCCAGGGCAAATATTTAGGCTAAATTGTGAGAGCTAACAACATAAAGTACACTGATTTCTTTATCACGGCTAGCAGATATTTAAGAATGTTAGCACAGGTCTTTGAACAAATTTTGCTTCTAAGAGAAGTTACTATTTATTCCTAATTAAATGGGGAGGAAAGTCTTTGAAGAGGAATCTCTACTTTATTTTTCATAGTACCAATGTTAGAAATAGTTAAAAACTGGAAACAACCTAAATATCATTAAATGGAAAATGGAGAACAAATAAAGTATAAGGTAGAAAACAACATAGATGACTCTCAAAAACAATGTTGAACAAAGAAACAAGCTGCAGAAAAACGCTAATTTCTATAAAATTCAAAAATGATCAAAATGAAACCTTCTATTTAGAATACAAATGAAAAGTCTATGAAGAAAACCAAGAGAATAATTAACTAAAAACTTGAGACAATGGTTATCACTGGTGAGGAAAAAGAAGAATGCAATTGGGAAGGGATCTGTAGGTGATTCAAAAGCACTGTTAATGTTCTATTTCTTAAGCTGGAGAGCAGATACATGTATTTTTTTTTCCTTTGGCCTTATATATGTTATGTGTTGTTTCACATATATCTAGCTAAAGCTATACTATGTCACCAATGCAAAAAAGAAAGATCCAGCAAAATGGGAAAGCCCAAGGAAGCAATGTCATTCAAAAAAAAGACGGGAAGGTCCAAAGATTACAAGCACTATCCTACCTGATATTGAACACCTGGCTTTCTTCCTTCTATAGCTTTAGTGCTGGGAGCCTGTACTCAATTTCCTCACAAACATTTGCTAACTCACGTGGGCAAGGGCTCAGTGGGTCAGAGCTACCACTGACATGCAGAATCAAGTAGCCAGTTAACACTGTGTTGATAACTATTTCCCCCCAAATTCCCCACCTACATGAAATTTGCTGTATCCTGGTAGATGGGGCTAGCAAGCATATTTTCAGTTTACTTAGAAGCCCTCAGAAAGGACTATCTGACTATATATAGCATTGAAAGTACCCCAATGGGTAGTTTTAAAACACCTTCAGACTCTCTCATATGCTTTGAACCCTGAGTACCTATATATAGTTAAAATCACAAAAGACAGCTCAAGAAAAGGGGTTAAGGATGTGGTTGAATGACTGGCTCCCTGCTTCTGTTAGTAGGGCCATTTTCACCACTTATCTCAATACTTATTCACTAAAACTACAGAAATAACTGGGTGCTGAGACTAAAATCACAACTGACATCCACAACTCTCATTTTCAAATTTGGCCTTTTTCAAAAAATGGCTAATCCCATTAACTTGATGCAAATATTTATAAATGTAAAAGTACAAAAACACCCGTGTAAACAATATATTTGTTTTATACACTGCAATAAAATGAAATATTTAACTTGGAAAAAGGGTTCTTTGCTACTTAAAAAAGGTCTGAAAACATATGTATTATCATGCATTCTCAAACTGGACAAAACGCAGAGAATTTTTATGAACTTGATGGATGTTTATGTCCTTCCCCACCAAAGAATAGCCTGATTTTTCTATCCTCCCCTTAACCTTCACCTCATCAACTTTTCCCTTAGCTTTCCTACTCTAGGCTGTTGGCTCTTGTTTTCCAGTCAAACATATTAAAATAGGGGTTGTGAGAGCAAAGGAAGGGCTAAGTGACAAAATAAAGCCAAGGGATGATGAACTTGGGATAGGTATTACCTGCCCTAGGGATTAACCACAGGGATACATCTAGGTAGATGATCATTATCATGTTTACAGGGGAGAAATTGAAGTGTATATATTATATGTAGGAAAAACAGAATGCCAAGTACACTAGAGATGGGAATTAAATGTTTCTCATATTTCATATTTTTGACAAATACTTTAATTTAGTTTATTCATATATTGTATTTTATTTGCCATATGCTAGTCATGAAGTTTAATTCAGTTTTCATTTTCTGAGGTGGTATAATATAGTAGCTTGGAGCATAAACTCTGAAGTTAGACACACTGTGTTCAAATCCTTGCTCTGCCACTTACACTTTATGAAACTTTGGGTAAATTTTTTTTTTCTTTTTTTTTTGAGGTGGAGTCTCATTCTGTCACCCAGGCTGGAGTGCAGTGGCACGATCTCAGCTCACTGCAACCTCCGCCTCTTGGTTCAAGCAATTCTCCTGCCTCAGCCTCCTGAACAGCTGGGACTACAGGTGCGTGCCACTAGGTCCAGCTAATTTTTGGTATTTTTTTTTTTCAGTAGAGACAGGGTTTCACCGTGTTAGCCAGTATGGTCTCGATCTCCTGACCTCGTGATTCGCCTGCCTCGGCCTCCCAAAGTGCTGGGATTACAGGCATAAGCCACCGCGCCTGGTCAGGGTAAATTATTTAACATTACCATGTGTCACTTTCCTCATGTGTAAAATAAATCAGTGTACTATATTTACATATGCCACAAACCTCACAGAAGAATGTTATAATTTTTAAACTTAGTCATTTTTTTAATTGAGAGAAATAAATATATTTACCCATATACTTACCATTTCTGGAGTTCTCCATTCCTCAGATCCAAGTTTCCATCTGGTATCATTTCCTTTCAGCCTGAAGAATTTCCTTTAGCATTTCTTGCAGTGAAGGTCTGCTGGCAACAAAACCTCATTTTTGTTTATTCGGTGATACTCCCTCTTTCCAAGTATAGACTTCCTTTCAGTTTATGCCTGCTATGGTCACTCTCCAGTGCCTTCAGAGAGTTGTGGGTTTTCTGTATTTTGTCCAGAATTTATCATGGTTTTCTGTAAAAGGATTAGTTCAATATGACCTACTCCACCATTACTAGAAGTGGCTCGTATTTTAAGATGCCAGAAAAGTTTTAAATATTCAAACATTCTTGGACACAAGACCATCAGGTGAAAGATGAACTACAATGCTTCAACATGATATATTCATAGTTATTCGTATCATACCATAAATTAATTCATGTAGTCTACTGGGTTATAATTCAGCAACCTAATTATTTCAGCACTGTTTCTATTTTTCCCACATATATTTTATATATATTTTACTCTCTCCCATGTAAACTTGATAATGATCATCTGCCCAGACACATAATCATGTACTTGGTTTTTTCTTCTTCTCGCTTTGTTTAAAACAACAGAAACCAACTCCAGTAAACTTTAACAGAAAGGAAAATTACTGCAAAGAAATCAGGCAAATCACAGAAGCAGTGGACGTATAGATAATCAGGCTCCAGAGGAAACCAAAGGAGGCAAGGAATGGCAAAAATCCCATATCGTGTATTCCAGTCCCATATCCCTTAACCCACTGAATACTTTTCCTCACTCCCTACCACCATACTGCTAGACTCACAACTATTCCACAGCTACTTCATCTAATCTAACTAATCTAACACCAATTGTTTCCTTAAGAGTAAGCTCTCTGGGCAGAACTATCTGATTGGCTCAGTCTAACTGCCAGGAGTAGATAGGTAGAAACTACCTTATCATGTGTAGTATTTGCCCCAGATAAAAAGGGTATCCAGCTGTAAGTTATTTCTAATATGTTGTTATTAATTATAAATTGGACAGTAGGCGGGGCATGGTGGCTCATGCCTATAATCCCAGGACTTTGGGAGGCCAAGGTGGGCGGATCACCTGAGGTCAGGAGCTTGAGACCAGCCTGGTCAACATGGCAAAACCCCATCTCTACTAAAAATACAAAAATTAGCCAGGCATGGTGGCGGGCGCCTGTAATCCCAGCTACTCAGGAGGCTGAGGCAGGAGAATCGCTTGAACCTGGGAGGTGGAGGTTGCAGTGAGCCCAGATTGCACCACTGTACTCCAGCTGGGTGACAGAGTGAGACTCTGTCTCAAAAAAAAAAAAAAAAAAAAAAAAAGTTGGACAGCATAAATCACTAGCAAGAGAGTAAAGAGGGCAAAATCATGCAATATGAGAAATTTGTAAAAATAACTTGTCATGCTTGTTTTTTCCTTGGTTCAATGCTTCTAATTATTTTGGAGTGAAAAGTTATGCCCAACTTAAAATCTGATATACAAAGTTCTCATTTTTAAAACACATAAGGCAAGAAATAACTTTAGTTAGAAGAGGATTTCTGCTCTTCAAAAGTATTCATTGGCCAGGCATAGTGGCTCACACCTATAATCCCAGCACTTTTGGAGGCCAAGGCAGGAGGACTGACTGGGGCCAAGAGTCTGAGAGCAGCCCAGGCAAAATAGCAAGACCCTGTCTCTTAAAAAAAATAATTTTTTAATTGGCTGGTGGCATGTGCCTGTACTCCTAGCTACTCAAGAGACTGAGACCAGGATCACTTGAGCCCAGGAAGTAGAGGCTGCAGTGAGCCATGATCATGCCACTGAACTTTAGCCTGAGCAACAGAGCAAGACCTGCCTCAAAAAAAAAAAAAAAAAAAGGATTCGTTGCTGGATTCCTTTATATAACTGGCTCCCTCATTGCAACTTGTTGTGGGAAGTCAGGGGCCCTGAACGGAGGGACCGGCTGAAGCCATGGCAGAAGAATGTGGATTGTGAAGATTTCATGGACATTTATTAGTTCCCCAAATTAATACTTTAATAATTTCTTATGCCTGTCTTTACTGCAATCTCTGACCATAAATTGTGAAGATTTCATGGACACTTATCACTTCCCCAATCAATACCCTTGTGATTTCCTATGCCCGTTTTTACTTTAATCTCTTAATTCCATCATCTTCGTAAGCTGAGGAGGATGTATGCCGCCTCAGGACCCTGTGATGATTGCGTTAACTGCACAAATTGTTTGTAGAGCATGTGTGTTTGAACAATATGAAATCTGGGCACCTTGAAAAAAGAACAGGATAACAGCAATGTTCAGGGAACAAGAGAGATAACCTTAAACTCTGACCGCCAGTGAGCCAGATGGAACAGAGCCATATTCCTCTTCTTTCAAAAGCAAATGGGAGAAATACCGCTGAATTCTTTTTCTCAGCAAGGAACATCCCTGAGAAAGAGAATGCGTCCCTGAGGGTAGGCCTCTAAAATGGCCGCTTCAGGGGGCAGCCGTCTTTTATGGTAGAAGCAGTAGGGATAAAATAAGCCCCAGTCTCCCGTAGCACTCCCAGGCTTATTAGGACGAGGAAATTCCTGCCTAATAAATTTTGGTCAGACTGGTTGTCTGCTCTTAAACCCTGTCTCCTGATAAGATGTTATCAATGACAATGTGTGCCCGAAACTTCATTAGCAATTTTAATTTCACCCTGGTCCTGTGATCTTACCCTGCCTCCATTTGCCTTGTGATATTCTATTACCTTGTGCAGCACGTGATGTCTGTGACCCACACCCTATTCATACACTCCCTCCCCTTTTGAAAATCACTAATAAAAACCTGCTGGTTTTACAGCTCAGGGGGCATCACGGAAGCTGCCGACATGTGATGTCTCCCCCGGACACCCAGCTTTAACATTTCTCTCTTTTGTACTCTGTCCCTTTATTTCTCAGACTGGCCGACACTTAGGGAAGATAGAAAAGAACCTACGTGAAATATCGGGGGTGAATTTTACCCGATATCTGGCTGAATTTCCCCCGATAGCAACTGAAATAAGATTAGATTTAGAAAATCCCTATTTTCTTCTACTTTCTGAATCAGGACACAGTTTTTAACCAATCAATTTGTGCTTTTATACCAAGAACATCATTTTATTCATTTATAGATTCATGCATTTTATTTTAAGGTGCCTACCCTCACAGAATTTCCATCTTGGGTAGACATGAATAACTTAAAAACATGGGTAGACATGAATCAATTACTCTACTGAAGCTACTAAAATCAAGCTAATATGAAGTACCAGGGGTACCAGTATTGAACAATAAGAAAAAAAAATGTAAAAGACTGAAATTCAGTGAGTGTTTTGGCTAGCTTGTCCATTTGTCTGTCATTGACTAGGCCATGCTACAACTCAGTAGAGAGAAAAGTTGTAGAAAACTGATAATAATACAAATAATTCCTGTCCATAGAAATGCAAATTATGTCCTGTAAAATGGAACTGATTATTTCTCAGTGGATATTCATCAGTTTTGCCAGTTTTGCATTCAATACGTGGTACTTCAACTGGCATAATATCATTATTGAGTTAAATATAATCTTTGACAAATTATCATTTTATATTTTTTTGAGAATCATGATCATATTCACTTTTTAACCTTATCCTTTAAAAATGGTCTGCTTGGTAGAGGGTTAAAATAGAAAGACAACATACATATCTGTCATCAGTAATTCTGTAATGCAACCTTGAAAAACATGGCAAAGGAGGGCTGCCTAGGGGACAACTACCATAACAAAACAGACTTGGGATCAATACAATGATTATTTCTCTATGTTACATAATAGAAATAGTCTAGAAATGTATTGTTCTCTACTATAGATAGTATGTCTCTCTATACATAATACATATTATATACACATATATAGTATGTATATATATAGTATGTACATATATACACAGTATATATGGTATATACTGTATATGGTATATACAGTATATACAGTATATACAGTATATACACGGTATATACAGTATATATACAGTATATACACTGTATACAGTGTATATACAGTGTATACACTGTATATACAGTATATATGCAGTATATACAGTGTATATATAGTATATACAGTATATACACTGTATATATAGTATATACAGTATATACACTGTATATATAGTATATACAGTATATATACTATATAACTAAAGATCTCTTATTTACTATAGTATATATACGGTATACTACCAAAGGTATTTACTATACAGTATATATACTGTATACTACTAAATATATCTTATTTACTATACAGTATACTGTATACTACTAAAAATGTCTTATTTACTATATGATATAGAGACACATATAAAGTATACAGCATTCAGCATATACAAACACATGTGTGCGTATGTATATAATAGACAATATAGAAAATAACTGTGCCAATATTTAAATGGGAGATAATTTATATTATTTAGAATATGAATCCAGTAAATAACATGAATCCTAGACTAACTCTGGCATTTTAACTCTTCATCTAGTTGTAAACTATTTTAATACAATGAAAGCACAATTCATAATTTGGCATTAAGAGTTTATTTCCTTTTTACAGGCACACAGTTAAGTAATTTTATTTTTTCAATTAGACACAGTATAGAGACAGGACAAACCAAAGTGTTTTTCCTACCCTCACACACCACTCAACACATTTCTCATACCAGATGTACGTGCATTTCTCTGCACACTATAAGCAATCCTCTAGCAGATACCAAATGCGTTGTCCTATAATTTAAGTCAATTCTGACATTATCTACCTAGAGATAACATCGGATCCCACAGGTAACGACTCAGTCCCACAAGACTGTCCCCCACCCCCCACTTCTGATGTCAATCACAAACCCCATGTTGTGACCTGCGCATCTGACCAACTGGCTATATATCAGGGTTCCCATGAACCCCTTTTTGGGTTCAATTAATTTGCTAGTGTGGCTCCCAGAACTCAGAGAAACACTTTACTTATACCTATCCATTTATTATAAAGGTTACTACAAAGGATACAGATGAACAGCCAGATGGAAGAAATGCATAAGGCAAGGCATGTGGGAAGGGGCACAGAGTGCCATGTCCTCTTTGGGCATGCCACTCTGCAGGCACCGCCAGCTGTTCAACTATCCAGAAGCTCTCTGAACCCTGTCCTTTTGGGGTTTTATGGAGGTTTCTTTATGTAGGCATGATTGATTAGATCAATAGTCATGAGAGAATCTATCCAACCTTCAGCTTCTAGAGGTTGTGGGGTTCAGCTGAAAGAGCCAACCCTCTAATCACAGTTGGCTCCTCTGGCAACCAGCCCCCCAATCCTGAGGCTATCCAGGACTCTCCAGCTACCAGTCATCTCACTAGCATACAAAAAACACTTATCACTTTAGAGATTCCAAGGGTTTGGGTTGTTGTGTGCCAGGAACCAGGGGCAGAGACCAAATATATACTTCTAATTATATCATAAATGATATATAAATATCCATCATTAACAGGTTTCTCACAGGCAACTTAATAATAAAATCAGATTTTCATAGCCAGAAAAGACCATGTTCTTTTGAAGTCTTCACTATAAGGTAGTTCCACGATGCAGTTTCAAACATTCTGAATGTAATTTCAAATAACAGTAATAAAAATGCTTTTTAAAGATCCCTTTGCAATCAAGAAGTTCTAGTCAATATGGTAACTTAATTCATTTTAGATGCATATTTCAACTTTTTATATTTAATCTGACCTAAAGTGTAATTTCCAAAGTGATATTTCCTGAAGCCAAAACCCAGACTTCATGTCTCTAGAGTAATCTTGCCTTATATTAGTAAGTCTATATCCCTTCCCAAAGTAGTTCTGGCTGGCCTGGGCTTGTTGTAAATAATTGGTTCAGTCAGACAGCTTTTTAACTGTCAACACCCTTAACAATTCACACAATGTACATGGAAAGTATTGTACCTTAAATTAAAGATATGTTTCCTCTAAATAAAGTTTATTGTTTGGGGGAGTTTGCTGAATGGAAATGAAGCAGCTTTATGTTCTCTAGAAAAGAAGTGAAAAGGCATCTCATCTCATTTTTCCCTTCCTTTATCCCATTTCAAGCATGACCCAGAAATTAAATATTTTATGTAGACAGAAAAAGTAACATATCATTAAAGGATGCAAACCTGCAAAATCTAATAGTCATGTAAGCCTGTGAGATTGCCAAAAACTGTTCTACATTTTTAATATCTGAAAATAATCAAATAATTTTATGTCAAATACAAATTTTCCAAGCTCCCTGGTATATCCCCTCTAAAATTTTAAACAAATATACTTGATATGAAAAATAGCAGTTTATCCAAATATCAAATATTATACTGAATATTTGAACAGCAAACACAAACAGTCCTAATCCCAATCATAGACTATGTTGTGAAATGTTAATGTATTTAAATTTTTTAATTATACATGGAATTAACTTAAATACTGCACTTTAAACAATTAGTTATTAATATTTCATTCATATTAAATAACAAGAACACATGAACAAGTGATACCCAACACAGGAAATCTTCAAAGGTAAATTATACATTGTGGGAAGTCTAGTTTTGGCTTCAGGAAAATGTTAACTGCAAACAATCTACACAGATGTTCACAGAAATACTGAATAGCTCTTTTAAGGAAATACTAAATGATGCGGTAATAACAGAAAAGTTAAAAAAATAC
Organism: Homo sapiens; assembly: GCF_000001405.40. NCBI lineage: Eukaryota > Metazoa > Chordata > Mammalia > Primates > Hominidae > Homo > Homo sapiens. The sequence goes on from NC_000002.12 coordinate 63,578,101, forward strand.
ACTGTGTTATATTTATATCTCTTAATCAGGCCAAATTAATAAGGCAGACTCAATTAACAGTCATGGTTTCATAACAATTTTAGTGAATAATACAAGGTATCAAATTACTGGAAATCCTTGTCCCAGTTTTATACCAATTTTCAGCATTATCATTATTTAAAATAAATTTAAATAAATCTCACCATATTAGTATCCCGAAAATAACTCAAAAAGTAAACCACTTAGCTTATATTACCTACAGACAGCGCACAGCTCTGAGTAGGACTCTGTCTTTAGGATGAAGAACAGGATGCAAATCCATATTGCCAATTATATCTATAGTAGCAACTTATGAAAACTGCACTTTCCACCAACCCTACCACAAGGGGAGCCACAAGATATTCCATGAAAAGAAATATGTGTTCTAAACATCATGATTCCTCTCCAACTGTGCCCTCACCTGAGTGGACTGGGAATGGGCACCTGACATAGCCTGGAGGTTGGTAAGTAAAACGGGAAACTTAGGAGGGGAAGCTCTGCCAAAACAACAGCAGCGATGAACTCCCAGGCCAATCTACCTCTGTCTCTCTAAGGAACTATGGACACCCAGATAATTAAGAGCAAGAAGAAAAGCAGAAAGATTTTAAAAATTAAGTTAGGTTATTGATAAAACACTAGAATTAAGATCTGTGGACTGCCGAAGCTAGGACAGGTAACACAGAACCCATAACATTTTGAGATTCTAGAATGGCCTATCGATTCTATTCTCCATGAGATTCACTTATTCTTAATGAGGCTCAAATAATGGCCCTATTTGTTCCTATTTAGGAGAGGAGAGAATAGGATTGGAATCTCACAGTTTGGCTTTCCCTGGGTTCCCCTGAGGTCTTCCTAAGTGGCCAAGATTTGTCTCTTATTATCATGCATATCCTTACACTATAGCATCCTATGACAAAGCATCTGAGGTGGTCTCTGTTCCTTACGTTCTCCAGAAAATAATTGAAAGGGCATCTTATATCACTTTTCACTAAAAGTGCTAAATAGAAGATCATGTGTGCTCTAAACATAAGTCTTCTCCAACAGTGCCCCACACATAAACCTGAATGGACTAGGAATGGGCACCTCACACAGTCTGGAGGCCAGTAAATAAGTGTTAAATAAAAGATGCTAAATCAAAGATCATCTGTCTTGATGTTTAGCTCATTTCCTCTTATTAAGTCATGCCAAATTAGAAAAAAGTCATCAACTGGTTGGGCACAGTGGTTCATGCCTGTAATCACAGCACTTCGGGAGGCCAAGGTGGGTGGATCACTGGAGGTCAGGAGTTTGAGACCAGCCTGGCCAACATGGTGAAACTCTATCTCTACTAAAAGTACAAAACATAGCTGGGTGTGGTGGCACACACCTGTAGTCCCAGCTACTCAGGAGGCTGAGGCAGGAGAATCACTTGAACCCAGGAGGCAGAGGTTGTGGTGAGTCAACATCACTCCATTGCACTCCAGCCTGGGCAACAGAGCTAGACTCCATCTCAAACAAAAAGAAAAAGAAAAAGAAAAAATCATCAACAATCACTTAAAGAAAAACAAAGCCTTTCGTACTGATGCAATCCACTGAATAAAATGAGAAGTCATGAATCCAAATGGAGTAGATAGATTAGATAGGTAGGTAGGCAGGTAGGTAGATACACAGATAGACAGACAGACAGACAGACAAGATAGATAATGCTAGTTTGGATGTCTACACCAAATCTCATGTTGAAATTTGATGCTATTGTAATAGTATTAAAAGGTGGGGACTTTAAGAGGTGATTAGGTCATGAGGGTTCTGTCCTCATAAACTGGTTAATGTTGCTATCAGGAGAATGGGTTAATTATTGTGGGAGCGGGCTCCTGATATGTTCAGCCCCCTTCCTCTCTGTCTCTCACACTTGCTTGCCATGTGGTGACTTCTGCCATGAGATGACCCTCACCAGAAGCCAATGCCACACTCTTGGACTTCCAAGCCTCCAGGACTATGAGCCAAATAAAATTCTATTCTTTATAAATCACTCAGTCTGTAGTATTTGTTATATGTAGGAGCAGCAAACAAAGGCAGATGAGAAGGAAAAACTCAAACTTACAGTAGAATGCCATTTACTAAGTGGTGAAAAAATGACAGACTTTGAAAATCATTTTACAACCATAGTAATAATTGATTCAGGCAAAAATAATCAATAAGTGCTAAAACTATGAGTAAAAGTTTGGTGAGAAACAGGATATTAATGTAGTCTCAACGTATGTCCCCACTGATTATTAATTATAGGGGGAAGAAATAGTAATTTTATAGTAAAGAAATCTGGTGAATACCTTAACCAAATGATTAAAATCAACATCATAAATAATAAGACATACTGATTTAATGCTCTGATAAGGCCACAACATCACCTATGTAATCTTCCTCCCAAAAATGCAAGCCTGAATTTAACCACAAAAAAACATCAAACAAACCCAAATTGAGGGATGGTCTCCAAAAAACTAGCCTATACTCTTCAGAAATGTCAATGTCATGAAAGACAAAGAGGGCCAATAAACTGTTCCAGATTACAGGAGATTAAAGAGATATGACATCTAAATTAAATGCACAATCCTGTATGAGGGGAAAAACATTATGAGACATTACTGAGACAACTGGCAGCGTGTCAACAGGAGAGTATATTAGATACTTGTACACATCAATGTTAAGTTTCTTAACTGTATAATGGTTAAGCAAAAGAATGCCTTGTTCTTGGAATATATTCACTGAAGAATATAGGAATATAAAAGGACACATTGTCTGCAAGTTACTCTCGAATGATTCAGAAAAAATCAAGGGGATAGTGTGGTGGGAACATGTGATAAAGCAAATGTGACAACATGTTTAAAAGGTAAATCTAACTGAGGGGGCCTTAGAAGTTCTTTTTACTATTCTTACAATTCTTCAGTAAATTTGAAATTATTTCAAAATAAAAGACTAAAAAAAATAGCTGAGCTTGTAAGAGAGAGCACTTCTCTTCACCAAAAAGTAGGAACTAAAAACCAACGTAGAAGGCATACAAAGCTGTCTTAGAGCTTAGTTCCATAAGACATATTTCCATATGTCTTTGTGTGAGAGAATGTACAGTGCAAGGAAGGGGAAACCAGGAGTAGCCCGGCAAACTTGAGTTGAGCAGACAGAACTGAAAAACTGGAGAAGACAAGGTAGTTAGTTCCCTGGAGAGGGAGAATCATACAGAGAGAACTCCAGAGAATTTCAGAGGGTTCCGCTTGAGAATTCAGCTGAGTACTCACAGCACATGCATATGATCAAACCATGAGGCTGGAGAAAGAGCAACTAGAAATGATTACAGATAACAGTGCTTGGCACTCATATCGGGCTGGGAATAGTGCCTGTTCTCACCAGCCCGACAGAAAAACTTTGTGATTCACAGTCATTGGGTAGAGTACACAGAAAAGTCTTGGCTCAGGAGTAGGAAATTATTACCCCTAGTAGCTGAGCAATACTCAGATCCTGACTAATATTTAATAAATCTTAAAAGCAAGTTTTGAAAGAATTAAACTAATTTCAAATAATTTAATTGCATCACAGAATAAAGCTCAAAGTTATTTATAGAAAGATAAAAATCATTCAGGCTGGGCATGGTGGCTCAGGCCTATAATCCCAGCACTTTGGGAGGCTGAGACGGGTGGATCGTTTGAGTCCTAGAGTTTGAGACCAGCCCTGGAAACATGGCAAAACCCTGTATCTGCAAAAAACTACAAGAAATTAGCCAGGTATGGTGGTGCACACCTGTAGTCCCAGCTATTTGAGAGCTGAGGATGGAGGATTGCTTGAGCCTAGGAGGTTGAGGCTGCACTGGCCACTAGCTCTAGCCTGGGCAACAGAGCAAAACCCTATCTTAAAAAAAAAAAAAAAGAAATGTAATATTCGCAATCTGACATTTAATAAAAAAAATTACCAGACTTCCAAAGAAGCATAAAAATATGGCCCATAATGGAAATAAAAATTAACTAAAACCAACCCAGGACTGGCAGACATGTTATAACCTGGAGACTAGAATATTAAAACAATGATTATAACTGTATTCCACATGTTAAACAAATGTAGTAGACATGAAAGATATTTTTTAAAAGACCCAAATCCAACTTCTACACATAAAAACAATATGTGAAATAAAAAATATACTGGATAGAATGAATAGCATATTAGACATTGCAAAATAAAAAACTGGTGTCCTTGAAAACCTAGCAACAGAAACTTTACAAAATGAAACCTAGAAAGAAAAGATAATTTTAAAAATAAACAGAGCATCAATGAGCCATGAGACAACTTCAATCAGCTCAAAATACATATAACTGTCATCCCCAAAACAGCGCAAGAATCGAAGAGCACACAGAAAAAAGTATTTCAAGAAACAAGGTCAAAATTTCCCCAAATTCATTGAAAACTATAAACCTATGGATCCAAGAAGCTCCATGAACCCCAAGCACAAGAAACATAAAAAAGACTACACTTGCAAGGCACATCATAATGAAATTACTCAAAACCAGTAATAAAGAGAAAAATGTTAAAAGCAGCCAGAGAAAAACAGACACTTAAGTACAAATACAGAAAGATAAAGATGATAGTAGATTTTTAATCAGAAACAAGGCAAATGAAAAAAAACAGTGGATCAAGATCTTCAAAGTACTGAAAGAAAAAACTATCAATCTAGAACTCTATATCCGGTGAAAATATCTTTCAAACAAACATTTTTCCACACATACAAAAGCTGAGAGAATTTTTCAGTAGCCAATCCTAACCACAAGAAACATTTTTAAAAAGGAACTACATTAGACAGAAGAAAAATCATACTATATTAGAAATACAGATCTATAAAAAGAAATTAAAAGACTGAAAATAGTAACCATATTGATGAATATTTAAGATATTTTCTCACTAAATCTCTTTTAAAAATAATTGACTAAGCAAAAATAACGATGATGTTGTATGGGGCTCATAACATGTAAAAGTAAAGTGGTCAGGAAAGGAGAAATGGAAGTAAATTATTGGCAGGTTTTTATACATGAAATGGTATAATATCACTTGAAAATACACTATGATAAAGGATGTATGCTATAAACCCTACAACAGTCACTAAAATAAAGTTACTGTCAATAAGCCAATAAAGGAGATAAAATGGAATTGTAAAAAATTTCAATTCATCAAAAAGAAGGAAGAAAAGAAGAGAGAACAGAGAACAAATGGGACAAATTGAAGACAAATAGCAAGACGTCATTTAAATTTAACCTTGAAATTTTGAAAACCTGGCAGAGCACGGTGGCTCATGCCTGTAATCCAAGCACTTTGGGAGGCCAGGCGGGCGGATCAGGAAGTCAAGAGATCGAGATCATCTGACCAACATGGTGAAAACCCATCTCCAATAAAAATACAAAAATTAGCTGGGTGTGGTGGCACGTGCCTGTAGTCCCAGCTACTCAGGAGGCTGAGGCAGAAGAATTGCTTGAACCCAGGAAGTGGAGCTTGCAGTGAGCCAAGATTGCGCCACTGCACTCCAGCCTGGCGACAGAGCAAGACTCCGTTTCAAAAAAAAAAAAAAGAAAGAAATTTTGAAAAATGTAAATAGTTATTTTAGGGTACTAGTGTCATGAGTGACTGTATTCTCTCTCAAATTTGTTGTTCAATAATAAAAGATAAAGTTCTAAGTCACCATGTTTCATATAAAATAGGATACATATGAGTGGTCAGTGCCTGTAGTCCCAGCTACCTGGGAGCCTGAGGCAGGAGGATCATTCAAGCCCAGGCGTTCTAGACCAGCCTCAGCAACCTAGCGAGACCACATCTCAAAGAAGAATAAGAAAAAAAAAGAGTGGCCAGAGATATATGTATGTCTTAAACTAAAACAAAAAATAAAACCAGGCTATGTGCAGTGGTTCATGCCTATAATACCAGCGCTTTGGGTGGCCAAGGCAGGAGGATCACTTGAGCCCAGGAAATCGCGGCTACAGTGATATGATCATACCACTGCACTCCAGCCTGGGAAACAGAGTGAGATGGCCTCAAAATAAATAAATGAATGAATAAATACCCACATACTAACACAGCTTAAAAAGAAGTAGATCACTAATATTTTGAAGACCCCAGTACCCCGTCTCCTACTCTCCTCCCCAAGCAACCACTATCCTGAATTCTGATTAATCATTCCTCTGCTCTTATTTATGGTTTTACCAGATGGGTTTGAAATCGTGAACAACAGTATTTGTTGCAAATTTTTAATTTTTATAAAAATTAAATCATAATGTATATATTATTATATGGTTTGCTTTTTTCAATTAACATTGTATTTTTGATGCTCATCCATGTTGGTGTGTAGCTATATTCATTTTCAATGAATCCAATGAAAATGAATTCATTTTCAATCAATCCAATGGATTTCAATGAATCCATGTTGGTGTGTAGCTATGTTCTATTCATTTTCAATATATTTTTACATTTTCCTATTGATGGCCATATGGGTAATTTCTAGAGCTGTGCTCTTAGAAACAGTGCTTATGAACATCTTGTACATCTCTTGATTTAAATGGGTATGTAAAGGAATGGAATTGCTACATTACGTTTCCAGATATAATGATCACTCTGTGTTATTAGCCTCATTGTATTAATAAATGAAGATTTATAGAGACCAGGAAACTTGTTCAAGGTCACACAGCTAGGTAGTAAAGTTAAGACCAATAAATTCTGCTCCTTTCACTTGAAAAAAACTCAAGGTTAGGTAGCTCATACTTCTGGAAACATGTAATTATCAAACAGAATCCTGATGAATAATGTTTTATCTTGTTTAACTAAAGTTAAAAGAGGAGGTCCTAGCAAATTATTCCACTCAATTCTACCACTTGACCACTCAAAGCAACTTGACTACGTAATGATCATGATTAAAACTTTTATCCTATTAAAATATCCTGTATTTCACCATTCCTGAAAATTCCAGTCAAATGTTATAGTTTAAAATGTGTACAAATTGTGTATGTATAAAATTGTAAGACATAGTAATAAAGTGGTTCTCATTGAGACTACAGTTTTAAATTAAATTACAAGCACTTTTATTTTTGCCATAACTAAATTTGGAATTACTACGTTTAAGATTCACTAAAGTGAATGTAATAATTATTTTTAAAATACTACATATTCATTTTAAGAAATTACTTGAGAATACTTTCAAAAATGTCCTGCATGTCACTTAAGCCAACAAATAATTTCCAAGATACCTAGCATTACACTTAAATTTTAAAAAGGGTAAAAAGCCAAAGTTTTTTTTTTCAGCTAAGGTCAACTATTTAGCTCTGCAATCTTTCCTTTAAAAAATATTTGTAATAATTTGGTCTCTGATTTATTTCACAAGTCTTAACCTTGCTTTATAAATAATCCTATTTTCAATCACACTCCATTATCTAACATGGCTGTTTACTAAATACATGATCCTATGGTAAAGTACATATTTCTAAAAATGTAGCTACTTAGACAGACAGCAATGTAAAGGCATCTTTACATTATAGTACTCTCTAAATATTACATTGTTACTTTCAACAAAAAGGAACCAGATTATAACAAAATTGTTATAAAATAGCTTAAAAGTGTAATAGAACTTCATTAAAGAAAACATTAAGATGAATGAGTTTTAACTAGATCTATAACAATTTTATATATGCTAGAGATAAAATTAATATGAGGTTAAATAATTTTCTTTTTTTTTTTTTTTTTTTGAGACAGGATCTCCCTTTGTCGCCCAGGCTGGGGTGCAGTGATGCCAGTGCAACTTCTGCTTACTGGGCTCAAGCAACCCTCCCACCTCAGCCTCTTGAGGAGCTGGGACTACAGGTGCACAACACCACACTCAGCTAATTTTTTAAAAATTTTTTGTAGAGACAAGGTCTCAGTATATTGCCCAGGCTGGTCTCAAACTCTTCGACTCAAGCAGTCCTCCGGCCTTAGCCTCTCAAAGTGCTGAGATTACAAGTGTGAGCCACCACGCCTAGCTGTGGTTAAATAATTGTATACTATAAAAAAGCATAAGATCTTGTGAGTTCCAAAGTGCCTTGGGTATCAAGAGCCAACATTCTATTTCAGAGATTTGAAACTTAATGATCCTTTAATATCTTTGCTGGATGTTGTTAGAATGGTATTTCAAACATTTTCTACAATTTGAATTAAATATTACCTTACTAAATAACGCGAGGCTGGGCAAAAAAAATGTTAAGCATAACTCCAAATATAGCATAACAGTTTAATGCTCTGTTTGTTGCCTTAACAAAAAATGAATGTCTGCAACACATTCACAAACCACCTGGAGATTCAAACTCACAGTGAAAGTGCAATGACATATTGTGCTACTTGACATTAGCTATTACCAAAGACGGTTCAAAAGGAAGAGAACACAGACAATCTTATTAGTATAATTGGAAATGTGCTGATATACCCACCTTACCAAACATCTTCTCTTGCAGTGTATTATATTACCTGAGAAAAGTAACTTACAATCAGTGCTAATATGCTCCTTAACCTGATTTACAAGGGCAACTAGCAATAAACAGAACAAGGCCCGTGAACTACCACACAGGTGACTTCAATTCTGTATATCTGGACTGGATGGGAATACGGGGGCTTACATGTTTGTGGCCTTCTTGGAGTATGGGAATGTCCTGTCCTGCTATAGGACTGCAGTGAGAATTCTGGTTATAAAAAGTCTCCCTTGTAAAATTCACTGTAAATCGAGGACAAAAATCATGAGATTGTTTTGTTATACTTTAAGTTCTAGGGTACATGTGCACAACGTGCAAGTTTGTTACATATGTACGTATACATGCCATGTTGGTGTACTGCACCCATTAACTCGTCATTTACATTAGGTAAAATCATGATATTTTTAAGGACAACAACATGGAAAAATCTTTCTGTTAGCAGCTAGTAGAAGAATTCATTTAGGAGGATAATGGAAGAAATTTTTCGTAACTGCTCAGAGTAAAAAGTAAAACTCAGAGAACCTAGGTTTGAGAATAATGCACACCTACTAATTCAGGACTAGACACATAAATTTGAGAGTTTTTGACATTAAAAGTAGCATTTGAAGTGATGCAACTTATGAATTAGCTCACTGAGGGATTTAGTATAGACAGAGAATACAGGCACCCCAATGTTAAGAGATCACAACTAAAAAAAATTTAGAAACTCCGCAGAACTGAGAACCAGTAACAAAAGAGGAAAACCAGGAAAGTATGTTGTCTGAGAGCCAAATGAATAAAGAGATACAAGGAGAGTCATTCAGGTATGATATTAATAAATGCTAAAAGTAAAGCATTACATTTCTTTCCAAAAATAGCAAATCCTCCAAACTGAAATAGAGAAAAATTGAAAGATATTACTTGGCATTCATTTATCAGTGACAGAGAAAAAACGGAAGTTCTAACAATGTTATCTAATAGAGATGTTTTATTCATTTTCATTACGTATATGCTGTGTATGCTACTCCCGAGCATCATATCTTCCTTTTAACATCCACAAGAAACAAGCTTTCAAAAAGCACAGCAATTCTCTTGGCAGCATTAATTTTAAAGAGAACCTCTTAAGTTGTTTTACCAGCTGAGACTGACTGACTAAACAACCAGTGTCTCCCCTTCAGTCGCCAGTCTTTCCTTAGAAATGCCTGTTTGGCATAACTTTAAGACTCAAGATGGTTTAAGGCGCATCCTGTTTCTTCCAAAAGGGAATGGACAAAACTCAACATTCACGGAGGGCTTAGAGCAAATTAGAACCGTATACTGTGACCTCCTGGAAGGGAGAGGCTCACCTCCTACAAAGTAAATGCTCAATAAATATTTTTGATATAACTCTGGAAGAGCTCCATTTGGGGTCGGGGGTGCACCTACTCCAGGGCACCACCCCCTCCAAAATAGCTGCATTCCCACAGCCCTCATACTCCGCTCAGAAAAGGGACCGGCGAGCTTGCAGGCATCCGCACAGCGGATAAAAGCAAAGCGGGACGGCGCACCAACCGCATTCCGGATCCTAAGGTTAAAAGAAAACCCCTTGCCCTCGGGCCAGGGCTCACCTGTCTCGGGAGTGGGGAAGAAGCGCGACTCCCGGCCGCTTTGGAGTAGGCGTCCCAGCAAAACTCTCGCCTCATCACCAGACACTACCCCGGGCAGAAGGTTCCTAGGCTAGGTCCTCGGACCCGAGAGGGAGCGACACGCTCGCTTGGTCTCTTGGGTCTCCAGGACGCCGCCGCCGCCGCCACAGTTTCCTCAGGTGCTACAAAGCAGCCAGGGTGTGCGTGCGCTCCCGCCTCGTCGCTTAGCAACCTGAGAAGCTGTCCGGTCGTCCCAACTTATCAATTCCCCCGCCCCTCCAGAGTGTCAATCGTTTTTTAAAAGATTTTGTTTCCGGGTCGATCCAGCTTTACGCAGCGGAAGGTCTCTTTACCTCCCACGTTTACCCTCATGGGAGGATGCAGTCTCAGTCACGCGCGTGGGGGTGATGTCGCTAAGGGGTGATTCTCCCCTCCCTAGAGTTACACACGCTATCTCTCCCGCCAATTGCCGGGCTCCATCAGGCAGGTCCTTTCCTCCTGAGCCCAAACCATCCGTTTGTTGTCGTCCTCCAATCACAGGGGCTCATCCTCAGGGACTACTTTGCAATCGGCGCAGAGCGCAGTGAGAAGAGCTTGAAAAAAACCTCTGGTATCGGGAAGTGTAGTTCAACACTTGAAGGAAATGCTTTGGAGATTGCGCCACAACCAGGGCAGCGTAAACTACAGTTCCCAGAGAGCGCCGCGTCGGGAGCGGAGCCTTTTCTCGCTAACACCGCTCGCCCTCTCCGAGTCAGTTCCGCGGTAGAGGTGACCTGACTCTCTGAGGCTCATTTTGCAGTTGTTGAAATTGTCCCCGCAGTTTTCAATCATGGTGAGTGTGGGCCCCGGGTTCCTGCCCACCTCTGGCCCTCGCGCCCTTGAGTGGGGTTTCTTGCACTTTAGGGACTTTTGGGAGGCAGCTGTGCAAGGCACTGTCCTTCGCGCCCTTTGGCAAGCTCGGACTCATCTTCTGGGGATTGCCGCAGTGACCCAGTAATGGGAAGGGATTGATTTCCACCTTGCGGGGTATGGGGCGCTCTTAGGAGGACTCTGGAGAAGTAGTTGTCCTGGGAGAGGAGCGATCTTAATCCTGCTGCATGACGGGAGGACAAAATGCGACGCTGCAGCTATTTTCCAAAGGACGTTACGGTGTTTGATAAGGACGATAAGGTTTGCGATGGGAGGGAAAGGTTGGGTCCTAACCCCTTTTTCTCCTCATTTGCCCACAGTGTTTATAACGGCTTTTGTCACAGGGACCTTGAAAGCAAAAAGCTGGAAAGGTAGTATTTACCAGGTGCTCCAGATTACGATCTGCGTTTGCAGCAGACGTGTTTCCGCCATATCTAATTTCTCAAAATGTTATTTGGAACCCGTTCATTGACCTTTTTTGTAATGCCAGGATATATTGAAGTGACAGCATCACTAACTAAATAACTACTGCAAATATTCTTTATTGAACTGTATATTGTGAATTCCAGAAGCACCTCTCTTAAATGTAACAGAGTAACCATTTTGTCATGGAAGACCTGGGTAACCTGCATCTCCATCGCTTGTCTCTGCTGAAAGAGAGGGGGAGGGGGAGAGTTGGTGAAGGAACTCTGGCGTAGGAATAATCTGCGTACTGCTTGAAGGTGACATTTGTCATCAAACTCAGAGAAATCGCTTCATACTATCAATACAATGGCTTGTATTTATAGTTGCGACTGTTTTTCCTACTTTATCTGCAAAATACTAAAACGGCTGGAGAATGTGGAGAAATGTTTGAATGAATTGGAAATTTCCCAGAACCTGAAAAGACACGTTTTCAAGGCAAGGGCATTACTCTCTCTGCCTGTCTAACGGGGCCAGTGGAGACAGCTACTAATTTCCAGTAGGTGTTAAACCTAGGTTTCCTAAATGTTTTGTCACATAATTAGTCATTTAAATTATGGTTTCGGTAGTTTCTGTCCTAATAACCTTAGCTAGAAAGCAGAGGTACTTATTATCTGATAACCTTGGACTTTTTGCTTTTAGAACTGAATGGGATCTTTTAAAGGTCATCTTGACGAATCTCCCCACTTCAGATCTTAAAATGGAGTTTATCGAGACCCAAAGAGAATGTGATTTGCTCCAAGAGTCTCACACTCTTGCCATTTTTCTATATTGTGTCTTACACTTACCAAGTCTTTCTGAATTTTTATTTTTATAGGGACCACCGCAGTGAGGTCTCGCAGCGGGGGAGAGACAGTGTACTCAACTCCCTGAAAACTTATTTTTACTAGCTGAGATTCCGGATGAAGTTACCAGTTCATACTGCATATACAAACTCAAATATGTTATCAGCATGTAGATTACTTGATAGCTTTATTCCTTGCCATTCAAAATACTGGAATTGTAGAATTAAAAGGGAATTTGGAGATTATATTATCTACTCTTATAATGTAGTCTGGTGAGGTCAGATAATTTTCCCAAGGTCACAGAGATTTTGGGCCCCAGATTCTTAGCTAGTTTCCCTAGCAAGGCCCCACCGTTGGAAGGTCACTGGGGTGCCAGATAACACAGAGACAGAACATGAGGAAGAATTTGTCTGGCAGTTTGCTGGAACTGACAGCAAACTCACACATGACTCAATTTCCCTGCCCCCTCAGGAGGGTGTGTGAATGGACAGAGTTAGAAAAGAGCCTTCTTCTGTAAGCTCATTCAAAGCGGAGGATTCTTTGCTTGTTGTCTGTAGGGAGTGACAGCAAAATAAACTGTATGAAGGAATCTAAATGGTACTGCTTAGTTTTTTGTGTTATAGAAATACATGTAATTTAGAAATATATATAAATTTGAAAGTGAAAAAGAAATATGTGGCTCTGTCTGTGGAATAACAGACACTTAAATTCAATCTTTATAGCTGAGAAGTTAGCACAGAGCCTGCATCTGCAGGAAAGTCATTGGTGCCCTGCTAAGAGCAAAGACGTTCCTTTTTTGGACCTTGGCACACTGCCCAGATATCTGAGCAAAGAATAGTAACCTATGTTCACACTATAACATTGTGAAAGTCAGCAGGACTCTCCCACCCTCCTGCTTTTCAACTGCAATGTTGCAGAAGAGCAGAAAGAACCATACATGGACTTTTCTTTCTCTGTTTCATCTTCAGACATTCAAACACTAAGCCTCATACTACCATTAATAAGATGGAATTACCTACCTGGGAAAGTAATTTCCCCAAAGACACAGAAGAAAACTGCTGAGGTGGAATTAACTGTTCATTAGGTGGCCACAACCCCTTCACTAAGGACTGTGATACTGTGAACATGTTTTTAAGTAGCTACTAAAATTGACTGCATTATTCTAACCATATAGGTGACCTTATGGGAAGTTAAACTTAATAGATAGTGATCTTCACTCTCTTCAGCCCCCCTTTTCTTATCCTAGTTTGCTGTTCATTGAAGTAGTATCTGTTCATACTTTATACCCTAACCTTCCTTCATTCAACAAATACTTTTTGTGGAAATGCAAATCCATATCAAAGACAGACTGTTCTCAAGAGCGCTTCATGGCCTAATACAGAGCAACAGAAATGTAAATAGAAAACCACAGGCTATTAAAGTCTTTAGAGGAAAATTCTGTGATGATATTTATAAATACTCACTACGTACTGTTCTTAGTGCTTTGTGTGTTAACTCTTTTAATCCTTAAAACTACTCTGTTTGTTAGGTAATTGCTATTATTATCTCCATTTTACTATGGGGAAATAATACAGAAAGGTTAAGTAACTTGTCCTAGAGCATGCAGTTAATGAGTTGTGGAGCCAGGACTTGAACACAGAAAGTCTGGCTCCAGAGTCCATCTCTTTAATTACTACTCTCTACTGCTTCTCTAGCCCCCTGTTTTAGAAAATTGGTGTATCCTTTTTGTTTCCTTCACGTGATTCACCAATGGATTCCCTGGCCTAAAATAGTACCAAGTACATGATAGGAACTTAATGATGTTTTGTTTAATGAATGAATTAAATGAGAAAACAGTTCATCAGTGGATTTATAAGGTAATATCATTAGTACTAATGACAATTTTGTTAGCTATAGTTGGAACTATTGTGGTCACTAAGTTTCCAGTTTTCTCAATACATAATATATATGAATAAAATACCTTTTGTTTTCATAGTATATATGAAAAAGTTTTTGTTTGAGACAGGATCTCACTCTGTCACCAAGGCTGAAGTGCACTCACACAGTAATGGCTCACTGTAGCCTTAACTTCCAAGGCTCAAGTGATTCTCCTACCTCAGCCTCCTGAGTGGCTGGAACTACAGCATCTGCCACCACACCCAGCTAAATTGTTTTTTTAAGAGACAGGGTTTCACTATGTAGCCCAGGCTGGTCTCGAACTCCTGGGCTCAAGTGATCCACCCGCCTTGTCCCCCCGCGCAATGCGCTGGGATTGTAGGTGTGAGCCACTGCACTCAGCCTGAAATAGCTTAAATAAATAAAATATCTTAAAAAATTTTTTAAAGCACGTTACATATGTTTTCAAACAGTTCTTATACATTTCCATCTTTTTGATAGTTTTACAGGACCCAGCTATTCCTTCAAGCAAATACCAGAGTTCCAACTACAGGACAGGTGTTGTTCTAGGCAATTGAGATACAGCAGTAAATAAAATAGACAAAGTTCCTGTCCTTAAGGATCTCGTATTCTAAAGGGAAAGGGAGTAATAATTTCTTCCTGTATTCCCTTTTCCTCACCTACTCTACTTCAAGGAAAGAAGGGAAAATGACAGAATGAAAAACGTGTAGGCCATTAAAGATTTTTCTATAAATAGTAATAAATTAGAAAAAAAAAATTGTGTAGTATGTAGTTGGCTATGATCAAATTCATTTCTCTACACCAGTTGACACTTTTTGTTTTTTTTGTTTGTTGTTTTTTGTTTTTTTTTTGAGAAGGAGTTTCGCTCTTGTTGCCCAGGCTGGAATACAATGGCACGATCTCCACTCACTCAACCTCTGCCTCCCGGGTTCAAGTGATTCACCTGCCTCAGCCTTCCAAATAGCTGGGAGATGCCTGCCACCACACCCAGCTAATTCTGTATTTTTAGTAGAGACGGGGTTTCTCCATATTGGTCAGGCTGGTCTCAAACTCCCAACCTCAGGTGATCCGCCTGCCTCAGCCTCCCAAAGTGCTGAGATTACAGGCATGAGCCACCATCCCTGGCCTGACACTTCTTTTTTGAAATTTTTTTTTTTCTTTGACTTCTATGAGTGAGTACCAAATTGCTGAGTGCTGCTAACTTTCAGAGCTTAGTGTCAGAAGCTTGAAAGAAGCCTTCGAGGCTATCCATCCTTGTTTCGTCTCAGAGACGTGACTCTCATCTGGAAGAAGGAACTTTAAGTAAAAAGAAACCAAACACTTCTGGGCTTAGTCACATCAGTGGACCATTTCTCCATGCAGGTAGGGGTAAAGGTGACAGTGGAAGTACATTTACCCAGCATTATCGGGGAAAGGAATGGTTCACCTTAACTGAATTTTTCTGTCTAACTAAACCTACCCATTACGTTTCTAAACATTATTGTTTTGTTCTTTTTAATAGATATATTTCTATCTTTTAAAATTCTGTCAGCTTAGTCTTTTTTTACTCAGAGTCATCACTTTGAATATCAGTTATCTTTGTTTCTATGTCTGTATTTTGTTCAGGAACTGTTGAAATCTCTGTTTGTATGTCTTCCCTCCTTGCTTTTAAAAATAATTTTCCCTTGGAATCAGGTTGTCAGCTGTCTGTCACTACATGTTGCTGTTGTTTCTCCCGAAATAAAAAATCTTGTTTTTCCTCCTCCAGACAAAGTTGAAGCACGATTAATTGTCTTATTTAAATGTTTTGGCTCAATGTAAATGGAAAGTTTTAGCCTCTTTCACTCTTCTTCTTGGTATGAAGATTCTATTGAGCAGATGGGAGTGGGGGCTTTGCATAATAAGGATTTGTGTGGCTCTAGTGGCTGCCAGGGTTTGGATCACCACATACTGAACACATCAACATTGTTGAGCCTATTTTAGTGGTAAAATATCCCAAAAAAGGTGGATAAGATTATGTAAGTAAATCCAGGATAACACTTTTAGCTCCCTACATGGTGAGAGTTAAATAACACCACGTAAATATGCAGCACATTCATTTTCTACTGAGCCAGATGCAAAAGGACTTTAAAATTTTACATTCACTTTTAAAGTATGTGGATTTCTTACTATAGATTAAAATCCTGGATATTTTTAAGGTACAGTAGTACTTAAAGATGTTAATGGGTCTTTTTCATTACAGTCTGAACCAATCAGAGTCCTTGTGACTGGAGCAGCTGGTCAAATTGCATATTCACTGCTGTACAGTATTGGAAATGGATCTGTCTTTGGTAAAGATCAGGTAGGAACAGGTGTCTATAAATCTTAAGTTATTAGAGTAAGAATATGGTTAATAAAAATCTGTATTTAGTTGTACACAAATTGTTAAACAGTGAAGGAATATGTAATCCCAGTAAATGTAATAGGCACATTGCTATAAATGGAAGCTACTAAGGTATTTATATGTACGCCTCCAGGCACTGAAAACACTTTGCAAATGAGAACTCTTCCATATATTGTACTCAGTTGACTTGGTGCAACCAGCAGGTGTCAGTCAATGGGAGATATCACTAATGACAGTAACTTACAGTCATGTGGGAGAGAGTTACTCAGTAAGCACTCCCTTGTTCATAAATGGCCTTTGGAACCAAAAGAGTAAGGAAATCTGCTTCCCCGCTGAAGCAGGCACTCCGACTTCCAGCAAGCCTGATTAATATACACTAAAATCCTTTTCTAAGGTATTCATTTATTCAGTTTCTTGACCCATGGATACTGAATTATTCTTTCATGTCAGATACTGTACTTAGCTTTCCATGAACTGAAATCAAATATACAGCTATTAACAATAAGAGCAAGCTATAGCATGTCACTCAGTTTAATGTTTTTTTCATATACTGTTAAAATTGAGTAGTGGTGATTCCTCTCACTGTGTCTGTTAGCAAACCAATGCTGGTTTTATAGCATCCTTCTTTCTGAAAGTGGCATAGTGCTAGATACCTGACCTCCTAAAATAATCATCATGACTAATTAATGGGAATTACATGCATGTACATACCAAATAAAAACTATGTGAAAAGACTTTCTTGTGTCTAAATGAAATAGCCTACACTAACAGATGCTGTCCTTGCTATTTGGTAGCCTATAATTCTTGTGCTGTTGGATATCACCCCCATGATGGGTGTCCTGGACGGTGTCCTAATGGAACTGCAAGACTGTGCCCTTCCCCTCCTGAAAGGTGGGTTGGGGAGTAGAGAAGGGATTTTATGGTATTTGATTTCTTACAAAATACAGGTTTTAGGTTTTTGTTAAAGGCTCTCAATTAGAAATTATTTCATAAGAGGATTTTTTTATTTTGAACTACCACTGTTTATTAACTACTTATGTATACCAAGGATAAATAAGGGTAAGAAATGAGCAACAATCAATGTCAGGTAAAGGACTATCCTTTTTTCCCCAATGTGTGTGTGTATATAATTTATTATACCAGTTAAGTGTAATATTGCACAAGGGTTATACACCTGAAATTGTCTACACACACACACATTATAGACAACGTAGGAATTGTCTACATTGTGTTGTTATGGAGTCTGCTTAACTGGTAATAGTAGCATCCTGTAATGGAAAACTTTCTCAGTTTTGAAGGATGTCCTTCATAGCTATACATTGCTCTGGAAGTTGGTTGGTTCCTCTTACACGGTCCCCATCCCATCTACCAATCATCAGGTTGAGACATAGTGTAAATTGTCCTTACCATATGCTCTATAGTTTGAAAAAACCCAGAAGAGCTCAGCTAAGGGCCTTTGCAAATCATTGAACTATAACACAGATATAATAAGGAAGCCTTAAATTTGATCGAAAAGTTTATTAAAATATTCTAAATTAATTTAAATATTTTTCTTCAGCTATTTCTTCATCATAGTCTTTCTTTTGGTAAGGATTAATTAATGATACTCTCCTAGAAGTTTGCACAAAGCAAAATAATACATACCTTCCAAGAAAAACTTTCCTTAAAATTCTTCATCTGTTGAATAAACATTTGCTAGAAGGGATACTCTGCCATCTAAGTCTTTTGGTTGCAAAGTTCTGTGGAAGAATACATGACTGCCCACACTATTCTGTTGGTTCCCTTTTCTCACCCACAGCTCTTTCCAAATCAGCTTTGCTGCTTTTTCCCATTTGTATTCCTTTCTCTGCTGAGTTCCCTGTGCTTTTTCTCTAAAGGGCCCAGATTGCTGTTGGTTTGTCCTCTGCCAGATATGAATATGACAGGGAAGGGAAAGTTCAGCAAATAAGGACATGTGACTGGGAAAGAGGAAGATAATTTTTTTTTCTCCAACTGGTGTTCCTGTCTATGCCCATTTTCAGACTTATGGCAGCCTTGACTATGATGCAACTAGCCAATTTTCCAGTGAAAATGCTGAATGTTGGTCATAGCTTTTTTAATACAATCAACAAAGAAGTGCGATGACTTATGTTCTTTAGTCAAAAAGCAAGTGATGTTTGCTTATTGTACTAGCACTGGAGCATAGTGGTTGAACTCTGGACCAACCTAGGCTGGAATTACAGCTCCATTATCTTTTGATGGTGGCGAGTTAATCTCTTTAAACCTCAGTGTCTCCATCTATAAAATCAGAAGATTAAATTTGATAGTAATATAAATCTCTTAGCATTATCCTGGCACAAAACTCCTCAATAAACATTTATTATTTTTAAATTTGTGATTGGTGTCTTAGACCTTAAAGTAATTGTAATTTAAAGGTTAGGTGAATTAGTTGCTCTTTTGTGTTGTGTGGTAATTAGTGTGAATAACAAGTGTCACTTCAAAAGTCATCATTATACCTTGCATCATATATGATTATAAAAGATAAAAGCTATGGAGTTTTGACATTTAAGTAATTATTGAAACAGGAAAAGCAAAATAAATCTATTGACATTTCTAATGTTATGATTGTTAAATTAATATATTATCTTTCTCAGGCTCCTGAAATGTATATCAGTGTGATATGTAAACACTTGCAACAAGTGAAAGAATTAATGGGTAGATTCAATATGAAAAAGAAAACTTCAAACTTTGATGTTTAAGTAGCTCTGCGTATTTATTGCCATGTCCACAGATGTCATCGCAACAGATAAAGAAGACGTTGCCTTCAAAGACCTGGATGTGGCCATTCTTGTGGGCTCCATGCCAAGAAGGGAAGGCATGGAGAGAAAAGATTTACTGAAAGCAAATGTGAAAATCTTCAAATCCCAGGGTGCAGCCTTAGATAAATACGCCAAGAAGTCAGTTAAGGTGACCAATGCTGTATTTTATGGGATTTTTCATTATTAGCATTTGAAACTTATGCTTTTAGCATTTAAGCAAAACCAAAATTATTTGCCCTTTTTTCTAGTTCTGTACAATCATCAGTAAATACGGCTCTAGAGTTTTGCTTGATAAGCTCTCCCTTTCTGGGTTTTTTCTTACAGTATAGAAATCTATATTCAGAGTGCTCAAAAATATTTTTCCTATTAGTATAACGTGAAAATTTAGTATTAGTTCTTAAACATATAGAGAAGGCACAGGATCTTCTGGTGCATTTTTGCTGCGTGGGAATATTTATTTAGACATTTAAATTTGTGTGTGATTGTGAAAGGAGATAGCTAGCTGTAAGGTAAGTTTATTCTCAGGAATAGAAGATAGTGGTTTCTGAATGCTCAGATTTTCTTAATGCAGAGGAATTTTAATATGCTTGTCTCTTGAAGAATTGAGTCAGTATGACTTATAGTTCTCTCTTTGTGTTCAAACTATTTACTTTAGATTCTAATATGTCTTAATATTACAGTAAGCCTTTTTTATTTTTTATTAATTTTTTTAATTTTTTTGAGACGGAGTCTTGCTCTGTCACCCAGGCTGGAGTGCAGTGGTGCAATCTTGGCTCACTGCAACCTCTGCCTCCCGGGTTCAAGCGATTCTCCTGTCTCAGCCTCGTGAGTAGATGGGACTACCGTTGCACGCCACCACACCCAGCTAATTTTTGTATTTTTAGTAGAGACGGGATTTCACCATGTTGGCCAGGCTGGTCTCGAACTCCTGACCTCAGGTGATCCACCTGTCTTGGCCTCCCAAAGTGCTGGGATTACAGGTGTGAGCCACCACGCCCAGCCAAACCTTCTTTTATTAGTGAACTATCAATTAACTAGAACTTAATTGTCACCCAGCAAATAGGCTTGCCGGTTAAAGGTTTAACTGATTTCCATATACTTTCCTATCTTTCAAAAAAAGGTGAAAGAAAATTTTTTAAGATTTTTTAAGTTGCCCATTATAATGTTCTATCAATAACATTTCATAGATATCTGCATTTTTTGCTTTCTGTGCACTTCATTTTAAATAGTTAACTTATTTTCTGTCATCACAGAAAATAGTATAAATGAGTTTAATAGAAATCCACAGGTGCCAGTAAAAGATTAGAAGATTGTTCAGACTGCTAAATTGCAGGCTATTTGGAGGTAAAGTACTCCTTGCACAGTAATTCCACTTCTTCAAAGCGTCCTTGTTCGTGAGAAATATTTGCCAGCACTGCACTACTTAGAGACAATGAAGTATCTTGTCTACAGCTTGTCAAAAGAGGTACCAAAAAAAAAAAAAAAAAAGATATATGGGAGTCAGTCTCTGTAATATGGTTGTAACTTTTCTATAAATCTGATATTATTTCAAAATTTTTTATTACCATTTTATAAAAGATTTTTATAACTTAAAATGCATTTTCCTATGCTATATTGTATTTGGTGTTTCCCAAGCCTCCCCTGTACAAAGGCTACCTGTTAGACATTTTCAGTCAAATTTTAACATAGATTAGTTAGTAACTATATAGTCTGTAACTCTTCAGTGCCTTCCATTCCTCCTAGGTTATTGTTGTGGGTAATCCAGCCAATACCAACTGCCTGACTGCTTCCAAGTCAGCTCCATCCATCCCCAAGGAGAACTTCAGTTGCTTGACTCGTTTGGATCACAACCGAGCTAAAGCTCAAGTAAGAAAAATATATTTTAAATCTTGTGGTTGTTCAACTTTAAAACATTTTTCTCTCACTTTTAAAATAACTGAATCTGAGTTTGTGCTTTTTTCTTGTTTTTGTTTAGTAGGAACCTATTACTTTTATTAAATTAAAAGTAAATTATTATTCATTTGTTAGGGAGTCTTTAAATGTATTCTCTTAAAGGACCAGAGGCTGGACTTCCTACTTGATTTCGTCTTTAACTATATTTCAATTGCTAACTATAATGAAATGCAGTTACTAATGTTCTCTTGTTACAGTGGTTAAAAATTAGTTATACATGATGGTACATAATTTAGTTTAATTTTTTCAGATACATATAATCTCATATAAACAAAGACTTGAGCTTTGTGTGATTGTGTGGTTCTGCTTCTATTTTAGCTGCAGCTAAGCCATCAAATTCAGATTTTAATTTTTAATTTTATATTTAATTTTCATTTTATGTCTTTTTAATATTCTATGTGTATCTGTAAAATTTCCTCCTTTCACTACTTAGGAGCTAAAGTCTGTTGCTAATTTTCTTTACTCTTAGAGCCATAGATAAGTATGCCAAGGAGCCAGTGACCAGGGAATTAACAATAGCTTTTCAAAAAATTAGAAGCCAGGCAACTGATCTGAGCTAGTTTCCTAGGCTTTTTCAGATCTAACTGGTCCTGGTGCCCGTTCTTGGACAGAACCTCTTTCCTTTGCCCTAATGCTTTTCTGGCCATCCCTTCTTGTCTGTAGGTCATCACTGCTAGATAGGTCTATGAGTTCAGTGCTTTTTCTTCTAGAGAAGATAACTTTAGTTTCAAAAAAAAATTGTTGTTAACCAGAAGATGCTGTGAGGTCTAAGCTGAAGCACTACTGCCCTAACCTGAGAATTAATAATCCTTCAGCTCTGGAATGCCTAGTGAAAGAGAAAAGAATATACATTTGTTAAGCATCTACTGTAAATTGAATGCTATACATGTAATTTTCCATTTAATTTTTATAGTAACCATATGGGTATCTCATATTATCCCTGCATTAGGTAAGAAAACTGAGGCCCAGGGAAGTCAGAGAACCTGCTCAGAGTCATACAGCTCATAAATTACGGAGCCACCTTGATTTGCCTGACTCCAAACCCTTATGTATGTTCTTACCTAATGGTATCAACTAACCTTAGTCCACTTACTAGCTCTGTGATTTTGAGAAAGTATATTCAATGTTTAAAATGTAATAATTGTATCTACCTCAGAGAGTTCTTATGAGGATTAAATAAGATCTGTTTTAAGCCCTTAGCATGGTGCCTGCACATAGTAAATACAAGAAAGGTTGGCTGCTATTATTAGTTGATTTCTTCTTTCTAAGAAGCATACAGCCTAAACATTCCTAATTTAGAGGGTTGTTGGATAACAACCCTTAAATTTTTAGCTTAAAGTGCAAATATTCCCTGAGAGGCTATAGGCTGTGAGCTGGGTCTGGTGGTAGCTGAGAACGAATAGGAGTTTGTTTGAATGGCAGGCAGTTTGAGTTCTGTGGGACAGTTGTAAAGGAAGAGATATTATACATGTTACAGTTGCAAACTCTGGATTGCCAGAAAGTGACTTATTTAGTTCCTACAACAAGAAAGTTCCTACAACAATGACACTAACAACCACTTTTTGTTGTTTCACCTGAGGCTTTGGTGGAGACAGGCATTGGAAAATTCTGCTTCCAAAGGTACTTCAAAGAGATACTTTGTCCTGGTGCCTGAAACAGTTCTCACTGCAGGGCTCAAGTCTGAATGAGCAAAGAGGAAAGAAAGTGCTATCTCCTCAGACTTTAACCTTCACTTGGGGACATGTTCTTTGTTACTCCTGGGACCTTGGCTAGGCATTGTTTCAGCATGTCAATCTGGCATAGTGAGAGCTTTTAGGGAGTCATTGAAGAAGCACTTTCTTCCTCTAGAAGAAGTTGTTTATCCAGTGAGAAAAATAACAAACCCAAAGATAAGTTTTTCTTACAGGACTGGTTGCTAGATATTTTTGTCTTGGAATTCAGAGGCCTTAGCGACTTAGGGACTGTTTAACACCTGCAGAACTTGCCTGTGTATTTGCAAACCAGTGCTGTATTTATGTCTGCTGATAAGGTAATTTGACATTGATACCAGATAAGGTAATTTGACAATGATACCAGTTAGCTTGTAAGAAAATTACTAGGGCTGGAGAATTAATCAAAAACTTTTAACAGACCTATGTGACAGACATGAGTGTCTAAGGGAGCAAAGAGCTGTTATCCTGGGTATGTATTAATTTAGACTAATTGTGACATGAATCATATTAAGAAACTATATCTGCTGGATGCAAAGTACCTGGCCTTTGCTGTCCAGACAGAACTGGATTAGCTCAAGAGATAGAAGGAGCAAGAGGAGGAGGGCAACAAGAACAAAGGAAGGCATGGGAGCCAAGGAGGACTGAGGGTGGAGAGGCCTAGAGGCATTTTGTCTTCACTGTACTTGGGAGCATTGAAGCAGACATTCAGGGAAGTTATAGGCTCTAACTTCCTGGTAATATATATCTTGAGTTAATTGTTCAAGGTATAAATTTATCTTTTTCTATATACCATACCAGCTAAATTTAAGTATAAATATAAGAGCAGTTTCTTCCCCAGTTCTTTCTGGTCATGGCAGACGTAAAAAATGGTACTCATTGAACAGCGTGCCACTCTACCCTATCCCACAGGCTAAGCAGATCAATAGCTGGGTACCCCAGAAACCCAACTGTGAACTAATTTGTGGAGACTAATGCAAATATTGTAGATAATAGTCCTAATACTTGCAAGACTTGCAGGGATTAGATCGGTCAAAAGTGATTTACAATATCACAAACATAAATTTTTAAGTAAACTTTTAACTATTTTAGGATTTAAGAAAGCAGTCTCAACTAGTTTAAGAGTGGGAGTGAAAGTAAAGACAGTTTACTTCTTACTTAACTGAATAAATTAGTATGAAGACCAGTCGAGTCATTGCAGACATTTTAGGTAATGGCCTTTTTTTTCATCTTTATCCTTTTCGGTTGGTTGGTTGGGGTTTTTTTTTTTTTTTTTTTTTGCTTTTTATTTTGAAATAATTTTAGACTCAAAAGTCGCAAAAAAATAGTACAGAGAAGGCCCATGTACCCATCACCCATTGATGGTACCTTACATAACTACAGAGTATTATCAAAACCAGGAAGTTGATGAACTACACAATACTATTAACTAGACTTACTGAAGTTTCACCAGTTTTATATTCACTTATTTTTTTCTGTGTCTTTATGAATGATTCTATGACATTTAATTACAAGTGTAGATTCCTGTAACTGCCCCCATAGTCAAGGTACAGAATTTCTTCATCACTCACAAAAGAACTCCTTCATACTCTCCCTTATGGTCACACCACCCTCTGTCCCTGACATCATTTTTCTGCACTCCACCTCTATAATTTTGTCATTTTGAGAATTTACAAAAGTGGAATCATGCAGTAAGGAACCTTTTGAGACTGGCTCTTTTTCACTCAGTTTAATGCCTTTAAGATCCATCCAGGTTGTTGTTTGTTTCTTTTTGTTGTTTTTCCACTTACCCCTTTTATTTATTCCATTGCCTATGTAAGACATAATACAGTTTATTTAACCGTTCTTTTTTTTTTTTTTTTTTTTTTTTTTTTTTTTTTTTTTTTTTTGAGACAGAGTCTCGCCCTGTCGCCTAGGCTGGAGTGCAATGGCACGATCTCGGCTCACTGCAACCTCCGCCTCCCAGGTTCAAGAGATTCTCCTGCCTCAGCCTCCTGAGTAGCTGGGATTACAGGCACACGCTGCCACACCCAGCTAATTTTTGTATTTTTAGTAGAGACGGGGCTTCACCGTGTTGGCCATGATGGTCTCCATCTCGACCTCCTGATCCTCCCACCTCGGCCTCCCAAAGTGCTGGGATTATAGGTGTGAGCCACCGCGCCTGGCATATTTAACCATTCTTGAACGACATTTGAGTTGTTTCAGTTTGGAGCTGTTATTACCCTTATTTTAAAATTTTCCTTAAAATATCAAAGTGTATTCCTTTTCTTACATGGTAAATACTCAAATGCTTTATTTATGTGTGCTAAAGCTACAGACTCTGGCACAACTAGTTTCTTCTCCCATTCTTTTTGGGACACAGAGGAAGGAAGAATTGCCCACAATGTCACCAAAACAGATCAGCTTCTTAAAATATTTTTCCACATTCCCTTCTGGTTCATCATAAATTCTGTTGTCTAGTTAGGAACAAATTATACATATACCTGATCATAATTTATTTTCTGCACATAAACTTATCAGACAAATAACAAGCAGGCTGATTTTATTTAAATCTACCAAGACATTTCTTTTTTTTTTTTTTTTTTTTTTGAGACAGTCTCGCTGCATCGCCCATGCTGGAGTGCAGTGGTGCGATCTTGGCTCACCGCAACCTCCGCCTCCCAGGTTCAAGCGATTCTCCTGCCTCAGCCTCCCAAGTAGCTGGGATTACAGACATGTGCCACCAAGCCCGGCTAACTTTGTATTTTTAGTAGAGACAGGGTTTCTCCATGTTGGTCAGGCTGGTCTCGAACTGTCAACCTCAGGTGATCTGCCCGCCTTGGCCTCCCAAAGTGCTGGGATTACAGGCGTAAGCCACCATGCCCAGCCCAAGACATAACTTTCTAACCTTTTTTGTGGCTACTGTACTACATGTGATTGCAAGGCATTGCAGGACCCTAAAGTGCTTTCTGGAGTTATAGCTAGAGATTGTTACATATGTTATAATTTTAGAGTGTATATATGTGTGTACACACACACACATACACATATATAAAACCTCTTTCCTTCAGTTTCCTGATATATAAAATGAGGACAGTCATATCTTGGTAATTTGAGTCCTATCCAACTCTAAAATTTCATATTTAGGGTTATTTGAAAATTAATTTCTATATGGTATATAATAAAAATTTTACCTAAATATAAAGTGCCTAAATACCTGATTACTCAGAAGCACTGAGAAGACATCTCCAAGTAAACATTAACAGTGAAACAAAAGATCACATTTACATATTCAAGAAATAGTAAATTGATAAATAATAGTAACGATTAATGTTTTATGTTTGATACACCTACTGTACTAATAAGTTAACCACAAACTATGGGATGCTTCATACCCTTAAACATTCTACTCCATAAGGTTTCAAGTCCACAGTTGTTACCACTGTTAAGCTGTTGTAGGAAATTGCCAAGCAATAAATTTACATTTTTTACAAGTCAATATAACTCTTGTGTTCTCTTGAAATTTCAGAAGCTTTTTATCTTTATTTAAGGGCATTTGTCAAAACAGGTCCCAATTGGAAATAAAAACCATTTGTCTCAGTAATGTATTTGTTTTCAATTTAACTAGATTGCTCTTAAACTTGGTGTGACTGCTAATGATGTAAAGAATGTCATTATCTGGGGAAACCATTCCTCGACTCAGTATCCAGATGTCAACCATGCCAAGGTGAAATTGCAAGGAAAGGAAGTTGGTGTTTATGAAGCTCTGAAAGATGACAGCTGGCTCAAGGGAGAATTTGTCACGGTAAGAAAAATCTGTGAGCCTTCTTAACACTGAGCGTAAAGAACTCTTGAGAGACTCTTAGGACAGAAAACCTTAAAGAGGGCAGGTCTTTCACAGTTGCTCTGATGACTGCATACTTTCGGGATCATAGTAAGCCAGTCATGATCTAGTGTGATCTGATGTGACAGCAGTTGAGATTTATACCAAGATCCATGTCTTTGTCTGACCTATGATAAACTTTGTATGGAGATACATAGTTTCCTTTTTCCAGAAGGATTGGTAAGGCTGACATTGGGTTGTTGCATGATTTTGGAGGGGAAACATTAAGCTCTGGTCATAGCTTTTCACCCCAAGGTCGACTTGGAATTAATGAAAACTTTGCTATCATGACCAAGTAATACTGCTGCCTTCACCTGCCCCCTTCCCAGACTGTGCAGCAGCGTGGCGCTGCTGTCATCAAGGCTCGAAAACTATCCAGTGCCATGTCTGCTGCAAAAGCCATCTGTGACCACGTCAGGGACATCTGGTTTGGAACCCCAGAGGTAAGGATTTAGTGATTTGCACAGGTCACTCTATTTTATTTTTGTTGCCTGATGATATAATATAAAAAGAATATAGCCTTAGCAGTCAGTCAGGTTAGGTTCATTTCTCAGCTCAGCTGCCTATTAACAAGTAAACTTCGGGGTTTGTTAGCCTTGACCTTTCTGAGCTGTTTTGTCATCTTTTACATGACATTACTATTATACACAGGGTTGTGAGGGTTAAAGGAGATTGCACATGGAAAACACCTGGCACAATGCCTGATACATAGTAGGGGTGAATTTTTTTCTTCTATGCCACAGCTTCCTCATCTGTAAAATGAGGATTAGGTTTCCCTGGCCTACTTCACATATGATATGGAAGCGTGGAATGAAATAATATCCATGAAAGTTACCTTGTCACCAGTACCTGGTGCTGATGATAGTTCCTTACACAGTAATGATGTTATGAACATAGTAAGAAAGGGTCACCTGGTTTAATTTTATTAGTTCATGTGTCAGTTGTGTAAACTAATCATCATGAGTATGTGAAACATTGTTATTTTCAGGGAGAGTTTGTGTCCATGGGTGTTATCTCTGATGGCAACTCCTATGGTGTTCCTGATGATCTGCTCTACTCATTCCCTGTTGTAATCAAGGTAAGGTATTTTGGAGCTATTTCCCTTCTTTGAGGAAGTAGTTATATGTTTCTCTTAAGAATGGTATTATTGGCCAGGCACAGTGGCTCACGCCTATAATCCCAACACTTTGGAAGGGCAAGGTGGCAAGATTGCTTGAGCCCAGGAGTTCAAGACCAGCCGGGGCAACATAGTGAGACCCCCTCTCTGCAAAAATAAAATAATTAGCCGGGCATGGTGGCACACATCTGTGGTCCTAGGTTCTTGAGAGGCTGAGGTAGGAGGATCACTTGAGCTTAGGAGATCAAGGCTGCAGTGAACCATGACAGTACCCCTCCACCAGGCAACAGAACGGGACCCTGTCCCCCAAAAAAGAAAACAGAATGTTATCACTTAATCTAGAAAATTGTTCCTTTACTAAAATAGACATTTTTCTCAGCTTTAAAACTATATGTATTTCAGCTTCAGGTCATTGAAAGTTTTTATGATTGAAATTAATCTGGAAAGGAAGATTCAGCTCTTCCCACTAGACACTATGTTATTATGCCTCTAGTATTAGAGACCTACAAATAGTATATTTCTAAATGAAGCAATGGTTTTCAGTGTTGTTGTTCTTTATTATAACTGTGCTAAAGTCAGTCATTTTTGAAGTTTTTTTTTTTTAGATTCAAGGGGTTTAAAATTCAAGTGTTGAGTTTTTATTAGAATTATCTATTAATTAAAATCTGGATTTTTATTTACTTTAGAATCAGACTTTAAAACGATATACCTCTAAATATAAGTTCAAACAAGGTTGTTGCTTACTGAAAGATCAGTTCCAGTTTAAATCTCTTATTTGCATTATTTTCAAACAGAATAAGACCTGGAAGTTTGTTGAAGGTCTCCCTATTAATGATTTCTCACGTGAGAAGATGGATCTTACTGCAAAGGAACTGACAGAAGAAAAAGAAAGTGCTTTTGAATTTCTTTCCTCTGCCTGACTAGACAATGATGTTACTAAATGCTTCAAAGCTGAAGAATCTAAATGTCGTCTTTGACTCAAGTACCAAATAATAATAATGCTATACTTAAATTACTTGTGAAAAACAACACATTTTAAAGATTACGTGCTTCTTGGTACAGGTTTGTGAATGACAGTTTATCGTCATGCTGTTAGTGTGCATTCTAAATAAATATATATTCAAATGAAAGTGACTCAGACTCTGTTTCTAGCTAATATTTAGTGTCTATTCAGGAAGCAAACTTGCGGACAGGCGCAGTGACTGACACCTGTAATCCCAGCACTTTGGGAAGCTTGAGATGGGTGGATCACCTGAGGTCCGGAGTTTGAGACCAGCCTGGGCAAATAGTGACACCCCATCTCTACTAAAAATACAAAAATTAGCCAGGCGTGGTGGCACAGGTCTGAAATCCCAGCTACTTGGGAGGATGAGGTAGGAGAATAGGTTGTCCCGGGGGGCGGAAGTTGCAGTGAGCCAAGATTGCGCCACTGCACTCCAGCCTGGGCTACGAGGGAAACTCCGTCTCAAAAAAAAGAAGAGGACTGGGCGCGGTGGCTCCCGCCTGTAATCCCAGCACTTTGGGAGGCAGAGGCGGGCGGATCACTACGTCAGGAGATCGAGACCATCCTGGCTGACGCGGTGAAACCCCATCTCTACTAAAAATGCAAAAAATTAGCCAGGCGTGGTGGCGGGCACCTGTAGTCCCAGCTACTCGGGAGGCTGAGGCAGGAGAATGGCGTGAACCCGGGAGGCGGAGCTTGCTGTGAGCAGATGGCGCCACTGCACTCCAGCCTGGGCACAGAGCGAGACTCCGTCTCAAAAAAAAAAAAAAAAGAAGAAAAGAAAACAAACTCGAATGTTTCCCAGGTTGCCTAAATAATTTTGAGATAGATATATATACATTTTTTTAACCAGGGGAAGGCAGTAAGGCTAGAAAGATAAAGCATAAATCTCGTATTTAAATAGAATATAGAAACCCACCTTGTGATAATGAATCAGTCTATTTCAGCATATATTTGTAAACATTACCTACGTTGAACAAATACCATATTTTTAAAATCTTAAAGGTTTACGCTTTGTAGATAATTTGATTTTAAGGCTAGCTACTAATATTAAATAAGTTGCAGATAATATTGTTAACAGTGTTATGCCATTGGATGAAATTAGAATATTTTCATTATATTAAAAAAATGGTAATAGGTTTTCACTGGAGGTATTACTTTTTAGCAGATAAGGAATCATTTATATTTCAAAACCACTAAATACCACAGAAGTTTATGCTAGTGTTAGGAGTAACACTAGCATAGTGTTATGATGTTAGAAGTAAGTAATAAACTAAGCTTATTACTAGAAAAATAGTGGAGTTTTTTTAATAGTCTTGTTTTTTCCCCAAACCTATGATGGCAGAAGGCATTTTCTATCTTTTCATCCTCATGCTTAACACACTGTCCACATGTAATAGGCAATATTGTATTAATAAATATCTCCAGGCCTAACATAGTACTCTTCATGGATGCTCAAATATTTGTTGGTTGGACTTATTTAAAATTACTACTTTGGGAGGCCAGGGCAGGAGGATTGATTGAAGCCAGGAGTTCAAGGCTAGCCTGGGCAACAAAACAAGACCCCATCTCTACAAAAAAATTTAAAAATTAGCTGAGTGCAGTGGTGGATTCCTGTAATCCCAGCTACTCCGGAAAGTAAGGCAAGAGGATCACCTAGGCAAAGGAATTCAAGGCTGCAGTGAGCTAGGATCACGCCACTGCACTCCAGCCTAGGCAACAGAGCGAGACCATCTCCTTTTTAAAAAATTAAAAATTACCTAGATCATTTTATGATGTAGAAAAGAAAAAGCAAGTTGAGTAAAACTACCTTTAGGACTACTATTAATCGGAAGCATAAAAACAAAATTTCATATAGAATGAACAAAATTTTGTATAAAGTAAGTATGAATTGTACCAGTTGTTATTTTCTTTCAGTTCCAAACACTCCCTTCTATATTCTCGTGACATTAGGACTGGAATTTGGCAAGCCACATTTCTTTACCAGCTGCTCCTTGTTAAAAATGTGCTAATGGGCCAGGCGCGGTGGCTCATGCTTGTAATCCCAGTACTTTGGGAGGCCGAGGCGGGCAGATCATTTGAGGTCAGGAGTTCAAGACTAGCCTGGCCAACATGGTGAAACCCTGTCACTACTAAAAATACAAAAATTAGTCGGGCATGGTGGCGCATGCCTGTAATCCCAGCTACTCAGGAGGCTGAGGCAGGAGAATCACCTGAACCTGGGAGGTTGCAGTGAGCCGAGATCATGCCACTGCACTCCAGCCTGGGTGACAGCAAGACTCCATTTCAAAACAAAACAACAACAACAAAATATATATATATACACACACTAATAAAGGGTACTAGAGGGGGACTGGATGGCAGAAGAGAAAGAAAACATGCTCTTACTCCTTCCTGTTGGTTTCCTCTATCATTACCTTCTATCCACTTTATATAAGCCAGAAAAGAAAAAAACAAATGAATCAAACATATCTTTAGAAGAGCAATTAGTTGGAAGCATGAAAACTAATTTCATGTAGAATTAAAAAGAAAATCTTGGCTGGGTGCAGTGACTCATGCGTGTAATCCCAACACTTTGGGAAGCTAAGGTGGGAGGATTGCAGACCAGCCTGAGCAATGTAGTGAGACCCCATCTCTACTAAAAATAAAAAATTAGCCAGGCATGGTGGTGCACACCTGTAGTCCCAACTACTCGGGAGTCCGAGGTGGGAGGGTCGCTTGAACCCGGGAGGTCAAGGTTGCAGTGAGCCATGATCATGCCACTGCACTTTAGTCTGGGTGACAGAGCAAGATTGTCTTTTTAAAAAACAAAAGAAAATGTTATATGAAGAAAGTATGTATATATGAAAGTTATTGGAGAGATCTAGATTACTTGTAGAAACAAGTAATTTTTCACCAACTTTGCCTTTGAAGCATGGGTTTCGGTTTGAATATTCACACTGTGAAACTGATTATCTCTTTATGCCATTTTTTTAATGCTCTTCACTTCCATCACCTTTACCAAGAGAACAAAGCATTTTGTTGCTCCTTCTCTTAATGGAGTCCAGGCCCAGGAAGTTGTGTCTTCAAGCAGCATGATAATATGTGAAAAGCCTATGCCTTTCCTAAGCATTTTTACTAGTACTTGAGGAAATGATACATGGATGCATTACAGGGCAAAAGACATTACATTTTAAGCCAATAAAGTTAGATTAAGAAGCTTTCCAAAAGAGGTACAATCTGTATAAACCTAAACCTTAAGGGAATATTGACCTCTGCAGATCATGACCCTGGTAATGTTTCCTGAACAACAAGTGGATAGCCAGTGCAGCTTTATTTAATTCTAATAAAACATAAAGAAGGAGTGGGGGAAAAACCCTATAATTCCACTGCCAGTTAAATCATAATTTAAATAAAAGTTATATATACATTAGAAAATCAATGAAATGGTGTTAAATGAAAACCAAATTTTTGTTTATCCTTACAGGGAAAAAAATACACATATTTATTTTGAGAATTAAAAAAAAAAAAGGAATACATAGTGAAAAGAAGTGTTCTTTGCTCACCTGACTCCCACCCATTTAAGCCTTGTTTTTGTCCCATGGCCTATAGCTCAGAAACATTCAATGCATAACCAAAGTATGTATGTAAATATATGTGTGTGCATGTAACCATCCCCTTTTGTACATAAATTATAACACACTGTTCTGCACTCTGTGTTTTTCCTTTAGTAATACATCTTAAAGCTATATAGATACTTAGCGTCAGGCACAGTGGCTCATGCCTGTAATCTCAGCACTTTGGGGGACCCAGGCAGGCAGATCGCTTTGAGCTCAGGAGTTCGAGACCAACCTGGGCAACATGGCAAGACCCCGTCTTACAAAAATAAAATAAAACAATTAGCCCAGTTTGCTGGCTCACACCTGTGGTTCCAGCTACTTGGGAGGCTGAGGTGGGAGGATTACTTGAGCCCCAGAAGCAGAGGTTGCAAAGAACTGAGATCATGCCACAGCACTCCAGCTTAGGTGACAGTGCAAGACCCTGTCTCAAAAAAAACCATAAAAGCTATATAGATACCTGCAGAGCCACCCCATTCATTTTTAAAGTTATGTAGTACTCTGTTGAATGGATATACCAAACTTTATTTAGCCAGTCTCCTATTGATGGACTTTTAGATTCTTTTCAATCTTTTACTACTATAAAGATGCTGGACTATTTTTGTAAGTTGGTTATTTCATACATGTACAAGTGTATCTGCAGGATAAATTCCTAAAACACAGCAGATTTTTTTTAATACTGTTGAATCTAGTTTGTTATGAAAGCAGCAGCCTTCTGGATTTGATATTATATGTACATTTAATACCATTTTAACTGTCCTTTCTAACCCCCCACTTTTTTTTAACAATACCTTGATTAAACCAGCCACAATATTTCTCAAGAAATGTTGACCAGGGGAAAAATATATTAGAAAGTACCTTTTTGGTATGTAAGCTTAAGAATTTGACTATGAAAAACAAAAAGCAACAAAAATAAGTTCCTAGTTGTCCTTGTGAAATTGGTATGAGAACTCATCATCTTTATGATCTTGATGGCTTTAAACAAACCTCAAAACAAGAAACATATCTGTTTTGATTTCTGAATATTGGTGGGTTCTTAGACAAACTAAAATGGTTACTGACTCAGTAGAAATATATACGCTTTCATTCCAGTAGTGTCACCTAATTGGTATCATCCAGCACAATATAGTGACAGTTCAATACACATTGTTGAATAAATGGGTTCTTGTCAATTTGCCCTCTAACTCTGCTGGGAATAGACTCGTATTCTAAATCAAACTCATAGCCTGACCTGGGTAGCACAATTGAGTAAAGCACTTTTAAGCAGAATAGACATCTTTAAAACCATCCAGTTTTCTCATGTCCTTACCACCATCACCCTGGTCCAAGCCATCATTATTTCTTCATAAAAGACTTCTGCAATAACAATGGAAATGGGAGCTCAGTTTGGAGTCTATGCCTCCCCTCTCTCCCTAGTCCAATCCAGACTTGCTCTAGAGTTACTGATTAACAACGACATTTTACTTCACGTTTTTTGAAGAATAGACCAACTCATGGGCTTGGAAGTCAGACAAGCTTGGATTCCAGCTCTGACTCTTTTTAGGTGTCCTTAAACAACCTTTCTACGTTTTGACTCCCTCAGATACAAAATGGGGATATTAATAGTACAACCTTTAAAATGTTTTTGTGAGGATTATTTAAATGGAAAGCACATGGTAAGGGCTCAATTTACTTATTGGGTTTGTAGGGGATCGAAATACGCCACCCCAAAATATGCCACTTTAGCATAAGAAGTATTTTGAGCTAAAGTCATTTCAGATTCAACAGATACAGAAGCAGCCTTCCCAGCGCCTCCCTTGTCTGACTAAAAGCAGAAACTTCTGAAAATAAGGACTGCCATAAATCCTCTCTCCTAGGGAAGTTTCATGACCATGAAGAAGACAGAAAGTTGGCACTGACATGGACATATGAAAACAAACCTTATTCCTTTTGTTTCCCCCATACACTTACCTTTCCACAGTTTACCACCCTTGAAAGCTTAAAACCTTTTCCTTTGTCTTGTCACATCTAAATGGGCTGGTTTTTTGTGAAGATGCTATATAAA
Organism: Homo sapiens; assembly: GCF_000001405.40. Taxonomy (NCBI): domain Eukaryota; kingdom Metazoa; phylum Chordata; class Mammalia; order Primates; family Hominidae; genus Homo; species Homo sapiens. Next base: position 63,612,711 of record NC_000002.12, read on the forward strand.
CTCAAATTCTAACCATCGTTTTCAGTTACTCATCACTGAGTTTCTCCCACATGTATGTGTACTACATGTGTTAGTAAATTCTGTTTTTCTTTTGTTAATCTGTCTTTTGTCAGTTAGATTTCCAGGGCCCGAGATGGAGGCTAGGACCTAGGCAGGTAGGGGAAAAATGTTATTTTTTTCTCCCCATAGGTTTTTTCCTTTTCTTTTCCTTTCTTTCTTTCTTTTTTTTTTTTTACTTCTTAGCATCACTTCAAAGTCTATTATAATGTGGCCTCAAGTGACACCTTCCAGCCCCGTCTTTGACTATTATTCCCTGTACCTTCCATACCTTCCATGCTGGCCATGTTAAAGTACTTGGACAGTTAGTCACGTGCATGGCTCCATGCCTTTGTTTGGCTGTTCTCTTTGCTTAGAATGCTCTTCTCTGCTTCTCTAGACTGCCTTACACATAGGTAGTCAACATGTGCATATTGATTAAGGGGGGAAAATCCCAAGAACTTTTGTCCCACTGTCTTAAGACTAGTCCTCCAGTAGTAGACCCTAAAATGAGGTTTCTGAGGATTCAAATGCATGTGATTTACTAAGGCAGTGCTCCCAGGAGAAATCTCTAAGGAAGAAGAGCAGGAGCAGGGAAAAGGAGGAAGCCAAGCAATGGTGCATCTAGCCAAGGATGGCTCCAGCCTGATGAAATCAGGGAAACTTCTGTTCTTAGGCAAGGAGCCTGGGGCTTTTATTTCATACTCCCAAACCTCCCAATCATGGGATGGGGGTGGAGAATGTAATTCCCAGCCATTGCCTGCTCTCTATGCTGCCAGCAAAGCAGGCTGTAGCAGTACAGGCACAGTCCTCCAAAAAGAACCCCAGATGCTAGCTGTTAGAAGCAAAGGAAAGTCCAAGGGAATGGGAGCATGGGTGCTAAAAGGAATCTGGGCAGAAACACCAACATTATTCACCACTTCCACTGTTGGAGTGCAGAGAACAATACCCCAAAGTATGATGCTTTGTCATGCCGAACACTTCTGAATTAAAGGAACTTGGAAAGGCTAAGAACCGAGGAGTTTCTAGCCTTCTCTTATTTCTACCCCAAACCCCAAGCACAGGGAGAGGTTATCTCTGGTATTTCCCTTGTCTGACTGAGGAAAACTTCTTTCAAAAGAAATGCAATTGTCTTAAGACCCCCTCCCTAGGAATCTCATCAAATAACTAGGCAAGATTAACCACTGGAGAAAAGACTAAACATCATCACCATGCTCGGACAGACTTTTTATTCATTTTTCTGAGAGCAGCTCCAAGAGATTACCTGGGAGACTTTATTTACATAATATAAGAACCTCCGTTCACAGGGAAGTTCTGACCGTCACTATCCCACCACCTCCCCTAGTGCTCAGAATGAAGTTTTGTTCCAGAACAATGTCTGTTCTTTGGGCTCATTCAATTATCCTGAAAATCATTTACTACCCCTCAAAATTGCCCACATCCCCCATTCCCTCTCCCCTATGAAGAAGATTTTTAAACCTCAACCATCTGACCCTTCTTTGAGTTTCATATTTTGTATGGCTTCTGTACACACTTGCATGTTAATAAATTTGTATGCCTTTTTCTCCTGTTAATCTCCCTACTGTCAGTTCATTTCAGCAAACCTTCAGAAGGCAAATGGCAAACTTTCCCTCCACTCCTATGTTTACCCACTTAGTCTTACTCCTAATGAAGCCTAGATGAACTCTATCATTTTATACTTAGAGGGAGATGGCACTGTTAGGGCTCAGAACACAACAGCCCAAGGTATGATGTCTTTGGTATGCTGAGTACTTTGAAATGAAAGAGGCTGGAAGAACCACAGAAGCAAAGTCTCTCTCTGACCTTCTCTTATCCTCTTGTCTCCCATCCTTTTTCCTCCCCAAAGCAGGCCTATAAACTAGTATTCCTCTTCCCCAAGGTGACTCATAGCAATTAAAACTCCTGTTCCCCAAAACAAGTCATAAAACCTAGAAAGACCTCTTTTTCCCTTTTCACTTGAAGAACCTCATTCCATAGGAATTCTGCCCCATACCTTGGAGGATGAAATGCTTCCCAGAGAGGAATTTCAAGAATCTGAACAGACAGGCCTTGCTAGGTTTCTCCCCTCAGTTGATTACCATTAGATCATACCCTGTATCCAATCACATTTCTACGCAACTGTCTATTCTTCATTGAACCTAAGCATAAAAACAGACAATTTTCCCTAGGTTTGGGGATTTTCATTCTGAAGCCTCCCGTATCACATAAAACTTTGATAAAATAAGTTTGTTAGGCTTTTCTCTTGTTAACCTGTTTTTGTTATAGTGAGAGAGGAGGTAGAAAGACACTAGCTAGGCAGACAGGGCAAAGAGTTCTCGGCAGAACTTCCCTTCTAACAAAAAGCAGCCCAGGAAATCACTTACCTTTTAACAAAGAGCAGCCTGGAAGATCAGGCTGCAAACACAGATAAGGAAGCAGCTATGACACAGAGGTGGAGCTTCCTGGGTAATTGGCAAGTTTCACATACATACGGTGGATCCCAGTAAACACAATGGGCCTTAGTGAGCACATTCCTTTCCTTTTTACGACATACTCATGGGGAGATGCCTGCAGCCGCACCAACAAAAAAGGAGTACCTGGGGCCAGGCATGTCCACCGTGCGGGATCTACCTCCCCTTTTTCAGCACATGCACAGTAGGAAAGAAATAAGCAATGCGAAGAAGCTCAGGCCAAGGAGCCGTCTGCATAATAAAAGGTAGGGGTGGGGGCTGCCAGAGATTTGTGCTCTGTGCAGATGGCACACCTGGTTCTAACCTGTTTTTCATGCCCTAGGTAAATAAGATACCCCCTCCCCACTAACTCATTTATAAAAACCCTTGCATTTCCCTGCAGAATGGCAACACTTTTGGGGACCCCACTCTGCAGCAGAGAGCTGTTTCTTTTGCCTATTAAACTTCTGCTCTAACCTCACCCTTGGTGTGTTTGTGTCCTTGCTTTCCTTGGCCACAAGACCAAGAACTTCAGGTGCCACCCCAGGCAATGAGGCCATTTCAAGAGGGGTGTCAGCCACAACCCTTAGGATTACACCTGGGTTCTGCACATGATTTATGTGTGCATGATTTTCTACTCATGCTTCTTCTCTTACTTTGTGGCCCTGAGAATAAGCTTTCTCGTTTCACCATAGAGCTAAATTCATAGCACTACTTATTCTAGCTGGAAGTTACCTTGGTAATAATAATATTCTCAGGCTTGAGCTGGGGCATTTCCAGAATAAAGTTGCTCAGAGTTAATGCTCTCCTGTTCATTTATTTTTTCAACAGAGAGATTAGTCTGTGCATGGCATTGTGCTAATTCCAGGTACATTGATGAATTCTATCTTTATGGAACATACTATAAATAACACACATATAGTACAATAAATTCTTTGCAGGAAATAGTGCAATGTTAAGAAACTTACAGAGGTGAGAATCTACTTAGATAGGGATGGTTCTCTAAATCTTTCTGAGGCATTGATATTTAAGGCCAAGATCTGAAGAATAAGAAGGGAGAGGGGGAGTTCCTTCCTTACCTCACAAAGGGAATTATAAATGGAAAAGCCTTGAGCCTGGAAAAAACTCCTCCTGTTTTAGGAAAGAAAAGGTCTGTTTAGGCCTAAAACAAACTGGGGGAATTAAGGGAGGGAGGGTAAAGGGGCTGAAAATGGAATTGGAGAGGTAAGTAGGAGCCAGTCCATGCTAGACCCTCACCTTAGCCTAATAGGCTAGATTTCTTTTTAACATGCAAAAGTAAGTCTAATGTGCACCTTTGAGTCTTTTATATATCCTTTACTCTATAGCATAAAATAAGAAATATAAAACAAAAACGAAATAATTTTAAGATTCTAGTGGCTTTAGTATTGCCAATAATGTTGATTAGTGGACAACTTTGCTTATGTGGAAAGAGACCATATTACTCTCCTCCCTTCCTCCTATATTAGAATGCAAATAAGTAGCATTATTTAAACACAGCAACCCACGTGGAGAAGAAAAAAATCATTATTTTAAAAAGTATATGCAAATAAGGATATTAGTGATAATGTGAAAAGGACTAAATAAAATTACAATCCATAGAAGGATTTTAAAGCTAGAAGAAACTTTGAGATTATCCAACAAAATGCTTTTTTTTAATTGAAGTAATGACAAGGATATTTACGGTTTAAGAATTTTTTGTTTGTAAAAACAAAATGCCTTTCTCTAACATCCCCAAAAGTAAAAATAAAGCTGGAGTAGGTGGAAAAACAAATTTAGAAATGGATGCAAACCAGGAGCTTTTGCCTTGTCTCTGATTTGGCAGCAGGTCTTCTGGGGCAGAACTGAGCACTTGTAATTAGCACCTCACCACAGGAAAAATTTGTAATAACTCTCAAGAAAGCCATTCAAGACACAGAATAAATTCCACATTGGCCATGCTCTTGCAGCCATAAGAGATAATTAACCATGTTTTAATGTATTTGTTGGAGTGATAATGTAGACCAGCTGCCTTTCAATTCAGCTATGAAATTGAAAATAAGGATTTTCAAAATTATCTTGAACTTAGAGATGGGTTGAAAATAAGATTAAAATGATTACATTGTACTTTCAAATGAAATTATAACCTCATATCTTCCTTATTTCATACGTGTTTGAGAGGGAAAAATGCTTTCTTATACCCTTCTAGGTTCTGTGGCTGGTCTAAGAATTAAACTGACATAGATTAATAGGAGAAAAATAATTACATATGTACACATAGGAGTCCCACAGATATATGAAACTAAGCAGCCAGGTGATTGAGACTTTCATATTGTCTGCGGTTACAGAAAGGAATAGGGGTTTGGGGCTGCTCAGGGGTGGTGGAGGCAAATTGTGGGAAGGCTAGAGGAGGAAATGTATAGTGAATAAAAGTTGCCTGCCTTGTTATACAGATAAGAGTCTCTCAGGTGATAAAAGTTGTCTTCAGGGATGGCCATCTTCCTGGAACAAATACCTTTACTAATGAAAATTTCCTTTATAAATGTAAATTTCCTTTATAAAAGAGGAAATTTATACTTTATTTTAGGCAGTTGAGATAAAGAGTTGGTTCTCAATTTCTTTTAGCTCAAAATAATCAGCATGCCAAAGCAACATATTTTAGAATGGCATGTTCTGAACCCCTTCATATGCATATATGTACACATTTGTTTTCAACCCAGATCAGGTAAATACAAACACTTATCTTGAAACCACACTGCTTTTAGGCAAGACAACATGAAAATAAAAAAGAAAATAGTTTTTAAAAATTCTTTATCTGTACTGTTTGTTTTCTCTTATGTTTTTTTTCCATTGATAAAAAAATGCATTTTGCATTTCAATTACTAAATCCTTGAGGATTAAGACAGATTTAAATGAAAGAGGGGCTTATGTAAATATACCACCTTTGAGTCAGAAATAAGAACAATTTTCTTTTCTGCTCAAATATCAACGCCCTGTTGAGAAGAAGATTCCCCAAAATGCTCAAGCAAGTGCTTAGAATGAAAACTCAGCCAGCACAGAGTGGAATGAAGAACTGGGAAAGCTTTATCTGGAAGGTTTTATTTCCTGGGGGGAAACTGCACCTTTGAACTTAATAGCTTAACGGGAAGTACAATCGGCAACTAAGGTAGAAATGGACTTCATTGCTTTCCTTCAACACACAAAGTACATTCGAGTCTCATCACCAATTTATTATTAAGAATTTAATTGCCCAGGTGTTAAGCATTTTCTTTTTCTTTCCTGAATTCATTTACTGCAATTGTGAAATGATCAGTGATTATCCCCTATGTTCCTCCCTTAGATACTGATACCACCACGCTGGAACGATTTCTTATTCAACACTCTTGAGCTCTAGTTGACAATTCTGCATGCCCTTGGTTCACTTTTTGAAGCATGGGTACTGTGGGCCTTTTAAAATGTGTTACTTTTGATAGAAGGATAGAAGTGGGATAGTAATTTTTTTTTTTTTTTTTTTGAGACAGAGTTTCGCTCTTGTTGCCCAGGCTGGAGTGCAATGGCGCAATCTCCGCTCACCGCAATCTCTGCCTCCCAGGTTCAAGCAATTCTCCTGCCTCAGCTCCTGAGCAGCTGGGATTACAGGTATGCACCACCTCGCCTAGCTAATTTTGTATTTTTAGTAGAGACAGGGTTTCTCCATGTTGGTCAGGCTGGTCTCAAACTGCTGACCTCAAGTGATTCGCCCGCCTCACCCTCCCAAAGTGCTGGGATTACAGGCATGAGCCACTGCGTCCAGCCTGGATAATCATTTTTTGTTTTAAATGGGTTGTAAATTGTATGGTGTGAAGAGGATCTATTTCATCCTGATCCGTGTTAAAATGTAAAATTAAACAGAACCACTATCAGGTCTCCCAGGAGGACTTTATTCTGTCATCTTCTTTGTTTCTTGACCACCACTCCCTTCCTCCAATCCATGTTAGTTGGCTGGCCATTTAGGGAGCACGCAAAAATAGTGAAGGGCAGAGAGGAGTTTTAAACTGATATCAGTATGTTGGGTCATGGGTAACAGATCATCAGAGAAAATTATCCAGCTTCCTTTTAAAAGATTTTAACAGAAGGGATTTCAAGACTTGGAGTACCCAACCTTCTTTACCTTCATATATCCACATCCCTCCTACCCTTGATGACTTGATTCAATTATCATCTACTCTATAAAGCTCAATCTAAAATGAGCCTTCCTCTTCAAAGCTTTCATAGATTTTTGGTACAGCTAACTCATGTGGCCACTGGTCATGCACTTCCTTGCAGCATTGCCTCCCTTTGAACTTAACTGCTGTCATTATTTACTCTTCCTCGGTCTATGTCCTATTTTACTAGATTGTAAGCACCTGAAAAAAAGGATCTACATCTTCTATTCTTTAACAGTGCCTGGCACCATGCTTTGTATCTAAGGAGATCTTTCAATAATTATTATCGATTTCAAATATTAGCACCATGTAACTGGTTCACATAAAAATACAAGGATTAGGAAGTGGCTGGCAAGATGGCCAAATAGGAACAGCTCTGGTCTGCAGCTCCCAGGCAGATCAATGCAGAAGGTGGGTGATTTTTGCATTCCCAACTGAGGTACCCAGCTCATCTCATTGGGACTGGTTAGACAGTGGGTGCGGCCCATGGAGAGCAAGCCAAAGCAGAGTGGGACATTGCCTCACCTGGGAAGCGCAAGGGGTCGGGGAACTCCCTCCCCAAGCCAAGGTAAGCCGTGAGGGACTGTGCCATGAAAAATGGTGCATTCCGGCCCAGATACTACGCTTTTCCCATAGGCTTTGCAACCCATAGACCAGGGGACCCCCTCAGGTGCCTACACCACCAGGGCCCTAGGTTTCAAACACAAAACTGGGTGGCCATTTGGGCAGACACCGAGCTAGCTGCAGGAGTTTTTTTTCCTACCCCAGTGGCACCTGGAACACCAGTGTGACAGAAGCGTTCACCCCCCTGGAAAGGGGGCTAAAGCCAGGGAGCCAACTGGTCTAGCTCAGCGGATCCCACCCCAACAGAGCCCAGCAAGCTAAGACTCATTGGCTTGAAATTCTCACTGCCAGCACAGCAGTCTGAAGTCTACCTGGGATGCTCAAGCTTGGTAGGGGGAGGGGCATCCACTATTACTGAGACTTGAGTAGACAGTCTTCCCTTCACAGTGTAAACAAAGCCTTTCGGAAGTTCGAACTGAGTAGAGCCCACTGCAGCTTGGCAAAGCCACTGTAACCAGACTGCCTCTCTAGATTCCTCCCCTCTGGGCAGGACATCCCTGAAAGAAAGGCAGCAGCCCCCGTCAGGGGCTTACAGATAAAATTCCCATCTCCCTGGGACAGAGCACCTGGGGGAAGGGGTGGGTGTGGGCACAGCTTCAGCAGATTTAAACGTTCCTGTCTGCCAGCTCTGAAGAGAGCAGCAGATCTCCCAACACAGTGCTTGAGCTCTGCTAAGGGACAGACTGTCTCCTCAAGTGGGTGCCTGAACCCCCTGCCTCCTGACTGGGAGACACCTCCCAGCAGGGGTCAACAGACATAAAGGAGAGCTCCAGCTGGCATCTGGCAGGTGCCCCTCTGGGACAAAGCTTCCAGAGGTAGGAACAGGCAGCAATCTTTGCTGTTCTGCAGCCACTGATGGTGATACTCAGGCAAACAGACTCTGCAGTGGACCTCCAGCAAACTCCAGCAGACCTGAGCAGAGGGGCTGACTGTTAGAAGGAAAACTAACAAACAGAAAACAATAGCATCAACATCAACAAAAAGGACACCCACACCAAAACCCCATCCGAAGGTCACCAACATCAAAGACCAAAGGTAGATAAATCCACAAAGATGAGGAAAAACCAGTACAGAAAGGCTGAAAATTCCAGAAACCAGAACACCCCTTTTCTTCCAAAGGATCACAACTCCTCACCAGCAAGGGAACAAAACTGGATGAAAAATGAGTTTGACAAATTAACTGATGTAGAAGGTGGCTTCAGACGGTGGCTAATAACAAACTCCTCTGAGCTAAAGGAGCACATTCTAACCCAAGGCAAGAAAGCTAAGAACCTTGAAAAAAGGTTAGAGGAATTGCTAACTAGAATAACCAGTTTAGAGAAGAACATAAATGACATGATGGAGCTGAAAAACAGCACAAGAACTTCGTGAAGCATACACAAGTATCAATAGCCGAATTGATCAAGCAGAAGAAAGGATATCAGAGATTGAAGATCAACTTAATGAAATAAAATGTGAAGACAAGATTAGAGAATAAAGAATGAAAAGTAATGAACAAAGCCTCCAATAAATACGGGACTATGTAAAATGACTAAACTTACGTTTGATTGGTGTACCTGAAAGTGATGGAGAGGATGGAACCAAGTTGGAAAACACTCTTCAGGATATTATCCAGGAGAACTTCCCCAACGTAGCAAGGCAGGCCAACATTCAAATTCAGGAAATACAGAGAACACCACTAAGATACTCCTAAAAAGGAGCAACCCCAAGACACATAATCATCAGATTCACCAAGGTTGAAATGAAGGAAAAAATGTTAAGGGCAGCCAGAAAGAAAGGTCGGGTTACCCAAAAGGGAAGCCCATCAGACTACCAGTGGATCTGCTTGCAGAAACTCTACAAGCCAGAAGAGGCTGGGGGCCAATATTCAACATTCTTTTTTTTTTTTATTATACTTTAAGTTTTAGGGTACATGTGCACAATGTGCAGGTTAGTTACATATGTATACATGTGCCGTACTGGTGCACTGCACCCACTAACTCGTCATCTAGCATTAGGTATATCTCCCAATGCTATCCCTCCCCCCTCCCCACTCCCCTCACCCCTCAACATTCTTTCTTTTTTCTTTTTTTTTTTTTTTTTTGGAAGTTGATTTTTAATGATAAAGTACAATGGAGGGAGGGCAGAGGGGCTAAGCCTAGCTGTCTGGGTTGCTGTGGTGGTGGTGGGCTGGCTACACAAACTGTTGCTGCTGCTGCTGCTTCTTGGTGGCCGCCTTGCTGGCGAGGTCCTTGGCCTTCTCTGTAGCTGCCAGTGCCGTCTCCTCTGCCTTCTCCTTGGCTTCCTTGGCTGTCTCAAGTGTTTTGGAAGGGGCCTCGCCTTGCAGCTTAGTCAAGATATATTCAAAACCCTTCATAGTCTTGGTCACGTTGCTTTTGAACTGGGCAAGACCAAATTCCTGGACAGCTCTGGAGACACCAAATAAGCTAGAGGAGACCCAGGCTTCCCGGCGGATTTCAGTCCAGCCGCTGTTGTCAGAGTTCACACAGTAAACACATCGTTCCTCCACCACCATCAGCCGGGCGTGGTTGATGTTCCAGGTGAAGGTAGTCATGGTCTGATTCTGTGGGTCCACAATAGAGTCCTCCAGGATGTACACCGAGTGAGCAACATTGGCAGGAAATAGTTGCTTGGCCCAGCGTGGCATTCTGTTGGTCTTGGTCAGGAGTCGCCGGGACAGCAGTTTCTGGTCAGGGGTCACCTCCCGGTGTACTATGTCTTCCGTCAAGACATGTTTGCTATAGGGATTCGGGTACCGCTGCCAGAAGGCGGCGAACACTTGGTCCCAGGAACTCCGGAGCACGCTCTGGCCCAGGAAATACTTAACCATCGTCCTGGCCGAAGTGGGCTCAGCACCCGCGCAGCATCAGGGGTGCGGAGCCTGGGAGGCACGCGGGGGCCGGGCCAGGCCGGGGCTCGGCGCACACCTGCTGCCAGGCTCGTAGCTCAGTCACCACCGCACGGCGCCCAAGCAGCTGCTGCCGCCGCCATGAGTTGTCCGACCGCGCGCCACTTCCGGCGCAGCCCCGCTCAACATTCTTAAAGAAAAGAATTTTCAGCCCAGAATCTCATATCCAATCAAACTAAGCTTCATAAATGAAAAAGAAATAACGTCTTTTACAGACAAGCAAATGCTGAGAGATTTTTTCACCACCAGGCCTGCCTTACAAGAGCTCCTGAAGGAAGCACTAAATATGGAAAGGAAAAACTGGTACCTGCCACTGCAAAAACATACCAAATTGTAAAGACCATCAACGCTATGAAGAAACTGCATCAATGGGCAAAATAACCAGCTAGCATCATAATGACAGGATCAAATTCACACAAAACAATATTAAACTCAAATGTAAATGGGCTAAATGCCCCAATTAAAAGACACAGACTGACAAATTGGATAGAGTCAAGACCTGTCAGTGTGCTGTATTCAGGAGACCCACCTCGCGTGTAAAGACACATACAGGCTCAAAATAAAGGGATGGAGGAATATTTACCAAGCAAATGGAAAGCAGAAAAAAAAAAAAGAAGGGGTTGCATTCCTAGTCTCTGTAAAACAGACTTTAAACCAACAAAGATCAAAAAAGACAAAGAAGAACATTACATTATTGTAAAGGGATCAACACAACAAGAAGAGCTAACTATCCTAAATATACATGAACCCAATACAGGAGCACCCAGATTCATAAAGCAAGTTCTTAGAGACCTACAAAGAGACTTAGACTCCCACACAATAATAGTGGGAGTCTTTAACACCCCACTGTCAATATCAGACAGATCAACAAGACAGAAAATTAACAAGGATATTCAGGACTTGAACTTAGCTCTGGACCAAGTGGACCTAATAGACATGTTCAGAACCCTCCACCCAAAATCAACAGAATATAAATTCTCAGCACCACATTGCACTTATTCTAAAACTGACCACATATGTGGAAGTGAAACACTCCTCAGCAAATGCAAAAGAACAGAAATCATAACAAACAGTCACTCAAACCATAGTGCAATCAAATTAGAACTCAGGATTAAGAAACTCACTCAAAACTGCACAACTACATGGACACTAAACAACCTGCTCCTGAATGACTACTGGGTAAATAACGAAATTAAGGCAGAAATAAGTAAGTTCTCTGAAGCCAATGAGAACAAAGACACAACGTATCAGAATCTCTGGGGCACTGCTAAAGTAGTGTTTAAAGGGAAATTTATAGCACTAAATGCCCACAGGAGAAAGTGGGAAAGATCTAAAATTGACACCCTGACATCACAATTAAAAGAACTAGAGAAGCAAGAGCAAACTAACTCAAAAGCTAGCAGAAGACAAGAAATAACTAAGATTAGAGCAGAACTGCAGATTAGAACAGAAAAACCCTTCAAGGAATCAATAAATCCAGGAGCTGGTTTTTTGAAAAGATTAACAAAATAGATAGACCTCTAGCCAGACTAATATAGAAGAAAAGAGAGAAGAATCAAATAGACACAATAAAAAAAGATAAAGGGGAGATTACCACTGATCCCACAGAAATACAAACTACCATCAGAGAATACTATAAACATCTCTGTGTAAATAAACTAGAAAATCTAGAAGAAATGGATACATTCCTGCACATATACACCCTCCCAAGACTAAACCAGGAAGAAGTCAAACCCTGAGTAGACCAATAACAAATTCTGAAATTCAGTCAGGAATTAATAGCTTACCAACCAAAAAAAGCCCAGAACCAGATGGATTCACAGCCGAATTCTACCAAAGGTACAAAGAGGAGCTGGTACCATTCCTTCTGAAACTATTCCAAACAATAGAAAAAGAGGGACGCTTCCCTAACTCATTTTATGAGGCCAGCATCATCCTGATACCAAAACCTGGCAGAGACAACAAAAAAAGAAAATTTCATGACAATATCCCTGATGAACATTGATGTGAAAATCCTCAAAACAATACTGGCAAACCAAATCCAGCAGCACATCAAAAGGCTGATCCACCACTATCAAGTGAGCTTCATCCCTGGGACACAAGGCTGGTTCCACATATGCAAATCAATAAACGTAATCCATCACATAAACAGAACCAATGACAAAAACCACATGAATATCTCAACAGATGCAGAAAAGGCCTTTGGTAAAATGCAACACCCCTTCATGCAAAAAACTCTCAATAATCTAGGTATTGATGGAATGTATCTCAAAATAATAAGAGCTATTTATGACAAACCCATAGCCAATATCATACGGAATGGGCAAAAGCTGGAAGCATTCCCTTTCAAAACAGGCACAAGACAAGGATGCTCTCTCTCTCACCACTCCTATTCAACATATTGGAAGTTCTGGCGAGGGCAATTAGGCAAGAGAAAGAAATAAAGGGTATTCAAACAGGAAGAGAGGAAGTCAAATTGTCTCTGTTTGAAGATAACATCATTGTATATTTAGAAAACCCCATCGTCTGAGCCCAACGTCTCCTTAAGCTGATAAGCAACTTCAGCAAACTATCAGGATACAAAATCAATGTGCAAAAATCGCAAGCATTCTTATACACGGATAATAGACAAACAGAGAGCCAAATCATGAGTGAACTCCCATTCACAATTGCCACAAAGAGAATAAAATGTCTAGGAATACAACTTACAAGGGATGTGAAGAGGGATGTGAAGGACCTCTTCAAGGGGAACTACAAACCACGCTCAAGGCAATAAAAGAACACAAACAAATGGAAAAACATTCCATGCTCATGGATGGGAAGAATCAATATCGTGAAAATGGCCATACTGCCTAAAGTAATTCATAGATTCAATGCTATCCCCATCAAGCTACCATTGACTTTCTTCACAGAATTAGAAAAAACTACTTTAAATTTCATATGGAACCAAAAAAGAGCCCATATAGCCAAGACAATCCTAAGCAAAAATAACAAAGCTGGAGGCACCATGCTACCTGACTTCAAATTATACTACAAGGCTACAGTAACCAAAACAGCATGGTACTGATACTAAAACAGATATATAGACCTATGGAACAGAACTGAGGCCTTAGAAATAAGGCCATACATCTACAACCATCTGATCTTTGACAAACCTGACAAAAACAAGCAGAGGGGAAAGGATTCCCTATTTAATAAATGGTGTTGGGAAAACTGGCTAGCCATATGCAGAAAACTGAAACTGGACCCCTTCCTTACACCTTATACAAAAATTAACTCAAGATGGATTAAAGACTTAAATGTAAGACCTAAAACCGTAAAAACCCTGGAAGAAAACCTAGGCAATATCATTCAGGACATAGGCATGGGCAAAGACTTCATGACCAAAATACCAAAAGCAACGGCAACAAAAGCTAAAATTGACAAATTGGATCTAATTAAACCTAAGAGCTTCTGCACAGCAAAATAAATTATCATTAGAGTGAACAGGCAACCTACAGAATGGGAGAAAATATTTGCAATCTATCTATCTGACAGAGGGATAATATTCAGAATCTACAAAGAACTTAAACAAATTTACAAGAAAAAATAACCCCATTAAAAAAGGATATGAACAGACACTTCTCAAAAGAAGACATTTATGCAGCCAATAAACATATTTTAAAAAGCTCATCATCACTGGTCATTAGAGAAATGCAAATCAAAACCACAATGAGATACCATCTCATACCAGTTAGAATGGCAATCATCAAAATGTCAGGAAACAACAGATGATGGAGAGGATGTGGAGAAACAGGAACGATTTTACACTGTTGGTGGGAATGTAAATTAGTTCAACCATTGTGGCAGACATTGTTGCCATTCCTCAAGGATCTAGAACCAGAAATACAATACATCACACACTGGGGTCTGCCATGGGGTGCAAGGATAGGGGAGGGATACCATTAGGAAAAATATCTAATGTAGATGACGGGTTGATGGGTGCAGCAAACCACCATGGCACATGTCATGCTGTGTAACAAACCTGCACGTTCTGCACATGTATCCCAGAACTTAAAGCATAATTAAAAAAAAAAAAAGCCCAAGAGAATAAAATATATAAATAACAACAACAACAACAAAATCCAAGAATTAGTTGAATGACACATTTGGTGACTACTTCCATTAATAAGTAATTTTTCTGCTTTGACCTTAGTTATTTTGTTTTCTAAAACATTAATCTCAAATGCTATAATTTTTATTCTCAGTTTTCCAATAACAGGATTGCTAGAACACAACATTTAGTTGAAAAGACAAAGCTCATGTATTGTCAACCTCCCCCAAGATTGTCATGATCTGGAGTTATAATATTCAAGGAGTATTCCACTGACGATTTTTACACCCTAGTCAGTGACTAGATTAGAGAGACACAGAGATTAGAGAGACATAGAGAAACTTCTTTTCGTTCTTTAAAAATACTGAAAATCATATCTGTAATGATAAAGACAGGAGGCAGAGAAATTCTAGGCAGAAAAGGGCGGGGTCCCTTGCGAAGCTCCACTTTCAAGCCTGGAACCACAGCCCAAAGTGAGAACATGCATTCCCGTTTTACCACTCCAACGTTGCCTTTTCCAACCACCCATGGCCCGACCTGCCCCCCATCTTGTACCCATAAAAACCCTAGGCTCCACTGGTAGAGAGCAGATAAAGGGAAAAGAGAAGGAGTAGTTGAACATTGGAGAGAAGCAGCTTAACTTCAACGGGACGGCTTGACAGTGGGACTTCGGAGCAGAGTCCCTCCAGAGACTGCCAGACTTGAAGGGAAGAATACCTTCCCGCTCCATTCCCTTTCCAGCTGAGCACCACTTCCATCGGCAATAAAATCCTCTGCATTCACCACCCTTCAATTTGTTCGTGGGACCTGATTTTTCCTGGACGCCGAACAAGAGCTTGGGTGCCATGTCTGCAGATGCTAAAGGCTGTCACACTGACCCTCTGCCCTCCTGGTGGAGAGCAACTGCCTGACGCAAAAACGCAGAGGGCCCACTGAGCTGTTTAACACTTGAGCCGTCCTCGGACGGCAAAACTAAAAGAGCGCACTGTAACGCACACCCTCTGGGGCTTTAGGGGTCATGGGTATCCCCAGACTGGATCCTGCCGCGAGGACTCCTGGCACCCGCCCACCTGCGTGCTCCTGGTCCTGCTAGGGGTTGAGAGCTGTGGGCTGAGAAAGCTGAGGCAGCCTTGTCGCCGAGGCCCGCAAAGGGGTCAGGGAAAATCTCCTGTTTCAGTAATGTTATATATAGTCTATATACCAGCTTTCTGCTCTACAAAATAGGATAATGGTAACTACTATTTTTCTATTTTATAGCGATAAAAAATTTTTTTCTCAATAGAAAAAAATGCTATTTTCCACTTTCAAAACAAAATGAATATCATAAAGATAATTACATTCACTCAGTGAGAGAGAATAGATATCATCTTTTTTGTATAATATCAAATATAATATAAAATATTTTGCTAATGAACATACCTTCTGACAATTCTATGTATGACTTTCTAAACAGAAACCACAACAGAGCTATCTTAAAATAATCGATTTAAAAAGCATAAGTTTCAACTGAGGAAAAACTAAGACAGAGTGATCTTAAAATAGAGAGGTTTCAGTTTAAGATTCAAAACAGAAAATTTTTCAAGCTTCTGTTCTATGAGGAAATTCACAGCTGTGAGTTTAGATACCATCTGGTTTAGGAGGCCTCAGTTTTTCCATACAAAGGACCAGCTCCCAATTTGACATCTTGGTATGTGGCCTAAGGGAGTTGGTAATAATGTCCTTTACAGCAGCTGCTCAACTTTTTAATAGACAATCACAGGGGTCTGAGAGAAGGGCACATCCTATGGCAACTGGCTTAGCAACCAATTGACCTAATGCCTGCAAAGTGCCTCCTAAGAACCCAGATCCAGGACCACAATACAGAAAACCAACTTGGAGCTGGAATGGGCTTCACAGTTACCTAGTCTAGTGGTCCCACACTTGGACTCAACAATGAGTTTCCAAAACAAAACAACAACCACCCAACAAAACAAAAAGTTTCACAGGGCTTTAGCTTCTAGAAAGGTAGAGTAGACATTCTTTCATCTATTATTTCCTCTAAGTATAACTAAAGGAGTAACATGGTGGTGAGTTCTCTGGGCTTTATTTTTACCTTGTATAGATCCCAGAAGCCAGCAAAGTGGAAACACCAACAGGCACAGACAAACAAAGAAAAAAGCCCATCATAAGTCTGCTCTCTCTAGCCAAAGGAGCAGGAAAGGGGGCAGCTTTGCAACAGAAAAAACTTCTAGGCAATAATTGCTCTACACCACAGAAAAGAACTGTAACCCCATCTTAGCTACACCAGCAAATGCCAAATGGGGAGCCCAAAGTTCCCCTCAGGCCGTGCTGTAAAAAGGCATCATAACCCCACCACTGGGGAAGTATCAGAGAAGGCCAAGTAGAATTCTATGACTTTCATCCCACTAGGAAATTTGAGAAATTTTACGGTATCAGTGGAGACTACATGGGAAGTCTGGACTTCCACCGTACTCGGTATTAATGAGGCACTCCTCTCCCACCTACATGCTATGTGGTATCAGAGGAGAGCTAGTGGACAGTAAGGACTTATATCAGCAAAGAAAGCCACCTCCCTCCTGGTGGCAGTGGAGGCCATGCGGGAAGCAATGATGACACACTCCTACCCCTTTCAGTCAGGAAGTATCAGTAAAGGCTTAGTGGAGAGTTGGAACTTCCACTCCCACCCAGCAGTAACAAGGAGCCCTCAACCCCACTTGGGTATCAGTGGAGGTTGAGGGAGGGACCTAAATGTCTACCCTCAGCTGGCAATAAAGCGGTGGTGCCCCCACCCTTCCTGCCGTAGCACTGTCAGAGAAAGCCATGTAAAACAAAACATGTAACTAAGATCTGGAGTTTCATAATGTAATACTCAAAATGTCCAGATTTCCATTGAAAATTACTTGTCACACCATGAACTAAAAAATTTCAAACTGAATGAAAATAGACAATGAATAGATGCCAATACTGAGATGACAGAAACGTTATGATTTAAATCTGACAAGGATTTAAAGGCAGCTATTATAAATGCTTCAATGAGAAATTATGAACATGCTTGGAACAAATGAAAAATCAGAAAAGCTAAGCATAAGTGATGTGCAATATCTACAGCAACCATGAAAAAATTATAACAAAAAGATACACTCAAAAAACTGTATCTAAATAAATAGAATTCACAAACGTATTCAAGTAACCCACAAGAATTAAGGAAAAATAAAATGGAAACAAAACCCGGAGGAAACAAATAGAAAGCAAAAATGAAGTGGCAGATTTAAACTCTAATATATCAATAATTACTTTAAAGGAAAATGGTCTAAAGGCATCAGTTAAAAGACAGATTGAAAGAAGGGATTTAAAAAGATGACCTAACTACATACAGTCTACAAGAAACTTACTTCAAATATAATGATAGAGACAGGGTTGAAAGTAAAAGAATGAAAAAAGATATCATGCAAACATTAATCAAAAAGAAAGCAAGTGTGTCTATATTAATATCAGATAAAGAGAAAAAAACTCCCAGGGACAGAGAAGGCCTTTAATGTAATGATAAAATGATCATTCCACCAAGAAGACATAGCAATCCTACATATGTATGCACCAAACAACAGAGATGCAAAATATGTGAAGCAAAAACTGATAGGATTAATGAGATAGACAAATACACAATCATAGTTGGAGATATCAGCACCTCTTTCTCAACAATGGATAGATCAATGAGACAGAAAGATCTGTAAGCTACAGAAGAACTCAACAACATCAACCAACAGAATTCTACCCTCCAAACAGCAAAGTATGCATTCTTTTCAAGTTTTCCTGAATATGTACCAAGATAGACCTTATTCTAGGCAATAAAACAAACCTCAACAAATTTAAAAGAACTGAAATAATACAGAGTATGTTCTCTGATCACAGTGAAGTCAAATTAGAAATCAACAATGGAAAGACAATAGGAAAATCACTAAATACTTGGAAAGTAAACAAGTAATGAAAATATAATATATCAAAAATTGTGGGCTCACACCTATAATCTCAGCACTTTGGGAGGCCTAGGTGGATGGAACACCTGAGGTAAGGAGTTCGACACCAGCCTGGCCAAATGGTCAAACCCCATCTCTACTAAAAATACAAAAAATTAGCTGGGTGTGGCAGTGCACACCTGTAATCCCAGGTACTAAGGAGGCTGAAGCAGGAGAATCACTTGAATCCGAGAGGCAGAGGTTGCAGTGAGCAAGATTGCGCCACTGCATTCCAGTCTAGGCAACAGAGTGAGACTCCATCTCAAAATAAATTTTAAAAAAATTGTGAAACACAGCTGAAGCAGTGCTGAGAAAATAATTTATAGCACTAAATGCATACATTAGAAAAGAAGAGTTTCAAATTAATGATCTAAGTTTCCACCTAAGGAAGCTAGAAAAAGAAGAGAGAAAAAAGCAAGCAGAAGGGAAAAATAAACATAAAAGTGGAACCAATAAAATTGAAAATAGAAAAACAATAGGGAGAGGAATGATGTCAGCAAGATGGAGGAGTAAGAGATAACAGCCTCCCTCCTCTAACAAAAAATAATAATTAAACAGCTATCCAAGGATAAAAATAGCCCTGAGAGGGCTCAAATGTCCGTTTAAAAACTACAGCAATACAGTGGAGCAAAAAAAGATAATAACCATACAGAAAAGATTGCTAAGGAGATTAGCTAATTAGAGACATCTGGAGATGGCTGGGAGTAAAGGCAAGGCATAGGGGCTATCTTTATCAGCCATGCTGCAGGTGCCATTGTAACCCCAAGTGGCCTGCTCAATGGAGGACTCCAGCAACCTTTGCTGCTCAGGAACTCAATAGCCCTGATGACAGCCACAGACTCTGTGCAGCTTTCACTGTGGAGAACCCTGTAGTGTTCATTGGTGCCAACCCCAGCATCCTGCTCTGCAGAGGACACTGGCATCTTTCATTATTGAGATAATGAACAGTCATTGCTGCCACAGACTCCCCAGAGAGAGAGATACTGCTGAGCACCCCCACAAAAGGATAGGCTGTTATGTATGTTGAGGACCCCTGCAATCGTTACTGATGATGATCTCAGCTGACAGAGCTGCACAGATATTACACCACTGTTCCTTCTATAGAGCTGAAACCATCACCCCATTCTTCCAGTGCCCTTGCACCAGCACAGCACCGCCTTGTTGAAGGTCTTTCCCCACAAAAACCAATTTGTAAAATCTGGAAGAAAGGCTTGCTCCATAAAATACACAGATATCAACATGAGAACAACAACAACAACAAAAATAGTGGAAACATACACAGACATCAACATGAGAACAAAAAAGAGGAAACACAATACCACCAGAGGAACACAATAATTTTACAAGAACCAATGCCAAAGAAATAAAGACCTACAAACTGCCAAACAAAGAATACAAAATAATTGTTTAAAGGAAGTTCAGTAAGCTATACCAGAACACAGATAGACAACTCAATGCAATCAGGAAAACAATATACGAGCAAAACGAGAAGTTCAACAGACAGATAGAAATTATAAAAAAGAAACAGAAATACTGGAGCTGAAGAATGCAATGAATAAAATGCAAAATGAAATAGAGAGCATCAACAGCAGACTTGAACAAGTGGAGGGGAAAAAGTATAAACTCAAAGACAGGTCATTTGAAATTATCCAGTTAGGGAAATAAAAAAGGAAATTTTTAAAAGTGAAGAAAATATATTTGAATTATAGGACACCAAAAAGCAGCCCAATGTATACATTATGGGAGTTGCAGAAGGAGAAGAGAGAGAGAGCAAAGCATGCAGAAAGCTTATTGAAAGAAATAATGTCTGAAAACTTCCCAAGTCTGGGGATATGTATGGATATATAGGAATATGAAGCTCATAGATCCCCATACAGATTCAATCCAAAGAGGACTTCACCAAAACACATTATAATAAAACTGTCAAAAATCAAAGACAGAGAAAATTTTGAAAGTAGCACGACAAAATAAACTCATCTCATACAAGGGAATCTTCATAAGGCTACCAGCAGGCTTCTCAGCAGAAACCTTATAGGCCAGGAGAGAGTGAGATATATTCAAAGTCCTGAAAGAAAAAAATCTGCCAATCAAAAATATTTTACCCTGCAAAGCTGTCCTTCAGCAATGAATGAGAGAGAAAGACATTCCCAGACAAACAAAAGCTGAGGGAATTCATTACCACTAGACCTTCCATGTAAGAAATACTGAAGGGAGTTATTCAAGCTAAAATGAAAAGACACTAATAGAAACATGAAAACATAAGAAAGTATGAAACTGACTGGTAAAGGTAAATATATAGTCAAATTCAGAATGTGCTAATTATTGTAATAGTATAAAGGTTTAAAGACAAAAGCATTAAAAATAACTAAAGCTACATTAATTTGTTCATTGATACATAATATAAAAACAAAAAATGTAAATTATGACATCAAAAATATAAAATGGAGGCGAGTAAAAGAGTAGAGTTTTTGTATGCAGTTGAAGTTCAGTTAATATCAACTTAAAATAGATTGTTATAATTATATAATATTTTATGGAAGCCGCATGGTAACAACAAAGTACAAATCTATAGTAGACACACAAAAGATAAACAGAAAAAAATCAAAGCATTCCACTATGGAAAAACCATCAAACCACAAAGGAAGACAGGAAAGAAGGAAGAAAGGAACAAAGGAACTAAAAACAGCCAGAAAACAATTAACAAGATGGTAATAGTAAGTCCTTACCTATAAACAATTATTTTTTATTTAAATGGGTTAAATTCGGCCAGGTGCAGTGGCTGATGCTTGAAATCCCAGCACTTTCGGAGGCCAAGGCGGGTGGATCACTTGTGTTCAGGAGTTCCAGATCAGCCTGGCCAACATGGTAAAACCCTGTCTCTACTAAAAACACAAAAATTAGCCAGATATGGTGGTGCATGCCTGTAATCCCAGCTACTCACGAGGGTGAGGAAGGAGAATCACTTGAACCTGGGAGGTGGAGGTTGCAGTGAGCTGAGATCACACCACTGCACTCCAGCAACAAAGCAAGATTCCATCTCGAAAAAAGGGGGATTTAAATCCCCCAGTCAACTAGCAAACATAGACTGCCTGAGTAGACAAAAACAAAAACAAAAAAGATACAACTATATGCTACCTACAAGAGACTCACTTCAACTTTAAGAAAACACATAGGCTGAAAAAGTGAAGGAATTGAAAAAGATAGTCCATGCAAATGGAAACTGAAAGAGAGCAGGGATAGCTATACTTATATCAAACAAAATAAACTATAAGTCAAAATAATGATAAAGGGGTCAATTCATCAAGAGGATATAACAATTGTAAATATGCACCCAGTATTGGAACACACAAATATATTAAGCCAATATTAAAGGCCTAAAGGGAGAAATCTATGGCAATACAATAATAGTAGAAACTTTAACATCTCATTTTCAAAATGGACAGTCATCCAAGCAGAAAATCCATAAGGAAATATTGTACTTGAACTACAATTTAGATCAAATGTACCTAACAGACATATCCAGAACATTCCATCCAATGGCAGCAGAATATACATTCATCTCAAGCACACATGGAACATTCTCCAGGGTAGATCATATGTCAGGCTACAAAACAAGTCTTAACAAATTTAAGAAGCCGAAAAATTTACAAATATGTTAAAATTAAACAACACACTCCAGAACAATCAATGGATAAAAGAAGAAATCAAAAGGGAAATTTAAAAATATCTTGAGTCAAATAAAAATGAAAACACAACATACCAAAACTTATGGAATGTAACAAAATAAATAACCTAATGTTATACCTTAAGGAACTAAAAAAGGATAAACTAAGTGCAAAGTTATCAGAAGAAAGAAAATAAGATCAGAGCAGAAATAAGTGAAATAGAGAGTAGAAAAGCAATAGAAAAGATCAATGGTACTAAGAGCTGGTTTCTTGAGAAGATAAAGAAAACTGACAAACATTTAGCTAAATTAAGTAAGAAAAACAGAGAAGACTTGAATAAAGAAAATCATAAACAGGGGACATTACAACTGCTACTCCATAAATACAAAGGATCATAGGCAACTACTATAAATAATTATACATCAGTAAATTGGATAACCTAGAAGAAATGTATAAATTCCTAGAAACATACAAACTACCAAGACTGGAACATGAAGAAATAGAAAATCTGAATAGACATAAATAATAAGAACATTGAATCAGTAATCAAAAATCTCCCAAAAAAGAAAAGACCAGGAACAGTAGCTTTACTGGCAAATTCTACCAAATGTTCAAAGAAGAATTAATGCCAATCTTTCTCAAACTCTTCCAGAAAATTGAAGAGGAGAGAACACTTCCAACCTCATTTTATGAAGCCAGCATTACCTTAATACCTAAACCAGATGAGGATACTGTAAAAAAGAAAATTAGAGGTCAATATCCCTGATGAACACAGATGCAAAAATTCTCAACAAAATACTAGCAAATTGAATTCAATAGCACATTAAAAGAATCAAACACCATAATCAAGTGAGATGCAAGGATGGTTCAATAGACACAAATCAATAAAGATGATACACCAGATTAACAGAATAAAGGATAAAAATTATATGATCATCTCAATAGATGCAGAAAAAGCATTTTTAAAAATCAACATGTTTCATGATAAAAACTCTTAACAAATTAGGCACATAAGTAATGTATTTCAACATAATAAAGGCCGTATATGACAAGCTCCCAGCTAATATCATTTCAACGGTGAAAATCTGAAAGGTTTTCCTCTAAGAAGTAGAACAAGACAGACAAGGATGTCCTCTCTTGCCGCTTCTATTTAACATAGTACTGGAAGTCCTAGCCAGAGCAATTAGGGAAGAAAAACAGATCAAAGATATCTACATTGGAAAGGAAGAAGTAAAATTGCTGTTTGCAGATGATATGGTCTTGTACATAGAAAATCCTAAAGACTTCACCAAAAATTGGTTAGAAGTAATCAACAAATGAAATATAATATCAGGATAGAAAATCAACATATTAATATCAGTTGTATCAGTTTCTACATTTCAACAAGGAACTATCCAAAAAACAAATCAAGAAAACAATCCCATTTACAATAGCATCAAAAAAATTAATGTATTTGGGAATAATTTTAACTATGGAGGTAAAAGCTCTGTACACTGAAAACTACAAAACGTTGACGATGACATTGAAGACATAAACAAATGGAAAGATATCCCATGTTCATGGATTGGAAGAATATTGTTAAAATGTCCATACTATCCAAAGTGATCAATAGATTCAATACAATCTTTGTCAAAATTTTATCATCATTTTTCATAGAAATAGTAAAAACAATATTAAAATTTGGATGGAACCACAAAGGACCCAAAACACCCAAAGCAATCTTGAGAAAAAACAAAGCTGGTGGCATCACACTTCCTTTATTTTTTTGACACAGATTCTCACTCTGTCGCCCAGACTGGAGGGCAATGTGAAATGGTGCAATCATGGCTCACTGCAGGCTCAATCTCTGTGCTCAAGACATCCTCCTATCTCAGCCTCCCATGTATCTGGGACTACAGGTACATACCACATGCCTGGCTAATCTTTTTTCACTTTTTGTAGAGACAGGGTCTCAATATGTTGTCCAGGCTGGCATCACACTTCTTAATTTCAAACTACATTACAAATAGTAATAAAACAGTACAATACTGGCCTAAAAACAGACACACCAAGCAATTGAACAGAATACAGAGCCCAGAAATAAACCCACACATGTACAGTCGACCAGTCTTTGACAAGGGCTTCAAGAATACACAATGAAGAAAGATAATATCTTCAAAAAACAGTGTTGGGAAACAGGATATCCACATGCAAGGAAATGAAACTGTATCCCCACTTTACATCACTTCCAAAAATTAACTCAAATTGGATTTAACATTTAAGTGTAAAACTCGAAATTGTAAAACTCCTAGAAGAAAAAGAGAAAAGCTCCTTGACATTAGTCTTGGCAGTGATATTTTGGCTATGACACGAAAGGCACAGGCAGTAAAAGCAAAAACAAACAAGAGTGGCGGCTGGGCGCGGTAGCTCATGCCTGTAATCCCAGAACTTTGGTAGGCCAAAGAGGGTGGATCATGAGGTCAGGAGTTCAAGACCAGCCTGGCCAAGATGGTGAAACCCCACCTCTACTAAAAATACAAAAAATTAGCTGGGCATGGTGGCACGTGCCTTTAATCCCAGCTACTCAGGAGGCTGAGGCAGAGAATTGCTTAAACCTGGGAGATGGGGGTTGCAGTGAGCCGAGATCATGCCACTGCACTCCAGCCTAGGTGACAGAGAAAGACTCCGTCTCACAAAAAAAAAGAAAAAACAAAAAAACAAAAACAAAGAAACAAACAAAAAAAACCAGTGGCTACAACAGAAAAAAAAAAAAAAAAGCTTTTGCACAGCAAACTAAACAATCAACAAAATGGAAAGGCAACCTACAGAATGGGAGAAAATATATCTGATATAAGGGACTAACAACTAAAATGTATAAGGAACTCATACAGCTCAATAGCAAAACAAACAGACAAACAAAAAAACAATAAATACACAAATAATCTGGTTTCAAAATGGGCAAAAGACCTGAATGAATATTTTTCCAAGAAGATACACAAATGGCCAGCAGATACAGGAAAGGGTACTAAACATCACTAACCATCAGGGAAATGCAAATCAAAACCACAATGAGAGATAATCTCACATCTGTTAGGATGTCTCTAATAAAAAATATCAAAAGATACCAAGCGTTGGCAAAAATGTGGATAAATGAAAACTGTCTCAAATTTTTGGTGGGAATGTAAATTGGTATAGCTACTATAGAAAACAGTATGGAGGTTCCTTACAAAACTAAAAATAAAACTTCTATATAATCCAGCAATCCCAAGTCTGAGTATAGCTCTGAAGTCACGGAAATCAGTATCTTAAAGAGATATCTACACTCTCATGTTCATTGGATGGATGAACATTGGATTGGATTTTATCAATGGATAAAAAATGTGTTATGTATGTACAATAGAATATTATTGAGTCATAAAATGAAGGAAATACTGCCATTGTGATCTCATAGAAACAGAGTAGAATGGTGGTTGCCATGGACTGGAGCTGTGGGAAATGAAGAGATGGTGGGCAAAGGGTGCAAACCTTCAGTAATAAGATGAATACAATTTGAGGTTCTAATGTACAGTGTGAGAATTATACTTAAAAATATTGTTCTGTATACTTGAAATTTGCTATGAGAGTACATCTTAAGCATTCTCTCTCTCTCATTCTCTCTCTCTCTCTCACATACACACACACACACACACATCCAAGGTATCTATGTGAGGCGATGATTATGTTAATTAACTTCATTGTGGTAATCATTTCACAATCTATACATATATCAAATCATCATCTTGTACACTTTAAATATATACAATTTTATCAATTATACCTCAATAAAGCTTTTAAAAAATGAAAAAGTGGGCTGGGTGTAGTGACTCTCAGTTGTAATCCCAACACTTTGGAAGGCAGAAGCAGGAGGATTGCTTGAGGCCTGGATTATGAGACCAGTCTGGGCAATATAGTGAGACTCTGTCTCTATAAAATTTAAAAAATTGACTAGGTATGGTTGTACATGCCTGTAGTCCTAGCTAATCAGGAGGCTGAGGTGGGAGGATCACTTGAGCCCAGGAGTTTGAGGTTGCAGTGAGTCGTGATTACACCACTGCACTCCAGCCTGGGTGACAGAGGGAGCTTCTGTCTCGAAAAAAAGAAAAAAAAAAAAGGAAAAAATCAATGAAACAAAGAACTGTTTCCTTGAAAACATTAGTAATGTTGACACACCTCTAGGGTGGCTGAAAAGAAAAAACAGAGAGAAGACACAAATTAGTAATATCAAGAAGAAAACAGGGATATCATTATAGAACCTGCATACACTCAAAGAATAATAAGGGAATATTAAGAACAATTCTATGTTCAGAAATTTGGCAACTTAGGTGAAATGAATCAATTTCTTAAAAAACACAATTCATCCAATATGAAATAGAGAATTTGAAACATTGTATAGCTACTAAGTAAACTGAATTCATAATTCAAAATCCTCTGTTGCCCAGGTTGGAGTGCAGTGGAGTGAACCTAGGAGGCGGAGGTTACAGTGAGCCAAGTTGCACCACTGCACTCCAGCCTGGGTGACAGAGTGAGACTCCATCTCAAAAAAAAGAGATCCTCCTGCTTCAGCCTTTCAAGTAGCTAAGATTACAAACATGCGCCATCATGCTTGGCTAATTTAAAAAATAATTTTGTGGAGACAGGGTCTACTGTGTTGCCCAGGCTGATCTATCAAACTCCTGGCCTCAAGCAACTCTCCTGCCTCAGCCTCCCAAAGTGCTGGGATTACAGGTGTGCGCAACCTAACCTGGCCTAGAAGTTTATTTCTTATAGTTCTAGAGGTTGAGGAGTCTAAGATCAAGGTGAGAGGGGCACACTGAGAGTCAAACTGGCTTTTATAACAGACCCATTCTTATGTTAACTAACCCACTACCATGGTAACCCACTAATCCATGGCAAGTCCTCACTTCTTAATACTGTTACATTGGGGATTAAATTTCAACATGAGTTTCACAGGACAAAAACATTTAAATCATAGCAGAAGATATGCAGGTGTCAAGAACATATAAAGGTATTTAACATCATTAGCCATTAGAGATACAAATTAAAACCATGATGAGTTATTACTACAAACGTAACAAAATGGCTTAAATAAAAAATAGTGACAAAACCAGATGCTGTCAAAAATGTGGAGAAACTAGATCACTCACACATTGCTGGTAGGAAAGTAAAACGGTACAGTCATTATGGAAAACATTATGGAAACAATACTGCAGTTTATTGAAAAATTAAACATGCAACCTCCATATCACCCTGAAGTTGCATTCTTGGGCGCTTATTCCAGAGAGATCAAGATTTAATGTTGTTTTTGTTTGTTTGTTTGTTTGTTTTTTTCTGAGACGGAGTCTCGCTGTCTCCCAGGCTGGAGTGCAGTGGCGCGATCTCTGCTCACTGCACGCTCCGCCTCCCAGGTTCACGCCATTCTCCTGCCTCAGCCTCCCGAGTAGCTGGGACTACAGGCGCCCGCCACGACGCCCAGCTAATTTTTTGTATTTTTAGTAGAGACGGGGTTTCACCGTGTTAGCCAGGATGGTGTCGATCTCCTGACCTTGTGATCCTCCCACTTCGGCCTCCCAAAGTGCTGGGATTACAGGTGTGAGCCACCATGCCCGGCCAGATGTAATGTTAATATACAAACCTGCACATGAAAAATTAGCTGCATGTAGCAGTGTTCCCCTGTAGTCCCAGCTATTCAGGTGGCAGTGGCAGGAGGATTGCTTAAGCCTGGCAGGTTGAGGCAGCAGTGAGCTGTGATCACATCACTGCACTCCACCCTGGGCAAAAGAGTGAGACTCTCTGAAAAACACAAAACAAAACCAAACAAAACCCTGCAAATGAGTGTTTATATAGTTTTCTTTATAATGGTCCAAAACTTGAACAAACTTAGATGTCCTTCACCAGGTGAATAATTGGTTTAACATATTGTGGCACATCCATGCCATGGAATACTACTTGACAATAAAAAGAAATAAAATATTTTGTTTGTATTTTTGTGGGTACATAGTAAGTGTATATATTTATCAGGAATATGAGATGTTTTGATACAGGAATGCAATGCGTAATAATCACATCATGGAGAGTAGGGTATCCATCCCCTCAAGCATTCATTTTTTGTGTTACAAAAAATCCAATTATACTTTTTTAGTTATTTTTAAATGTACAATTAAATTATTATCGACTATAGTCACCCTGCTGTGCAATCAAATGCTAGGTCTTATTCATGCTTTCGAACTATTTTTTGTACCCGTTAACCATCCCCATCTTCCTCCTAACCTCCTACTAACCTTCCCAGTCCCTAGTAAACATCTTTCTACTCTATCTCCATGAATTCAGTTGATTTGATTTTTAGATCCCACAAATAAATGAGAACATGGGATGGTTGTCTTTCTGTGCCTGCCTTTTTTCACTTAACATAATGATCTTTGGTTCCATCCATGTTGTTCCAAATGACAGGATTTCATTCTTTTTATAGCTAAATAGTACTCCATTGTGTATATGTACCACATTTTATTTATCCATTCATCTGTTGAGGGACACTCGGGTTGCTTCCAAATCTTGGCTATTGTGAACAGTGCTACAATAAACATGAGAGTGCAGATATCTCTTCAATATGCTGATTTCCTTTCTTTTGAGTATATACCCAGCTCTATATTTAGATGTTTGAGGAACCTCCAAACTGTTCTCCATAGTAGTTGTACTAATTTCATTTTCATCAACAGTGTATGAGGATTCCCTTTTCTCCACATCCTTGCCAGCATTTCTTATTGCCTGTCTTTTGGATATAAACCATTTTAACTGGGGTGAGATGATATCTCACTGTAGTTTTGTTTTGCATTTTGCTGATGATCAGTGATATTGGGCACTTTTTCATATGCCTGTTTGTTGTTTGCATGTCTTCTTTTGAGAAATGTCTCTGCACATCTTTTGCCCATTTTTTGGATTGGATTACTAGATTTTTCCCTATAGAGTTGTTTGAGCTCCTTACTTATTCTGGTTATTAATCCCTTGTCAGATGGGCAGCTTGCAAATATTTTCTCCCATTCTAGTAGTTGTCTCTTCACTTTATTGATTGTTTCCATTTCTGTGCAAAGTCTTTTTAACTTCATGTGATCCCATTTGTCCATTTTTGCTTTGGTTGCCTGTGCTTGTGGGGTATTACTCAAGAAATTTTTGCCTACACCAATGTCGTGGAGACTTTCCCCAATATTTTTTTAGTAGATTCATAGTTTCAGATCTTAGATTTAAGTCTTTAATCCACTTTTATTTGATTTTTGTTTATGGTGAGAGATAGAGGTCTAGTTTCTTTCTTCTGCATATGAATATGCATTTTTCCCAGCACCATTTATTGAAGAGACTTTTTCCCAATATATGTTCTTGGCACCTTTGTTGAAAATGAGTTCATATGGGGATTTGTTTCTGGACTCTCTATTCTGTTCCACTGGTTTATATGTCTGTTTTTATGCCAGTCCCGTGCTGTTTTGTTTACTATAGCGCTGTAGTATAATTTTTTTTCTTACCCTATCTTGATGTGGTATAATTTGAAGTTGGGTAACGTAATTCCTCCAGTTTTGTTATTTTTGCTTGGGATAGATTTGATTAGTGTGGGTTTTTGTGGTTTATATACATTTTAGAATTGTTGTTTCTGTTTTTGCGAAGAATGCCATTAGCATTTTGATAAGGATTGCATTGAATTTGTAGATTGCTTTGGGTAGTATGGACATTTAACAATACTGATTCTTCCAATCCATGAACATGAAGTATCTTTTCTTTCTTTTTTTTTTTTTGGTGTCATCACTATTTTAGAATTTTCATTATAGAGATCTTTCACTTCTTTGGAAAATTCCTAGGGATTTTATTTTATTTGTGGCTATTGTAAATGGGATTAGTATTTTGATTTCTTTTTCAGATTGCTTGCTGTTAACATACAGTAATGCTACTGATTTTTGTATGTTGATTTTTGTATCCTTCAACTTTACTGAGTTTGTTTATCTTGTAACAGTTTTTGTGTGCATATGTCTGTGTGTGTGTGGAGTCTTTAGGTTTTTCCAAATATAGGATCATATCATCTTCAAACAATGATAATTTTACTTCTTCCTTTCCATTTTGGAGACCCTTTATTTCCTTCTCTTCTCTGATTGCTGTAGCTAGGACTTCCAGTAATATGTTTAATAACAGTGACAAAAGTGGGCATCCTTGTTGTGTTGCAGATCTGAGAGAAAAGGCTTTCAGTTTTTCCCCATTTAGTATGATACTAGCTGTGGGTCTGTTATATATGGCTTCTATTATGTTGAGGTTATGTTCCTTCTATACTCAGTTTTTTGAGGTTTTTCTTTTATCATGAAGGGATGTTGAATTTTATCAAATGCTTTTTTTGGCATCTGTTGAAATGATCATATGGTTTTAGGCTTTCATTCTGTTGGTATGATGTATCATATTCATAGACTTGTGTATGTTCAACAATCCTTGCATTCCTGGGATAAATCCAACTTGGTCATGATGAATGATCTTTTCTTCATGCTATATTATCTTTAATTAAGTACAAAAAGCTTTCTAACATGTCTCTAGAGACCATTTCACCCACTTCTCTGTTTGGCTGCCAGTCTCTCGTCTCTCTCTTCAGCAATGGTGAGGCAGATACCCTTTCCTCAGGGAGGAGAAGTTCATGGTTTGTTGCTCTTGCCAATAACAAAAATGTTGGAAAGGTGGGTGACAAATCTGTTGCCACTGGCATCTTTCACATGAACCACATGAAAAGATCCAGGATGTCTCTCCCTGGTTATCCTTCCCAGGTTAGCACCCCTCAGTCACCATACACAGGTTACCAATGTTGAACTTGATAAAATCAGTAATCTTGCCAGTCTCCAAACCAATCTGAATCTGTTACTCACCTTGATGAGGGGATCAGGGTAGTGGATAGTGTGAACATCATGAATCACCAGATGAGGAATTCCTTTTGTACCCACAAAGATTTTTCTCACTTTGC
The DNA here is from genome assembly GCF_000001405.40 of Homo sapiens. Taxonomy (NCBI): domain Eukaryota; kingdom Metazoa; phylum Chordata; class Mammalia; order Primates; family Hominidae; genus Homo; species Homo sapiens. The sequence goes on from NC_000002.12 coordinate 63,643,676, forward strand.
ACAACTTGTACTTAGCCTCCTCAGATGTAATATGATGAACAGCAGAGTGACCCTTGGTGTCATAGATCAGACGGACATTCTCTCCAGTCTTGTCAATGCTGATGACATCCATGAATCCAAGCAGGGTAGGTTACATCAGTTTGGACCTTTCCATTGATCTTAATAAACCACTGCATGCAAATCTTCTTTACTTCATCTCCTGTCAAGGCATACTTAAGTCTGTTCCTTAGGAAAATGATGACAGGGAGGTACTTTCTCAACTTGTGGGAACCAGTGGATGGATGAGGAGTAAACACACCAATCAATTTATCCAGCATCCAATGCTTTGGAGCTGGTACTCACTTCAGATGCTTCTTAGGACCAAAGCCATGGTTGTGCTAGGCATAGAAAGAGTGATGAATGATCTTTTTAATCTGGTTTGTTAGTATTTTGTTGAGAATTTTTGCATCAATGTTCATCAGGGATATTGGCCTATAGTTTTATTTTTTGATGTATCTTTGTCTGGTTTTGGTATCACGGTAATACTGGCCTCACAGAATGAATGTGCAAGTATTTCTTTCTCCTCTACTTTTTTTTTTTTTTTTTTTGAGACAGAGTCTTGCTCTGTCACCCAGGCTGGAATGCAGTGGCGCAATCTCAGCTCATTGCAACCTCCGCCTCCTGGGTTCAAGCAATTCTCTGCCTCAGGTTCCCGAGTAGCTGGGATTACAGGCACCTGCCACCATGCCCAGCTAATTTTTGTATTCTTAGTAGAGACAGGGTTTCACCATGTTGGCCAGGCTGGTCTTGAACTCCTGACCTCGTGATCCACCCACCTCGGCCTCCCAAAGTGCTGGGATTACAGGCGTGAGCCACCGTGCCCGGCCTCCCTTCTCCTCTATTTTTTAGGATAGTTTTAGGAGGATTGGTATTCGTTTTTCATGAAATGTTTGGTAGAATTCAGCATTGGAGCCATTGGGTCCTGGGCTTTTCTTTACTGTGACACTTTTTATTATGACTTCAATCTTGTCACCTGTTATTGGTCTGTTTGGGTTTTGGATTTTTTCATGGTTCAATCTTGGTATGTGGTATGCATCTAGAAATTTGTCCATTTCTTCTAGATTTTCCAATTTATTGGCATATAGTTGCTCATATAGCTACTAATGATTTTTCGAGTTTCTGCAGTATCAGCTGTAATGTGTCCTTTTTCATCTCTGTTTTGATTATTTGGATCTCCTCTCTTTTTTTCTTAGTTGGCTAAAGGTTTATCCATTTTGTTTATCTTTTCAAGAAACCAACTTTTCCTTCCATTAATCATTTGTGTTATTTTCTTCATTTCAATTTCACTTATTTCTGCCCTTATCTTTATTTTTTCTTTTCTTCTACCAATTTTGAGCTTGCTTTGCTCTTGCTTTTCTAGTTATTTAAGATGCATTGTTAGGTCGTCTACCTGAAGCTTTTTTTCTTTTTGATGTAATCACTTACAGCTATAAATTTCCCTCTTAGTAATGCTTTTGCTGTACCACAAAGGTTTTGGTATGTTGTGTTGCCATTATAACTTGTCTCAAGAAATGCTTTATTTTCTTCCTAATTTCTTTATTCACACGCTCATCACTCAGGAGCATATTATTTAATTTCCATATATTTGCATAGTTTCCAAAATTCCTCTTGTTATTAGCTTTTAGTTGTACTCCATTGTGATCAGAGAAGATGCTGGATAGTATTTCAATTTTTTTTGCATGTTTTAAGGCTTGTTTTATGATCTAACATATGGTTTACCCTTGAGAATGATCCAAGTGCTGAGAAAAAGAATGTGTATTCTGCAGCCATTGGATGAAATGTTCTGAAAGTGTCTATTTGGTCCATTTGGTTTATAGTGCAGATTAAGTCTGGTGTAATTTATTTATTTTTCTGTCTGGAAGATCTGTCCAATGTTGAAAGTGGAGAGTTGAAGTCTCCAGCTATTATTATATTGGAGTCTATCTCTCTCTTTAGCTCTAATAATATTTGCTTTATATATCTGGGTGCTCCAGTGTTGGGCACATATATATTTACAATTGTTATATTCTCTTGCTGAATTAACTCCTTTATCATTATTTAGTGACCTTTGTCTCTTCTTACAGTTTTTCTCTTAAAATCTATTTTGTCTGATATAAGTATAGCTACTCCTGCTCTTTTTTGGTTTCCGTTAGCATGGACTATCATTTTCCATCCCTTTACATTCAGTCTATGTGTGTCTTTATAGGTGAAGTGTGTTTCTTGTAGGCAAGGGATCACTGGTTCTTGTTTTTCACCCATTCAGCCACTCTATGTCTTTTGATTGGAGAGTTTAGTTCATTTACATTCATTGTTATTACTGATAAGAACTTACTCCTACCATTTTGTTATTTGTTTTCCAGTTGTTTAGCGGTTTTCTCTTCCTTCTTTCTTCCCTTCCTGTCTTCCCTTTAGTGAAGGTAATTTTCTCTAATGATATGATCTAGTTTCTTGCTTTTTATATTTTGTGTATTCATTGTATGGTTTTTGGTTGGAGGTTACCATGAAGTTTGCAAATACTATCTTATAATTTATTATTTTAAGCTGATAACAACTCTGCATAAACAAACAAGCAAAAAGAAAACTAATAAAATTTCTATGCCTTAACTTCACCCTTCCTCCCATGCTTTTCAACTTTTTGTTGTTTCCATTTGTATCTTACTGTACTCTCTATGTCTAAGTTGTCATAGTTACAATTTTTTATTGATTTATCATTTAATGTTTTAACTTAAGAGTAGTTTACACACCATAGTTACATTATTATAATATTCTGTGTTTTTCTGTGTACTTACTATTACCAGCAAGTTTGTACCTTGAGGTGATTACATACTGCTTGTTCACATTTTTTTTTTCTTTCTGATTTAAGTCCTTCCATTAGCATTTCTTGTAGGACAGGTCTGGTGTTAATGAAATCCCTCAGCTTTTGTTCGCTTGGTAAAGTTTTTAATTTCTCCTTCATGTTTGAAGGATGTTTTCACCAGATATACTATTCTAAAGTAAAACTTTGTTTTTCCTTCAGCATTTTAAATATATCACTCCTCTCTCTCCTGCCTGTAAAGTTTCCACTGAAAAGTCTGCTTCCAGACATATTGGAGCTCCATTGCATCTTATTTGTTTCTTCTCTTTTGCTGCTTTTAGGATCCTTTCTTTATTCTTGATCTTTGGGAGTTTGATTTTTAAATGTCTTGAGGTAGTCTTCTTTGGGTTAAATCTGCTTGGTGTTCTATAATCTTCTTGTACTTGGATATTGAGATCTTTCTCTAGGTTTGGGAACTTCTCTTATTATACCTTTGAATAAACTTTCTACTCCTATCTCTTCCTCTACACCCTCTTTAAGGCCATTAATTCTTAGATTTGCCCTTTTGAGACTATTTTCTATATCCTGTAGGTGTGCTTCATTGTTTTTTCTTCTTTTTTCCTTTTGTCTCCTCTGATCATGCATTTTGTTGTTGTTGTTGTGTTTTTGAGATGGAGTCTCACCCTGTCTCCCAGGCTGGAGTGCAATGGTGCAGTCTTGGCTCACTGCAACCTCTGCCTTCTGGGTTCAAACGATTCTCTGGCCTCAGCCTCCTGAGTAGCTGGGATTACAGGTGCCCGCCACCACGCCCAGCTAATTTTTGTATTTTTAGTAGAGATGGGGTTCATCATTTGGCCAGGTTGGTCTTGAACTCCTGACCTCATGATCCACCTGCCTCGGCCTCCCAAAGTGCTGAGATTACAGGCGTGAGCCACCACACCCGGCCTATGCATTTTCAAATAGCCTGTCTTGATGTATACAGCAACCTGGATGAATTTCCAGAGAATTATGCTGAGTGAAAAAAAAGCCAATCCCCAAAGGTTATATACTGTATGATTCCATTTATATAACATTCATAAAGTGATGAAATTATAGACATGGAGTACAAGCTAGTGGTTTCCAGAGTGGGTGAGAGTGAAAGGAAAGTGACTGCCTATAAAAGGACAACTTCAGGTGATGGAAACCTTTTTTTATTTTGTCTGTATAAATGTCAATATCCTGGTTTTGATATTGTACTATATTTTTGCAAGATGTAACCACTGGGTAAAACTGGGTAAAGGATACAAGACCCTCTCTGTATTATCATTTTTTTTTTACAACTGCATGTGAATTTATAATTATCTCAAAATAAAAAGTTTAATTAAAAAAAACTTGGTTCTTGGGCCCCATCTGAAACCTGACCAATCAGGAACTCCAGAAATGGGGCTCAAGAATCTATATCTCTAACAACTTCCTTAGCTCTGCATACTACCATTTGAGAATGAATGATGTAACCCAACTTCTTACTGATGCATGAATTCCTTCCAAAAACCTCCCTTACAGGTGCCCCGGATAGCTCCTTGAATATTTTTAGGAAAAGGAACACTCTTCTGGTTAAGACAGCCCGTCTGCCTATAGGAGAGTATCATAGAACATTCTTTGGTTTTTGAGCCAAAATCTGCCTCTCTGTATGATCTAGGGCTTCCCTGTGGGCCAATCTGTCAGGCATGTGACAAATCTTTACTCTTATCCCCCTAAGTTTTTCTCATGGTTTCAAACTCCTCACTATCTAGCCACTCTAACTCCAATTTATCTGAGGCTTAGGGGTGTCCCAGGGATGTGGGACTTTCATGTGCTAAAATGAAAATACTGGCCAAATCTGGACTCGTTGGTCACTTTAAAATTCATCAGTATTCTTTTTTTGAAGTATTATTTATATACAATAAAATTAATCCTTTTAAAGTGTATGTCATTCAATGAGTTGGGAAATGTATAGTTGTGTAATTATTACCACCACAATCAAGGTATTTACATCATCCCAAAATACGGTGCCCCTAGTCAGTCAATTCCATCCTCTGACAACCTGCAACCCCTGATATGATTTGGGTACCTATAGTTTTGTCTTTTTCAGAATGTCATATAAATGGAAACCAAAAAATGTATAGACTTTTGTGTCTGGCTTTTTTCATTAGTATAATTCTTTTGAGATTCATCCATTTTGTTGCACGAATAAGTAGTTAATCTCTTTTTACTGCTGAATTTTGGCAACATTCTTAAATGCCCATAACTGAATCCAAGACCTTAGAAATGGTCCACTCTGGTGAACACAGCAGAAAGAATGACTACCTTCTTCCTTAAGTGGAACACTGCCAATTCCAATCAAAGATCAACTTAGTGTTCTCAGCAGTTAGATTGCAAAATTACCTCGTTTAGGCTCCAGTTAACTAAAAATCCCATATCATTTTCACATGGATTGCTGTTTACCAATTGCTAGGACTCATATGATGTTTTGGGCCCAAGTACAATACTTAACACAACTTTTTTTTCTTTGATAGCATTTAAAAATTGAGATATATACTTCATATAACATATTCACCATTTTGTATGTACACTTTAGTATATTGACTATGGTGAGCAACTATCATCACTACCTACTTCTAGAACATTCCCATCACCCCAGAAAGAAACCCCATACCTATTAGCAGCTAGTCCCTATTCTCCCCTTCCCCATCCCTTGGTGGATGGGGAAAGTAGATCCCTAAACTACTTTCTGTGTCTATTTGTCTATTCTGGACATTTCATTTCATGGACATTTCATTTAAATGGAATCATACAACATGTGGTCTTTTGTGTCTGGTTTCTTTCACTTAGCATGTTTCCAAGGTTCACTTATGTGGTAACATGTAACAACTGGACTTCTTTTATGACTGAATAATATTTCATTGTATGTATTTGCCACATTTTGTTTATCCATTCATTAGTTGATAGTCACTTAGATTTTTTCCCACCTGTTGGTTATTGTGAATAGTGATGCTATAAACACATTTGTGTACAAGATTTTGTGGGAATATGTTTTCAAACACCTTGGGTATATACAGCTATGGTAAAATTATTAGGTCATAAGATAACTCTGCTTAATTTTCTAAGGAACTGAATAACTGTTTTCCATAGAAATACCTAATATTTGTCCTTCTTAAATTTCATCATTCATCAAATATCATTCCCCTGCTCAGCCAGCCTATTAACTTGTTTTGCTTTTTTAATGGAAAAATTTAATTTGGTACTCTGACTCCTTTTCCCAGAAAGGGGGGCTTGTGGGGAGGGGTCTGGAGTAGAGCAGAAATGATCAATGGCTACAGGACTTGGAGCAAAAGGGAAACAGATATAGGATCCAAGGGAAAGGTTTGTTCAGAAACCAAAGAGACAGACCAGATAAAGCAACAGATACAGTATTTGGCCAGAGAGGCTTAAACCAAGTCTGACAGACAACCTCTGGGGTCAGGAATGAGAAGCAAAGGCAATAAGAGGAGAAGACCAGTTGATGTGTTACAGAGAGATCCCCTGAGACAGTGGTGTGTACAGCCAAGAATCCAGCAGAGGCTGTGCCTTCTTCTCTGGGTCTGGAATGAGATAATGGAATAACCAGCTTGGATGTTACGTCCAAGACCTTTGCTCAAGATGGAATGACATGAAGTTTCCCAAGATTTGTTCAGTACAGTAGTTTTCAAACTTTAGCTTGAGTCAGTCACCTGGAGGACTTATTAAAACACAGATTGCTGGACCCCACTCCCTGAGTTTATGACTCAAACTCAGGACACTGTTGGGGCCTGAGAATTGGTATTTCTAGCAAGTTCCCCAATGATGCTTATGCTGCTGGTCCAGGGACCACACATACTTTGAGAACTTCTGCTTTAGTGAATGACTTTATCCCACTGAAAAACATTTTGAAGGGAGGTGGTCCCCACTATCATTCCTTCAGGACTTGCCCCGCCCAGTGACTTTAGTACTGGAGTTTCCCATGGCTTCTTTACTTGTCTTATATGATCCATATGTTCACCCTACTTAAGTTTCTTTTAGGGAGATAACTGGGATAAAGAAGAAAAAATATGTTCTTAGTATGACTCAGGAAGCTGTGAGTAAAAATTGGAGGAAGATAAGTGAAGTGAAAAGGATCCTGAATTGATGCTCTTACTTCTTATAGTGATCCTTGGGCAATCTGAAGTTTCCTGGAGGTCCTTCTTGGTAACCATAGGTAGTTTTCTTAGCAACTGACCAGCTGGCATGGACTTCATGGTGTTGGAAGGTGAGAGAATAGAACAGGAGCCATCATTCACATGCAATGAGAGGTGCAATGCATTGGGGTTGGCAAAGTCTGTGGTGGAAAGACATGATTACAATTGTAGTATTGTTAGTAAGAGGTAAAACAACATAAGTACTTTTAAAATACTTTGCCAGATGCCTTGCCAAGAAGGCTGAAAGATGGAGTGTGGGGAACTGGCAGTAGCCCAGTGGACTTGGATGTACAGGGCTTTGGAAATTTGTCTCCCTCGAATACAAAGAGACAAACTTGAGACCATTATCAATAAAGACATTTATAAATAAAGACAACACCCTTGGAGATGATAGAACAACAATATGGTTCCTAGGTTGCTTTCCGACCGTGTAGAGCAGAGCCACCCTGTCAGCCTGGACTGCTCATCCTCTGGAATGTTTAGAGAGGAAAATTCTATTTTTTTAAAAGCCACTATACTTTTGAATTTCTTAATTATAGCAGTTTAGTCTGTCCTTTAACAAGTATGGGTATATTATAAATACATACCAAAAATATGTGGGGATAGAAGACATGAAATTATAAAAATAAAGGTAGTGTACAGTTAAGTGCTAAGTCAGAGGAAGGGGAAGTCACTCTGGTCTAGAGATGTCAGAAAAGGCTTCCGTTTCAATTAGGGTTTTCCAGAGAAACAAAATCTATTTTATATGTGTGTACAACACACACACACACACACAGAGAGACTTATTTTAAGAAATAAGAAATTGGCTCATACAATGTGCAATGTGGGGGCTGGCAAGTCTGAAATCCATTGGGTAGGCAGGCAGGCAGGCTGGAAACTCTGGAGGAGTTAATGTTGCAGGTTTGAGATGGAATTTCTTCTTGGGTAAACCTCAGTTTTTGCTCTTAAGGCCTTCAACTGATTTGATGAGGTCTACCGGCCTTACTGAGGGTAATCATTACTTAAAGTCAGCTGATCGTAGATGTTCACCACATCTACAAAATACCTTCACAGCAACATCTACATTAATGTTTGATCTAATAACTCAGTACTATAACCTAACTCAGTTGACATGTAAAACTACCCATCACAACTTCTCATAAAAAGTGGTATCTGAGCTTAACCTTGAAGAATGAATACAATTTCAATAAGCACATGACTTATATCAGGATGATTTTTGCATGCTTCTTATCTGGCCGTGTGTTCCTGGAGCTATAATAACTTTCCTCAAGGATATAAACAGCCTAATTTAAGCCGTGGCTCCATATGGAGAAAAAGATTAATTTAAACCCACAGTCTGGTTTAATCAGTGAGTTAAATGCTGCAATTCTGAAGGGCCATTTGTTCAGATAATGCAATATTGAAAGATGCAAGTGGCCCTGATGGTTCCACACATGGACACTGGCATGATGCATTTGCAGAAGGCTTCTGTGAAGCTCTAGCAAGAACAGAACATTAGCCCAGTATAAGCTCCCTGGCCACCCACACAGACACAGACACAGACACAATGTCCAGTTAACTTTGGAGGCTTGTGTATGGCTTCCAGCAACTTGGTTGGCACAACCTCTGGGTGAAGGTGGGTCACAACACTTATGCAATTCACAAACTTTTGTAAAATTCAAGTACTTGAACTTATTACTGAGAAACAGGAAAGCCCTCAGCTGAAGCAGATCTCAACGCAAGCAAAGGTGTGTTTTTATTTGAGAAGAGAAGGAAAGAATTCACTTGCTTGAAATCAGGACTGTCACTGGGTCTACAAGTAGGCAACTGTGTGGAAGGATCCCACCAGATGGCTTCCTCGCCTGCCACAAAGTCTCTACCATCTGCTGCAATTTATCAGCACTGGAGCTTCATTTTCTTCTGCTAAGGCTTGATCACTTCTAAAATGTTTTAGGCTTTCTGAGGAAAGATTTGATAGAAATGCAGGAACCTGAGGATAAAAGGATTCAGAAATGAAATGCAGTTGGCTCTGAAGATAAAATGTGCCAAATTTACTACAAGTTAAACTGCTCTTAGTACCTGGTTGGAAAACTTAAGTCCAACTCAGTGTGGGCCATTGATCTTTATCCTATTTGTTCTCAGCAAAAATGTAGAGCATATGGATGGATGCAATCCCAGATAAGGGAGTTTAAAGTAAGACTGTGGCCCTTAAGGGGTAACTACTAGAAGTCTGCACTCTTCCCCAACTACCGGTAAAAAACCTAGATAACGAGACAAAAAAGAAACAACCATTCTCAGATATTGGATAATAGGCAGTGCAGTACTATGATGTTCAAGAGAAAGGAATAAATAAGATGAATCCTTCAATTGCTCTGGCTTTCTTCCTGGAAGCAATTTCCTGGCAGTAGCTCAGGAAGAGGGAACCCAAACAGAGCCTGGTGGTCTTGCTGAGTAGAGACAGAGATCATAAATAGTGGACAGAAGGGAGCTTTACAGTGAAAAAGGATCCAGAAATCTATATAGAGGTCCTTTTCAGACTTTGACTATCAATTTGTGCATGTAAAGGAGGAAACTTTATGAGGTGGAACAAAGAGCTGGGAAAGAGTAATTATTGGGACACTGGAAGCCAAATAACTCAAAGCTTGCACAGGATTGGGACTGAATCAGGTTCCCACCAACTAGAGTGAAGAGACTTTGCTGAATACATGGAGAATTCGGTAGACACCCCAGATAGGTCAAACTTACTTTAATAGGGAGACTAAACTAGACCTAGAGTAAGGCTACTCCAGATAAACTCCCTGACAAAAATCCTTAAAAGCAAGTCTGGAAAAGATTAAGCTAATCTGAAAATAACTTTCTGCTAGTGTAAAGATAATCTTTAAAGGAATACAAAAATATCCAGCACTCAGCAATGTAAAATTTAAGTCCAATATCCAATAAAAATTACTAGAGGCCACACACGTTGGCTCATGCCTGTAATCCCAGCACTTTGGGAAGCTGAGGTAGGTGGATCACTTGAAGTCAGGAGTTCGTGACCAGCCGGGCCAACAGGGCGAAACCCCGTCTCTACTAAAAATACAAAAATTAGCCAGGTGTAATGGCGGTGCCTATAATCCCAGTTACTCGGGAGGCTGAGGCACGAGAATCACCTGAAGCCAGGAGACAAAGGTTGCAGTGAGTTGAGATCGTGCCACTGCACTCCAGCCTGTGCAACAGAGCAAGACTCCATCTCAAAAAAAAAAAAAAAATTACTAGACATGCAAAGACACAAGAAAGTGTGGCTCATAACCCAGAGAAAAATCAGTTGATAGAAACAGACCCAGAAATGACAGATGATGAAATTAGTTAGACAAGAACTTTAAAAGACTTATCAGAAATAATATAAATAAGCTCAAGGATTTTAAAGAATATATGAGCACAATAAAGAGATAAATGGAAGACACAGAAACCTTGGGGTAAAAAACAAAATAAATTTTTAGAGATGAAAAATAAAATATCTGAAGTAAAAATTTTACTGGACAGAATTAAATAGCAGGTTAGATATTGCAAAAGAATAAACCATGAAGCTAAAGAGAAGACAATAAAAATAATCTAAAACGAGGCACAGAGAGAAAAAGATTGTAACATTATGGTACAAGCAGTGGCAGAATAGAGGTTCTTGGGGCTAAAATAGTTAAAATTATTTCTGTCCACTTAAAAAATGACCGTAGGTCTAGATGGGCAAGGCATTTGTCACTAATTGGAAGATGAAAATGTGGACAATCAGGCTGAGATGTCCACTGATCAGAGGATGGATTTTTCTCATGTTGCTGAATATTTGGATGCCTTCTTCCTTCCTCACTCTCTTGTCTTCTCCTTTCAGAGGAAAAGCTTGATGTGAAAGGACAAACTTTCCACAATAAGGAACATGTTCTTTAGCCACATATGCACAGTTGTCCCTCAGTGTCTGTGGGAGATTGGTTCCAGGACCCCCCAGGGATAGCAGAATCCATGGATAGTTGAGGCCCTTATATAAAATGGTGTAATACTTACATATAACTTATGCACCGTCCCCTACATACTTTAAATCATCTCTGGATTACCGATAATACCTAGTACAAGGTAAATGCCATGCAAATAATTGTTATACTGTATTGGTCTTAAATTTTGTATATTTTTATTTTTTTTTAATTTTCAAATATTTTGAATCTATGGTTGGTTGAATCTGTGAATGTGGAACCACAGATATGGGGGACTGACTGTACTGGGATTAAGCTTTGCCTTTGCTCTCAGCTCCTCATGCCTGAGCCCACTCATCTCCCACAGAATATTCAGCCCCATTCTAGTAACCAGACCAAGCCAGAGATGAGAGACTAGAGAATCACTCACAGACTTTCACCATCTCAGCTCAGAAATGGCTCATGTCATTTGTACTCATGCTTCATTGGCCAAAACCATGCATGTGGGTCTGCCCAATTGCAAAGGGGCCAGGAAATGTTAAAAAGCAAATGGGAGACACAAAGAAAGTGTGGCTCATAACCCAGAGAAAGTGTGACTCATAACTCACATTTTCACACATTTTGGCTTTTCACCAAATGAGAACTTGGTGAGCATTGCTCTCTCTTCGTATTACCCCCTTCCCTTTCTCCAGCCATCTGGTTTACTTTTCCAGTGGAAAGCCTATTACCAGTGTCTTCTGCCACAGAAATTCTAGTATTACAAACACATATATACATGCTACATATGTGTATATATATACACACGTATATATATATATATTTAAATAACACCTTGCTATACACTCTTCTATAATTTTTTTTGCTTAATCTTATGTCTTAGAGATCTTTCCATCTCAGTACATGATAATTTTCTTATTTTTCATTTTTAAGAGGGGTTAATTTTTATATTTTAATACATTCACATGATTCAAAAGAGAAACTACTTCTGTCCTCTGTCTGTTCACACACCTCACTCTTAGGTGATCACTATTATTAGCTTTTGTGCATCCTTCCAGAGGTTCTTGATGCACATAGAAGCAAAATCTATATATGTCCTTGTTTACTACCTTTTTACACAAAAGGTGTAATACTATATATGCTGTTCTAAACCTTTTTTAAAGTTTAACAATATATCTTGAAGATATTTCCCCATTAATACATGAAGAACTTTCTCATTCTTTCCTTACAGTTGTACAGTATTCCATTGTATGTATGCATCATATCATTTATTTCCCCAGTTCCTTATGAACTGCAATGTGTAACCTTGTATATACATCAAATCACATGGTGCAAATGACTCTGTAGGATGTATTCTCAGAAATAGGATTTCCTACCCTTTAATATAAATTAATCTGATGAAGGACGGGGGATTATTGTGCTGGTTCTGCTGAAAAGAACCTCTTTGCAAGCCCTGTGGGGAATTGGCTGACATCACAGCTCCTATTTCTCTGAACTTAGAATGCAGGTACTTGGTGCCTTTTGTTCTCAACTGTGAGTTCCAGTTGCCAGTTCTGGGAAAACAGGAAGATCCCAAGTAGCACTTTTGACCATTGGGTATCAGTATCTTAAGATCTTGCTGCAACAACCTGTCTACTTCCCCAATTCCAGTGAAGAGTGAGGCCATACCCTGATTGCCTCCCTGCCTCAGACCTAGAGCCCTACAGTGGGTCAGGCTTGGTTGGCCCCAGATGCAGACTGGGTTGGTGGCTTGGAAGTCACAGAAATTCACGATTCTTGAGATTCATGGAGAATGGCTGGCATTAGCATTGGGAAGTGCCAAGGCCAAATACCTGGGCTACAGGCGGGCTGAGAGGGCCATGGAAACTGACTGGAAGCCAGAAATGGGCCAAAGCCAAGGAGACACACAAACATTGGGATATATTTCAAGAGCTAAGAGCAGCTAGTCAGAAATTACTCAGGAGCCATGTATAGAATGGAGACTGAGAAGACAAAGTCAAGATTAAAAGCCGACTTGAGCAACTAAAACAGCATCAAAAACAATGTCCTGAGTACCTACTATGTGCCAAGCACTATTCAAGGTGCTGAAGACAGAGCAATAAATGAAACAAGACTGTGACTGTCCTCATGAACTTACATTCAACGTAGGGACAGACAATAAAATAATAAACAAAGGCTATCAAGGTAGTAAAGTTCAATGAAGGAAAAGTGAAGAAGAGCAAGGGGGCTGAGGAATGAAAGGTGTCTGCCTTTTAAGACAAGAGTAGTCAGGAGAGCCTTTTACAAGAAGATGGCATTTGGTGAAATGAACAAAGTGGGGGAAATAACCATGAGACTATCTAGGGAAGGGAATTCCAAGTAAGTGCCAAAGACCTGAGGTTGAAGCATGCTTCACAAAGTAAAGGAAAAGCTGGAAGGCCTGGATGGCTGGAGTGGAGTTAGTGACAGAGTGCTAAGAGCTGAAGCTGGGGAGGGTGGTAAGGGCCAGGTTGTGTGAGGCTTTCAAGCCATGGTAAGGGCTACTTTATTATAATTATGGCTGTGAATTATTGGGGAGGGTTTTGCGTACAGATGAGACAGGTTCTGGGTGATGTTTTTTTTTTTTTTTTTGCGACGGAGTCTCGCTCTGTCACCCAGGCTGGAGTGCAGCGGCCCGATCTCGACTCACTGCAAGCTCCGCCTCCTGGGTTCATGCCATTCTCCTGCCTCAGCCTCCTGAGTAGCTGGGACTACAGGCACCCGCCACCAAGCCCGGCTAATTTTTTTGTATTTTTTAGTAGAGACGGGGTTTCACCGTGTTAGCCCGGATGGTCTCGATCTTCTGACCTCGTGATCTGCCCGCCTCGGCCTCCCAAAGTGCTGAGATTACATGCGTGAGTCACCGCGGCGCCCGGCCTCTGAGTGATATTTTTAAAAAGTCACTCTGGTTGTTCTGTGGAGAATAGACTGGGGAAGAGGAATATTTAAAGGCAACTGCAATCATCTAGGCAAGAAATGATGACAGACTAGAATGTAGGTGGTGCAGGTGGTGGTAAGCGGGCGGATTTGAGATATACTGGCATTTCCCACTTACTGTCATTAATTTGTTCCTGAAAACATTCAGTGCAAAAACACTGAGTCTATTTCCCATTGTTTGTAAATAGAAAAAAGTTATAAAAGTATTGTGAAGGTAGCTACTCTCAGAACCCACAGGCCCATCCTTACAGTAGAGTCCCTCAGTCTGGTTCCCTGTCCAGCTGGCCTCTGCTTGGCAGGGACCTGTCCACCCCTCACCACCTACAACACCCAGGCATCTCTAGGTTTGTGGAGCACAAACCTTGCTTTATATCTGCTTAATTTAAAAGGTTCCATCAAAGTTGCCTTCCTAACTGGTTTTCCCCCAAGACAAATTCTAGTTTCCTTCTAGAAGATAAAGGACAATCTATAATTTTTTTAATGGCATTTTTTTTAGCTTCAAAAAACTGAAGGTTCACCCTTTATGAACATCCCATTGTTCTCTATGGGTCTGAGTAGTGTTCTACAACTCCATTGCCGTAATCTTGCTTCACATTATACCTTTGATTCTGATTCTTGGTTTTAAGAAAAGTTCCAATGTGTGTTTTATATGGCTTGAATAGAGTTGCTTCATATATACCCTGAAACAGTGCAAGGAGAGTACACAAGGTCCAGATAATCTCTGCCCTGGATAATCTCTGTCTAATGTCAAAATGCATCCCTGGAAAAAGACAGAGTAAAATAGCTTCAGAAAGTCCTTATGGGGATGTGTCAGCTGTTTGTCAGCCAGGTACTTTTCCTCTCCATTTCTGTGATGGGGTAATCAGACCTATGTACCAACTATGCAGAAAGATCAGTAGTTAGTAAAAATAGCTGTATAGGACAAACAGCAGAGAATACCAAAGAAGAAACCACTCAAAAAAGCACTGAGTGTGGTATTTCAATCAAACAGGACCCCAAAATTTATATTTATTCTTATTTATCAGAAAATCAAAACATTATGAAAAATTTAGGAAAACATGTAACTTAGCAATTCCCAAGGTCAGGAGCTACCCTGGCCTTTAATGCTCAAATAACAATAGTTTGCACCCCCAACCTGTGTAATGGCAGGAAGTCCTGTGATTTATTGGGTTGCTGGATCCAAGTGTTTCTGGGAATCCCTGAGAAATGCTGACATGTTCCACAAGTATGAGCCACTTTTTGTTGATCATCTCAGCTGGCCGACAGGCTCTGGTCCACTGCTTTTGTTTCCTCAGTTCTCCTCTCACTAACTTGACCTTGAATCCTAACTTAGAAATTGATCTAGGACTTTCGTCGTCTTGATTTAAAACAAAAACAAAACAAAAAAGTAAACAAATCAACTCCAAAATATCTGAGCTATAGTTGTCATCATATTGCTGGAGATAAAAGGCTATATTCACCTTTGGAAACCAGAACTCTTGTTTTGTAAATAATACTTTAGTGGATCTTTGGCTGTGAAAAAGTAAATCTAACAAGAGATGGGGTAAATATAGCATACAGCATATTATTTAAAAGCTAAATTGTGGCCAGAAATGAGCTAAAAGAGTTAAGTGAGCTCTTCTGTCAAAATAAGACTAGGTCTAACCACGTTTAACTGGAAGTTTCAGGATATCAGAAAGAATTTATAATAATGGTCGAGAGAAAAACATTAAAACTAGATATCGTGAGCTGCACAGTGGTCCCCTAAATGACACATCCTAATCCCTGAAACTTGTGATGTTACCTTATTCGGAAAAGAGGACTTTATAGATGTGATATTAAGTTAAGCATCTTAAAAGGAGAAGCTTATCCTGGATTATCCAGGTGGGCAATTGCGTGTATCCTTATAAAAGAGAGGGATATTATATCAAAAAAGCACAGGAGACAGACACACAAACAAGAGGAGGAGGCAATGTGACCAGGAAGGCAGAGGTTAGAGTATTGCAGCTACAAACCAAAAAAGGCCTATACACACTAGAAGCTGGAAGAAGCAAGCTATGGATTCTCCTCTAGAGCCTTGGGAGGGAGGACACCTTGATTTTGGACTTCTGGCCTCTATATTGTGAGAGAATGCATTTCTGTTGTTTTAAGTCACCTAGTGTGTGGCAATTTGTTAGAGTAGCCCTAGAGGAACTAATACAGTAGATACAACTATATATGAGCCCGTGAGCTTCCACAGAGTATCCTCTAATGGCCACCTCCATCCTTAGCCCCTGGTCTGTGGCAAGGTTGTAGGACCAGCTTGCTCTCTCATGGTCTAGGATCCCAACTTCTCTTTTACTCTGAAGAACACAGAAAACTTTTCGTTTTAATAATCCAATCATTTTAATAATCTTTGCAAAGATACAACTCTGGCCACAATTTGGCTTTTAAATAATATGCTGTATATTATATTTACCCTTATCTCTTTTTAGATTATTTTTTCACAGCCAAAGATCCACTAAAGTATTTTTCACAAAACCAAGAGTTCTGATTCCCAAAGGTAAATGTAGCCTTTTATCTTTGGCAATATAATGATAAGCTGTAACTTAGATATTTTGGAGTTGATTTGTTTACTTTTTTCTTTTTTTAAAAAAATTCATTATTAATTAATTTACCAGGACTACAAGTCCTAGATCAATTTCTAAGTTGGGACTCAAGGTCAAAGTCCCTGGGATGCCCCTACCTCCACACTGGTAAATCTAAGCTCCACCCTTAAAATTCACAAATCAAAGAGAAAGAAAAAATTCCTTTCCCAGTTTCAAGGCAAAGAATTCCAGGGAAGAACTCTGATAAGGCTTGCTTGAATTGCAATTGGTAGTTGCAGCAAAATTACAGAGAGTAGGAGAAGAGTAGTTTTACTAAGAACATGGATGTAAGAAAGGGATGGGCTATAGGCAGATGAAAACAAGTGTCCATTCCAACAGGCTTCCTGCCTCCCAGTCCAATTTATCTCCTCTGCTCTATATTGTTATTCTATTACCTCAAAACTAAAGCTCAATGTCACAAACCTATGCATGTACCCCCCTGTATCTAAAATAAAAGTTGAAATATAAAAAAACTACAGCTCCTTGAATAGTCCCAAAATGAGATATCAAATTCTAAACTATTTTTGATTTCTGTGTTTAAGTAACATGTTTGTATTATCAGATAATGAAAATTTCAGGGACACAGAAGTATGGTTAATTTTGAATAACATTTTAGTAACACAGTATTATTTTCAAAAAGATTTAGTAGTGGAGTTTAGTGAGAACTCTTCATATAAGAATTAAAGTATAAATTATTATTGCAAATATTTTTTCCTTATCACTAAACATGACCATTTAATGACATTATTTGATAAAATTTAACTCCATTTAGTGGAGATCTAAACCTAAATTTAAATTAGGAAATCCTGTTATAATCTCTCATTCCATTCTTGACTTTTGTTTCATAGCACTTACTTAACATCATCTGTAGTTCATTTGTGTGAATGTATGAGTTATCTATTGCTATGCAACAAATCTCCCCAAAATTTACTGGCTTAAAACAACACACAATTATTATCTCACAGTTTTTATGGGTTCTGTGAGTACAGCTTAGCTGGGTCTTTTGCTTTAGGATCTCTCACAAGGCTGCAATGAAAGTGTCATCTGGGAACATCTCATTTAAAGACTCAACTAGGGAGGATTTACTTCTAAGCCTACTCAAATAGTTGTTGGTAGTATTCACTTCCTCTCAGACTACAGAATTGAGGCTTCAATTCCTTATAAGCTGTTGGGTTCTTGCCACATGCTGTTTCCTTAGTGAGTATTCAGTTAATGTCTGTCCTCCATATCCTACTCATTAGACTGTAAACTTTTTGAAGGCTAGGACCACATCTATTTTTCATGACAATGTTCTTATCACCTAGTACAATGCATGGCAAAAAGTGGGACTTAATACATGCTTGTCAAAATAATGATAGAATGAACATACTTGCTGTAATTATTGCTGCTTGAACAAAACAAAAGGATATTTAAGTATCATTCATGACATGTATTGCTTGAATCATCTTAAATACACACACAATTTCTGTTACAATGTTCGGTTGTCAATCTATGGAGATAAATAGCTATACACTGACATTGTGTTTTGAAGTTATCTACGAAACAAACAAAATAGTAGCTGACATAATAGATGCTAAATACAATACAGGGTAATTGAATATTGCAGACAGTGGGTGCTGTGGGGAGAGCCATCACCAAGGCTATCTTAATGATTCCTGTTCCTTGATTGATGAACAGGACCTTGATGAATGGAAGTCAGTAAGGGGAGCTTCCAGGTGGCAAAAATCACTGGGACAAAGATGTGAAGGCGAAGGTATATATGTTGTGCATAGGGATCCATAATAGAACAGCTGGCAAGAGAGAAATTGCCTTTAGGGAGAACTTAGAGACAAGGTAAGAGGGGAAGCATAAAATCTTAAAATGATGAAATTGGAATGGATCATGGTGGTCACATAATCTAATCTTTTCATGTTAAATACAGGGAAAATGAGGCACAAAGAGGTCAAATGACTTGCCCTATGTGCCACAACAAGCCAGTACAGAGTACAAATTATTAGAGTATAAACAGCACGTACTTTGGTGGTAAATAGCTGGATTTGAAACATAGCTCTGCCACCTATCAGATTGACCTTAGGCAAACAGCTACCTCTCTGAACTTTGGTTTCCTCATCTGTAAATGGTGATAATAGTTTATACCACTTGCAGGGTTTTTTGAGGATTAAATTAGATAGTGCTACGTTTACCACATGGTCTGTTTGTGTATATATGTATATGTATGTATGCATACACACACATAAATTCATATTTATGACAGAAAACACGAGATTTCTGGATCAGAGAACATACCATTCATTATTCACACAGTATCTTAGCACTGGTTCCCCAAGCCCTACAGAGCAACATGGGAAGAGCCTACCATGTTAAGCCCATGATAAGAGCCAGGGTTGCAGCACAGGAGAGGAATACCAAAGTCATGAGACTTGGAGCTTTATATGGGCTGCTGATTATCTGCCCATCATCTCTTCCAGAGAGAGAGAGAGAGAGAGAGAGAGAGCTTATCTTTGCTCTGGAATTTAAGCAAATGTCTCCTGGAGAGAGGGGTAGGTGGCTCCAGGAAAGATAAGCCTCTAAATCTCTCCAGAACAGTACTATATCTCTAATTTCCTAGGTGTGTTTGCCATTCAATCATTCTTTAACCGAGTTTGCCAGTGTTCTTTGTTCAGAAAGCCCAAACAGTGCAGAAATGTGAAAATATTCATGGAGAATTGCATCCCAACAGTAGGTAGTCAGTAAAGGTTATCTTCTTTCATGAGTCTGAAAACAGTGCTCTTTACTTTTAAACCTTCTCCCACAGATGCCCATGCCACTGTTGTTGAGAGACAAAAAGCTCACCAGCCATGAGGTACCTCAAGGTGAACAGCCCTAGCCATGTTATGTCATACCTGCTTCCATTTGGTCATTTCCTGCCTTACAACACAACAATCTGTTGGCTGCTTTTTTGGGCTTCTTTCATAAATATAATTTCTGTAGATTAGAGATTCTGGAGAGTATCTTGTGTTTGGACAGCTAACCATTTTAACTACTAATTGGTAGCTTCCCTGTACCCTGCCCCTTGCCCTCTGCTACTGTTGGCAGCTACAATGCAGGACGACTATTATTTTGGGAAATTTTATTATAAGGGAACTGGAGAACAAAGAGGCCAACTTCTTCAATATCTCTGGTTCACACTTGAAGCACATACTTGGAACTTTATAAAACCAGTTGCATAATGTACTCCTTCTCTATCTTAGGACTAGATACAGATAACTGGAAGGAAACATCAGAGAGGAAAGCAATCATGAATGCTGGCGTGGGTTGGCTCCCAGCCTGACTCAGTCTGAGTAGAGAGAGAGGAAGCAGAGATGGAAACTCCTGTAAAGTGGCAATTGCAGATTATAGATGAGATATGATCATTTGAACTCTGGCTATAGAAATGGAGAAAGGACATGGAGGATTTAAGATTTTGTAGGTGTGATTTATAAAAGTTGGTGACTGAATACAGTTTGAGAAAGAGGGCAGAGTTCATGGTGAATTCAGTTTCTAAGCTGAGTGTTGTGTGACTAAAACATTTGGATGGAGGTTATAGATTAATTGGATGTTGTAATGTTGCACTTTCATATTTAGATAAAAATACTCGATCATGCTATCATGGAAGAACTAGAATGGGAATTTTTAAATTTGATAATTGATGTTCACATCATGCATTTGTGGATTTTTTTTCATGTTTTTAATAGAAACAGACATCACAGTTTGAGAAGTCAAGAGGGCATTTTCCCTCATATATCAACAACCACCGCACCTTTAACCCAAGCAGTACTGAAGGGCATTTGAGCATCTAGCAATTTCATTAAATTGAGAAAATACAGTTTAGGGAAGTTTGAGATAATTAAATCATTACATTTGGTTAGGCACATGTTTGTCTCAATATCATTTTTAGAACATGCAGATAGAGAGGCTCAGATGGAATTCCAAGTGGGAAGTAGAAGCTGACAATCTCAGTTTAGGCATCATCAGTACGTGAGTGGTCATTAAAACCAAAGTTGTGACCATCAAAGTTCTTGGTTTCAAACAATAGAAACCAATCCTGGTTAGTTTAAGTAGGAAAATAATTTACTAGTGAAAATGGGTGGCTGGAAGAATGTCCAGGAAGATAGAGAACCAAGATTAGAGACTATATGACAAGAAACAATTCTCAAATCACATTGCAGGACTGGGCTCTGTCTCTGCAGCTGGTACCATCAACACTGCCAATATGTGGGATTGGGCACTACCATCAGCTCTGCTGCAACTGCCCCTGGATACTGGAGGTGCTGCTTCCATCCTTGGCAAAAGAGCTCCATGAGGGACTCCTTCTTTCTGCACCGGCTCCCAATTCAGTCTATGGTGGGTACAACTGAAATGCTTGCATCATAGCTGCAAGTGAGGCTGGAAACATGACTAGCAGTCTATCGTCTATTACAGGAGGCAGAAGCTGTTAATGTAGGGAAGGGGGTGAAATGGGCAGTGTAGCCAAAAGATATAACAAATGTCCACTACCAGAATAGAAGCTAAGATTATGAGAGAGAAAATGTGAAAATAAGAAGAGAAGATAATAATTATAGCAAGTTAGTTGAGCACCTATATGTTCAGCACTTTATATACATATATAATAATTTACTTCTTAGAATAACCCTTTCAAGTAGGAATTATTGGTTTGCATGTAGGGAAACTGAATCAACAGAGTGATCAAACACATTGCCCCAGGTCACCCAACAAGGAGATCTGACTCTAGGACTTATGCTCTTACCACTACACTACACTGCCTCTGCATGGAGAGGATGAAGATGGCATTCTAGCAAACATACATTTAGGGAGCAGATAGAGAAAGTGAGATGGACTGAGAAGAAATAAATGATTGTAGAGCTGGACAGAATCCCTTAGGAGAGTGCTCTCTCTATCAGAAGCCTAGGATAAGAGAGTTTAAAGGAATTATGGTTCTATTAGTTCAGTAGGGCTGCT
Organism: Homo sapiens; assembly: GCF_000001405.40. Classification (NCBI taxonomy): domain Eukaryota; kingdom Metazoa; phylum Chordata; class Mammalia; order Primates; family Hominidae; genus Homo; species Homo sapiens. Next base: position 63,665,151 of record NC_000002.12, read on the forward strand.
GTAACAAACTATCACAAACTGGGTGGCTCAAACAACAGAAATGCGTTGTCTCATGGTTCTCAAGGTTAGAAGTCCAAGATCAAGGTGTTAGTAGTGTTGGTTTCTTCTGAAAACTGTGAGGGAAGAATCTGTTCTAGGCTTCTTTCCTAGCATCTGGTGGTTTGCTGGCAATCTGATGTTCCTTGGCCTGTAAATGCATCGTCCCAATCTCTGCCTTCACATGGCATCCTCCTTGTATCTCTTCACACAATCTTCACTCTGTGTATGTCTGTCTCAAAATTTCCCCTTTTTATAAGGACACCAGTCATATTGATATGGGGGTCCACCCTATTCCAGTATGACCTAATCATAACTAATTACATCTATTATACAATGATCCTGCTTCCAAATAAGATCACATACTGAGATACTAGGAGTCAGGACTTCAACATGTGAATTTTGGAGGACCCAATTCAACCCATAGCAGTGGTCAACTGCACAAATGTGACAGAAAGGTAAAGAAGGATATTGGCTGCAAATAAACTATTGAATTTGACAACTAGGAGGTGGCTGGAGATTTGGCAAGAACAATTTCAGTAGCATGGTGCTGGTACACATATATTATAGAAGTTGACATGGAGGAAGGGCTTAGGGGAGGACATGAGGGAATAAGCATAGACAATTCTCTATAGAAGTTTGATGTGTCAAGAAAGGTAGACTTTCCCTACACAGGAAGGCAGATCCCTGCATAGCCTTTACCAAGATACTTGATACTATAAACAGAAATTTTATGGTTTGGTGGTGTCACTTCCTACGTGTGAATCCAAATCTTTAGGAATTGTGGTTTAAGTCAACAACTGATTTTGGGCAGACATCTGCACAACATGTGGTGGTATTGCCATAGTGATTGTTACTCTGAGGAATTCAGGGTAGGATATTTACACTGAAACTTCTGTGTTTCAAAATGAAGACATAATTTTAGATACTAAGGACCTTTACATATATCCCTCCTGAATGTTAATGTTATTTAAATGAGTAATAGAACACTTCAGACATTTTTTCATTCCTTGAAAATGAAATGCTTTTCATTTCCTGAAAATGAAATATGTCCTCTGCCTGGAGATACTCTTCTGAAATGCAAGAGCTCAAATAGAGCAAATTCAAATAGTTTTTGAGCTCTACTGCTAGCAGGAAGGAGTTAGGATTTAGAAGGCTGATTTCACTGCCTGCTGTGTGTTTTCATTTCACTTTGCTAGGGTCAGTTGCTGTATTTCAGAAACAGAGAAGCTCTGAAAGCAGAGATGTGTGACTGAGAACATGGAATTGGTTCTCCGTGTATGTTTAAAACTCCAGTTTGAAAGAAATGCTTTATTCCTTTTCAAACTTCCCTACTGTTTTGGTGAATTCATTTCACGCATAATCCTGCAGAACTGAATTTTGTGCCGCTGCCTTCAGGCTGCAAACAGTTTAGTCCTGTGTGCTAATGACTGATTCTCCCAGGGTGTGACCACCTGGCTGCCAGGATCTTTTGAAGTTCCTGCTATGGCCAAGCTTTCTCAGTGCTGGGCATTTTTCACTTCCTTCTCTTTCTACCCCACCATTTTCATCTGCTTAACATGGGGAGTGGAAATGCTGAACGTGTCGGAACCTTACCACAAATCCTACCCCATGTCAATATGTCCACACCACACTCTCAATTCCACAGACATTCATTGCTGGAGAATCAAGGAAATCAGCATTGGAACCTTGTCAAATTTCCCACCAATATAGCCCAACAGACCCATAAAAAAGAGCAGCTTAAGTAATCACAATGCAGATGCTTTTCGTTAAATATTTTTGGGGAAGTTTATTTCATTTGATGAGATACTTTGCTAAATGGAACCATCTCCTGGAAACACCCATAAACACTTTTTAAAGTGGTGGTCCTCTATCTTGATTGTAGTGACGATTTCAGGGGTGCATACATACATTAAAACTTAAATTATATGCATTAAATAAGAGCAGTTTATGTCAAGTATATGCCAAGAAAACTGTTATGAAAATGTGTGGGCCCCTGAACAAACTTGTCTGTTACTTTTGTGTGTGGTCTCTCACTGACATGGTTGTATTTCAGAATTTGGCAAGTGATGTTCACACACCCATTTATTCGCCATGGGGTGAGGCTGGCATAGGTTTGTCCTCTAGGGCAGAACAGCGCTGGCAGAGATCCTGGGGATAGGTATGAACTTCAAACCACATGCAAAGTCATTGCAAAAACCTGAACAAGCAATCCAGTGACTTCTGGATGGAACTCTGAAATGATGTTTTGCTAGCATTTTAACAGTAATAGTTAATTGCTTGTGGATTTGGTTGTTTTGTTGTTGCCAGTTTTTGTTTGTTCAGTTTTTTTGGCCACTTTTCAAGGTGGAGTTATATTACGCACATTCAAAAGCAGTTCAGAACATTTCTGGAGTTTCTCTCCCTGTTATCATGTTTTCTTCTTCTCTTTCCTTCTTCTTCTAGAGCTACATTAAACTCTAGAAAGCCTCTGTGGGTCTCTTTTGCAGGGTAGGTTGGAGAATGCAGAGGAACAGGGAATATATAGGGATAGGGTCCCATGATATCCCAGGAGGAAGAGCTGCTGGCTTTAGCTAATACTTGCTGCACCCTCTGGATTCTGGCTAGGGAAACCCAAGTAGTCTTCATGTTATCCAGGTTTCCTTCCTTTAATATTCAAATAAAGTAACTCAAACCCCATGCTCCAGTCCCTTCTCATATGTTTCTTAGGGCTGCCAGGGAATGTTCACACACTCTGGATGCCTTCCTACTCCCCACTTTTCTCTATCTGATTAGTGCTTCTCCAGGATGCTGGGCCCTTTCTCCAGTTCTCTTTGTTCTAAAACTGGAATTCCCTAAGGCAATGAGTGCTAATTCAAGTCTAATACTAAATTGTGATGATTAACAAAAGCCTTTTAAAGGGTTTTGGTGAGTGGAATGGCAACAGATAGGTGGCCACTATACGGCAGAACAGGACACAAAGTGAGATGTCAGATGTCTCTGTTCCTAGAGCCCACTGGCTACCCTCCTTTGCAGGAGTCCCTGGCTGTCCCTGGCCATCTCTCCCTGGCTGGGGTCATCTCTAACTCTCTCCTGCATCCCCTCTCCCACCACTCCCCAAGCCTCAAAACTGCAGGTTCAGTGTTCCCAGAAAAATGGAGAAGACAACAAAAAAGATTCTCTCCATAAACCAATTGTTTTACAATAACCAGCAGGAAAGTTTTAGCTCATATTGTTCTATACCTGTTTTTTCTGGATTAGGTTTTAGCATAACTAAAGAACCATTCAGAGTATTCCTAACCCAACCCCAAAAGAACCGTCTACCCCAAAAGAAAATCCAGATCTGTACTTTTAGTAAAACAGGGTACTGACCAAAAGTGTGAAATTATACTTTTTATTTATAACGTAAATATATATTCATGGGCAGGACACAAGACCAAGGTCTGTGCTTCCCTCCCCTGCTGGCAGTCCCACAAATGGGGTGAGAATAGGATGGTAGAAGATTTATCACCCACACTACTCCCTGCCCCCGCTTTCCAGGGTAAACTGAAGACTTCGATTCTTTCCTCTTCTGTTTCTACACAACTTTCTCCCTCTCTCCCCTCCTCCTTTCTGTACACTCCTGGTTCTCTTCTAGGTTTATATCTTTTCTTATTTTGTGACAGACTCTAATAGGCAGGAATTAGATCTAAATCTGATTTTGGCATATCACCCATATATTAGTGCTTGGTGTAATTTTAGGGACACTAAATTGCTTTCTAGAATAACCCTTCTTTCCCAGGAGAGAAAGCACAGGATTTGGGAACTACTGCCAGCATGCTTTTGGCTAGACCCTGGTCAACAGCACCGAGTTACACAAAACACTAACACTTACTTAGCATTGCTAGGTAAACTTCTGTCGAATGCTTAGGTCAGTAACACATCTGTTCTTTTCTGGTATGAAGTAGATAGTGATGTCCCAAGATCCATACTCAGGCAAAACATTAGGGAGAAAGATTCGTCATTAGCTTCTCTGAACTCTACCCATTTTCTTTAGAAATCCAGAAGGTAAAACTATGAAATCTGGCAGGATATAAATAGCAGCTAAAGTCTGCAGAGTACAAAGTAGTAAAATGTCTAAGCACAACATGGATATGTGCTTAAATGCAATCTAAGCAACCCGATTCTTCTACAATGTCTAATTTTTTATTTTATTTTATTTTATTTTTTTTTGAGACTAAGTCTCACTCTATCACCCAGGCTGGAGTGCAGTGGTGCAATTTTGGCTCACTGCAACCTCCACCTCCTGGGTTCAAGCGATTCTTGTGCCTCAGCCTCCCGAGTAGATGGGATTACAGGTACGTGCCACCATGCCCAGCTAATTTTCATATTTTTAGTAGAGATGGGGTTTTGCCATGATGGCCAGGCTGGTCTTGAACTCCTGACCTCAGGTGATCCACCCGTCTCAGCCTCCCAAAGTGCTGGGATTACAAGTGTGAGCCACCGTGCCCAGCCTAATTTTTAATTTAAAGAGTATATTCTCTTGTTAGATACATTTAAAAAGCTCTTCTCTTGTTACATGCATTTGCTCAAAACCCCAGTGTTGTGCTTATGCATTCTTGCTTGGTCAGGGCTCCTGCACTGTACAACTCCAGGAAGCACCATCCACGTCATGGTCTGTGAATAGCAACCCCAGGATTTGTCCAGTGCACAGCTTGCAGGACAGTACATGGAGCTCCTGGTTTGAATCCTGGTCTGCTACTTACCAGCTGTGTGAACTCAGGGAAGTTTTTTATTTTCTATAAGGCTCATATTCTTCAACTATAGAAAGGTAGATAATGGTATCTACCCCTTAGGATTGCTGTGAGGATTAAATGAGGTAGTTAAGAAAATGATAATAATTGTTAGGTATTATTGATAAAAATAACAAATAAGCTTACCATTTCTCTGATATCTCAGCCACAGAGAGCACAATCTGTAACGTTGATAAAATGGAACATTTGCATAGGGGAGGAGAGCTTTTCAAAGGCTCTAACATGATGTAATTTTATGAATCTTGACTTCCAGAGAGCTCTTTCAAGGTGCCAGGCTTTTATATCACCAGGTCTTCCCTCAGTTCTGCTGCAGTCGTGGCGTTGCTACACAGCCAGTGCTGTCTGGTATACTTTGGCTCTGGCTACAGAGCCCCTTTTCCTCTGTTCTCCCATCCCAGTGACTGCCCACCATGGAGAATCTATATGAATCTTGAACAGAGTTAGAACCTAAGGAAAGTGTGATCCTGGGATCTAGTAGCTACAAGTACCAGGACCAAGTACATTGGGAAAGGTGGCTTCTAGATTTTTTAATTTCTTGCCCTTGAATGCCAGGTCTGGGACCATGAGGGAAAATTACAGACAGAGCAAAATAGCAATGCAGCAGGAAGATTATAGGAATGTGAGTGCCCAAGGGTGAGTGTGTATAGAGGTAAAGTGTATATGGTATAAAAAACAGGGAGGAAGAGAGAAAATGAGATGGAGGAAAGCGGTGATGAGAACCAACAGTTACTGGAGACTATGTTCCCATCTGCCCTTTGCCAACTTGCCTCAAGGTCTGGGACCTGGTCAGAAATGGCATCTGAGGTTACTAATCACACTCACCTTCAGACCAAGTTAACATCGTAAATAACAAGGGTAGCAATCTCTTATTACCTTGGGGTAGTGGGAGCACATCTAAGGCACAAGTATGAAATGAAAGAGAGGAAAAAAAAGTAGGAAAAAATTAGGGAAAAGGGAAGGCTAAATAAAAAGTTCAGCTTTTGGAGAACCAGTAACAGGCATAGTTGCCACTGCTACACATAAAGTATTCCTCAGAGAAGGGAATGAAAGAGGGGAATCCCACTGCACAGTTCGAACCTTTAATTCTGTCCCTACTCAGGCTCAGCTTTGAGATTTTTAGAGAGGCTAGAGTAATTCCTAGACTGCCCAGGAGGGTAGCTGGGATCCTCTTTCTTCTGCTGGCATGATTCTCTCCTATCTCTGACTGCCATGAGGTGTGCCTACTAGACCTCCAACTACATAGAGTGTAATTGATTAAGGGTCCAGCTCCTGACTCTGAAATCCATCATCACGTTTGTTCCCAGGCCATGCTTCCCACAGGCTGCTCCTAGCCAATGACAAAGTGCAGCAGGGATACTAACAGTCCCATTTCTCAGAGGCACGGGAGTCTTCTGACGGCTACTTTGGCTTAGGGACTCCCAAACAGCCTAACTGAAGTTTTCTTAAACTCCAGCAGTGTAGGATGCTTCTACCCAACCTACCTTCTCTATCTCCTTCACCCAGCGTCAGACTTGCTTTATTAGCCGATGCTCACCCAGCCTTGTCTGGCTCCCTCTTCATTTTCTTTCACAAGTGGTCCCCCTAATATAACCTTTGCCTTTTTTTTTGACACGGAGTCTCACTCTGTCACCCAGGCTGGAGTGCAGTGGTGCGATCTCGGCTCACTGCAACCTCCACCTCCCAAGTTCAAGTGATTCTCGTGCTTCAGCCTCCCTAGTAGCTGGGATTACAGGTGCACGCCACCACACCCCGCCAATCTTTGCATATTTAATCCCAAATTGGTACCTGCTTTTCAGACTAATATAATATCCAAGAACTAGCAGAAACATAAAATCCCAGCTCTCAATACTCGTTATATACAATGCAAGGCCTAAATCAGTGCTTACTCAATTATACTAACAGACCCTTACCATGCTCTGAGTGTGATGTAAACACTTCGGTGACCTGGCTAGTCACTCCCATGCTCAAATAAACCCAGTTTTCTGGCTTTGTCAGTGGGCACTCTCTCAGTCCGTCTCTGTGGGGAGGTGGGATATCCATTTTTCCAAGTAAAAGGCTTGATTTTACTCCTCAAATTCCACTAGAAAGAAGTCAACTGTGGCATTAACATGTATGATCTCTACATTATAGGGGGTCTAACCTAAGCAAGACATAGAGTACCTGCCCTCTAGGACTTTTTGGAGGCCTCGACATTGAACTGCCCCATCAAAGAGAGGAAGCCTATTTGGAATGACACACGGGGAGTCTTGTTTGTCCAGCCAATCCTGCAGATTCTAAAATTTGTCATTAGATCTGTCAGAAAGCTGAATACTTGTACAGCTCATCTTGGATCAAAAAGAAAGAACTGAGTTTACTCTAAGGCTATATCCTCAGTTTTGTTTTGTTCTTCTGAGAAGCATTACTTTAATGAGCTTATAATTACTATATAAATCAGAGGATGTGAACACAATAAACATACTTGGGGAAATTGTCATAGAAATATTTGCATAGAAAACATGCAAACTATAGTGTTTTCTCCTGTTTAAAGAAAATTTCCAACAATATAAATGTCTAAACAAGAAGACATTTTATTTTCTTGAGAGACCAAGATTTTCTACTTTTTAAAATTGTGGTAAAATATGCATAACCTAAAATTTACCATTTTAACTACTTTATTTTTTATTTTATTTCATTTTTATTTTATTTTTTTGAGATAGGGTCTCACTCTGTTGTCCAGGCTGGAGGGCAGTAGCATTATCCTGGCTCACTGAAGCCTTTATTTTATTTTATTTTATTTTATTTTATTTTATTTTATTTTATTTTATTTTTTGAGATAGGGTCTCACTCTGTTGTCCAGGCTGGAGGGCAGTAGCATGATCCTGGCTCACTGAAGCCTTCTGGATTCAAGCCATCCTCCTACCTCAGCCTCCTGAGTAGCTGGAACCATAGGCATGTGCCGCCATGCCAGGCTAATTTAAAACTTTTTTTGTAGGTACAGGGTGGGGATGTCTCCCTGTGTTGCCCAGGTTGGTCTCTGACTCCTGGGCTCAAGTGATCCTTCTGCCTCAGCCTCCCAAAGTGCTGGGATTACAGGTGTGAGCCATTGCTCTTGGCCCATTTTAACCATTTTAAACTATGCACTTCTTTACAAGGATTAAATATAATATAAATATGTGTTAATTAGCATAATACCTTAAGTGCATAAGGTACCTAAGTGCTTGATAAATGTACAAGTATGCAGATGTGTGTGGGTGGGGGTAAAGTATAGAGGAGATACCAAACCACTTAGAAAATAGTGTCAAATTGACTCCTCTAAACAGAGGCCAAGGTGGGATTAGATAGATACACAGGAGATTTATTGGAGAAAATGCCTGTGAAGGATAAAGTGGTAGGGAGCTGAAGTAGGAATTGTTTTCAGACCACAATATCAGCTTGACACATGTGAAAGGAGAGAGAGAAGGAAAGAAGATTGGGTAGGAAGAGTCTCAAATACTGCAGTTCTGAGCAAGTTTTGGCCAGGCTGATGGGAGTCCCTGAGCCAGAGTTGCCCATTAAAGGAATCCCCATCAGGCAGGAATGGCCTGATTTGAGTATCTCCACTGTGCCACCAGTCATTGGTGGGAGAGGCTGGAGGCTATTGGTCAGCTACACTCTCCACAAGAGGTTCTTCTAACAGGACACCTGAAAAGCACATCTCCATGCCCCTGCCCCATAACAGCATATCAAAAACCCATTACTCATTTACAGCATTTGCTGTGAGGATAAGAAACATTTCCATCATATATCTGTACAGTCTATAAAAAGTCTTATTTGAGAAAGTCTTCCTAAGTGTCTCAACAAACTTGGTCCCTATAAAAACTTCTTCCCCAAATACAGGCAAAATTTCATAAGGACTTGGCACTCTGCATCCCCATCTGAGGCAATCTTACCAAATGTTTTTCTAATTGTCCTCAGGAACCTGTTCCATTTTCCAGTTCCAGTTGCTGTGGAATTTGCCTTTCTACCTAGTTCCTGCTGGACGTGAAGCTGGGTATGCTTTATTGGCTCCCAGGTCTGACTTTTCCCCAGAATACTGTCATTGCTTCTGTATTTGTCTCATGTCCCCAAAGCCTCAGGCAGCCCTGCCCTGTTCTTGATCACAACTCTGGTTTCGAGGAGCCAAATCCACATCAGAGTCCCAAGGCCACATTGGTCTGGGGAAAACAAATATTTTCTCCTCATGGATAAAAAGAACAATGCGATTGATTTTACGTATTTGCTTTTTCCTTTGGCTGCAACTTTAACAGGTTAAAACTTTTTTTTTGTTTCATTTAAAAAATTCCCAAGATTACTATATAGACCTATGTAGAGTAATCAAAGCTTGCCATGGGTTTTTGGAAAATTTAACAAACTGGTTCAAAGTTTATCAGGTAGAATGAAAAAGGAGCAAGGGTCAAAACATTCCTGAAAAAGAAAAGCTACAGAGGGGTAAAGCTAGAGGACATTATGCTAAGTGAAATAAGCCAGGCACAGCAGGATAAATACTGCATGATTCCACTTATATTAGGTATCTAAAATAGTCAGACTCATAAGAAGCAGGGAGTAGAATGATAATTTTGTTTTGGGGCAGAGAGAAATGGGGAGTTGCTCTTCAATATGTATAAAGTTTCAGTTATGCAGGATGAATAAGTTCTAGAGATCTGCTGTGTAATATCGAGCCTATAGTTAACAATACTGTATTCTATGTACCCTTAGGAACTTGTTAAGGGGCAGATCTCATGTTAAGTGTTCTTGACGCTACAAAAAAAAAAAAGCATTCAATGGTTTAAAATTTATATAATATGTGTGTTATAAATGAATTCAAATTTTGACTCTCATTTTCTTTGATGACGGAAAATACTCAATCTTGCCTCATATTTTAGCTCAGTAAGTTTGGTTTAAAATGTAGTTCCTTGTAAGTAAATATCTGGTCCACCCTAAGATCTGAGAATACCCACCTTCTTGACAGGTATGTATGTGTCTGTGATCTAAGTTATCCTGGGGACAGAGCAGATGTCCTGGCATGGGGCAGCAGCCTCTTGTTCTTATGCCAGCCTATGTCTACATGAGAGTATAACTGGTTCTCACCTGCCCTGGTCTTGGGGTTCCTTTTGAACCCCACCCCAAACTTCCTTTTGTCCTCTGGTTCTCTCATCACTTTTTTTTAACCTCCGCTGGGAGCTCAGGAATTTTCAGTGCCTTCTGGAACTACTCAGGATTGTGAGACTCTGCCAAGCCCCTCTTAGGCCCATCTGCCTACATGCCTCCTTCATTGGGACTCTTCTACCACCCAGGCAGTGAGTTTCTCAGAATCTTGGCTGAACTCACTTAACTCTAGGCTTCCCTATGAGTTCTGCAGTCTCCTTGGCTGGGATTCCCTCAAAGCTCTCTGGGTGTTTCTATCATACTCTCTCCATCTGGGCTTTATTTAAGTCCAGGTGGGTGGCATGTATATAATGGAGCAGGTAAGGGAATGGTTCTAAAGTGAAAAGCCTATGCTTTATTTGGTTCCCTCCAAAATATCCTCTAACTGCTGTTCAAGCTCTCTCATTTCCTTTCTTCGCGGGGTAGGGGGGTGGCAAGGGCAGAAAAATCTCCATTATATGTTGTCATGCACTCCTTTCAACTCCAGTTTTATATAAATTATGCTTAGTCCTCCAAATTTGGCATTTTCTATTTAAATCTAGTGTGGAATGGTAAGAAAATGTTTTCTCTTTTAACAAATACTAAGTTTTGCAAATAAAAATGTTTTCAGCCTATTGTTTCAATCTGTTTAATAATTTATTTAGGAATTCAGTTGCCATGTTTTGTCTTAAGAGATAGCCATCTTCCCCTTCAAGACCAAATATATGAAATAATATCATTTATTTAAGTGTAATGTAGTGATGTGATGAATAGAAACTATAATTTAATAACAAAGCATTGCCCAATACAACACAGACAAATTTATGGTTTAGTTATACCAAATATTAAAACCTTATGATCAGATACTCTATGACCAATTCTTCCTCATAGTTTACGATTACTTTCCCTTTGGTCTATATATTTTCTCTAGGACTAATCTTTTTTACTTTTACTTAGATATTATTAGATAGAGTTCTATCTTTGGCAATAGCTGGCTAGGTTATTTTGGAGTAATCCTGGCACTGATAAGAATCACACAAAATGGACAAAATATAAAATAAACATCTGTTCAAAGACATCAGAAAGCCACTGAGGGAATGAGAATTTACAGGGCCAAGAATCCAAAAGAAGAAGAAAGTTTACAAAGGGGAGCCGGGCATTTCGTCTCCATTTCTTTCAAGGCAATTGCTAATTCTGAAAGTGAAAGGTATCTAAGTGCATGAGAAGTTGAGCAGAACTTTTGGCAAGATTCTTGAGCTAGGAAAAGCCCACAAAGGAGGAGTGACCCTGGAAAACACCTCAGCCTTTTGTTTGGGACTTTTAAAGGCTATGATCTAAGAGTAACAGTGAACCAGAAACAGACCAGCCCTTATAGCAGTGGTTCTCAATCATGGATAAACATGAGAATTACCTACAAAGATTAAAAAATTTATCAGTGCCCCATAGTTCAAAAAATCTCTACAAAATTATGCTGAGTGAAAAGAACCAAAAACAAAAAAAAAGGATACATATTACATGACTCCTTTTGTCTAACAATCGTGGAACAATTACAGGAATGGAGAACAGATCAGTGGTTGCTAGGGGTTAGAAAAGAAAGAGGATGGGTATGGCTATAAAGGAATAACACAGGGAGTGACGGTATAGTTGAGTATCTCATTTGTGGTGCTTTTTAGGGAGGATACAGATGTGAAAAAATTGCATAGAACTACACATACACACACACACACACACACATATGTACACAAGTCCATGTATAACTGGTAAAATCTGAATAGGCTCTATGGATTGTGCCAATGTTCGTTTTTTGGTTTTGACATTGTACTATAGTTGTGTGAAATGTTTGCATTCAGTGGGGTAAGCTTTAGGGAAGGGCTACGTGAGCTTTTCAGTGCATTTTTTGCAACCTCCTGTGAATCCATAATTATTTCAAAAAAATGTTTTTAAAAACTACTCCCCCACAAAAAATCAATGCTTCACTCCAGATCAGTTGAATCAGATCTCTGAAGTAGAGTCCAGGCACATGCATATTTTTGAAGCTTCCTGTGTGGTTCTAATGTGCAACCAGTATTGAGAACCACTGACTTACAGGGAATGAAGGCACTTTTAATAATTTCAATACTTGGATAGATTAATATTATCACTAGGCCCATTCCCTTCAGAGCAAAAGTAAATCCTCTGTGAAAGAAGATAACATCATTCAGGATCACAAATTATCTCTATGGTTTTTCATACTCAATATACATCAAGACAAGACTTCATACAAAACTAAGAATAAAAACAGATAATAGACACAGATCCACAGAAGATCCAGATACTGAAGTTATCAGCCAAAGATTTAAAAATAACCATAGTTAAAATAGCTATACAAACAGAAAAGCCACAAAGAAAAAAATTCAAAGCAGAAAAAAGTACAAAGAAAACCATGCCTATGCACGTGACGATAAAAGTACTAAAAATCAAAGAAAAAAAGTCTTAAAAGCAGCCACAGAATAAAAACTATAAAGAAACAGCCATAAGATTAAACTTATAGCTGAATTCCTAACAGAAATAGGAAAGTCAGAATAAATGCAGTGATATCTTCAAAATGCTAAAAGAAAATTACTACCGACCTAGAATTCTATGCCTGATGAAGATATCCCTCAAAAATGAAGTAAAATAAGAGCATTTTCAGACTACTATAAATTGACAGAATTTGTCACTAAAGGAAATATGAAAGAGTGTTCTCTAGCAAAAGGAAAACAAATCCAGATGAAACTTGGAAAAAGCAATGGATAGGGTAAATGCGTGGGTAAATCTACATGAATATTGCCTGTATATATTTTATTAAATATATTTTTGGTAGATGCTTCAAAATATTTGTTTATGTAACAACACTTCAAAAAAGTATTCTCATATAAGATATATCATCTTCATAATCTTTCTATGACAGGAAAGTCTGTGTATCATTTAGGAATGTGGGTTGCAAGTATTTGAAAACTAAATAAAGCTTGAAAATAGGGGTTCATTTTTCTAATATAACAAGAAATTAATGCAAATGCCAAATCTATGGTATTTGCAGTTGCCGAAAGTAATCAAGGACTCAGCCTTTTTCTTTCTGCTCCATCGTTCTTAGTTTGTTGGCTTTCAGTATTATGGTCAACAGATGGCTGTACATCCAGGCATCACAGTCTCATCCTAGGCAGGAAGAAAAGGGAAGAGCAAAAGGCTGCATCAGCTAATTTGTTCTCCATTTAGGGGGGAAACAATACTTTCCCAAAACCACATATCAAACTGCTACTCACATCCTCTTGGTCAGACTGTTTCACAGGGCACCCCAATTGCAAAAGAGGTTGGAGAATTGATTAAGAATTGATTGATTTATCTTTCCAGCCTCTAATGCACAGGAAGACAAAAGGGAATGGGGCAGGGAATTAATTTGAAGTAAGCCAGCCTACAGTACCTGCATGGGGGATAAGGTCAACTAGCTCACTAAACATTGACTCTACCCTCCTTTTAGTGCACCTTTTTGTACTGCAGAGGCTAGGGAGCTAAAAATTACTTTTCCCAACTAGGTTCCTGTGTGATTTAGCTTTTGCTAATCAGATGCACTTGTGCAAGAGTTGGGACCTGGAAGTGATAGGATGAAAGCGATTCTGCTATTTCTTTTGATTCTTTCTTCTGGCAGGCACAGTCAGGCAGAGAAGCACTGGCTTTTTCTGTGCCAGCATTTCAGTGGCAAGTCGCTAGCTTCATGGGTAGGGATGTGCCTGATGTAGAGCATGCACATCTAAGAGAGTCAGCATAGTTCTAGAGCTAGCAGTAGTGGCGGTGGTGGCCGGAGCTACCTGATCCCTGCTACATGCTTCTGAAACCAACAGTTCCAATGATGGTGGCAGAAATGACATCTCTGGTGGCTACTTCCGCAGGGTCATTCTAGGATTTATTTTTGAAGACCTAGCCTGGAGCTTGCTCCTACCTAAAATGTCGTAAATTTCTAATCCCGTGCATTAAATACCTTTGCTTAAAATATCTAGTTTATGTTTCTGCAGTTGACTCTGGCCTATATAATCTGCCTCAATTCATCTCTTTAGGTTCCCAATACCCCTACTCAATCTTTTAATCAAATATATACTTGGTTTAGAGGGAGTCATCCCTTCCCTCAGGTTAAACTCAATTCTTGCAATCAGCTTGAGTGATTTTTATTCCTGTCAAGTTCCTATATGGGCTCCCCATGGAGTCATGGAATTAATCTGTCTTCTACATTCTCGGTGTACAGTGTGTGGAGAATTAGAATGACTACACTATGAACATGACACACGGAGCTGTCAGTAGTCATGGCACATGCAGAATCCTGTTGGGCAGGAGTGGTGAGTACTCTATGCTGACAGTGGAGTCACTTCCTTGGTTGAGCCATCTGTCTGACAGTCCTGGTTCTGCCCTATGGGAGAATCTTCTCATTATCCCCCATAGCCACATCTTATTAATATTTGGGAGAGCATTCCATTCCTATACAGATTTTATAAACCATCTCCTTTTGAGGTGGATTTAGGAGCCTGAGGGCTGAGCAGTTAGTCACTGGCTGACAGCAAGCTAGGCCAGCATTTCTTTGCAGCTTCCACGACCTCGTTAGTAGGTTTCTAGTTAGTCGGATTCTTGCTGATCCCAGATATGAGTAACCATAGTTACTCATAGCTTAGGGACATAGTCTCTGTCCCTAAGCTTCATGGCCACTGTATGGAGCACTTTGAATCAATAGCCCTCTATGGAAAGATATCACCTTTAATCAATTTTTTCCCTAGGGACTGGCCTCTCTTTCTTCTCACTGGTAGAGAGCTTTTAAGGGAAAATGCTTGAGAAAGGCCTAAAGCCCCCACTACAAGGTTCTAAACTGTAACATTTGCAGGCAATTTAGAGTGTAGGCAGCAGGCAGAGACCACTTCTCTCAGCAAAACTATGTTTTCATTCATCTTTTCTACACTGGCTACTTCTAGGCCAAGTTCATCCCTTGCTAGGGTCTGAATATCCCCATCAAAACTCATAGTGAGACAGGGTGGAGAAAGATGGTTAAATAGAAGCCTTCACTGATCACCTCCCCAAGAGGAACACCAAATTGAACAACTATCTATACAAAAAAGCATTGTCGTAAGAACCAAAAATCAGGTGAGCAATCACGGTACCTGGTTTTAATTTTAAATAGCTGAAAGTTAACTTTACATAGCTGAAAGAGGCACTGAAGAGGGTAAGAAAGATAGTCTTGAATAGCTGATGCCACCCCCTCCCCCATTCAGCAGCGGCTGCACAGCATGGAGAATCTGTGTGCTTACAGGAGAGACAGCACAGCAATTGTGAGACCCTGCATTGAACTCAGTGCTGCCCTGTCACAGTGGAAAGCAAAACCAGGTTGAGGTCAGCCAACACTCATCCACAGAGGGAGCATTTGGACCAGCCCTGGCCAGAAGGGAATCACCCATCCCAGTGGTCAGAATTTGAGTTTCCACAAGCCTTGTCACTCCAGGCTGAATGAAGTCTCTGGGGTCCTAAATAAACATGAAAGGCTATCTAGGCCACAAGGACTGCAATTCCTAGTGCTGTTCTGGGCTTGGAGCCAGTGGGACTTGGGGGACATGTGACCCAGTGTGACACCAGCTGGGGTGGCTAAAAAAGTGCTCGTGCCACCTCTCCCCAACCCCAGGCAGCAAAGCTCACAGCAACAAAAGCAACTCCTTCTTCTTTCTACTTGAGAAGAGGAGAGGGAACAGTAAAGAGGACTTTGTCTTGAATCTTGGATATCAGCTCAGCCACAGTATAGCACACTGGGCAGAGTTGAGAGGCACCCATTCCAGGCCCTAGCTCCTGGACAACATATCTAGACACACACTGGGCCAGAAGGGAACCTGCTGCCTTGAAAGGAAGGACCTAGTCCTGGCAGGATTCATCACCTGCTGACCAAAGAAACCTTGGGCCCTGAAACCAGCAATGATACCCTAGTTGTACAGCATGGGCCTTGGGTGAGACCGAGATGTACCGGCTTCAGGTGAGACCCAGCACATTCCCAGCTGCATTAACTATGGTGAGAGGCTCCTTCTGCTTGAGAAAAGCAGAAGGAAAACTGAGGGGAACTTTGTCTTGCACTTTAGCTACTAGCTCAGCCACAGGGACGTACAGCACCAACAGGGCTCTTAGAGTTCCCAGTTCCAGGACTTGTCTCTTGGATGGCATTTCTGGATCTGCTGTGGAGCAGAGGGGAGCCCACTGCTCCGAAGGGTGAGTCACAGGCCTGGTAGCATTCACCACAAGCTGACTGAAGAGTCCTTGAGCCTTAAGGAAATATTGGTGGTAGTCTGGTAGTACTCCCCATGGGCCTATGGTGGTGGTGGTCATGGAGTGGGGCTCCTCTTCCTTTGGAAAGGGGTAGGAAGAGTGGGAAGGACTGCATCTTTTGGTTTGAGTACCAGCTCAGCTGCAAACAATGGAACACCGACAGACTTCTAAGGTTTTTGTCTCTAGTCCCTGACACCTCTATGGTACCTATGGATTTCCCTGGGGCAACTCACCACCTTGAAGGGAAGGACACAGGCCTGGCTGGTTTTGCCATCTGCTGATTGTAGAGCCCCAAGGCCTTGAGTGAATATAGGCGGTAGGGAGGCAGTGGTTACAGAGGGCCTCGGACAAGATTCAATACTATGCTGGCTTCTAGTCTGACCAAGCACAGTCTCAGCAGTGGTGGCCACAGTGGTGCTTGTATCACTGCACCATCAGCTCCAGGTGGCTTACCACAGAGAGAGACCCTCCCTTTGTTTGAGAGAAAGTAAAGGAAGAGAACAAGAGTCGCTGCCTGGTTATCCAGAGAATTCTTCCAGATCTTACCCAAGACCACAAAGCTGATATTTCCACAAGTCTGCATGAACCACAGTGTCACTGGGTTTGGGGGTGCCCCCAATGCAGATACAACATAGATCACAACATTCAAGTCCTTTTGAATACATGGAAAGCCTTCCCAAGAAGGACAGGTACAAACAAGCCCAGACTGCGAAGACAAAACAAATACCTAACTCTTCAAACATACACTGACAGACATCCACAAGCATCAAGATCATCCAGGAAAACATGACCTCACCAAATGAACAAAATAAGGTACCAGGGACCAATCATGGAGAAACAGGGACATGTGACTTTTCAGACAGAGAATTCAAAATAGCTATTTTGGGGAAACTCAAAGAAATTCAAGATAACATAGAGAAGGAATTCATAATTCTGTCAGGTAAATTTAACAAAGAGATTGAAATAATTAAAAAGAATTGAGCAAATTTTGGAGCTAAAATATGCAATAGGCATACTGAAGAACGCATCAGAATCTTTTAATAGCAGAATTGATGAGGAAGAAGAATTAGTGAGCTTGAAGATGGGTTATTTGAAAATACACAATCAGAGGAGACAAAAGAAAAAAGAATAAAAAACAATGAAGCATGCCTACAGGATCTAGTAAATAGTCTCAAAAGGGAAAATCTAAGAGTTATTGGCCTTAAAGAGGAGGCAGAGAAAGAGATACAGATAGAAAGTTTATTCAAATGGATAATAACAGAGAACTTTCTAAACCTAGAGAAAGATATAAATATCCAAGTACAAGAAGCTTATAGAACACCAAGCAGATTTAAGAACCTCAAGGCACCCAAAGATCAAAGATAAATAAGGGATCCCAAAAGCAGCAAGAGAAAAGAAACAAAAAACATACAGAATATTACAACACTGTAATTGTGTTGGGTAAATTATTCATATTATGAGTAGAAAGACTAAAAGATGAACCAATCAAAAACAATAACTATAACAACTTTTTAAGACATAGATGCTGCACTAAGATATAAATAGAAACAACAAAAGTTAAAAAGCAGAGAAATGAAGTTATAGTTTTTATTAGTTTTCTCTTTGCTTGTGTTTTTTATGCAATCAGTGTTAAATTGTCATCAGTTTAAAATAATGGATTATAAGATAGTATTTGCAAGCCTCATGGTAACCTCAAAAAAATATACAACTGATACTCAAGAAATAAAAAGCAAGATAGTAAATAATACCACCACAGAAAATCACCTTCACTAAAAGGAAGACAGGAAGGAGGGAAAAAAGGATGAGAAGACCACAAAACAACCAGAAAACAAATAGCAAAATGTCAGAAGCAAGTCCTTACTTATCAGTAGTAACATTGAATGTAAATGGGCTATACTCTTCAATAAAAAGACATAGGGTGGCTGAATGGATAAAAAAAGCAAAACCCACTAATCTATTACCTACAAGAAACACATTTCATCTATAAAGATGCACATAGACTGAAAATAAAGGGATAGAAAAAGATATTTCATGCCAATGGAAACCAAAAGAGAGCAGGAATAGCTATATCAGACAAAATGTCATATTTAAAATATCATATTATGATATTTATCACATTATATTTATCATAATATGATATTTATATCAGACAAAGTAGATTTCAAGACAAAAGCTATAAAAAGAGACAAAGGGCTGGGCGCAGTGGCTCACATCTGTAATCCCAGCACTTCGGGAGGCCAAGGCGGGTGGATCAAGGTCAAGAGATGGAGATCAGCCTGGCCAACATGGTGAAAACCCATCTCTACTAAATATACAAAAATTAGCTGGGCACGGTGGCATGCGCCTGTAGTCCCAGCTACTTGGAATGCTAAGGCAGGAAAATCGCTTGAACCCAGGAGGCGGAGGTTGCAGTGAGCCAAGATTGTGCCACTGCACTCCAGCCTGGGTGACAGAGTGAGACTCCATCTCAAAAAAAAAAAAAAGAACAGGCAAAGAAGGTCATTATATAATGATAAAGGGGTTAATTCAGCAAGAGGATATAACCATTGTAAATATATATGCACCCAACACTGCAGCATCCAGATATATAAAGCAAATATTACTAGAGTTAAAGAGAGAGATTAACCCTAATACAATGATAGCCGGAGACTTCAACACACCACTTTCAGCATTGGACAGATCTTCCAGACAGAAAATTAACAAAGAAATATTGAATTTAATCTACACTATAGACCAAATAAACCTAGTAGATACTTACAGAACATTTCATCCAACAGCTGCAGAATACGTATTCTTCTCCCCAGCATGTGGATCATTTTCAAGGATAGGCCATATGTTAGGTCACAAAACAAGTCTTAAAACATTCAAAAAATTGAAATAGTAAGAAACGCCCTTTTTGCTGTAGGCCCAAGTGGTTGCTGCTGAAATGGGCAAGTTCATGAAACCTGGGAAGGTGTCGCTTGTCCTGGCTGGACACTACTCTGGACGCAAAGCCATCATCATGAAGAACATTGATGATGGCACCTCAGATCGCCCCTACAGCCACCTCTGGTGGCTGGAATTGACTGCTACCCCCGCAAAGTGATAGCTGTCATGGGCAAGAAGAAGATCGCCAAGAGGTCAAAGATCAAGTCTTTTGTGAGAGTTTATAACTATAATCACCTAATGCCCACAAGGTACTCTGTGGATATCCCCTTGAACAAAACTGTCATCAGTAAGGATGTCTTCAGAGATCCTGCTCTTAAACGCAAGGCCTGACGAGAGGTCAAGGTCAAGTTTGAAGAGAGATACAAGATAGGCAAGAACAAGTGGTTCTTCCAGAAGCTGCGGTTTTAGATGCTTTGTTTTGGTCATTAAAAATTAAAAAATAAGAAAAAGAAATAGTAACAAGCATTTTCTCTGATCACAATGCAATAAAACTAAAAATCAATAATAATAGGAATTTTGGAAACTATACAATCACATGGAAATTAAACAATGTGCTCCTGAATAACCAGTGAGTCAATGAAAAAATTAAGAAGGAAATTTTAAAAATGTCTTAAAACAAGTGAAAATGGAAATGCAAAATACCAAAACCAATGGGGTACAGCAAAAGCAGTACTAGCAGGGAAGTTTATAGCTATAAGTGATTACACCAAAAACAAAGAAAAACTTCAAATAACAATGCATCATAAAGAACTAGAAAAGAAAGAGCAAACCAAACTCAAAATTGTAGAAGAAATAATACAGATCAAGGCCATAGAAATAAATGAAATGAACATAACAATACAAATAACTAATGGAAGGAAAAGCTGTTTTTTACAAAACATAAACAAAATTGACAAACCCTTAGGCAGACTAAGAAAAAGAGAGAGAAGACCCAAATAAATAAAATCAGAGATGAAAAAGCAGACATTAGAACTGATAGAGCAGAAATTCAAAGGATTATTAGTGGCTACTATGAGCAACTTTTGTCACTAGATTAGGAAATATAAGAGAAATGGACAAATTCCTAGACATGTACAACCTATCAAGATTGAACCATGAAGAAATCCAAACCTGAACAGACCAATAACAAGTAACAAGAACGAAGCTGTAGTAAAAGAGTCTCCCAGCGAAGAAAAGCCCAGGACCCAGTGGCTTCACGGCTGAATTCTACGAAACATTTAAAGAAGAACTAATACCAATCCTGTTCAAACTGTTCCATAAAATATAGGTGAAGGGAATACTTCCAAATGCGTTCTGTGACGACAGTATAATCCCGATACCAAAAACCAGAAAAGACACATCAGAAAAAGAAAACTACAGGCCAATATCTCTGATGAATATTGATGCAAAAATCCTCAAGAAAATACTAGCAAGCCAAATTCAACAACACATTAAAAAGATCATTCATCATGACCAAGTGAGATTTATCCCAGGTATGCAAGAATGGTTTGATTTGTGCAAATAAATAAATGTGATACATATTACATCAAGAGAATGAAGGACAAAAAACATATGATCATTTAAATTGATGCTGAAAAAGCATTTGATACAATTCAACATAACTTCATGATAAGAACCCTCAAAAAACTGGGTACAGAAGAAACATATGTCAACACAATAAAAGCCATATGTGACAGAACCATAGCTATTATCATACTGAATGGGGTAAAACTGAAAATCTTTTCTCTAAGATCTGGAACAGTACAAGGATGCCCACTTTCATCCCTGTTATTGAACATATTACTGGAAGTCTTCACTAGAGCAATCAGACAAGAGAAAGAAAGGGCATCCAAAGTGGAAGGAAGAAGTCAAGTTATCCTTGTTTGCAAATATGATCTTATATTTGGAAAAACTTAAAAACCCCACCAGAGAACTATTAGAACTGATGAACGAATTCAGTAAAGTTGCATACAAAATCAATACACAAAATCAGTGGCATTTCAATATGTCAATAGCAAATAATCTGAAAAAGAAATCAAGAGAGTAAACCTGTTTATGATAGCTACAAATAAAATACCTACAAATTTACTTAACCAAAAAAGGGAAAGATCTCTGCAATGAACGCTATAAAACACTGATTCTAGATATTGAAGAGAACATTAAAAAATGGAAAGATATCTCATGTTCATGGGTTGCAAAAATCAGTATTGTTAAAATGTCCTACTACCCAAAGTAATCTGCAGATTTGATGCAATCCATCAAAATACCAATGACATCCTTCAGAGAAATAGAAAAAAAATCCTAAAATTAAGCAGAACCACAAAAGACCCAGAATAGCCAAATCTATCCTGAGCAAAAAGAAGAAAACTGAAGGAATCACATTATACTACAGTACTATAGTAACCAAAACAGAATGGTACTCGCATAAAAACAAACACATAGACTAAAGGCACAGCATACAGAACCCAGAAATAAATTCATACATCTTTAGTAAACTCATTTTTGACAAAGTTGCCAAGAACATACAGTCTCTTGAGAAAGGACAGTCTTTTCAATGAATAGTGCTGAAAAAACTGTATATCCATATTCAGATCCACATTCTGTGCTGAAAAAACTGTATATCCATATTCAGATAGACCCCTATCTCTTGCCATATACAAAATCCAAATTAAAATGGATTAAAGACAATTCAGGAGAGTCCAATCTTTTGGCTTTTCTGGGCCACATCAGAAGAAGAATTGTCTTGGACCACACATAAAATACACTAACACTAATGATAGCTGATGAGCTAAAAAAAATCGCACAAATACTCATAATTTTTAAACAAAGTTTACAAATTTCTGTTGGGCCACATTGAAAGCCATCTTGGGCTGCATGCAGCCCAAGGGCCATGGGTTGGACAAGCTTGACGTAAATATAAGACCTCAAATTACAAAACTACTAAAAGAAAACATTGAGGAAACTCTTCAAGACATTGGAGTGGGCAAAGATTTCTTGAATAATATCCCACAAGCACAGGCAACCAAAGCAAAAATGGACAAATGGTATCACATGAAGTTAAAAAGCTTTCTGCCCAGCAATGGAAGCAATCAACAAAATGAAGAGACAACTAGCAGAATGGGAGAAAATATTTGCAAGCTGCCCATCTGACAAGGGATTAATAACCAGAATATGTAAGGAGTTCAAACAACTCAATAGGAAAAAATCTAATAATCCCATCAAAGAAAATGGGCAAAAGATGTGCATAGACGTTTCTCAAAAGAAGACATACAAACAACAAACAGGCATATGAAAAGGTGCTCAATATCATTCATCATCAGCAAAATGCAAATCAAAACTATAGTGAGATATCATCTCACCCCAGTTAAAATGGTTTATATCCAAAAGACAGGCAATAAGAAATGCTGATGAGAATGTGGAGAAAAAAGAACCCCCGTGCATTGTTGGTAAGAATGTAAATTAGTACAATCACTATGGAGAACAGTTTGGAGGTTCCTCAAAAAAACAAAAAATAAAGCTACTCTATGATCCAGCAATCCCACTACTCGGTATATACCTAAATGAAAGGAAATCATGATATCGAAGATGTATCTGTACTCCCATGTTTATTGCAGCACTATTCACAATAGCCGAGATTTTGGAAGCATCCCAAGTGTCCATCAACAGATGAATGGATAAAGAAAATGCGGTACTTACATACAATGGAGTACTATTCAGCATAAAAAGGATGAGATCCTGTCATTTGCAACAACATGGATGGAACTGGAGATCATTATAGCTAAGTGAAATAAGCCAGGCAAAGAAACACAAACATCACATGTTCTTATTTATCTGTGGGAGCTAAAAGTTAAAACGATTGGCCTGGCGCGGTGGCTCACGCCTGTAATCCTAGCACTTTGGGAGGCCGAGGCGGGCAGATCACGAGGTCAGGAGATCGAGACCAGCCTGGCTAACACGGTGAAACCCCGTCTTTACTAAAAATACAAAAAAATTAGCCGGGCGTGGTGGTGGGCGCCTGTAGTCCCAGCTACTCAGGAGGCTGAGGCAGGAAAATGGCGTGAACCTGGGAGGCGGAGCTCGCAGTGAGCCGAGATCGCTCCACTGTAGTCCAGCCTGAGTGACAGAGCGAGACTCCATCTAAAAAAAAAAAAAAGTTAAAACGATTGAACTCATGGAGATAGAGAGTAGAAGGACAGTTACCAGAGGCTAGGAAGGGTTATTGCGGGGTTGGGGAGAGAAATAGTTAGAAAGAATGAATAAGAACTAGTATTTGCTAGCACTACAGGGTGACTATAGTAAAGAAATCAATTTAATTGTACATTTAAAAATAACTAAAAGAGTGTAATTGGATTGTTTGTAACACAAAGGATAAATGCTTGAGGTGATGGATACCCCCATTACCCTGATAGGATTATTAGGCATTGCATGCCTGTATCAAAATATCTCACATACCCCATAAATATATATACCTACTATGTACTCACAAAAATTAAAAATTAAAAAAAAATTCATGTTGAAATTTGATTGCCAATATAATGATGTTGGGAAGTGGGGCCTTTAAAAGGTGATTAGGTCATGAGGTTTCTGTCCTCATGAATGGATTAATGCCATTATTGTGGGAGTGGATCAGCTATCTCAGGAGTTGGGCCCTCCTTTTTCTGTCTCATGAGCTCTTGCCCTCTCTCTCTTGCCCTCTTTGACTATATGATGCCTTCTGCCATGGGATGAAGGC
This sequence comes from Homo sapiens, assembly GCF_000001405.40. Taxonomy (NCBI): domain Eukaryota; kingdom Metazoa; phylum Chordata; class Mammalia; order Primates; family Hominidae; genus Homo; species Homo sapiens. The sequence continues at coordinate 63,689,019 of NC_000002.12, forward strand.
CATGTTCTTGAACTTCCCAGCCTCCAGAACTGTAAGCCAAATACACTTCTGTTCTTTATAAATTATCCAGTCTGTGGTATTCTGTTTTAACAACAGAAAATGTGCTAAGACATCCCTCTTGCAGGGCTTTGTGGAAAGTGGCAAAGCATTATTACTAGGGTCTGTTTTGGGATGGGGAGGGGGAATCTAATTTTAATGGATCAATTTCTTTTTTAAAAAAATGATCCAGGGTATTGTCAGCAACTAGTTTATTCTTCTCTGTAAATTTTTCTTCAAAGAGCAGAAGAATTCACAAATTTAGATAATCTGGTCAAACCCTCTAACTTCAGAAAAGAAACTAAGCATCAGACTCTTTGATGCTGTTTTCTCCACTGAAAAGCTTTTCAGTGGAGTAAAGGGGGCCTCGAAATATTCTGAGATTTGTAGGAGGGTGAAGTAAATACCTAAGGTAATTGTGACGGATAGTTCTTGAATTATCTGCTTTCAACTATCTTCTATCAGGCTGTGGTGAACCCAAGTAACTGAAACTCCTGATGCAAGTAGTACAGACGTATTCAGGAGGGATACTTCTAAGGGGTTGAGGGGAAAAATGCCTGTTGGGGGTTAACCTTATTCAGTGGAGAAAACAGCATCATTGCTTCTGATGCCTAGTTTCTTAATTTTAAAGTAGGCCCGATCCAACATTTCCTCATCATCCTCTCTTATTTCTTCAGATATAAGATCTCTGAAATAGAAATAAATTTTATTCTTATTTATGCAGAGTGCATAATTCAGCTGCTCAGTATCATATGAAATAAAGACCTCCAGAAACTTCCAGGGCCTATTCAATCTTCCTTGCCAAGGGGTCAACTTGACGTTATTAACCCAGTGTACTGCACAGAAGCAATAATAAAAGCCATAAAACATCATTGCAAAGTGACTAGCACAGACTTCAAAGAGGAGCTAAGACAGATGTGAGCAATATCCTATAATGTATGTACTTATCACCTTTGCATTCAGATGGTGGTGGATACCCCTGAATGAGTGTTTAAAGATGTCAAGAATGAGGGCATGAGGAGAAACCAGACAACTCCAGCTAAGTGGACCCATGCACAAAGGACAGTCATGAGGTGAACCATCTGTCTCTTCCAGTCTGTTCTACCCTGTTCAAAGCACTTCTAACAGGTTATTTTAATTAACCTGTAAAACAATTTCCCATGAAGTAGATTGGAGAGAAATTATTGTAAAACCTTATTTAAAACTGTTAAATTCAGCTGGAAAGGCTAATTATCATTATCATACTTTTATAAATGAGGAAACTGAGACACAATGAAGTTAAGTGATTTATGTAGAGCTAGATATTTAATCCCTATTTAATTCCTGATTCTGTGCTTTTTTCACACCATCCCAGTAAGTCCCACTTAGGAACATCCTAGCCTTCTGTAGTTCAGCAGTAACAGCAAAAACTTCAAGCAGGCCAGGAGCCGTGACCCATGCCTGTAATCCCAGCACTTTGGAGGCTGAAATGGGCAGATCGCTTGAGCCCAGGAGTTTGAGATCAGCCTGGGCAACATAGCAAGATCTCCTCTCTACAAAAAATACAAAAACTAGGCAGGTGTGGTGGGGGCATGCTTATAGGAGGCTGAGGTGGGAGGATCATTTGAGCCCAGGAGGCAGAGCCTGCAGTGAACCATGATCGTGCCACTTCACTTCAGCCTGGGGTGACAGAGTGAGACCCTGTCTCGAGAAAACAAAACAAAACAAACAAACAAACAAAAACCCACAAAAAACTTCAAGCAGATTGCTCCGAGGTAATAATTATGAATATGTGTAAAGTTTACCTGTAATGATTCCATTGCGTAGTTGTTAAAAGCAAAAGATTGGAATTAATATAAATATCTACCAAAGGTGGCACATTAAATTACATAGGGGAATGCCATGGTAATAGTAAAAAAAAACCACATAATTCAAGAATAGTTGGGTAGGGAAATGTAATGCAAATGTATATCAGTGGGGAGAAATGAATGTACATGCATAACCTTAAAACATATATTTATCTGGATCTGTTATAAGCAACAATAACATCAATGATAGCATTTTTGCTCTCAACTAAATCTCACGTGGGCACCCTTAGCATCCAGCTTTTAGTCTCTATTATCCATTAATATGAACCAGGAAATTTGGGGGATGGTTGACTCCATAGTTTGAGGGCAGGAAAAAATTATGTTGGATCTGAAACATCAGGATGTTTGGATAGGATACAAGGATAGAAATGCTTAGAGGACAGAAGGCACTATATAAGGACGCCTCCCCTGAACAGGTTATGAACATTTGTGTATCAGAAAAGAAGTAGTAGGCTGGGCGCAGTGGCTCATGCCTATAATCCCAACACTTTGGGAGGCTAAGGCGGGCAGATCACTTGAGGTCAGGAGTTGGAGACCAGCCTGGCCAACACGTTGAAACCCCACCTCCACTAAAAACACAAAAATCAGCTGGGCGTGGTGGTGGGCACCTGTAATCCTAGCTACTGGGGAGACTGAGGTGAAAGAATCGCTTGAACCTGGGGGGCGGAGGTTGCAGTGAGCCAAGATTGTGCCACTGCATTCCAGCCTGGGCAACAAGAGCTAAACTCCATCTCAAAAAAAGAAAAAAAGAAAAAGAAGTAGTAATATCAATAATAATGGGTAACTGAAACCAGCTGAGACTGTAAAAGGCTGTGAGTTCATACTGATGCTGAAGGAGGAATGCCAATTATAAGTGATAAAAATGTAACTGACATACAAAAGGAGAATAAAAAAGTTTTGGTTTACTTTGTTAACTTTAATAAGTAGAAAGGTATGATCTATACAAGATTTTTAAAAATTATATACTACAAAGTGTGTGTGTGTGTGTGTGTGTGTGTGTGTGTGTGTGTGTATTTTTCTATTCTATTAGCAGGAAGAAGTTTACAAATATTTACTGAATGAATGAAATAATTATAAAAAAATATAGGACCTACTCATTGTCTATAAATGATTATTTTCTCCAGTATACTATTACAAGTTACTCTCAATAATTATTCCTGGAAGGACATTTTCTTCAAGTTTTGTTTGAGCCACAGATTTCTAGCTCTACTCTTACTGGGAGTGCCTGATTTTGTTAGAGCCTTACATTACACAGAGAAAAACTTTAATATAAGTATATAAAACACAGCATTGACCAGCAGATGGCTCTACAGAGCAACAACAAAAAAAATCACGACATAATTTAAAACTGATGTATGTGTAAATCATTACTACAGGAAATCTTTTTTACATTCTCTCTGTGTGTGTATGTGTGTGTATGAGAGAAACTGGAATGGTAAAAATGAAAACATTTAACTTGTTAAATTAACTTAGGCAAGTTAAATGTTTTGGTAAAATTTTAGAAGAAAATAGTTTTCAAGAAGTTCATCATGAAGTTATTACTGTCAACTTCTACATCAAAATTTACCCATAATATATGCAAAAGTAGTTCAACACAGATATCAAGAGCAAATTGACTGGAATTAATTGCTGCTTTTAAGTGTCATCTTCTAAACAGTATAAACCAAGGTCAAGAATATTCAGCAATCATTATTTATTCAGATCTAAAAGTAATGTGATGTTTAGAAAAGTGACTGTACTAAAATCTCTTTTAGATAGGCCTTAAATGATTTTTGAAATTTAAGAAGTACAAATTAAGTAATATAGAATATAAGCTTCATTCTGAAAAATATATCTAGGAATAAATATATACATAATGGCTTATATCTCAAACAGATATACTGATTTCCCTTGACATTCTTATGTATTATGTACTATCTTATAATGACAGTTCCAGGGATAATAAAATATAACACTGTTGTTTCTAGATTTTAATTGAAATGCATTCTGTCTCATTCATTCATTCAACTAACATTTATTGAGCACTGGCTATGTGCTACATAAGCAAGCTGTTTTAGGCACTTAAAATGTATAAATTCATTTAATTCTCAACTTTATGAGGTAGATACCATTATTATCCCCATTCTACAGATAAAAAACTGAGGCATGGAGATTAAATAACTAGTTCAAAGTCAGAGAGGTGACAAGTGGCAAATGCAAACTCTGGTGGTTTAGCTCCAATTCCAGTGGTCTTCCATGCATTCACTCATCAGAAAATATTAATTGGAGAATACAGCGCTCTCCTAGATGTCATACAAAAATATATGCACAAGGGGACTATAAACTAGGGAATAAACTTTACATTGGTAAGATGTTTTATAGTTTACAAAAATATGTTCGTATACCCATGAATATTAAGTAACTCTTCAAGAAAACAGTGCAGAAGATGGTATAAGCTGGTATGTATAATAAAATACCATATTAGTGGTACAGATAGTAATTTAAAAATATAACCAAGCAAAAGAAAAGATGGCTATAGACTACAGTAGATATAGATATTAGATAGATAGATAGATAGATAGATAGATAGATAGATAGATAGATAGAATTTAATGGAGGTGGTGGGAGTTGAATGGAGCTAGGCCTGAACAGTGGGGAGGATTTGAGGGGACAAGGAGGAAGTAGGAAAGGTACTACTCTGACAGCCCCAGGAGTACAGAGATTAGAAACCAATAAGACCTGATCAGAACAGACCCCCAAGGCGGGTTGTGGAAAATAAGGTTGGACAAGTAGGAGGGAGCAGATTTTGGAGACCTTTGAATGTTAGGAATGCTAGAGACTACAAGGGCAAGTAATTGATAAGTTGTTGCTAACAACCCAGCACATTCCTGGGAGCTCATTTAGCTGCTAAAGTCATTATTGCATTTGCTGTAGAATATTAGAGTTGAAAATACTATTAGAGTTGTTAAGGATTCTGCAATTGTATACATCATTTATTGATTAATGGACCATTCACTAATGCTTATGGAGTGTTCTGAAAAATCCAGAGCTACTTGATTTATGTATTTCTGCTAATACCATTTCTTGAAAATTAGTGTTGTTTTCTACCTTATTTATAATGCTTTCATACTAATTTGTCTGTGTATATTTTTAAATTCTTCTCTGCACATATTAAACCTTTATCATTCTTCCCTCCTCTTCTCTACTGTATTTTCACAGCAAAACTTATGAACAGAGGGTTTAAGGTTAAATATGTCTGTTTTATGGTATAGAAAAAGAGTTAATCAGTTGTGTCTAAGATAATAAAGGAAAACTATTGTCTGAAGTCATTTAGAATAGATCAATGATTGGTGAAGTGATTCAATCAAAAATATACTTTTTAGTTGACAATATTGCAGGAAACTACTAACTTGAAAAGACTAGGATAGTTAGCCTTTAGATGGTTAGGATTTCAAAGGCGGGTTGTTGAGAGGTACCTTATAATCTTTCTTTGATGTTGATGCAACTTCCCTCTTTTCCCCTTCTTTCTCTCCTCAAGTATTGTAGGACATGTATTTATTGTTTAAATGAAAAAAATGATAAAAATAATTATTGAGTATTTTACTCTGAATAAAGTGGATGACACTCTTGGTGACAAAGTCACAATTTAGGAGCCTTTTCAAGCAGGAAATAATTTTATTTTATTACCATTCATCAATATATACTGAAAATGTATCAAAGCACAAAATCTTGGGGACTCAATTCCATGTACTGATAAAGCATAGTTGTACCAAATAATTTGTACCAGAATTTCTTCATCTTTAAGAGTAGGAAGCATAAAAAAGGAAATGAAATGGAATTCTGACTTTGGTTCATATTTGTTTAAAAAACAATTGAAATGTAGCAGGTATGTATAAGTTAACATTGTTGGAGAGGAAAATGTGGCCTTTTTGAGATCAACAACAAATAGATTTTTCACATTTAGCCTATGAAACCTAAAGATAAGAAAAGGCAGGAAAAACACTGATTAGACTGAGAAGGGTTCAACTTCTGTCTGGTCAAAGTTTGCAGGCCAAGTTCTAAAAGAGAGTGAAATAGGGAGGAAATAGTTCAGTCAAAAATAAGAAACAAAAACACAGACAAATACAGGAACAATATTTTCAGAAACATTGACCAACAGAGTTGTGAATTCAAACTTACTAAATGAAAGTGTGAAGTATTTGGCATTATCTTATTTCTCTTACTTGTCTTATTTCCCTTATTTTCATTGATATGAATGTGGGAATGAGAAACCAAGGAACAACAGAAGAGAAATATGAAATGAATGAGGAATAGATAAAACAAAAAATTAAAACATTTATTTTCTCATTTCTTTGTCTCCTATGCTTTATTTACAGATTTTAGTATTTCCTTCCAAGACTACATATGCTTCATATATATAATTCAATAGATATCCTTTTTTTACTTTGTTATATTGATGAAGAGACTTATTTAGAAGATTTAAGATTAGAGTTGCTAGATCAAATCCTGCCATGCAGGACAACCAGTTAAATTTGAATTTCAGGTAAGCAATGAATACTTTTTTTAGCATAAATATGTCCCATATATTGCATGGGACACAGTTAAACTAAAAATTATTCATTGTTTACCTGAAATTCAAATTTAACTGTCTGTCTTGTATTTTTATTTGCTAAATCTGGTAGCCCTACTAGGAAAGAACCACTAGTCTTAAGAGAGGTGGATCTCCTTGGGCTCTTTTGGTTTATCAATATCTCCTACTTAAATTTTTTTAATAGATAAAAGTATACTTATCATGAGTGTATAGTTCATTGAACTTTCACAAATTGAACACACCCATGTAACCAGCACCCAGGTCAAAACCCAAAATGTTATCCACCCCCTAGAAGCCTCCCTTGTACCCTCTTCCAGCAACATGGTTTCCCAGAGCTTGACCTTTCCACTAAGGGTAATCATTATCCTGACTTCTAAAAGTATAAACTAGTTTTGCTTATTTCACAACTATTTTTATCTAGTGTCAGTGGCCTCATCCTTGTATTCTAAAAGAATATCCACTCACTTGATAGAAACAAAGACCCCCTGGCACCAGGTTAACTGACCATTTGATTTGGAGATGGTTGAGGTTGGGGGACAGCTCTTCCATCTCCATGTATTAAGGGAATTCTCTAGGAAGTGGTATTTATCTAGAACCCCACAGTGGGTAGCAGGTGGGTAGAACCTTCCGGTGGACCTAAGAGATAATAAAGGCAGAAATCTAGAAGTTGTGGGTCTTCCAGAATGTGGTCAGGTTATAAATTTTGGCTAGGAGGGGCTGAGAACCAAGCAGGTGGTTTGGTTGATGACACCTGAGAGACTGTAAGAACTAGGCATTTGACACACTCCCGCATGCACATCTTCATGGAAGTGATCCGATCCGTTGCTAATACCCCAGCAAGTTTCTTCTTGGCAGTGTTGGTCTGCAATGGCACAGCTTTGTTGTATAAAGTTGTTCCATGAAGCCATGAAATTTTTCTGTCATTCCCTCAGTTTGTAGACAGATAACTACGCCCGTTCTACAAGAATGCATCATTATCATTACCATAACTAAGGACAGAAACCAGAAGGGGTCCCTTCCCCTTCTCTCCAGTAGTATTGAGGGGGAAGACCACAGGAATAGAGCTCCAAGAGAAGGCAGAGCAGGACCTTCACCTCCACCAGCCTGGAAAATGAGGCTCCAGGGACCCACTACAGTTCACTGAGTACACACCAATGCTTCCTTGGAGCAGAGCCCACGTGGCTGAGACACCCATGGTAGCAATTGGGTAATTGGGTAAAGAGTCAGAGTATATGACCTGGGTGGTTAAGAATCCTTTTCTGACCAGAATCTTAGGTTAGGAATCCAGGTGATTCAGTTTGGCAAGGACCACCAAATATTTAACTGGCTGATGCCAGAAAGTCTGAATGGTTTCTCAGTAGCAGCCTTCCAGGCAAAAGTGAGATATCAAAATATTTGCCTCTCCACCAAGCTCAAAACAAAGAAGGTAAAACATAGTTCTTCCATCCCCATCACTGCATTCCTCCCCTACCTGGTACATAGTCTGTCCTGTTACAGAAGAGGGTATTTGTTGCAGTATTATTTATAATACCAAAAAAGCAGAACACTCTATTCAAGAATGGGACTTTGACTAAATAAATTACGCCACAACCAAACAATGTAATCCTATTCAGTCTTAAAATGATGTTGTAGAAGAAAATGTAGTAGTAGTTATAGTAGCTGTAGTAGTAGTAGTAGTTATAGTAGTTGTAGTAGTGTGGGCCCCATAAAGCCCACACTACCTGCCAGCATTGTTCTAAGTACTTGGCAAATGTTGACTCACTTAAATATTTACAACATTTTGTGAAGTAGGAGCCATTATTATCCCCATTTTACAGATGAGGAATTTGCAGAAATTATTTCAGTTAAAGGACACGCCCAAGGGTCACACGGTAAGTGATGAGCCAAGATTCAAATTCAGATAGATCCAGAGTCCACTCTATGAACTGTTGCATAATGACAAATGAAATGTTAATCATTTATAATTATAGGAAAAAGCAGGCTAAAAAACAGTTTGAAAAGTGTGATTCCAATTCCGTATCAAGCACTAAAAAATCGTATGATCATACACACAAAGAAAATTTGTTGTGTTGCCTGCCATGGTGTTAATAGTATTACCTCTGAGAAGTTGCATTTAAGTGATTCTTATTTCCTTTTTAATAATTTTCTATAATGTCTATATTTTCTATAATAAATCTTTATGATTTCTTCTTTTGAAACAGAGTCTCACTCTGTCACCCAGGCTGGAGTGCAGTGGCGTGATCTTGGCTCACTGCACCCTAGACTTCCTGGGCTGAGGTGATTCTCCCACCTCAGCCTCTGGAGTAGCTGGGACTACAGGGGTGTACCACCATGCCAGGCTAATTTTTGTATTTCTTGTAGAGATGGGGTTTTGCCATGTTGCCCAGGCTGGTCTTGAACTCCTGAGTTCAAAAGTGATCCTCCTACCTTGGCCTCCCAAAGTGCTGGGACTACAGGTATGAGTCACCATGCCCAGCCTATGACTTTTTTTTTTTAAGATAGAGTCTCGCTCTGTCGCCTGTTGCCCAGGCTGGAGTGCAGTGGCGTGATCTCGGCTCACTGCAACCTCCACTTCCTGGGTTCAAGTGATTCTCGTGCCTCAGCCTCCTGAGTAGCTGGGATTATGGATGTGCAGCACCATGCCTGGCTAATTTTTGTATTTTTATTAGAGACGGGGTTTCACCATGTTGGCCAGGCTGGTCTCAAACTCCTGACCTCAGGTGATCTGCCACCTTGGCCTCCCAAAGTGCTCGACTTTTTTAATGAGGAAAAAATTCTAAGACAAAATGATTTCTTGAGGTGAAATCAGCTCAACAATTGTGACCTTTATGCAAGGTCTTCTGGTATGAAGACATGGAGAGAAGTCACATCCTATGGAAAGCTTTCAAAGGACATTCCCAGATCACATCATGCCAACTGATTTGCCTCAGAGGAAAATGAACTTCAAACTCATTAATGCGTAAACTCAGTGCCTGGGAGGCAAGCTATGTTGAGCACCAAGCAGATGTTAGAATGTTGAAGCTGGCAGGGACCTGGAGCCTCTAGAATCTAATCCCTCTGTTGGCACAGACTGAGGCTGGAGGGGATGCCTATGGAAAGTCAAGTCAGGTAACAGGGAGGCACTTACAGAAAATGGCATTTGCCCTAGGAAGCAGAAGTAAGCAGGAAATTTCACAAGTCATTTAAAATTTAGTCACAGAATTTCCTGGCTAGCAAGAGAACACCTGAGATGACTTTTATCTTCTCGTGGCCACAGAAGTTTACTCAGAAAAAGAGGGAGGGGGGAATAAAGCTTTGTGAATGTATTGCAGTAAAGATTTATGCTTGGGAGAGTTCAAAATTAGCTGTGATGGAGAAGAATCCTGTTGCAGACAATGACATGGACATGTAGCCATCTTTTCCCAGACTACACCCTCTGACAGGATGCAGTTATACTCAGTATCTCCCTGGAAAATGACCCAGAGTTCCTGGACTTCCAGCCCAGTCTGGATTTCCTGAGGGAAGCTATTACTTAGTCAGGCCCCACCCTTCCAAGACATCACAGTGACTCATCTGAGCAAACTGGAGAGGGCTGGCAATCTCCAAGCAACACGGTTTCCCAGAGCTTGACCCTTCCAACAGCTACTCCCACAAACAGGGCCAATTAGCGAGTCCTGCTGATGAAGGAACACTCTCAGCAGCTCCCCTTCCCAGCTGGTTAGCAGCCACTGTCTTTCACCCATCCATGGTTGTAGGTCTCTCTCTGGCTCACTGATAATGTACTACCTCTAGAGGGCAGTTCAAAGCAGGATTCTCACTGAGTTCTGTAATGGTAGTACTTCACAGATTGTAATGAAATTATTCAAAATGTCCTCGTGAAAGAAACCCATGTTCTTTCATATAATGTCACAATTTTAGCTGTCCACTCAAGCAATTTGCAGGACCGAATCTGGATGCAAGTATTTAACTAAAAAGAACTATGTGATAACAGATGCTAGACTTACAAAGAAGGAACTGAGAGGATTCAGAGGGACGGTTGTTCCCACTAAGGTGGTGTATAAAGCAGTTTTTGAGGCGCTGGCCTTTGAGCTGGGCCTTATTAAAGATGAGCTGATTTTGACAGGGAGATATGTTAAGGGAGGCAGAGGAAGAGGGATACCCAGACAGAGGGAGAAGTCTAAAAAAAAGTTTGGAGCTATAAAAGAATGAGTCATGGCATAACAAAGCGAGAAGTCTCGTTTTCTAACATAGAGGTATCCCATAGCCAGGGCAAACTGGGAAAAGAAATATTGAATCTAAGACACCATGATTGCCATCGATTGTAACATGCACTCTGATTTCAGAGGTGTTTCAAAGGTCTTTTAAAAAAATGTGTCTTAGAATTGACAAAACACAGTTAACTGGGATAGTATTATACAAGGTCTCAAAAACCAGCTAAGAGGGTAGATGGTGAGAAATGAGGAGCTTCTGAAGGCTTTTGAGCAGGGGTGTGAGGTTATGTTTTATGAAGATTGCTCATTGCTGTGGGTAAGGCCAAGGTAGAATATGCTTTGGGCTGGGCCTGGTGGCTCACGCTTGTAATCCTAGCATGGTGAGAGGCTGAGGCAGATGGATGTGTTGAGCCCAGGAGTTTGACACCCGCCTGGGCAACCTGACCAAACCTCATACAAAAAATGCAAAAATTAGCCAGGCATGGTGGTGCACACCTGTAGTCCCAGCTACTTGAGAGGCTGAAGTGGGAGGATCACCTGAGCCTGGGGAGGTCAAGGCTGCAGTGAGCCACGATCGTGCCACTGTACTGCAGCCTGGGTGACAGAGTGAGACCCTGTCTCAAAAAAAAAAAAAAAAAAAAACAAAAAGAAAAAAAGAAAAAAATGCTGTGCTAGAGCTACTTAATTAGTACAGGCTCCAGGGAACTAGAGAAGTGGTAGTGGGAATGGAAAAGGTCAGATACAAGACTTTTCCAAGGAAAAATCAAGTGAGTCAACTGCACAGACATGGTGAGTGAGAGAGGAGTCAAAAATCAATTACAGATGGATAACGAAGACAAATGTGGTATGCCTGTCATTGTAATTTATGTTCCCTACTCATTATGCTTTCGTGCTGAACATTTTTTCCTTTACTGATTTTTTTCTAAATGGTAAAATTTTGTTATTCTTTTTCTCTCGCATACAGTGTTTAAAAGTTTTGATACCCAGCATGGTACTCACATAAAAACAGACACACAAACCAAAGGAACAGAATAGAGAACCCTGACATAAATCCATGTATTTACAGCCAACTCATTTCAACGCAGACACCAAGCACATACAATGGGGAAAGAACAGGCTCTTCAATAAAAGGCACTGAAAAAACTGGATAACCATACGCAGAAGATTGAAACTAGACCTCTATCTCTCACTATATGCAAAAATCAAATAAAATGGATTGATGACTTAAATTTAAGACTTGAAACTATGAAACTACTAGAAGAAAACATTGGGGAAATACTCCAGGACATTGGTCTTGGCAAAGAATTTTTGGTGTAAGACTTCAAAATCACAGGCAACCAAAACAAAAGACAAATGAGATTACATCAACCTTCTGCACAGCAAAGGAGGCAACAAGGTAGAGACAATCCACAGAATAGAAGAAAATATTTGCAAACTGCTCATCTGACAAAGGATTAATAACCAGGATATATAAGGAGCTCAAACAACTCAATAGCAAAACAACAAATAATACAATTTAAAAATGGGCAAAAGATCTGAATAGACATTTTTCAAAAGAAGACATATAAATGACCAATAAGAATATAAAAAAAAATGCTCAACATTGCTAGTCATCAGAGAAATGCAAATCAAAATCACAAAGAGATCTCTCACCCCAATTAAAACTGGCTTTTGTCAAAAAGGCAATAACAGATGCTGACAAGGATGTGAAGAAAGGAGAACCTTCATACACCGTTGGTGGGAATGTAAATTAGTACAACCACTATGGAAAACTGTATAGAAGTTCCTCAAAAAACTAAAAATAGAGCTATCATATGTTCAGCAATTTTTCTAGTTATATATAGCCAAAAGAAATGAAATCAGCATATCAAAGACACTTCTGTACTTCCAAGTTTATTGCAGCACTATTCATAATAGCCAAAATATGGAACCAACCTAAGTGCCCATTAATGGATGAATGGATAAAGAAAATGTGTTATATATATACAACAGGACATTATTCAGCCATAAGAAAGAATGAAATCCTGTCACATGCAGCAACATGGATGGAACTGGAGGTCATTATATTAAGTGAAACAAGCCAAGCACAGAAAGACAAATATCACATGTTCTCACTCATATGTAGGAGCTTAAAAAGTGACTATCATGAAATAGAGAACAGATTGGTGGTTACCACAGGCACCAGAAAGGGTGGGGTGAGGGGGATGAAGAGAGGTTGACTAATGGGTACAAATATACAGTTCGATAGAAGAAATAAAACCTAGTGTTTCATAGATAAATAGGATGATCATAGTTTACAATATCTATTGTATATTTCAAAATAATTAGACGAGAATAATTCAATTGTTCCTAGCATAAAGAAAAGACGATTTTTTTTTCTTGAGATGGAGTTTCGCTCTTGTTGCCCAGGCTGGAGTGCAATGGCACGATCTCTGCTCCCTGCAACCTCCGCCTCCTAGGTTCAAGCGATTCTCCTGCCTCAGCCTCCCGAGTAGCTGGGATTATAGACGCATGCCACCACACCCGGCTAATTTTTGTATTTTTGGTAGAGATGGGGTTTCACCATGTTGGCCAGGCTGGTCTTGAACTCCTGACCTCAGGTGATCCGCCTGCTTCGGCCTCCCAAAGTGCTGGGATTACAGGCGTGAGCCACCGTGCCCAGCCAAAGACAAATATTTAAGGTGATGGATCTTCTAATTACACTGAATTGATCTTTACAAATTATATATACCCTGAAAATATGTACACCTAGTATATATCAATAAAAAGTAGAATTTAAAAAAGTTTTAATTAACATCTTTACAGTGCTAATGGTTGCCCTGACATATTTAAGCCTACATTTTTACATCAACATCAAAAATTAATAGCTACCCATTCTTTTTTTTTTTGGTGTAGGGGGCGGAGTCTCATTCTGTCTCCCAGGGAGGAGTGCATTGGCGCGATTTCGGCTCACTGCAAGCTACGCCTCCGGGGTTCACACCATTCTCCTGCCTCAGCCTTCCGAGTAGCTGGACTGCAGGCGCCCACCACCACATCCAGCTAATTTTTTTTTTTTTTTACTTTTTTTTTTTAATTATACTTTAAGTTTTAGGGTACATGTGCACAACGTGCAGGTTTGTTACATATGTATACATGTGACATGTTGGTGTGCTGCACCGATTAACTCGTCATTTAGCATTGGGTATATCTCCTAAAGCTATCCCTCCCCTCTCCCCCCACCCCACAACAGTCCCCAATGTGTGATGTTCCCTTTCCTGTGTCCATGTGTTCTCATTGTTCAATTCCCACCTATGAGTGAGAACATGTGGTGTTTGGTTTTTTGTCCTTGCAATAGTTTGCTGAGAATGATGGTTTCAAGCTTCATCCATGTCCCTACAAAGGACATGAACTCATCATTTTTTATGGCTGCATAGTATTCCATGGTGTATATGTGCCACATTTTCTTAATCCAGTCTATCATTGTTGGACATTTGGGTTGGTTCCAAGTCTTTGCTATTGTGAATAGTGCTGCAATAAACATACGTGTGCATGTGTCTTTATAGCAGCATGATTTATAATCCTTTGGTTATATACCCAGTAATGGGATGGCTGGGTCAAAGGGTATTTCTAATTCTAGATCCCTGAGGAATCGCCACACCAACTTCCACAATGGTTGAACTAGTTTACAGTCCCATCAACAGTGTAAAAGTGTTCCTATTTCTCCACATCCTCTCCAGCACCTGTTGTTTCCTGACTTTTTAATGATCGCCATTCTAAGTGGTGTGAGATGGTATCTCATTGTGGTTTTGATTTGCATTTCTCTGATGGCCAGTGATCATGAGCATTTTTTCATGTGTTTTTTGGCTGCGTAAATGTCTTCTTTTGAGAAGTGTCTGTTCATATCCTTTGCCCACTTTTTGATGGGGTTTTGTTTTGTTTTGTTTTGTTTTGTTTTGTTTTTGAGACAGAGTCTCACTCTGTTCTGTTCCATGGGCTCTGTTCTGTTCCATGGGTCTATATCTCTGTTTTGGTACCAGTACCATGCTGTTTTGGTTACTGTAGCCTTGTAGTATAGTTTGAAGTCAGGTAGCATGATGCCTCCAGCTTTGTTCTTTTGGCTTAGGATTGACTTGGCAATGTGGACTCTTTTTTGGTTACATATGAACATTAAAGTAGTTTTTTCCCATTCTGTGAAGAAAGTCATTGGTAGCTTGATGGGGATGGCATTGAATCTATAAATTACCTTGGGCAGTATGGCCATTTTCACGATATTGATTCTTCCTACCCATGAGCATGGAATGTTCTTCCATTTGTTTGTATCCTCTTTTATTTCATTGAGCAGTGGTTTGTAGTGCTCCTTGAAGAGGTCCTTCATGTCCCTTGTAAGTTGGATTC
The DNA here is from genome assembly GCF_000001405.40 of Homo sapiens. Classification (NCBI taxonomy): domain Eukaryota; kingdom Metazoa; phylum Chordata; class Mammalia; order Primates; family Hominidae; genus Homo; species Homo sapiens. Next base: position 63,704,036 of record NC_000002.12, read on the forward strand.
CTAGGTATTTTATTCTCTTTGAAGCAATTGTGAATGAGAGTTCACTCATGATTTGGCTCTCTGTTTGTCTGTTATTGGTGTATAAGAATGCTTGTGATTTTTGCACATTGATTTTGTATCCTGCGACTTTGCTGAAGTTGCTTATCAGCTTAAGGAGATTTTGGCTGAGATGATGGGGTTTTCTAGATATATAATCATGTCATCTGCAAACAGGGACAATTTGACTTCCTCTTTTCCTAATTGAATGCCCTTTATTTCCTTCTCCTGCCTGATTGCCCTGGCCAGAACTTCCAACACTATGTTGAATAGGAGTGGTGAGAGAGGGCATCTCTGTCTTGTGCCAGTTTTCAAAGGGAATGCTTCCAGTTTTTGCCCATTCAGTATGATATTGGCTGTGGGTTTGTCATAGATAGCTCATTTTTTTGAGATACGTCCCATCAATACCTAATTTATTGAGTGTTTTTAGCATGAAGGGTTGTTGAATTTTGTCAGAGGCCTTTTCTGCATCTATTGAGATAATCATGTGGTTTTTGTCTTTGGTTCTGTTTATATGCTGGATTACGTTTATTGATTTGCATAGGTTGAACCACCCTTGCATCCCAGGGATGAAGCCCACTTGATCATGGTGGATAAGCTTTTTGATGTGTTGCTGGATTCGGCTTGCCAGTATTTTATTGAGGATTTTTGCATCGATGTTCATCAAGGATATTGGTCTAAAATGCTCTTTTTTTGTTGTGTTTCTGCCCGGCTTTGGTATCAGGATGATGCTGGCCTCATAAAATGAGTCAGGGAGGATTTCCTCTTTTTCTATTGATTGGGATAGTTTCAGAAGGAATGGTACCAGCTCCTCCTTGTACCTCTGGTAGAATTCGGCTGTGAATCCATCTGGTCCTGGACTTTTTTTGATTGGTAAGCTATTAATTATTGCCTCAATTTCAGAGCCTGTTATCAGTCTATTCAGAGATTAAAATTCTTCCTGGTTTAGTCTTGGGAGGGTGTATGTGTTGAGGAATTTATCCATTTCTTCTAGATTTTCTAGTTCATTTGCATAGAGGTGTTTATAGTATTCTCTGATGGTAGTTTGTATTTCTGTGGGATCGGTGGTGATATCCCCTTTGTCATTTTTTATTGCGTCTATTTGATTCTTCTCTCTTTTCTTCTTTATTAGTCTTGCTAGCAGTCTATCAATTTTGTTAATCTTTTCAAAAAAGCAGCTCCTGGATACATTGATTTTTTGAAGGGTTTTTTGTGTCTCTGTTTCCTTCAGTTCTGCTCTGATCTTAGTTATTTCTTGCCTTCTGCTAGCTTTTGAATGTGTTTGCTCTTGCTTCTCTAGTTCTTCTAATTGTGATGTAGGGTGTCAATTTTAGATCTTTCCTGCTTTCTCTTGTGGGCATTTAGTGCTATAAATTTCCCTCCTCACACTGCTTTGAATGTGTCCCAGAGATTCTGGTATGTTGTGTGTCTGTTCTCATTGGTTTCAAAGAACATCTTTATTTCTGTCTTCATTTCGTTATGTACCAAGTAGTCATTCAGGAGCAGGTTGTTCAGTTTCCATGTAGTTGAGCAGTTTTGAGTGAGTTTCTTAATCCTGAGTTCTAGTTTGATTGCATGTGGTCTGAGAGACAGTTTTTTATAATTTCTGTTCTTTTATATTTGCTGAGGAGTGCTTTACTTCCAACTATGTGGTCAATTTTGGAATAAGTGTGATGTGATGCTGAGAAGAATGTGTATTCTGTTGATCTGGGGTGGAGAGTTCTGTAGATGTCTATTAGGTCTGCTTGGTGCAGAGCTGAGTTCAATTCCTGGATATCCTTGTTAACTTTCTGTCTTGTTGATCTGTCTAATGTTGACAGTGGGGTGTTAAAGTCTCCCATTATTATTGTGTGGGAGTCTAAGTCTCTTTGTAGGTCACTAAGGACTTGCTTTATGAATCTGGGTGCCCCTGTATTGGGTGCATATATATTTAGAATAGTTAGTTCTTCTTGTTGAATTGATCCCTTTACCATTATGTAATGGCCTTCTTTGTCTCTTTTGATCTTTGTTGGTTTAAAGTCTGTTTTATCCAAGACTAGGATTGCAACCCCTGCATTTTTTTGTTTTCCATTTGCTTGGTAGATCTTCCTCCATCCCTTTATTTTGAGCCTACGTGTGTCTCTGCACGTGAGATGGGTTTCCTGAATACAGCACACTGATGGGTCTTGACTCTATCCAATTTGCCAGTCTGTGCCTTTTAATTGGAGCATTTAGCCCATTTACATTTAAGGTTAGTATTGTTATGTGTGAATTTGATCCTGTCATTATGATGTTAGCTGGTTATTTTGCTCATTAGTTGATGCAGTTTCTTCCTAGTCTTGATGGTCTTTACAATTTGGCATGATTTTGCAGTGGCTGATACCGGTTGTTCCTTTCTATGTTTAGTGCTTCCTTCAGGAGCTCTTTTAGGGCAGGCCTGGTGGTGACAGAATCTCTCAGCATTTGCTTGTCTGTAAAGTATTTTATTTCTCCTTCACTTATGAAGCTTAGTTTGGCTGGATATGAAATTCTGGGTTGAAAATTCTTTTCTTTTTTTTTTTTTTTTTTTTTTTTTTTGAGACGGAGTCTCGCTCTGTCGCCCAGGCTGGACTGCGGACTGCAGTGGCGCAATCTCGGCTCACTGCAAGCTCCGCTTCCCGGGTTCACGCCATTCTCCTGCCTCAGCCTCCCGAGTAGCTGGGACTACAGGCGCCCGCCACCGCGCCCGGCTAATTTTTTGTATTTTTAGTAGAGATGGGGTTTCACCTTGTTAGCCAGGATGGTCTCGATCTCCTGACCTCATGATCCACCCGCCTCGGCCTCCCAAAGTGCTGGGATTACAGGCATGAGCCACCGTGCCCGGCCTTGAAAATTCTTTTCTTTAAGAATGTTGAATATTGGCCCCCCACTCTCTTCTGGCTTGTAGAGTTTCTGCCGAGAGATCAGTTGTTAGTCTGATGGGCTTCCCTTTGTGGGTAACCCGACCTTTCTTTCTGGCTGCCTTTAACTTTTTTTCCTTCATTTCAACTTTGGTGAATCTGACAATTATGTGTCTTGGAGTTGCTCTTCTTGAAGAGTAACTTTGTGGCGTTCTCTGTATTTCCTGAATTTGAATGTTGGCCTGCCTTGCTAGATTGGGGAAGTTCTCCTGGATAATATCCTGCAGAGTGTTTTCCAACTTGGTTCCATTCTCCCCGTTACTTTCAGGTACACCAATCAGATGTAGATTTGGTCTTTTCACATAGTCCCATATTTCTTGGAGGCTTTGTTCATTTCTTTTTATTCTTTTTTCTCTAAAGTTCTCTTCACGCTTCATTTCATTCATTTTATCTTCCACCGCTGATACCCTTTCTTCCAGTTGATCGCATCGGTTACTGAGGCTTGTGCATTCGTCACGTAGATCTCGTGCCATGGTTTTCAGCTCCATCAGGTCCCTTAAGTACTTCTCTGCATTGGTTATTCTAGTTATCCATTCATCTAATTTTTTTCCAAAGTTTTTAACTTCTTTGCCATTGGTTCGAACTTCCTCCTTTAGCTCAGAATAGTTTGATCTTCTGAAGCCTTCTTCTCTCAACTCATCAAAGTCATTCTTCGTCCAGCTTTGTTCCGTTGCTGGTGAGGAGCTGCGTTCCTTTGGAGGAGGAGAGGCACTCTGATTTTTAGAGTTTCCGGTTTTTCTGCTCTGTTTTTTCCCCATCTTTGTGGTTTTATCTACCTTTGGTCTTTGATGATGGTGATGTACAGATGGGTTTTTGGTGTGGATGTGCTTTCTGTTTGTTAGTTTTCCTTCTAACAGTCAGGACCCTCAGCTGCAGGTCTGTTGGAGTTTGCTGGAGGTCCACTCCAGACCCTGTTTGCCTGGGTATCAGCAGCGGTGGCTGCAGAACAATGGATATTGGTGAACTGCAGATGCTGCTGCTTGATCGTTCCTCTGGAAGTTTTGTCTCAGAGGAGTACCCAGCTGTATGAGGTGTCAGTCCACCCCTACTGGGGGGTGCCTCCCAGTTAGGCTACTTGGGGGTCAGGGAACCACTTGAGGAGGCAGTCTGTCCATTCTCAGATCTCAAGCTGTGTGCTGGGAGAACCACTACTCTCTTCAAAGCTGTCAGACAGGGACATTTAAGTCTGCAGAGGTTATTGCTGTCTTTTGTTTGTCTGTGCCCTGCCCCCAGAGGTGGAGCCTACAGAGGCAGGCAGGCCTCCTTGAGTTGTGGTGGGCTCCACACAGTTTGAGCTTCCCGGCCGCTTTGTTTACCTACTCAATCCTGGGCAATGGCGGGCCCCCCTCCCCCAGCCTCGCTGCTGCCTTGCAGTTTGATCTCAGACTGCTGTGCTAGCAATGAGCAAGGCTCCGTGGGCATAGGACCTTCCGAGCCAGGTGTGGGATATAATCTCCTGATGTGCCGTTTGTTAAGCCCGTTGGGAAAGCACAGTATTAGGGTGGGAGTGACCCGATTTTCCAGGTGCCGTCTGTCACCCCTTTCTTTGACTAGGAAAGGGAATTCCCTCACCCCTTGCGCTTCCCGGGTGAGGCGATGCCTCGCCCTGCTTTGGGTCATGCACGGTGCACTGCACCCACTGTCCTGCACCCACTGTCCGGCACTCCCCAGTGAGATGAACCCGGTACCTCAGTTGGAAATGCAGAAATCAGCTGTCCCAGCTCACGCTGGGAGCTCTAGATCGGAGCTGTTCCCATTTGGCCATCTTGGCTCCACCCTCCTGGCTAATTTTTTGTATTTTTAGTACAGACAGGGTTTCATCGTGTTAGCCAGAATGGTCTGGATCTCCTGACCTCATGATCCGCCCACCTCAGCCTCCCAAAGTGCTGGGATTGCAGGCATGAGCCACCTCGCCTGGCCAATAGCTACCCATTCTTAAACAGAATGGGAAATTTGGCCGGGCACTCACGCCTGTAATCCCAGTACTTTGGGAGGCCGAGGGGGGTGGATCATTTGAGGTCAGGAGTTCAAGACCAGCCTGGCCAACATGGTGAAACCCTGTCTCTACAAAAAAAAAAAAAAAAAAAAAAAAAATGACCCGGGCTTGGTGATGTATGCCTGTAATCCCAGATACTAGGTAGGCTGAGGCCAGAGAATCACTTGAACCCTGGAGGTGTGACCCGGGCTTGGTGATGTATGCCTGTAATCCCAGATACTAGGTAGGCTGAGGCCAGAGAATCACTTGAACCCTGGAGGTGGAGGTTGCAGTGAGCCAAGATCTTGCCCCTGCACTCTAGCCTGGGTAACAGACCGAAACTCCGTCCCGAAAAAAAGAATGGAAAATTTAGCTGCTTTTTCCCTCCTCCATTCTTACCCTCAGTCCCATCCCCTTCAGGCTTTGGTGGTATTATCATATTTGACATTTTATTTGGGGGCTAGATTCATGCACATTTCATATCTAGTCATGGGTGGTATTGGATTACGCTATGAAAAATATTCCCAATAAATAGAATCAATTTCAAGCCACCAGAAATACATTAAACTTATGGAAACTTCCACCCCAAGGCCTGCTATGAATTTAAGTCTATGGTCTATGTGGTGCTAATTCCTAATAATTCCTAACTGCCTCTAAATTGTTTCAATTCTTAACATTGCTATATTTTCTTATTTCCTTAAGTTTTATTTTAACTTTTATTGTCCTGAAAGTTCTCATGATTTAATTAGCATATTTTCCATTCCTACCTTGGGATGTATGCTTCTAGAATAATGTATGCAGTTTTAGTTGCTGAAACTTAAGGAAATTATTGAAGATATTCAGGAGCAGAGAGTTACAATAAAATGTTTGACGAAGGGCTACTGCTGAGTAGGGAACAACAAAAATGATTAGAGCTTTTGGGTTTGTGAAAGCAATGATTCAGAGGGCACATGGTTAAAGCTTTTAAAATCAAGGGGTAAAAATGAGGTGAATCTAATTGTAGTATCCTTACACTAACACTAGAAGATTTCTTGCAACTTTTAAGAAATAAATTGAGAAAAAAAAGCTTGAGTTTCACAATAGGAAATTTCATTAGGTAACTTCTTTTGCCCCTCCGGATCTACTTTTTGTCCTTTTCTACCCTGCTCTGGTCCTAGGAGGCTGCTCTACACTGACCACATCAACAAGCACCTTTGCCTTCTGGCTTAGTGATGGGCTTGGTGAGTGGGGTGGCGATGAGCAGCACTGTGGCAGGAAAGTGGAAAATGGAGGAAAGTAAGATCGGGGTATTTATTCCCCAGCTTCCTCCCCACCAGGGTGCCCAAGGTTGGCTGAGTTTGTCTACTGAAAGCTAGCACTTGTGACACACAGTTCTCTCCATACGCTTTGTGAGTTCTGGTAAACATATCTTCTCCTTTCCATTTCAGAATTATGAGCAGTAATAGCCCCTCATTGTTGCAAATTCCAGATACTATATGCTATTGCTGATTTCTGCAAACCCTGCTCGGGCCTTGTAAACAGTGCCTTGACTACTCTCAATTGCACACATAGAGTATGCCCTCTCTTTCCAGACCCATGCCGAACCCTGACTGATGTACTAATTAATGGACCAAGAGATCTCTGTAACTAAGAAATAATAAGCGTAGAAAATACAAATGTTTAAAAAGTGACCATGGATAAGACACTAGCCCTGACTTTGGGAAAGAGGTGAATATTAGACCATTTTGCGATTGTATTGTTGGGGCCAAGGAGCACCTGTTGGGCTGAATGGTTGGGTGGAAGTAGGCTTTTTCTTTTGAGAGAATGAATGTTCCCACTATCAGTCATCCTTGGAAGTGGATAATCCCCATGTGGGAAATAAACTAAAACTATGGACTGTAGAAGGAGGGATCTCCACCTGTCTCTGTATTAGGGATCTATTTCATCCTGGACTTTGAGGTATGAAAAGGCAGGCTCATGCTGGAGTAAGCTGTGCCCAGGGAAGCTGCAACATCAAGCTTCTATTTTTGTCAGAGTGGCAACAGGGACAACAGCAGTTCAGAGAAGGAAACAACCAGCATATTTTGATAAGAAACGCCAGGTAAAGAACCCCTAGGCCCAAAAGGTATTACATCTTCATCCTAGCCCCACCAAAAAGCAGGAATCATTATCAGGATGTTTTCTTTGGACCAAAGGAAAAAGTTTATCTCTCCTGAGGCTGAAGTCAGGATAACAGTGGGCTTCAGTGGGTAGATATGAGAACATGACAGCAGAGCTCTCCTGAAGGTGAAAACAATGAGTTGAAAAAAATGAGAGAGGAAGCATGGGAGAGCTCTGTTTTAGACCAAATATAAGGTAGTACCAGTAAAGTTTCACATATAGTTGAAACCACTTTGAGAGAGGTGAATTTCCAGCAAGTGGGTTCATAGGAGAGAATACTGTAATATTTTTGGTATGAAATGGAAGGATACTTTCCATAGTAGTTATAGACTGGGAATCTGGGAATAAATGGGTTACAGAAATAGCTTCTAGGCCAAGCGCAGTGGCTCATACCTATAATCCCAGAACTTTGAGAGGCCAAGGTTGGAGGATCGCTTCAGCCCAGGAGTTCCAGGTCAGCCTGGACAACATAGTGAGACCCCATCTATCTAAAAAACAAAACAAAACAAAATTAGTTGGGTCTGGTGGTGTGCAAATGTCCTAGCTTCTTGGGAGGCTAAAGGGGGAAGATCCATTGAGCTCAGAAGGTCGAGGCTGCAGTGAGCTGTGATGGTGCCATTGTGCTCCAGCCTAGGTGACAGAGCAAGACACAGTTCTTAAAACGAACCGACAAACAAACAAAACAGAAATAGCTTCTAATGGATTAGGTAAACCCTATGTGTGGTAAATTGATAGTACTTTCCTGATGGGAGCTGAAACACATTCCTGACCTTTTGGATTGATACTGGAGAAACCGGGCCCTCCCACAAACTCCCTTGCTACTGCTGCTGGGATCAGAATGCAGGATTTGGTGAGTATGGCAACATTTAAGGATTTTTTTTTTATTGAGGTTGTGCAATTCATTCTCCCTATATCAGAGAGAGGAATAGTTCTTGGGGCTTTCACAAGGTTGATGTGATGCTCTGATTTCTATTTTGGCGTAATGGGACTTAGAATCTCATTAGGGGCCAAACCAAGTCTCATTAGTCATATGAGCTTCGCACATTTACCAAAAACTTGTTCTATGCTCTGGTGAGAAAAGGAAGGGCCCAGTGTGCCAGCTGAAAGGATATTGCCTGACAACTTCCACCATATAATGTGGGCTTGGGCTCAGCTCATGTGGGCAGTGAACCCAGGTGTTATCCAAAAATATTGCCATGAGTTACCAATTTGCATCAGATGCATTTTCCAATATTTTTTGAAAATATTAAAAGTAGCAATATATTCAGTGTTTTGTAATAGCTCAAGGAGATAAATTACTGAAAGACGAATATCAACTCCCATAGCAAGAATAATTTCTCCTGTCCTTGGAAAATGTTAATCAAACTTTAGAGATCTAACTAGCCTAATATCTTAAAGTGATAACCTGGGATAAGGAGAGATTGAGACTTAAGGTTTTAATATGAATTACTCTATGAACTACATCTTCCTGAATATGTTTGAAGCCTGCAGCATCAGGCTTTCTCCTGTCTGCCACTACCAGTTATCTATAAGTGGGTTCAAAAATTCCACTTCAGGGACATTTTGTTTCTCCACAGGCATAATCATTACTCTCAGGAATTTGTGAGCCCTCCTCAAGGAGAAGTCTTTTTCTGTGTGAAGACAGTGAGACCCCCTGTAGTGTGTTCTCATTAATCTGTTTCTAAATAATCTGATCGAGGGTTCATCTGCCTACACCCAAGTTGCCCTGCCTGCCTGTCCTCTTTTGACCTTTCTACTTAAACCTGATGTCATCTTCTCCAAGAGCATGTGACTCAGGCAGCATAATGTCAGGGATCAGGGCTGAACTATTATAGACACAGTGGATTAGCAGCCAAGGAGTGGTTCCTCTGACTTGGGCTAGCCAGGGTTCTCTAAGGATTCATTCTCTGGCAACGCTGCCACTCAGACTGTAACAGCTTTGTAATTTTGAGGAGTAATTCTGAATTACAACATGGCAGGATCCACAATGGATGAGCTCATCTTCTGGGTGCACTATGTGGGCATATTGTCTCAATTATACTGACTTGAACAAAACCTCCAAGAAAGAGTGAGGTCTTTGTTTCTAATGTTTCCATTTTGATCCTGTTACAGTTTTAATTCCATCACACACCTCCATTCCATACACACCCCTTTGGGTCCTTTCATTCTTCAGAAAATCCTCCTCAGGTTCCAAGGGCTGTACCTCCCTTACCAAGACAAGTTCATTTTATGACCAGCACAGCTTTATCAAGCATAGAGGGATAGGAATGGTGAATTGTCTCCTACAACCTTTCATTGGCACTGTAGGATGAGTATCATTCAGGGCTCCACTACATCTTCAATAGCAATGTCATATAAAAGGCAATGTCTATGGGAACGTTCTGAAAACTGAACATAAGGCATGAATTTTTAAAGTCCAGCCTATTTCTACAATAGGCAAATTAGATTAATCTTCATACCAATTTACCCATAACAGAGTAGCAGTTTCTGGAAAATAGGTAGATGTCTTTCTACATCATAATTAAATGGTAATTAATTTGCTAACTTTAGTCAAACACTCAAAGGGTAGATACTTATGCTGACAAGAAGAAAGGGGCACAAACCTGACTTCTGCCAACTAGAATGTTTTTCAGGTTTTCCTTAGAATATACCTCATCAGAATTGGCTTCTTCATTTAAACCAATTCTCATCGTTAGGTTTGAGGTTAATTATAGTAGGAACATAGCCAAAGGGCAATTGATTTGTGCTGATTGAAGTATCTCAGAGAAACAACATGGCAAAAACTTAAGTGGGCTTTGCGGCTAATTTGAGATTCCTTCCCCTGATATTTATAGAGATTGTGGTTATTGTCGTTGTTGTTGTTCCAAGTATATTTTGGTTCTGTCTGTTCAGGAGCAGAGGACAGTCAGCTAAAATATCTTCGCTGCGAACAACTATGTATCTTTTTTATTCTTTTTTTTTTTTTTTTTGAGACGGAGTTTCATTCTTGTTGCCCAGGCTGCAGTGCAGTGGTGCCATCTTGGCTCACTGCAACTTCTGCCTCCCGGGTTCAAGTGATTCTTCCGCCTGAGCCTCCCGAGTAGCTGGGATTATAGGTACCCGCCACCATGCCCAGCTAGTTTTTAAAAATATTTTTAGTAGGGATGGGGTTTCACCATCTTGGCCAGCTGGTCAGGCTGGTCTCGAACTCCTGACCTCAGGTGATCCACCCGCCTTGTCCTCCCAAAGTGCTGGGATTACAGGCTTGAGCCACCGCGCCTGGCCTTCCTTTTATTCTTCAGAAAATCCTCCTCAGGTTCAGGGGACTATACCTCCCTTATAAGATAAGTTCATTTCATTAATGCTGTGGGTTTTCTCTTTCAAAAATAAAAATAGAAAAATAGTTTGACAGTTCCTAAAAAGGTAAAACATAAAATTACCATACAACCCAGCAATTCCAGTCATAAGAACTGAAAACAGTTATTCAAATAAATACCAGCACTTTGGGAGGCCGAGGCGGGCGGATCACGAGGTCAGGAGGTCAATACCATCCTGGGTAACACAGTAAAACCCTGTCTCTACTAAAAATACAAAAAATTAGCCGGGCATGGTGGCACGCACCTGTACTCCCAGCTACTTGGGAGGCTGAGGCAGGAGAATCCCTTGAACCCAGGAGGCAGAGGTTGCAGTGAGCCAAGATTGCACCACTGCACTCCAGCCTGGGTGAGAGAGTGAGACTCCGTCTCAAAACAAACAAACAAACAACAAATAAATAATAGTACACAAATGTTCATAGCAGCACATTCACAATAGTCAAAGGTGGCAACAACCCAGGTGTCAATCCATAGATGAATGAATAAACCAATTGTGATATATGTATACGATAGAATATTATTCAGTCATAAAAAAAGAATGCTGTGACATGGATGAACCTTGAAAATATTAGGCTAAGTGGAAAGAGGCCAGACACAAAGGTCACATATGGGATGATTCCATTTATATGAAATATCCCGAATAGGTAAATTCATAGAGATAGAAAGCAGATAGATGGTTTCTAGGGCCTTGTGGTAAGTGGGTATGGATTTTCTTTGTGGGGTGATAAAATATTTTGGAATTTGATATAGATGGTAGTTGCAAAATATTGTGAATATACTAAATGCCTCTGAGTTTTTCACCTTAAAATGGTTCATTTTATGTTATGCAAATTTTGCCCCAATAAAATAATTTGCAAATAAATGCAAAACAGCACTTTGTTCAATTCTCTGCATTAAGTATGATGCAACTCAGAATACCCTTTCAGCCTTAGGCAAGAGGACTATAAGCCATAGGTAGAGAAACAACTGTTTGTACCAATTCCTTACAATGAGAAGCTACTTTAGCTACCTGTAACATGCCAGCTTCATAAAGAGAAGCCTGACAGTTCACCAAAAAGAGAAACAATACCCAGTCCTCATATTTGTTGACAGCCATTTCAAAATAGAAGAGCCATTCTTTTCTCTGACAGCTACAGAGCTTGAGATTAAATTTTTTCATGCTTCACAAAAAATGTACTTTCAATAGAAAAATGGTATATTTGTTTTTATGAAAAGAATCTTGCAATTAGTGATCTGTAGAAGAAAAATAGCCTATTTCTGCTCATACATTCCATTGCATTTAAATTTTTAATACAAAGATAAAGTCAAGAATTCTCTACTTCTCAGCATCAGGAGGTGTCAGGATTGCCATTCGTCATAAAATCAGAGAGGCAAGAACAATACTTAAGGTTTTGGGACCTAGACCCAGTGAGGGCTAGGGAAATACAGGAAGAAAAGAAAGACATGGTATAGGAATTTACTATTTGAGGGATGTCACACGAGGTCGAGGTTGGTGATCTTCTGTTCTTCCTTCCCAGAGGAAAGAGGAAATGTGCTTAACTGCAGAGGGGTTTCTATTTGGCATTAATGTGTTCTTGCTGCAAGAATTAAAAGACATCAAAATAAGACACTAAAGGAGAGTATAATGTTTCTTCAGGAGACATTTTTAAGACTCAGGTTAGTAAGCGTTTCTCTGAGAAGCTGGTGGACTTGATGAGCTCTGAAGGGACAGTCCACTTCTCTGACTCTGGGAAGGCTGTAACAGATCAGGACAGAAAGGACAACTTTCTTTCTAGTAACTTAATAGACCTCTAGTAACTTAATAGACCTCTCTGCCTGTATCTAACATAATTAATTGCTTCATGATTACTTTCTTATTGTCCTAACCTTAGTGAGGACAAGGATCAAAGTCACTATTGCAGTAAGCTCCTCCCTACCCCAGCTAAGTTTTGCGTTCTCTGGTTTAGTTCTTTTCTCTCACAAATCTATTTGATCATCTCTGTGGCACTTTTGTCATTATTTTAAACGTCTTTATTGTCCTCAGAAGTAATCTCTATGATGGGGGAGCCCAACTTTTGAAAGGAAGTGTAAGTGCTATTTGAATAAATATGCAAAAATAATAGAATGCATGAGTTGTCCACCCATTTTGTTTCTAGTTGCTATCATTTTATATAGGGTCACAGAAAAACCCTTGTTTGGAAGAGGTTGGGGTGTGCAGTGTGGGGCCGACGGGAGGACAGGGAGCAAGAAGGAGATGGTATTGATGCACTGCCCCATGAGGACTTTATTGGAAAATAAAAACTGGCCCTGGGGCCAGGAATTCCTCAAATTAAATATTAAAGACTGATCTGACCAGAACTCTTGTGCTACATTTATATTTTACTAATTAAAGGCCAAAGGATTGAGTGAGGCAAAGAAACAACAAATAGTTTACTTACTACTACACAGCCAATCAGTAGCAGAACTGACGTTAGGAGTACTTTATTACGAATTCAGTGCTACATGTACTGAACTAGGCTGCCCACATTTGGAAGCTCAGTTAATATAAAATAAATATATTATGAAGTGTCTCCTTTCAACCTTGTCCACTTCATCGGTATGACCTCTGGAGAGGCAGTGGTGGTTCCCATTCCTGAGGCAGCTCTCTTCCCTCCTTCTGTCTCCACTATATTCTGGAGTTCACCTGCCATGGCATTACTCACTGTTGCCACCTGACTCTTGGAAATGAAGAATGCATCTTTTTGTATTCTTGCTGTCCAGCATGCCAGTGCTTCCTCCACGAATTTGAAAGACATATTGGCTGACCTGATGCGTAAGAAGCAGGCCAGAATTAAGACCTTCAGGCAGCAACATGGCAAGATGGTGGCAGGCCAAATCACTGTGAACATGAAAAATGATGGCACAATAGGCACCAAGGACTGGTACATGAAATGTCAGTTCTTGATCCTGATGATAGTGTCTGTTTTTTTAAGGTCATGGTATCCCTGAATGCCAGAGGCTGCTGCCCAAAACTAAAGGTGGGAAAGAATTAAGGGCGGCAAAGATGTGTCAGATGAGCATTTAAGAGAATACATCTCGAACAAACTCAGGACAGGTTGTCCCAGGCTCTGGCCATGCAGTCTTCTAAGGAAGACTGATTCATGGTATACCTGTCAGTGAGAGTTTGCTCTGAAACACCTGCCTAGTGACCCCATGTTAAGCTGACTGCTCAACTGCACAAGATTCTGTCCAAAATCCTCTTAGAGCAGGGCAAGGCCAAGAATCCTTGGCCCAACGTTGATGCCCACAGTTGGGTGTTGCTCCAGTACTGCGGTATGATGGAGACGAATTACTACATAGTCCTATTTGGGGTGTCATAAGCAGTGGGTATACTGGCACAGCACATTTGAAGGCGAGCCCGAGGCCTCCCTCTAGAGAGGTCCAAGTCCATGAGCACAGATGGTCTGATGAGGGGTTGTGAATTCTAAGGGTAAAATTGAAGACTGTGGGGGAAACTGACTACCAGAAAGTAAGAAAGCTTAAAAAGAAAGTGTACTTTTTTTTTATTTTAGGAGGCCTTTGAAAACTTAAGATTAAATTGTATCTGAGGCACTGAAAATACATTTGAGGTAAAAATATATATTAAAACATTAAACAATGAATAGTGATCCCATATATATGATAAATATATGATATGATATATATGATATATATATGTCACATTTTCTTTCTCCAATCATCCATTGATGGACACTACTTAGGTTGATTCCATATCTTATTGTAAATATTGCTGCAATAAACATAAGGGTGCAAATATCTTTTTTATATAATGATTTCTTTTCTTTTGGGTAGATAGCCAGTAGTGAGATTGCTGGATCAAGGGGTAGTTCTATCTTTAGTTATTTGAGAAATCTCCATACTATTTTCCATAGGGGTTTTACTAATTTATGTTCTTACCAACAATGTATAAGTCTTCCATTTTCTCCACATCCTTGCCAACATCTGTTGTTTTTTAACGTTTTATTAATAGCCATTCTGACTGATGTAAGATGGTATCTCGTGGTGTTAATTTGCATTTCTCTGATGATTAGTGACGTAGAGCATTTTTTCATGTTTGTTGGCTACTTGCATGTGTTCTTTTGAGAAATGTCTCTTCATGTCCTTTGCCCACTTTTTAATGGGGTTGTTTTTTTCCTTGTTGAGTTGTTTGAGTTCCTTGTAGATTCTATATATTAGCCATTTGTTGAATGCATTCTTTGCAAATATTTTCTCCCATTCTGTAGGTTGTCTGTTTACTTTATGGATCATTTCTTGTGCTTTGTAGAAGTCTGTAAACTTTCTAAAAGATGCTTCAAAAATGTACTTCAAAAAAATACAGAAAGGTTGAAAAACAAAAGATGAAAAAACTCAACTATGCTAGGTAAATACAAACCAAAAGAAGACTGGCTTATCAGTTACTGTTAGACAAAATAATATTTTTTAAAAAACAATTAATATATAAAAGGAGAAATCCACCAAGGAGATACATTAGTCATAATTTTATGGGTACTTGCCAATATAGCCTTGAAATTTACAAACAAAAATGAACAGACTTAAAAGAAGATATGGAAAATTTAGTCAGAGTCTTGACAAGGAAACAGTTGTCAAGCTTAAGAGATTTAACTGAAGATAATGTAATGAATGTACTATTTACAGAGGTGTATAGGTTGAAGGAACAAGAGGGACTATGAGGGACCAAAGAACTAGCAAGAGTGGCATGACATTACTCTCTCAGGCATGACAGTACAAGAGGTGAGGACAGTATTACTGGAGCCAGAGAGAACTGGAAATGTGGAGGAGGGGCTACTTAGAATGAGTTATAGCCATAGAGGATGGCAGCCAGAACCCTGGGTGGTGCAGGGAGGGAATGTGGGACAGGGCAAGCGACAGTAGTGAGAGGTTAAATACCCTGACCTCTTTTTCTGTCTGCTCTCTGATTTGATAGTACCAAGCCCACCAACAAAACCTAGCTGAAAATCAGAGGCAAAAGAGGCTGGTAGAGAAAGGCCAAGAATGGATCTGATGTACAAATGGAGAATAACTGGCAAAACAATCATGGTGAGAAATTTTAACATCACTTTGTCAGAAACTGATAGACAAAGTGATCAAAAATTAGGCAGATACAGAATATTTGTTCAATACAATTAACAAGTTTGATTTAATAGACGTGTGGTGGGTGGGCTGTGTGGAGAGAGTGAGAGACAACTTGTTCCCAAGAATGTATGTTCCCATACATTCTTTTTGAGCGTATGAAATATTTCGGAGCATAATGAAATATTTATAAAAGTTTATAAATTATAAGGCTTATAATTTATAAAAGTTTATGTTATAAAAGTTTTTAAAAGTTTACCATATATTAGGCTATAAGAAAATCAAATGCAGAAATTAACCTTAATTAGCCTTAGAAATTAGCCTTTCTGAGCGAAAAAAGCAAGATGTGGAATGTTACCTATGTTATACTAGTATTTATATAGCAATCATCTATCTCTACTTATATATGCACAGAAAATACCTGGATACCCAAGAAACTATGAATAGTGGTTGCCTCTGGGGTAGATGGGTAATTGACCTTTTTCTTCTTTTTGGTATTCTGAATCTTTTATAATATTTGTGTCATTACTAAAGAACAAAAAATCCCAAGAAAACAACAAATAAAGCCCTAGTTTAAAAATTGCTAAATAGGCCTGGCGCAGTGGCTCATGCCTGTAATCCTAGCACTTTGGGAGGCTGAGGCGGGTGGATTGCCTGAGCTCAGAAGTTCGAGACCAGCCTGGGTACATGGCGAAACCCCATCTCTATAAGATACAAAAAAATTTAGCCAGGTATGGCGGTGTGCGCCTGTAGTCCCAGCTACTCGGGAGGCTGAGGCAGAAGAATTGCTTGATCCCATGAGGCAGAGGTTGCGGCGAGCCGAGATTGCGCCACTGCACTCCAGCCCGGGTGACAGAGCAAGACTCTACCTTAAAAAAAAAAAAAAACAAAACAAAACAACAACAACAAAAAAGTACTATCCTCAATTAAAAAAAATCAATTCTCAAGGCAGACTCCTTAGCTAGTTTTGTAGCATGATTAAGAGCTGCCATGGCTTACCCGGTGCTCTGCCAAATTTCCACTTACCCTCCCCATTGATTTTTTTTCCTACATAGAAAATAACATTATTAAGTCTAATGTGTCTCTTTCCATTGACCCCTAGGTTGAGGTGATATCTGAAAAAATAAAAGCTGAACTTCTGAACACAAACAACATTCCTGTGATCTCTGCATATACATACTGTCTTGTTCTTTGGGAATTTCTGCTAGGGATGGCAGTCACTCCCATGGCAGTTAAACAGAAACAATACAGAGGAAAAATAAAATCATCAGAACAAGGAACTAAATATTAACACAGCCCACTGAAATGAATGTCAAGAATGGAGTATCTAAATTACCTTGTACATTTTTAAGCCAAGTTCCCCCAGTCAGAAACAGCTAGCAGTTCTCTGAGTATGCTGCCATACCTGACAGATAGTCATTAACCTGGAGCCTGAAATGTCAATAGCAAAGTAATATCTCATCTGACATTTCAAGTGTTAATAGGGACATTTGAACAGAAAACCCTGAAGCAAACAACAGTTCTTTAACAGGCTTCCTTATACAAGGCAGAAACTACCTTGACAATTTTTGTTTTCACAGTTCAAACACTGATTTAGATACATGAGTCAAGGAAAATTGGCATGACTGCATAAATGGGGCTGTCATTCAATTGCTTGATTTATTTGTTTGCAAATCTACAAAATGACAGTGAGCGTTCTTGATCTGTCCACTTCAGAGTGGTGTCATGAGGGGAGGTGCTCTGGCTGTTGTATATGCCAGCTAATGGAAATCATTCTTGACAACTTCCCATAACCAACCAGACAGCAATCTTGTCAACTCTATCTCCTGTGTTATCTCTGGAACTTGTCTATTATGGCCCAAGCCTGATGCCCCAACTGCCACACAGACCACCATCTTTCCCACTTGGACAACTGTAATAGCCTCTTCCTCCCTGTACCCCTCTTACCCCTTCTAATCTCACTCCACAGAGCAGTCAGAGTGTCTTTTTTAAAAAAATATAAATAAATTTTTAAAATCTCATAACCAGTAACTTTCTCATTCTCCTGGCTCCAGCTATAATGGCCTTTCCATTTTTTGGCCTTGCCACTCTTTTTCCTATTTCTGGGCCTTCCAGCAAGCCATTCCCTCTACTTAGAATGCTCCCTGCCCTCCCGCTCCCCCTGCCCCTCCCCCTCCTCCTCCCCCTCTCCCTCTCCCCACGGTCTCCCTCTCCCTCTCTTTCCACGGTCTCCCTCTCATGCTGAGCCGAAGCTGGACTGTACTGCTGCCATCTCGGCTCACTGCAACCTCCCTGCCTGATTCTCCTGACTCAGCCTGCCGAGTGCCTGCGATTGCAGGCTCGCGCCGCCACGCCTGACTGGTTTTGGTGGAGATGGGGTTTCGCTGTGTTGGCCAGGCCGGTCTCCAGCCCCTAACCGCAAGTGATCCACCAGCCTCGGCCTCCCGAGGTGCCGGGATTGCAGACGGAGTCTCGTTCACTCAGTGCTCAATGGTGCCCAGGCTGGAGTGCAGTGGCGTGATCTCGGCTCGCTACAACCTCCACCTCCCCGCCGCCTGCCTTGGCCTCCCAAAGTGCCGAGATTGCAGCCTCTGCCCGGCCGCCACCCCGTCTGGGAAGTGAGGAGCGTCTCTGCCTGGCCGCCCATCATCTGGGATGTGAGGAGCCCCTCTGCCTGGCTGCCCAGTCTGGAAAGTGAGGAGCGTCTCCGCCCGGCCGCCATCCCACCTAGGAAGTGAGGAGCACCTCTGCCCGGCCGCCATCACATCTAGGAAGTGAGGAGCGTCTCTGCCCGGCCGCCCATCGTCTGAGATGTGGGGAGCGCCTCTGCCCCGCCGCCCCGTCTGGGATGTGAGGAGCACCTCTGCCCGGCCGCGACCCCATCTGGGAGGTGAGGAGCATCTCTGCCCGGCCGCCCCGTCTGAGAAGTGAGGAGCCCCTCCGCCCGGCAGCCGCCCCGTCTGGGAAGTGAGGAGCGTCTCCGCCCGGCCAGCCGCCCCATCCGGGAGGGAGGTGGGGGGGGGTCAGCCCCCCGCCCGGCCAGCCGCCCCGTCCGGGAGGGAGGTGGGGGGGTCAGCCCCCGCCCGGCCAGCCGCCCCGTCCGGGAGGGAGGTGGGGGGGGGTCAGCCCCCCGCCCGGCCAGCCGCCCCGTCCGGGAGGTGAGGGGCGCCTCTGCCCGGCCGCCCCTACTGGGAAGTGAGGACCCCCTCTGCCCGGCCAGCCGCCCCGTCTGGGAGGTGTGCCCAACAGCTCATTGAGAACGGGCCAGGATGACAATGGCGGCTTTGTGGAATAGAAAGGCGAGAAAGGTGGGGAAAAGATTGAGAAATCGGATGGTTGCCGTGTCTGTGTAGAAAGAAGTAGACATGGGAGACTTTTCATTTTGTTCTGTACTAAGAAAACTTCTTCTGCCTTGGGATCCTGTTGATCTGTGACCTTACCCCCAACCCTGTGCTCTCTGAAACATGTGCTGTGTCCACTCAGCGTTGAACGGATTAAGGGCGGTGCAAGATGTGCTTTGTTAAACAGATGCTTGAAGGCAGCATGCTCGTTAAGAGTCATCACCACTCCCTAATCTCAAGTACCCAGGGACACAAACACTGCGGAAGGCCGCAGGGTCCTCTGCCTAGGAAAACCAGAGACCTTTGTTCACTTGTTTATCTGCTGACCTTCCCTCCACTATTGTCCTATGACCCTGCCAAATCCCCCTCTGTGAGAAACACCCAAGAATTATCAATAAAAAATTAAAAAAAAAAAAAAAAGAATGCTCCCTTTTTCTCACCCTCATATTTGGCTAATTCCTGCTTACTCTTCAGATTTCAAAGTATATGTCACTTCTTCATAGTCACCATCCAGTGTCTCTCTGCCCTTTTCCCTGGTCAGATTCTGCTATTATAAGCTCTTTTAGAATCTTATAATTTCTTTGTAGAAATTATCATAATGCATCTAAAGAATTCTCCCAGAACAGAATCTCCATGTTGGAGCTCATCAGTGGCTGCCTAACCCCTCACACAATGCTTTGCACATAGTTGGCATTCTACAGATAGTTGTTGAATTATGGACAAATGAATATATATTAATGTCAGTTTGGACAGTACTCAAGTTTACCTTTCTCCCAACAACTTAAACTGCTGATGAGTGACACCTCTGGCCCCACCCAATGCTGGTTTGCAGCACCACTGAGATCTTAGCACATCTCCAAGAAAGCTGAGGCAACATGGATTATAAATCCTTATTAAATGACATTCTCATTTTGAAAATTTGGCAAAGTTAAAAAAAAAAGGAGAAGAAAAATTTCCCATAACTTCGACATCCAGGACATTGACTTCTGATAAATTTGTGTGGTATTACACAACTCTTGAAAAATCTGTACAGAGGGGCAACTCATCTTGAACTCTGGCTCTGGGCCTGGAAGAACTGCTTTCATACCCATTTCAGATTTGCTACCTAAGTTTCAATTTGAAATTTTTTCATCTTTAACTAACAACCTACACATCTAGCATATAGCTATGTCCTGCCCAATTTGAGCAGTTTCTATGAGAGATAATTTATAAACCAAAACATGCAGAATGCTGAGTAATAAAGGAAAATGCCTGAATGATAAATATTTAGTTTGATGTAGATACATAGTTGTTCATTGCTGTGCTGCAATTCTTACCCATAAATATATCTACCTTTAACAACAGAACAAAAATGGGCTAAAAGTACCACATTTCATCTATGTCCTAAATTTCCATTAAATTAATAGACTTAAAAAATGGTCTTCAGCCTTTTTTTTTTCATCTTCTAAACTACTGAAGGGCAAAAAATGCAATCTTTGAAAGAATTTCATCAATACTTACACTGTTGATCACATTTTCTGAGGAACCTACTTGCCAGTTCTCCTGCTTCTACGGATTTTGCTAGTCATTGCGCCTGACTTAAATAGTCATATCTTTAAAAAAATCACAATTCCTCTCTGACAGATTTAGCTTCAAAATATCACTAATAAAATCACACCAATGCTTATGGGAGCATCAGAGACAAATATAAAATTTCAGGATATAAAACCTGGGTATCTGCAAAGATTTAAAAGACAAGTATGGGGCATCATAAAGCAAAATTTAAGAGTGGGTCAAACCTTTTAACAGCAGCATGAGGAAACCCAAATGGAAAAGTGGGCAACAAAGTTTAAAACTCTACTAGCAAGCAATTTAGAAAGCTCTGAAACTGTAACTAGTAACACTAGCCTCTCTTGTTTAAATAACTCATTGAGAGGTTTGTCACTGAACTGTTATCCTGAAAAGCCCACCTCTGCCAGCACATGTGGGCATGTGAACAACTCTTGAAAAATCTGTTTGTACAGAGGGGCAACTCATATTTGCTTCTTGAATTCTGGCTCTGAGCCTGGAAGAACTGCTTTCATATCCATTCTCCTACGGGATTTTAAAAAATAATAACCTGTGACATCTTTTTACTTGGCAAGCAAATGGCTTCTACCTTGAAAGCAGCCAGTTTTTTTTCTTTCCAACTTTTATTTTAGGTTCAGAGGGGACACGTGCAGGTTTGTTACCTGGGGAAATTGTTTGTCACAAGGTTTTGGTTTATAGATTATTTCTTTACTCAGGTAATGAGCACAGTACTCGATAGATAGTTTTTTGATGTTCAGCCTCCTCCCACCCTTCCACCCTCCAGCAGGCTCCCATGTCTATTGTTCCCTTAGTGTCCATGTGTACTCAATGTAGCTCCCACTTATAAGTGTGAACATGTGGTATTTGGTTTTCTGTTTCTGCATTAATTTGCTTAGGATAATGGCCTACAGTTGCATCCATGTTGCTGCAAAGGACATAGTTTCATTCTTTTTTATGGCTGTATAGTATTCCATGGTGTATATGTACCACATTTTCTTTATCCAGTCCAACACTGATGGGCATTTAGGTTGATTCCATGTCTTTGCTATTGTGAATAGTGCTGCAATGAATATATACATGCATGTATCTTTACGGTAGAATGATTTATATTCCTTTGGGTATATACCTAGTAGTGGGATTGCTGAGTCAAATGGTAGCTCTGTTTTAGGTTCTTTGAGAAAACTCCAAACTGCTTTCCACAGTGGCTGAACTAATTTACACTCCCACCAACAGTATGTAGGTGTTAACTTTTCTCCACAACCTTGCCAGCATCTGTTATTTTTTTGACTTTTTAATAATAACCATTCTGACTGGTATGAGATGGTATCTCATTGTGGTTTTGATTTAAATTTCTCTGATGATTGGTGATGTTGAGCATTTTTTTCATATGCTTGTTGGCTGCGTGTATGCCTTCTTTTGAGAAGTGTCCATTCATGTCATTTGCTAATTTTAATGGGTTTTCTTTTGTTTGTTAATTTTTTAAGTTCCTTATAGATTCTGGATATTAGACCTTTGCTGGATGCATAGTTTGCAAATATTTTCTCCCATTCTGTAAACTGTCTGCTTACTCCATTGATAGTATCTCTTGCTGTGCAGAAGCTCTTTAGTTTAATTAAGTCCCACTTGTCAATTTTTGCTTTTGTTGCAATTGCTTTTGGAGGCTTCATCATGAAATATTTGCCAGGGTATATGTCCAGAATAGTATTAATATTTCCTAGGTTTTCTTCTAGGGTTTTTATACTTTTATGTTTTACATTTAAGTCTTCAATACATCTTGAGTTGATTTTTGTATATGGTGAAAGGAAGTGGTCCAGTTTCAATCTTCCACGTATGGCTAGCCAGTTATGACAGCACCATTTATTGAATAGGGAGTCCTTTTCCCGTTGCTTGTTTTTGTTGAACTTGTTGAAGATTAGACAGTTGTAAGTGTGTGGCTTTATTTCTGGGTTCTCTAACTTGTTCCATTCGTCTATATGACTGTTTTTGTACCATATCATGCTGTTTGGGTTACTGTAGCCCTGTACTGTAGTTTGAGGTCAGGTAGTGTGATGCTTCTGGCTTTGTTCTTTTTGCTTAGGATTGCCTTTGGCTATTCTTTTTTCATTCCGTATGATTTTAGAATAGTTATTCCTAGTTCTGTAAAAAGTGTCATCAGTAGTTTGATAGGAACAGCATTGCATCTGTAAAGTGCTTTGGGCAGTGTGGCCATTTTAACACTATTGATTCTTACTATCCATGATAATGGAATGTTCTTCCACTTCTTTGTGTTGTCTCTAATTTCTTTCAGCAGTGTTTTGTAATTCTCATTGTAGAGATCTTTCATCTCCCTGGTTAGCTATATGTATTCCTAGGCATTTTATTCCTTTTGTGTGGCTATGGTGAATGGGATTGAGTTCTTGATTTGGCTCTCAGCTTGAATGTTATTGATGCACAGAAATACTATTGATTTTTGTATACTTATTTTATGTCCTAAAACAGCTGAAGTTGTTTATCAGATCTAGGAAAGTCTGGGCAGAAACTATGGCATTTTCTAGGTACAGAAGCATACTGTCTGCAAAGAGATAAGTTTGACTTCTCTCCCTATTTCGATATATTTGATTTCTTTCTCTTGCCTGATTGCTCTAGCTAACACTTCCAGTAAGTACTATGTTGAATAGGAGTGGTGAGAATGGGCATCCTTGTTTTGTTGTGGCTCTCAAGGAGGATGCTTTCAGCTTTTGCCCATTCAGTATGATGTGGGCTGTGGGTTTGTCATAGATGGTTCTTATTATTTTGAGGTACGTTCTTTTGATGCCTAGTTTGTTGAGGGTTTTTAACATAAAGGAATGTTGAATTTTATTGAAAGCCTTTTCTGAGTCTACTGAGATAATCATGTAGTTTTTGTTTTTAGCTCTGTCCATGTATTGAATCACATTTAGTGATTTGCATGTGTTGAAACAACCTTGCATCCCAGGAATAAAGCCTACTTGATCGTATTGGATTAGCATTTTCATGTCCTCCTGGATTCAGTTTGCTGGTATTTTGTTGAGGAGTTTTACATCTATGCTCATCAGGGATATTGGCCTGAATTTTTCTTTATTTGTTTGTTATGTCTCTGCCAGGCTTTGGTATCAGCATGATGTTGGCCTCATAGAATGAGTTGGATAGGAGTCCCTTCTCCTCTATTTTTCTGAATAGTTTCAGTGGTATTTGTGCCAACTCTTATTTATATGTCTGGTAGAATTCAGCTGTGAATCTGTCTGATCCATGGCTTTTCCTGGTTGGTAGGCTTTTCATTACTGATTCAATTTCAGAACTCATTGTTGGTCTGTTCAGAGTTTCAATTTTTTCCTAGTTCAGTCTTGGGAAGTTGTATATTTCTAGGAAATTATGCATTTCTTCTAGGTTTTCCAGTTTGTGTGTGTAGAGGTGCTCATAATAGTGGCACTGTCCCCTTTGTCATTGCT
Source organism: Homo sapiens (assembly GCF_000001405.40). Classification (NCBI taxonomy): domain Eukaryota; kingdom Metazoa; phylum Chordata; class Mammalia; order Primates; family Hominidae; genus Homo; species Homo sapiens. The sequence goes on from NC_000002.12 coordinate 63,727,880, forward strand.
GATTGTGTTTTTTGGATCTTCTCTCTTTTTCCTTTATTAGTCTAGCTAGCAGTCTATCAATCTTATTTTTTGAAAGTAAGCAATTTAAAGAAGCTAAAGCTAAAAGATCTTCCCCCTCAGTACTACAAATTTCAGAAAATAATAATGCAGACATGGTACTGTTTATCAATAGGTCATAATGAAATACTACCTCCAGGAGAATATCTGAAGACAAAATTAATGTATCTTCTAACATCTAACTATGCACAGAGATATAAGTAGCATAATAAGGCAATTAAAAGAAAAAAGAAGTTAGAGGAAGATTGTTTAATACAAGCAGTAGCATTATATTTTTTGGAAACTAGCAGGAAAAGTTGCTCCTGACCTACTAAGTGTAAGTGAACAAAAACGGTCTTTCAGAAACTGGACCCACATCTGAAGCTGTATGGCTCCTATTCAAAGGAGCTTACTTGGCCAAACACCAGGACCTGGACGAGGGTGAGAGAAGTGAGGAGCCTGGGCTCAAACTTTGAGTAGGTGCTCACTTTCAAGGCTGACATTGCACTTGTATGATCCTGAGAGTGAAGGGGCCTCCTTAAATTCTGACCACTAGGCTGGCTGGCATCTTAATCACCTCACCCTTGTCCTGTGAAAATGCTTTTTGACAAATGTGATACTTTTTAAAAGTAATGTCATATACTAAATTTTATTTACATCTTATGATAACCCTAGGAAGTAAATATATAATTATCCTCATTGTACAGATGAGGAGACTGAGGCTCAAGGTTAAGTGATAACTTGCAGTTATCCCACTGCAAGTTGAATAGCATGACTTGAACGTGGGCTTTGTGACTTTAGTGTTGGCATCCTTCCACTCAGTGCTCCATTCCCATGCCATCATGGACTGCTTCTCTCTGAGTTCCACAGGGGTTCCTTCCAGCAGGCATCAAGGAAATTTTCAATATACAGTCTCATGAACATGAACTGAAAATATTTGGGAAGTTAAAATAAACTCATTCTTCATCTAACTATTCATCCAATCGCTATTTAGGACCAGCACTAAGAGTTACGTATTTCTAACAAAAAGAATCCTTGATTCATATTTTCTAAGAACATACACTGACACTTTTAATGGCTTTTGACCAAGAGTTAATTATGCCCCTCAAAGAGGCCACTCCACGTTATCCACACTCATGATATTCTCTTCAATATGAAGGTCCAAGTAAATATCAATCAATCACAGTGCCATATGTCACTGAATAAAATTATTCCTGAAAAAAATATTTTCTACATCAAACACTGACTTGGAGATAATATGATTCAGTATTTTTTAACCCAGTGTTGTCACAAAAGGAAACATAGGATTCTGATTATACATTAATGATTTTATTAAAATTATGTTAATAGATGCTGTATTAAATCTGATCTAAAAATTTTTTAACCTAAAACCATTTTGTAATACACCACAAAAAATGATAAAAAAAATATATTTTAATTCCTAAGAAGTGGAGTTGTTCTGTGGAAAGGAGTTTTGGAGTAAAAATAAATGAATAACAGAATAGGTGGTGGTGGGGGTTGCAGATTCAGTTTGTATTTTTCAGGAAACACATAGCCCCAGTTAGGAGAAGTAGCCTGTTGAAGGTCATCCAGTTAGTGGCAGGGCCAGGACCCACATCTCCTAACCCCCAATTCAAAGCGCTTCCTCTGAACCCTGCTGCCTCCTGATAGCACATCAGGTGATTTCACCTTCATGCCAAAACAAAGCAAAACAAAACAAAAAAACCCAGAAATATTGCACAACTCAATTTTCTATTTTCTTATTTAACATGTGGAATAACTTTCATCTATAGTTTAAGGCTACTCTCTCCCCCAGACTAAAGGGATACAGCAGTTTTAACCAAATTTCTGCACACTAGTTATGTTTCCTATGCTGCTTTATGTAGTGAAAAAAAAAATACAGTCAAAAGTAAGGATCACAAAGAGGAATTAGGTTGTTTGTTTTTCCTGTGCCTGACACATGCTCCTGTATTATTTTCTTATAATGCTGAAATTCATCAAATATAGTCCATGCTCATTTTTCTACTTGGTGCTTCATTGGCTGGCATTTATTTACGCATAGTGAGAATGGGAGAAAGAGCCATTCCCCAGGCAGGGGCATAAGTAGCTCAGTGTTTGTTGTAAGGGAGGGAAAGAGTAGTTTCAGATACTAGGAGACAAGTAGAAAAAGAGTAAGTGTGAACATGGACACTTATACACAGGCATGTGTGTAATTCCAAGCGACATTTGTATGCATTATCTCATGCAATCTTCACAAGGACCTTAGGAAGTAGGTACTATTGTTATTCTCATTTTTTTTTTTTTACATGAGGAATTTGACTTACAAAGTGACTGACCCAAGATCACACAGCTACTATGTGACAGAACCAGGATCTGAACTGAGGCTATCTGACTCCAAAAACCCACAGGGAGGAAAATTTTCTCCCTTCGGTTTCTGGAGGTTGATTTGCTACCCCTCGCTATCAAAATAGAAAGGAGTGCAAATGGTCAGGCCTTTATCAGGGACAAGTAATTTCTTAATGACTGAAGTTCTCTAGTAATACTGTCTTCTTCTTTTGTTTTTTTTGAGACGGAGTCTCGCTCTGTTGCCCAGGCTGGAGTGCAACAGCGTAATCTCAGATCACTGCAACCTCCTCCTCCCGCGTTCAAGTGATTCTCCTGCCTTAGCCTCCCGAGTAGCTGGGATTACAGGTGCCCACCACCATACCTGGCTAATTTTTTTATTTTACTGTCTTCTTTATGGCATCCCCAGGAGATATGACATGATCACCGTGGTAAGGCAAAGTTCAATTCAAGAGCAAGAAAAGGTACTGAGAAAAGAGAAAAGAAAAAATGGGCACTTAGAGGAGAGTATCATTAAAAGAGTGAAAAGATAATGATTTACTAGTAGGAATTACAGCCAAAAAATAAGCAGTGATTAAATGTTGATGTCCTCACTGCTGAGTTCCAATCTTTAGAAAGTTGGCTGGACTCACCTTTTGCTGTTATTTTCAATGATATATGGGAGAAAGGTAAAATAGCCAAGTACATGAAAAAAAAAAAATACAAGCACTATCTTAAAAGACAAGAATGAGGCCGGGTACGGTGGCTCATGCCTGTAATCCCAGCACTTTGGGAGGCCGAGGCGGGCGGATCACGAGGTCAGGAGATCGAGACAATCCTGGCAAACATGGTGAAACCCTGTGTCTACTAAAAATACAAAAGTTAGCTGGGTGTGGTGTCACGTGCCTGTAGTTCCAGCTACTTGGGAGGCTGAGGCAGGAGAATCACTTGAATCCGGGAGGCGGAGGTTGCAGTGAGCTGAGATTGCGACACTGCACCCCTGCATGGCAACAGAGTGAGAATCCGTCTCAAAAAAAAAAAAAAAAAGACAAGAATAAGACTGTTTATAAACTGTTGGGGGTTTTTTTGTTTTATTAACTCATAGTAGTGCAGTTTTAAAAACTGAGGTAAAATTCACATAACATTAATTAACCTATTAACCATAATGTACAATTCAGTGACACTTAGTATATATTCACTATGTTGTGCAACTTATCACCTCTAACTACTCCCAAGAAATTTTCATCACCCCACAAGGCAACCCTGTACCCATAACAATGCAGTCTGAAGAAATACTATTAGGAAAGTTGGCAAAATGGAGGAAAGTAAGATACTAAGATCCAGTGGTATGGCAAAAAGTGAGAAGTAGCTAATGGATTAATATAAAAATAAATATTTTAAAAATCGTATTTAACAAATTTTTGCTGGAACATTATAATGTACAATGTACTGTGCAGAGTGTTGGATACTGTGGTTGGAGGGAGGATAGGGAAGGTAGCAAATATGAATGCAATCTGATTTTAGTCTTCAAAAGAGCTTGTAATCTCAAGATGAATTCAGACATGTCATCAATGGTACAAGGTAAGCAAGAGACAAGGGACTGGATAGAGAAAGGATAAGATACCAAAGGAAGGTGATAAGAAGTATATTTGTTCTGTTTAGATTAAGCAAAGTCTAGTTCTTGAGCCAATGATGATTTTCTCTGTAAGACTATGAAAAGCAGATGCCAGACAAACTGCTAAAATCAAGGCAAATGTTACATGGGCACATGAAGTGAATCCCCACTCCCTAGGAATAAATGAGGAAAGAGGGGAGATAGTTAAGGCTCCATGTGACTATTGGTCTTTATGGTTTTATGGTGTGTAGACACTCTTACAATAAAGTAGAAGCCAAATCCAAGACACAGATGGGGGGAAATGAAAAGAGGGTGCTATGCAATCATAGCTTTCAAGGCATCATTTGTGCATTTAAGACATATAAAGAATGAGCAACATGAGCTGTTATGGATGCCAACAAAATTAAAATGGGACATAAAGAAGAGTACCATAGCATTGATGCTATAAAGACTAGGCTTATGCCCCAAGATGGAAGAAAATGCAACTGCTGGAGACTAAGCTTCAAATTCCACCCTGGCCAAGATGAAATGGCAAATCATGCTACAAAAAAAGGTGATTTGTAAATATAGAAGAGGGGTATCTTTCCATAAGATAAAATGCAGAAGATCATCAATGGAATGTAAATATTGAGGACCTAAAAACTATAATAAGAAATTATCAAAGTACTCTTAAAGGAGATATATACTTATTAGAGAATAAATAATAAACCTGAGTACTATATAAAAATAACATATAGGAGTCTACAAGAAATAAAGGAATAAGTATAACCAGTTTATAGTAAATATAAAACAGAAATATCTTACAAAATGTTTTATTTATTTAAGAAATGATGGTTCTACAATAAAAATATTCGATAGGGGCAGCAAATACCATTGCATGGGATATGACATTATTTTTGGAGTCACTCAACCAAGATTAAGGGAAAGAAAGAATTGAATTACAGTTTTGAAGAAAAAGCTTATTGAGCTTATTCAGGGGAAGGGTGAATGATGAAGAGTAAATCATTGAAACTTGAAAATAAAGACTCAGGAGGCAGAAACATGAAGAACTACAGATATGTAAAAAGTCAGGAGAATTGGACATACATGCACAGTACTGGAGAACTGGGCAAAATGTATTAGAAGAAAGAGGAGAGTGAAACAAAAGTGTCAGCAAAGACAGCAAAGAGAAACCCATTACATTTATAAGAAATAAAACTTTTCTGTTTTGATGAACAACTATAAATGGGTATAAAATATAAGTATGTTTGGAAAGAAAACATTTGAGAACCATATGAGTTAGTGGGAGTGAAAGTGCTTTAAAAATTACAAGCTAATATACAAATAAATGATTTTTTTTTTTTTTTTTTTTTTTTTTTAAGACGGAGTCTCGCTCTGTCGCCCAGGCCGGACTGCGGACTGCAGTGGCGCAATCTCGGCTCACTGCAAGCTCCGCTTCCCGGGTTCACGCCATTCTCCTGCCTCAGCCTCCCGAGTAGCTGGGACTACAGGTGCCCGCCACCGCGCCCGGCTAATTTTTTGTATTTTTTTTAGTAGAGACGGGGTTTCACCTTGTTAGCCAGGATGGTCTCGATCTCCTGACCTCATGATCCACCCGCCTCGGCCTCCCAAAGTGCTGGGATTACAGGCGTGAGCCACCGCGCCCGGCCGCCAAATAAATGATTTTATCTCACTGGAGCATAGCAGTGATGGGCTTTCACACAGTCCAGGCAAAGAGGGCAGAAGCATTTAGCTGGTCCTGCTCGGTTACCATAAAACACAGTGACTAGCAAGGGCAAGTGTGTTGAAGACTGGGATTGCCAACGACTGTCTTCTCTGTACTTGTCAGTGCTGGCTGGAAGAAAACCTCTGGAAAATCTTCTTCTTGTGCAGAATCTTCAATTTGTATTTTTTTTAAATTGGGATATAATTCACCTACCATAATATTCACCCCTTGAAAGTGTACAATTCAGTGGCTCTTAGTATATTCACAAAATTGTGCAACCATCACCACTATCTCATTCTAAACATTTTCATCACCATAAAAAAAACCTCTAAACCCATAAGTAGCCCCTCATTTCCCCCTCTTCCCAGCGTCTGGCAACCAAGAATCTACTTTGTCTCTATGAATGTGCTTATTCTAGAAATATCACATGAATAGAATCACACCATATGTAACCTTTTGTGTTTGGTTTCTTTCACTTAGTGTTTTTAATGTCCATCCATGTTGTAGTAGGTATGAGTACTCAGTCCATTTTATGGCAAAACAATATTCCATTGTTAGATAAACTACATTTTGTTATCCATTCACCAGTTGATGAACATTTTCAGTTTTTTTAAATTTCCTTTAATTTTTTTCTAGTGTGCAGATATTTGGAAATTATTCTTACATTCAACTAGACAAATTCCAAGTATGTGATATAAGGTTCTTAAGATTAATTTTAAGATAAAGAATTTGTATAAAAATTGGCAAACATCACAAAAGGCCTAGAAATGAATAAAGTGGCTTTATGTATGTATTTACATATATAACCACTTTATTATATATACATATATATGCATATAATGTCTATATAATGAGATCTTGTGACCAGTTATCTACATCTAACTTTCCCTATTTAGGTACACATTTTCCATCGAATGGCTGCTCTTTGCCAAAAAAATAAATTAATTAATTAAAAGGCCATGACTTTTCTCAGTGCCCCACATGAAACAATACCTCGAGTAAATCTTCACTTCACTGGATTAAAACTTGTATGTTCCATCTACAGAGTTAGTGTTGATCTTTCTCAGAGTTGCATCAGCTTTAACAAACATTTGAACATCACAGTATGCAAACAAATGTGAACCTAAACCATTGTTGAAAGCTGACCATGGCAAAATGCATGAAAGAAAGGAGCTGGATAAAAATTACTTGCTAAACCTGCAGTTTAAGTTATTGCACCTTTTTATTTTTTTTCTTAGTTTTCCTCACTGAAACCAAACATAGGCTGAGAAATTTTAAGTTGCAGAAGGATAGATAGATGGAGATAGATAGATAGACAGACAGACAGACAGACAGACAGACAGACAGACAGATAGATAGATGATAGACAGATGAAGAAATTTCCCACTTAAAAAATATGCCCTGTGAGTGGTTCTAATTTAGTTGAAGGAGTTTGGGTAAGTTCAGATTTCCATGGTAACTCTGATATCATTTATTCATTAAGCAAACATTTATAGAAGAATTACTTACTATGTGCCAGGTATCTTGAGGGCTACAAATACAGAACAATATTGCTTCTGACCTCATGAAAATGAGTATCTAGTGAGGAAAGTAAGATATGAATACAAATATCTATAATATAGAGTGGAAGTGATAGCTCCTATGATAGAGATGCAGATAAATTGTTACAGGAGTTCAGAAAAATTATAGGTCCCTTGCAGTTAAGAGAGACCAAGAAAAGCTGGGCAGGCAGAGAAGGTGATATCAGAACCGTGGCCTTAAACTGTAAGGAGAGGTAGAATCTGAACAGGTAGAAAGAGGGAGCAAGAACCGGTGGGACAAAGGGACAAAATCAGAGCATTTCTGGGCATGTGAAGGAAGAACAGGAAGCTCAGAAGACTGTGGGACAAGGAGCAATGCGCCACAGGATGGGAAACAGGGTTGAGTCAGACAGTGCAAGGTCTTGGATGCCATGAGAAAGAGTTCATATTTTATATTGTAGCCAACAGAGAGCTATTAAGGTTTTTGAGCAGGGAAGTAATAGGGAAGAGCTGTATGTGGGAAAGATTAACTTGTAATCCAAGTATAAAATCATGTAAAAAGGGTCGGAGGAAGGGGCCCAAAGTGGGAAAACCAGTTAGGAGTCTATTACCATGGTCCAAAAGAGAGAGACACCGTCAGACTAGAGGCATGGAAGAAAGAAATATTATGAAATCAGAATCGAATAAATGTTTCATATTCTTGTTGTTAATTGTGTTCCAGAAAGCTAAATTCTATTAAGTTAATATAGAAACAAGCTTTGACTGACTGGTGACAATATCAGGCACCTGTACCCAAAGATACACAGAAAATAACCCTAGCTCTCTGTTAAAAAAGAAACTTATAATACCAATGGTTTTCGAGAGTCCTTTCCAGTTAAATTTTTCTTTTTGAAATACTTAATCCATCATTAAGATTCTCCAGGGAGAGTTCTCATAATCCAGAGGTTAAGGATTGCAGAATTCTAGACACTGAAGTCTAGGCCAGTTTCCCCACCTCCAATTTTACTGACAGTGAAACTGAACACCATAGAGGAAATGACTTCTCCAGGAAAACATTGCTGGTTAGAATGCAAATCTCCTGATCTCTGACCCTCATCTCATTAATGCATATTCTGCTGTGGATATTCTATGTTGGCTAGAACTGAAGTATCAAAATAAAGTGACTCTTTTAGTTCACATGGGCTTAAAAAATTGGTTTCAAATAAATAGCAAACAAAAAATATGACTCCATCAGAAAATTGGAAACCTGCAAGGTATTGCTGTCTGGATGAAATACTGATGTACCACATGCCTTACTTATCAGGTATCATAAAACACTGGCTTAAATGCAATGTAGCAACCACTTAACTCTGTGGAAAACTCTGATTACTTAGGGGAATTCCTTAGGTCTTACAGAGAACTTGTGGTCTCCAAAATATAATACCAAACTTTTTTTTATTGAGAACACCAAATATGTTTTTAATAGAATTCAATTTAGGATTTCAGGAAGTAACTGAAAATCTGCAGCCTATAGGCATTGCAGAAATGAAGGAAAAGGGCATCAGTCTCTCAAAATTCTGGCAGGAAAGGAGTGGCTATCTCCAAAGTTATTTTTCCTCTGGAATAAGCTGCTTGCTGGTGCCAAAGAACAGCTCATCAGCAATGTTGTTTGATTTTGTAGGGATGTTTTGAAAGAGAAAAAAAAATTAGGAATGAATGCTGTGATTTTTTAAACCTCATATCCCAAAACCTATAATAATTTTGCTGCTTTTTATTTTTAAAAAACAAAACCAAATGTTTGAGATTTGATTTTGAGTCCACCATGTTCACTGCAGGCATATTATGTCAATCTTATTACAAGATGCAGCATGTAATTTCTTTAAATGCTGCCAAAGACAAAGAAAAAAAAAACCATATATTACCTTATAGACTCAAACGACAGCACAAAAACAAGCTATAAACTACCATTTCTCTACCTCTCCTGGAGGGCTCTCATCCTCCAAAAATGTACAGGGATGTCTCATGTGTACTCCCAAAACAGTTCTCTTGGCTGCCATGTGGTTCACAATTCTCCATGCCTGATATAAGCAGCTGCTGGCAATCCTTCAAGCCATGTCCCACTGCCCACCAAAAGCACTACCACCACTGTTGCAGTTGCTGATGTGTGCAAGCAGGCCTCCAAGGCTCAAAGCTCAACTTCAAGGGCATCAAAGATATTGATAGTCCTGGAGCCAAGGCTGCTGCTGCTGGCACCAATATTCATGACACAAACAAGCTGCACTCTCCATGTCCTAAGAAGATTAGCAAACACCAACTCCTTTAGTTTCTACTAGGTCTTATATTACAGACACTTTGGGGTCACAGAACTCAGAGACAGATGAGGTAGATGTTCAATAGCTATTTGTTGAAAGAATGAATTAGTCCTCCTTGCTGGGCTAGAAGCAACCTGAGTGGCAGACATCATGTGTACTCAGACATGTTCAACCTCATCTGCTGTCTTAATACAACCTCTGTACTTTGGTTCTTCCTTCCACTGGGATGAGTTCTTTCCTGGAGGCTACTTGAGTTGTCTTATAAGTAGAATTCCAGAAGGCCCATCCCACTAGATACCAGGCATGTCCAGATATGCCTGAATACTGGGGAAGATAAAACTTAGGCTCAACCTTTACCACATACTATCTTTCTTCATCTTAAAAAAGGAAATACAGAACTGACATAATTATACAAATAATTCAAGTTTTTGTTTTTCATTTGAATCTCATTGGGAGTTACAAATTGGCAGCCTGTAGGCTGAATCTGGCCAGATGATTTTTTTTTAAGCACACATGATTTTAAAAAATTTTGTTTGAGTTAGTATACATCTAGATCAGTGGTTCTCATACTTGAATGTGCATCAGAATCAAGCTTGTTACAACTCCAGGGCTTGTTAAAACTTAGATTGCTGGGCCCCACCCCCAGCATTTCTAATTCCATGGCTCTGGGTTGGGGGCCAGATAACTTGAATGTCTACCTAGTTCCTAATGTAGCTGGTCTGGAGACATATTCTGACAACCAGTGCTTAGGTGCTCTGTAGTTTTCCCACACCCCTCACCAGTCCCCATTGCATTTCATCTGACCCGTTTTATTCATTTCTATTACTAACTGCTTGGCCTGTGAGTCTGAAAATTCTGTGAGTCTCAATATTTCAGGTGAAATCCCTTTTACAGCATGACTCATGGAGATGATTGTATAATATTATCCACTTTATTTCACTTGTAATACGTGGTTTATCTATGGCCTCACAACAGAATGTTCAGCAAATACTCAGGTTCTTATTTTTTTTATCAGGGCTACTATTGACATTTGCTTGTTCAGGGGACCACCCCCACTCCTTCTCCTGTGCACATAGATCTGCTTGATATCAGCCCAATCCAGAAGTGGAAAATGAGAAAGGCCAGAATGCTTATGACAAATGAGAAAGCAATTTCATTTTTGTCTGTTTGATCATGTCACTTTTAGAATTAAATGGTGATTTTTCAAGCATATCTGTATTTGAAATTTTAATCTATACCTTGGTCAAAGACCAAACATTGCCTGAAAACCAAATACTGATTATATTCATAGCTATAGGCATAGTAATATGTGAGGATAATTTAAATCTGTCATAAAGGATAAATGTTTATGTTTTTTAAACTTTTTATTGAAGTATTACCAGATAAACAGAATAGTATATACATCATAAATGTACAGATCATTGAATTTTCACAACTGAACACACTCATGTAACTACCACCTAGAGCAAGAAAGAGATCATTACCAGCTCCCCAAAATCCCCCCGACAACCCTTTCAAATATTAACTCCCAAGGTTACTACTATGCTGACTTCTAACAGCATAGATTAGCTTTGCCTATTTTTGTAATTTGTACAAATGAACTTATACAATATGTACTCTATGTGTCTGGCTTTTTTTGATCAACATTATGTTTATTAACATTGTTTTTTAACTTTTATTTTAGGTTTGGGGGTACTTGTGAAGGTTTGTTATATAGGTAAATACATTTCACAGGGGTTGTTGTACATATTATTTTATCACCCCAGTATTAAGTCCAGTACCCAATAGCTATATTTTCTGCTCCTTTCCTTCCTCCCACCTCAAGTAGACCCCAGTGTCTGTTGTTTCCTTCTTTGCATTGATAAGTTCTTATCATTTACCTCCCACTTATAAGTAAGAACATGTGGTATTTAGTTTTCTGTTCCTGCGTTAGTTTGCTGAGGATAACAGCCTCCAGCTCCATCCATGTTTCCACAAAACACATGATCTCATCCTTTTTTATGGCTGCATGGTATTCCATGGTGTATATGTACCACATTTTCTTTATCCAATCCTAATTCTTTATCCAATTAGGTTGATTCCATGTCTTTGCTACTGTGAATAGTGCTACAATGAACATTCGGATGCATATATCTTCATGGTAGAATGGTTTGTATTTCTCTGGGTATGTACCCAGTAATGGGATTGCTGGGTTGAATGGTAGTTCTGCTTTTAGCTCTTTGAGGAATCACCACACTGCTTTTGTGGATAGCAGCAATCAAACTTTTGTGGAAAGCAGTGTGGTGATTCCTCAAAGAGGAATGGTTGAACTAATTTACACTTCTACCAACAGTGTATGTGTTCCCTTTTCTTGACAACCTTGCCAGTATCTGTTATTTTTTTACTTTTATTAATAATAGCCATTCTGACTGGTGTGAAATGGTATCCCACTCTGGTTTTGATTTGCACTTCTCTAATGATCAGTGATATTGAGCTTTTTTTTCATATGCTTGTTGGCCACATGTATACCTTCTTTAGAGAAGTGTCTATTCATGTCCTTTGTCCACTATTTAATGGGTTTTTGTTTTTCTCTTGTAAATTTAACATGGTTAATAAACATTAACATCACTAATGAACATTATGTTCATTAACATTGTTATATATAATCATAATTTGTTCACTGTCATTGCTGTATAGTATTCCATTATGTGATTACACTACAATTTAGTCATTCTACTATTGATGAGCATTTGGATTATTTACATTTTGATGGGGCTAGAAAAAGTGCTGCTACAAACATTCTCATATATGTCTTTTGCTGCACATATATGTGTACTTCTATTAAGTATATAGCTTGGGGTAGAATTGCTGAGTCAGAGGATATATGTATATTCAGCTGTAGGAGATTCTGCCCAAAAGTTTTCCAAAGTGATTGTGCCAATTTATACTTCTATTAGATGTGTATCAAAGTTCCAGTTTCTCCACATTGTTTCCAACACTTTGGATTTTACTTATTACTCTAAAGAGAGATTTGACTAGATTTAAGTTATCAGTGTCTTTATCTAATTTTCATACATCTTAAGTTCACTGCACACCTTCTATCACTTTCAAGCAATCAAGGCATACATCTTTCTTTAATAAATGATTGGGCTTCGCAACCAATTTGTAAATAGATACCTTAGTGAATTTGCTGTCTAAGTGAATATTCCTCCTGCCATAAATTATCTGTTTGTTTTTAAGCCACAAAGTATATTATGAATGGGAAGATAATGATTATTCTCTGTGTTTGCAGCTGTAATCTAAATGTGTAACCAACATTACTTTGCATTTGGTAACAGGCAGTTGTTATTTGTAGCAACTCTTCCTGCAGGTGATGCTCTTCCTCAAACCACAATTTCCATAATACATTAAGAAGTTTAAGACCTCACTCTAGTCTTACTGTACAAGGTAATTTGTCCATTTGCTGCTCCTAGTTCCTACAGCCCAGAGCCATGCCCAACACATGAGCAGTTAATTGTCTTTTGGTATAAAAACATAGTTCTTTCTCCTGTCCATGAGGAATATATAATTGCTTTACTTCTAGTTCTTCTGCTCATGCATTCTTGGCACATCTATTTTGTGAAATTCTGTCCTGATGATTTTGGTATTAACCAATTTTGGTATTAATCAAAATTGTGGTATGTGGAAAGCTATTGCTGAGAAATTTTATATCCTTAATGGGATATCCAGGAAGTCAGATGTTTCTGGATAATGTCTGCCTTTAGGGAAGGAAGCTGGAATTTTCTGGATAAAGGTTGACTCTAACAATCAGTAACAAATTTCTGATATTGTGCAATGTCTCTTACTTTGCTGTAAGCTGATCCTTCAAAAATACTGAGACAAAGCACTTAATAAAGACATCTTTTGTGGCACCATTAAGCACTAGCTAGGGAGTCAGTCTCAGGTCCCTCGGACCTTCTTTGATTTATTTTTTTTTTCAGGCTCATTTATCCACTGTACACCCTGAGTTAAGATACCTGCACAGAGCTGGGTTTCTCCTGGGCATCTCTGGCAGCCAGCTGTTAGAAATAAATGTTTTATTTAATTGTTTAATTGAGTGGGAAATGGTTTAAGTAGAGTTGGTCTCTTGTATTTCACTATGCTTAATGTTTACTTTCTTTGCTTGCCTACTTTGAATGATTTCTGGCTTTGATAAATTGCATCTTAAATTTTTTTGGTTTACCTGCATGATTACAATATTTGCATTTTTTTTTCAAATTTAATGGCTTAACAATGTAACGTCATTCCTCATTTGCCACTTTTAATCAGAAACTGGGTAAGTGAAAAATCAGTGTTGTGGATTATTTTATTTAAAAACCCTCTGATTTCTTTAAATAAATCATTTAAAAATTCAAGCAATTTATAAAAGCACAACAAATAAAGCCCCCTCTTACCACTCAGAAAATGACTGTTGCTAACTTTAGGTGAATATTATTCCAGACTTCTCTATGCCTATATACAGATAAAAGATTAGACAAACAAAAAGCAAGATAAATGGAAAACGTTATTAAAATTGGATCATACAACAGCTGGTGGTTAATAAAGAACTATTAAAGTTTACTTCAGTTTAACAAAAGAAAAAGAAAACTGAATGATATGGATTAGCTGAACTCCAGATAAATTTTTTCTCACATGTCAGGCATATTTTAGAGATCTCAATCATGTGTGCTTGGGCTTGACTCAGTCTGATGTCTATCTCTTGGCATAAACCCAGAGGAATTTCTTGACTGTATGTCCAGGAATATTAGTCTCCCCTATCTCTAATAGTTCATCTTATTACAGTGTAAGTGTTTTTGTCAGTAGCCTGTTGTTCTTTCTGTAAAAAGATAAAATGGAAAGAAAGAAACAGGAAGAAGAGAAAAGGAAGGAAGGGAGGGAGGAAGGAAGGAAGGGAGAGAGGGAGGAAGGAAGGGAGAAAGGAAGGAAAGTTTCTATTTCAATGTCTGTATTCTAGCTTATAATTTTAGTGGTCCTCTTAATTAAAGTGCCATGTAACTTGTGGATGATACTCACCCAACATTATAGGGAGACTTAGTGTTTTAAGATAGGTCTGGCCTTCCTACTTCATTACAGAATAGGTCCCAGGGATCACTTTGGGATGGTCCTCAGAATTTATCGTGCCCTGCCTGATCCATATCCTCTCACTAATGAGGTAGATTGCATTAAAAGCCTCGTCTTGTTCAATCTATTTTATGCAGTCTGCCATGCCTACAAGGGTTCTTTTTTCTTATAAATTCTAATGATATTATCTGTAGATTATCAACCCAAAACTTGAGAGCAGTGATAACTAACAAAAGACCCATACGAGATGACATAAAAACGTTGGTGGATTGTTTATTGTATGTTCCACACAATGCCACAGACCATGACCTTCTAGAACATCTGGGTAACGTGCCAAGCAGCACCAGGGAAACTCTATACCCAGTCCTTGCCTCAGTAACACAGAGCCCAATGTTATCAGTTGCATTTTATTACTAGCCTGTAAAGAATTTAAGGGTGCTATAATTGAAAATGAACTGAAAATTTAATAAGAAAGGCCAGCATGACACATGACGCAGGTGAACGGAAAGAAGGGAACTAACATTTCTTGAGCCTCTATTTTATGCCAAAAGGGATGTTTACATCTTTTTAATCCCCAAACAACCCCGTGGAATTGATATTGTTTGTATTTTCATGTTACAGATGAGTAAACAAGGCTTGGAGGGATTGATGTTGTAAGTGGTGAGCTGGAATTTGAATCCAGATCTGTCCCATTCCAGTGCTCTTTCTCCTGAGCTGTTCTTCCTACCTGCAAGTTGTTATTCCAACAAAATTTCAAACTATATTCTAAATGAGCTCTGTGATAAGGTGGTATGTGCAGCCTGCTACGTGGCTTCCCTACCTAATCATTCTTCAGAGCATCAGACCCAACTATTTCAGTAAGGTCATCAATGTTAGAGTCACACTTAACACTAAATGGATTTGGTTACCGCCTGTCCTTGCCACCTGATGCTGCCAGGGAAAATGGAAGAACAGCTGCTGGAAAGATTTGCTAATTCCTTTGAATAGCTTGTGACATTATCTAAACTTTAGATTCCAAAGGGATTTGTTGATTCTACAGTTTTTAAAAAAATACATCAAGATATACCTGGAAATAAGATAATGAGGTTTTTAGAAAATTATTTTGTTGGCATTATGTAGACTTCTCAAATAATTCATATGAAAGTTAATCCCAAGTTATGAATACTTGCATGACAGTCCACAGCATTAAGAGATGGCATTCTATTTGAAAGGCCATGTGCACAGTTGAGCAACTTGATATCAAGTGATCTTATTAGGGAGATTACATTGTAGACCTTGTGATACTAAAAGCTTTTTAAAAAAAATACCATGAGCTGCTTAAAAGTAACAACTGATTGTGATATATTTATTGCAACTTTAATAACATGGAAAATTATGTTTAAAAAATTTATTCATTGCTTATCACTCTTTGTGACTTTAAGATCTCTCAACAAAACACTTGAGTAGAAATCACATAACTTAATGTACAAAACAGAAAGCAGTACTAATTAAAGTGTAATAAGCCCCTTAATGGCAGGGGCAACTTATACACATCATGTTCTAAAAAGAAATTATTGATTTTTCTAATCTGTCATAACATGTTCCAGATGTATGAAGGGTGGGGGTGTGGAGGGATAGTAGACAGAGGGAGTTATTTCTCATTTTGTTTTATAACTGGAGAAAGTGAAATAGAGAAGTGATCTGTTGCAGTCATAGTGTTCTTGGATGCACAATACAGTTTTAGCTGCATTGCACTTTTTCTCGAGCAGAATATTCATACTTTACAGCTTCAGTTTAAGGAAATGGTGCCTTCTTCTTTGTTTCCAATATACTCTAACCTGAAAGCTGCAACAGCAATGCAGCCCTCTCCTCTTGCTCACTGACCTTCTTTTATGCTGGCCTTTGGTTCAGAATGGCACATCATTCCTCGTTTTTGTCTTCAGTAAATGAGACAAGATTCTGAGAAGACAGCCACCGTAATGTTGCTGCCATCAAAGGAACTGGATGCCAGTTAATTGATAAGCTTCTTCCATAGTTACACTGTCCATACTTCTCTCAATGTTAAATCAAACAAATTAGTCAGACCAAGGACACAGAACTCAGACTCTCTGGAAAACAACGTCTCTCATATACTGTAGTAAATCACTAAGTTGCAATTGTTTTAAACGTAAACAAATAAAAGAAACAAAGAAAAGAAAAGCAGCTTACATCCTAAAGGGAAATTAATTTACAATCACATTTTTCTAATTATAGTCCTTTCAGTTCTTTTTTCCCCTTTGAGAAGTCTTCTGTATGAGTCTGCCTTTTGGCTCCACAGTCTGCACAACCCAGAGAAAACCCTCTGATTATAGAAACTTCCATGTGGTGAGATTCTAGGTCCCCCTTTCCCCTACCCACCCCACCTCCTGCACAAATAGTTTCACCATCTGTCTATAACACTGCCTGAAATTTCATCATTAAATATATTCTTTCAGATTAAATATATACCCACTTATTTTAAAAATAATAATCACGTCATTGAACATTCCCATAAGCCTAACACAACTATTTATATTACTTTAAATTTCTCTGATATTTTCAGTGCTTCTGCAGATCTTTTTAATCATATAAACAATATGTGAATTTATGTTTAGTCTGGTTGTTCATTTGATGTTGTTTAATATATCCATATATCAATACAAGGTATATATTTATGTTATTTTCATAAGTAATGTACTCTACTTTGAGGATTTATAAAGAGTAAAGAATTTGAATTGTTTTAAGTTTTGCCTTTATAAATATTTCTGCCTTAAACATTATTTTACACATTGGTTTGTTCTGCCCTTTAAAAATTATTTTCTTAAATAACCTTAAGTTTCCCAAAGCAGAAACCTGAGTCAAAGAATGGCAATGTTTTAATATCTCATTTCATATTTCTAATATGGTTAAAACTATTCCACTGAATGATCGTATCAACTGGCAATGCTGCCAACAACTATGAGTACCAGTTTCTCTACACTGTTGGTTGATTACTATCATTATTAAATTTAAAAACATATGTATTTACATTCATAGTTTAGAACTCATAGTTGTTGGTTTTAGATATTTTTAATTAGACAAGGTAATGATTTTTCAACTGTTGTTTTATTACAGCTCTTTCATCTGGAAGGCCTAGAGTTTGGGTATTGGTCTTATAGCTCTGCATTATGATTAAAATCATATGCGCATGCACGCACTTACACACACACACACACACACACACACTTGTACTCCATCTTATTTGCTCCCTTTCTCTGGAGAATCTTGACTAATATAGGGGCTATTATCAACTATGTTTCCATGAATGTTCTGTATGACTCCTGATGAGTATGAGGGAGTTACTGGAGTTACTAGGGTAAAAACTGTGCCTCTTTTCTTCTTTATGAAGTACTGCCAAACTGTTTTTGTGCCCATTTATGTTCCCACCAGCACAGCTGAGTTCCCATTAAGGCAGATGCTGATCAACCCATGGTATTGGCTATTTTAAAATTTTTGTTAATCTGATAGATAGGAAATATCTCATTGTATTTGCATTTTCTTAATCACTAATGAAGGTGAGCATGTTTTCATATGTTTATGGGCCATTTGAGTTTCTTCTTTTGTGAAATGTGTTGTGGGAAGTCAGGGACCCCAAACAGAGGGACTGGCTGAAGCCATGGCAGAAGAACATAAATTGTGAAGATTTCATGGACATTTATTAGTTCCCCAAATTAATACTTTTATAATTTCTTACACCTGTCTTTACTGCAATCTCTGAACATAAATTGTAAAGATTCAGGGCATTTATCACTTCCCCAATCAATACTCTTGTGATTTCCCATGCCTGTCTTTACTTTAATCTCTTAATCCTGTCATCTTCGTAAGCTGAGGATGTATGTGGCCTCAGGACCCTGAGATGATTGCATTAACTAAACAAATTGTTTGTAGACCATGTGTTTTTGAACAATATGAAATATGGGCACCTTAAGAACAGGATAACAGCGATTTTCAGGGAACAAGGGAGATAACCTTAAAGTCTGGCTGCCTGTGGGCTGGGCAGGACAGAGCCATACTTCTCTTATTACCGAAAACAGGTAAGAGAAATATCGCTGAATTCTTTCCCCAGTAAGGAATATTAATAATTAACAGCCCTGGGAAAAGAATGCATTCCCAGGGGGGGCCTCTAAAATGGCCACCCTGGGAGTGTCTGCCTTATGCAGATGTAGATAGGGATGAAACACGCCCTAGTCTCCTGCAGCGCCCCAAGGTTTGCTAGGATTAGGAAATTCCAGCCTGGCGAATTCTAGTCAGACCGTTTCTCTGCTCTTGAACCCTGTTAAGATGTTTATCAATGATAATGCGTGCACAGCGGGACATGGAAGTTCATTAGTGATTCTAGTTTCGCCCTGAACTTGTGATCTCGCCCTGACATTCTGCCTTGTGATCTTTTGTTGCCCTTGAGGCATGTGATCTCTGTGACCCACTCCCTCCCCTTTGAAAATTGCTAATAAAAACTTGGGTTTTATGGCTCGGGGGCATCATGAAACCTGCCTACATGTGATGTCTCTCCCAGACACCCAGCTTTAAAATTTCTCTCTTTTGTACTCTTTCCCTTTATTTCTCAGACTGGCTGACACTTAGGGAAAATAGAAAAGGACCGACGTTGAAATATCGGGGGCTGAATTTTCCCTGATAAAATGTCTGGTCCTATTTTGTCATTTTCCCACTGATTTGTAGCAGCTCTTGCATACTATAGATGTTAGATCTTAGTAACATATGCTACAAATATTTTCTACTAATTTGTAACTTGTCTTTGCACTTTTTATGTTGTCCTTTGATGATCTGAAACATATCTAAAATTCTTAATTTTAATTTAGTTTAAATTTTCAATCTTTCACCTGTTTGTCTTTTTGTACTTTGTTCAAGAAATCCTTCTGTACTCTGTTGCCATGAGGATATTTTCCTATGTATTTTTTTAAAGGCTTTGGTTTTGCCTTTTACTTTTAGGTCTTTGATTCTCCCAAAATTTTATTTTGTTTATAGTGTGAGGTAGAGACTCAATATAATTTTTTCCCATATGGATATCTTTATCCAGTACCATTTATTGAAAAACTCATCATTTTCCTGTCATCTGCAATACCACTTCCATCATATATCTAGTATCTATATATGTCAGTGTCTATTTCTGGGCTTTAATTCTGTTCCATAGATCTATTTGTCTATCCAGCACTAATACTGTACTATCTTAAGAACCACAGCTTTATTAGTGTCCTGAAAGCTGGTAGGACAAACTCATTTGTCCTCTTTAAGAGTGTTTTGGCTATTTTTGGTCCTTTGTTATTCCATATACATTTTAGAATATGATGGTCATGTTTGACTTTTTAAACAAAATCTATCAGAGATTTGATTGAGATTGCATTGATTCTGTAGATCAAATTAGGGACAACAGATATCTTTATAATATAGAATCTTCTAGTTCTATTGTTTCTTAAAAGTTTTGTATATTCTGTTAGATTAATACATAGGTATTTTCCATTAAAAATACATGTGGATGGAATGAATATATATACAGAGAGAGAGAGTGAGGGAAATAGAAAGAGAATAAGAAAAAGAGTGTATGTGTTATTTGCTAACTCTAGCTGCTATATAGAAATGAAATAGAGTTTTATATTGAGTTGGTATCTGACAACTTTTGTTAAATTTACATTCATTTAAAAAATTTATTGGTAGTTCATTTTGAATTTTTTTACATATTAACAGTATTATTTGAAAGCAATGATAGTATTATCCCTCTTTCAATCCTTATTCTTTTGTTATGTTTTCTTGCTTTTCTTCAGTGACTTGTACATACAGTGTAATGTTAAATAGAAATGGGAATCCTTGTTTTGTTCCTAATCTTAGATAAAATTATTTGAATAACCACAAGATATAATATTTTCCTTAGTTTTATTTATTTTTAAATTAGACTGAGGAAGCTCCTTCTATTCCTAGTTAACTAGATGTTTTTATTATAAATGAATGTTAAATTTTATCAAACACCTTTTCTGCATTTATTGAGATGATCATATAAATTTTCTCCTTTAATTTGTTAACATGGTGAACAACATTACTAATTTTTTAGTATAAACCAATCCCGAATTATTAGGATAAACCTAATTTGATATATTATCTCATACCCATTGCTGGGTATGTTTTTGGTAATATTTTATTACTGGCATATACTTTGAAGCTTATCCCTTATTCCTTTAAGCATAGTAAACATTTTAACTTTATAGCTGGTATGTGAAATACATATGGACATATTCCTTGTAGCTCTTGCTTTTGCTGTGTATCACTCATGGTGCTTTTGTTCACTCGTATATTTTGTTGTGTTTTTGTTGTGAGTTGTTCATTTTACTTAGAGTTTCATTTCTTTGAAGTCTTTGAAGACTGAGATGATGGTGGGATACTATAGATTAATTTGCATTTGTTTCTGACCAGCCATATGAAGGCACTACAAGTCTGGGGTGCTCTAATTTAAATTCTTAACTTGTGGTTTTTGGTAACACACAGTTTCTGTGAATTTGCGCTACAAATCTGTGTGAGGACCATCTTGTGATTCCAAATTTTCAGCAACTATTTTTACCTCCTGTACTCTTTGCTAAAGGTCAAGGATATTTTCTTTTTAGACCTCAGGGACAAGAAAGGGATGGGTTTATTTCCAGGTCATGCTTACACTGACTGTTTAGAACTTTGATATTTCAGCTCTTTTAAAGTAAGGGATGAGCTAATAAATTGCTACCTTTTGAAAGTCCTTGTCTTTGTTTCCTGCTCTGTGGGCTCTGTAGATTCAGGATAACCAAGGCTCAAATTTACACAAGTTAACAAATAGACTCAGAAAGAAAACTGGCTAAAATACTACACTTCTCCAAGATCCCTTCCTCTTTTAGTCCCTGATCTGAGACTTCCTTACTTTCTTGTACAGACAGTCCCCAATTTACAATGGTTTGCTTATAATTTTTTGACTTTATAGTGGTGCAAAGGTGATGTGCATTCAGTAGAAACCATTTGAGTACCCATACAACCATTCTGTTTTTCATATTCGATACACGAGTTAATAAATTACATAAAATATTCAACACTTTATTATAAAATAGGCTTTGTCTTAGATGATTTTGCCCAACTGTAGGCTAATGTAGGCGTTTTAGCACCCAACTACCTGTTTAAGGTAGGCTAGGCTAAGCCATGATGTTTAGTAGGTTAGGTGTATTAAATGCATTTTTCACTTACAATATTTTCAACTTTCAATGGGTGTATCAGGGAGTAACCCCATTATAAGAAGCATCTGTAGTTCATTGATGCTTTTAAGATTTCTTGAACACATAATCTAGAATTTTTTGTTGTTTTCTTAAAAAAGGACAAACTAGGTGCCTATTCTTCCACATGATGTGAAATTACTGTATTAAATGTTTATATCCCCATCCTATAGTCTTGCTGTTATCTTAATTTTGCTATTATTGTTTATAAATATGCTCTTCCAATGCAAATATCCTTGGGAGGGACAACACATTAACTGTGAACTTACTAGTTTGAAATAGTTTTTGAGATGTATTCCTCTGACAACAGTGACTAGAACTCTGAAACAGTGGGAGAATATATATATTTGTGATAAAAATAGGTAAGAAAAGAGAAGTGATTTTGAAGAATGAGATATTATTGAAGAAAAATAGACTGGAATGGTATGTTACCTCTGGGCAATCGGTGATTGGGAGACACAGGGAGGCATCAGAATGGATGAGAGATATACTTAAAATCCCCAAAGATAGGAAGGCACTAAAATAAATTTCTCTTGCCTCACAATTTTGCCTAGGTTTAGTTATATAAGCATAACTAGAATAACTTACAACAGAATTCCTATGAAATTAAAAACTCTAATTCAGAAGGCAAGCCTATCTAAACTCAAGTTTTCTTGAAATATTTTGGTTTATTTCACGCACAACCTTGGTAAAATAAATAGGAAAGCATATACTTAAAAAAAAAAACCTGAATACAGAGATAGTTTTACTTCAAGTTTTTATTCTCCCCACTGCTGCCTGTTTTTGTCTTATTGCAATAACTAGGACCTTCATTAACACTGTTGAGTACAAGTTGTAAGGGTGGGCCTTCACTCTTGGTTACTGATCTGAGGGGAAAAGCATTCAATGTATGTTCATTAAGTGTGAGGTTAGCTCTAGGTTTTTGTGAAAGTTCCCTTCTATTCCTAGTTAGCTAAAAGTGTTCTTATAATTGGGTGATGGATTTTGAAAAATGTTATTTCTGCATCTATGGAAATGATCTTATGTTTTTTTTCTTCATTATTCTGTTAATGTGGTTATAGTGATAAATTTGTGGGTGTTAAACCAATCTTACATTTTTGTGACATACCCTTCTTGGTCACTGTATATTATTACTGATATATATTGCTGCAATCAATGCATTAAGTTTTCAAAGATTTTTATGTCTATGTTCATGGAAAATATTGGTAGGCAAATTTTTTTCTGGTAATTTCTTTGTTAGGTTTTAGTATCAGAGTTATGGTGGCCTCACGAACAAGCAGGAAAGTGTTCCCTCCTTCTGTTTTTTATAAGGGTTTGTGTAAGATTAGTGTTATTTCTTCAGTGAATGTTCATCAGTGAAACCATCTGAATCTAGATTTACACTGTGGAATTTTTTGACAATAAATTTAATTTTAAAAATGGATATAGGACTATTAATGTTTTTGTTTAACCTGTATTGACTTTGGTAAATTGCATTTTTCAAAGAACTTATCCATTTTATTTAAGTTGTCATATTTTTAGTATAAAATTTTAGTAATGGTATCTTATTATCCTTTTCATGCCTGTAGAGTTTATAGTGATAACCTCTCTTTTATTTCTGATACTGGTGATTTATGTTCTATTCTTTTTTTAAAGACACATTTATTCAGCGTCATGATCAGACTATATTACATTTAGCAATCAACAGCATGGGTGCAAAAAAAAAATCTACATTAAAACCCTTTCTTGGAATGCTGTACACTTTCTACAGAACAAAAACTAAAATAACCTGTTACACCTTTAGTCACAAATACAGTCCTCAAGTTTTTTGCCCATACACATGAGTATTTATCTAAAACATGTCTTTTTTTTTATAGCAGCTAGGCCCTGCCACCACTGTGCTTGGTTGAGTTCACAAATCTGTTGTAATCTGTAGCTTCCATGTCCCTTCTCTGGCTCTCTTCTCCTGCTAAGCTTTGTTTCCTGGTAGTAACTAAAATCTTCTCCCATTGCTGTAACTACTGCTGCTACTGAAATTGACATAGTCACCTTGGTTTTGTGGTTTGGCAAAGTATTGGCCTCCAACACCACAGTGCTTCTGCTTCCATAGTTCTCCCATTCATGGGTCCAAAATTTGAAGACTAATTGTTGTAATTGCCAAAAGCATTGTAGCTTCCACCACCTTCAAAATTGCTTCCATCACCAAATCCATTATAGCCATCCCCACTGCCACCATATCCACCATGACCACAGCTGCCATCATGACCACTGAAGTTTCCTCCACAATCAAAGTTGTCATTTCCACTGAAACAACCTCCACAACCAACACCAAAGTTTCCAGAACCACTTCAACCTCTTTGGCTGGGTGAAGCACTATCCACCTCTTGTTTTGGCAGGGCTTTCCTAACTTCACAGGTGTGGCCATTCACACGACGGTATTTCTGAATGACAATTTTATCCACGGAGTCATGGTCATCAAAGCTTATAAAGACAAAGCTCCTTTTTTTTTTTGCCACTGCCTCAATCAGTCATAATTTCAATCACTTCAATTTTTCCATACTGTTCAAAATAATCTCTCAGGTGATGTTCTTCAGTGTCTTCTTTAATGCCAGCAACAAATACCTTTTTCACAGTTAGGTGGGCACCTGGTCTTTGAGAACCTTCTCTTGAGATAGCCCTCTTTGGTTCCACAGCTTTCCCATCCACCTTGTGTGGCCTTGCATTCGTGGCTGCATCCACCTCCTCCATAGTGGCATAGGTGACAAACCCAAAGCCCCTGGAGCGCTTGGTGTTGGGATCTCTCATGACCACACAGCTTGTGAGCATTCCCCATTGCTCAGAATGGCTCCTCAGCCTCTCATCAGTTGTTTCAAAGCTCAGCCTTCCAGTGAAGAGCTGCTCAGGCTCTTTAGGATACTGATTTAGACATGACGGTGGCGGTGGGAAGAGACTTTAGCAACTCTTCCTTGGTAGCGACCACAGGCAGAAAGAAGTAAGTTAATGAATGTATCCTTATGTTATATTCTTAATCCATTTTAGGATTTATCAATTTTGTTGATAACTCAGCTCACTGCAACCTCCGCTTCCCAGGTTCAAGCAACTCTCCTGTCTCAGCCTCCTGAGTAGCTGGGATTACAGGCGCCCACCACCAGCCCAGTTAATTTTTGTATTTTTTAAGTAGAGATGGGGCTTCACCATGTTGGCCAGGCTGGTCTCAAACTACTGATCTCAAGTGATCCACCCACCTCGGCCTCCCAAAGTGCTAGGATTATAAGTATGAGCCCCCGCACCCGGCCAACTTTTAGATTTCTTAATATTCTTTATTGTTTTTCTGTTTTTAAGTCTTTTTCAAAGTTTTGGACTGAATATATATTCTTCCTATCATGCATAAAATATATCAGTATTGTGTTAGTCCGTTCTTGCACTGCTATGAAGAAATACCTGAGACTAGGGGCTGGGCGCAGTGGCTCACGCTTGTAATCCCAGCACTTTAGGAGGCCGAGGCGGGCGGGTCACCAAGGTCAGTAGTTCAAGACTAGCCTGGCCAACATGATGAAACCCCGTCTTTACAAAAATACAAAATTAGCCGTGCATGATGGTAGGTGCCTGTAATCCCAGTTACTCAGGAGGCTGAGGTGGAAGGATCACTTGAACCCAGGAGGCGGAGGTTGCAGTGAGCCAAGATTGCGCCATTGCACTCCAGCCTGGGTGACAGTGCAAGACTCCGTCTCGAACAACAGCAACAACAAAAAATGAAATACCTGAGACTAGGTAATTTATAAAGAAAAGAGGTTCAACTGGCTCATGGTTACACAGGCTGTACAGGAAGCATAGCAGCTTCTAGGGAGGCCTCAGGAAATTTACAATTATGGCAGAAGGCAAAGGGGAAACCAGCACTTCACATGGCCATAGCAGGAGGAAGAGTGAGAGGTGGGAGGTGCTACACACTTTTAAACAAGCATATCTTGCAATATCTCACTCTAGCTATGATAACACCAAGGGGGATGGTGTTAAGCCATGAGAAACCACCTCCATGATCCAATCACCTCCCACCAGACCCCACCTCCAACACTAGAAATTACAATTCGACATGAGATTTGGGTAGGGACACAGATCCAAACAATATAAGTTATGGAAGTACCTGAGAAGAGGATCTTACCTCTCGTGTTCAGTTTTATGGAAGTAGGTAGCCTTAGATAAAATTCCCTGGAACCAGAATCTGAGACAGAGATTTGGGTGGATGTGGTTTATTGAGGGACTCCTCGGGAAAAACCTGTAAGTGAAGGAGAGGAGCACGATAGGGAAGGGAAAAGAGCTGCCAAGCAAGGATCTGGTCTTAGGTAAAGTCTAGTCCTGGCCCAAACCACAGAAGGGAGGGATCTGAAATACAAACAGCACAGCAGAGTTGTCATCCCTGGTGGCAAGGGCTGGACTTTTATGCCATCATGTCAGTTGGCCACTGTTGTGGGTCATCTATGGAGGGAGCACAACTTCCCTAGTAAGTTGGCTCCTATCAGTTGATGGCAATTCTCTAGAGAAGAGGGCTAGCTGTAAGCTATTACCAGCCACCACTCATAGGACCTTGGGGATAGAAGATTTAACCAAGTGAACAGGATCTGAACAGGGCACCACAGTATCAACCACAACTCTGATAGTAAACATAGAGTCCTAGGCAAATAAAATAGGATTTGCAGGTGGGGGAAGTGCTTTGAATATTTAATGTAATGCCTTGTAGCCAATACAATATTTTTGATAGTGTTTGAAGAACTATGCCAATAATAATCCTTGTTCAGGGGAATAATACTCTCACAGATGAATAAGACTTGATGTAAGGAAGAAATAGAATACAAAGTTGGTGTATTTGTTAGGGCTGGCTATATTGTTACAAATTTTAGACCCCAAACATGTAATGGCTCTAAAGTTTATTTCTCTCTCAACAGTCCAGGTTGATGTGGGGAGTGGAGAAACTAGAGGAAAGGGCCCTCCTTTACACAATCATTCAGGCACCTGAGCTGACAGCAGCTCTGCAATCTTCAAGACATGATTTCCAAGACTCTCATGAGTATTGCCATCCAGCTGACTGGGTGTATTAATTATCTGCTGCTGCATAACAAACTTAGCAGCTTAAAACAACAATTAATATTTATTATCTCATTGTTATTTTGGGTCAGAAATTTGGACCCAATTTCTTAGCTGAATGGTTCTGGCTCAAGGTCATTCATGAGTTTGCCATCAGATGTGTTTTGTGGGTACAGTCATAAGAAGGCTTGACTAGGGCTGAAGTATCTGCTTCCAATATGGCTTCCTTAGTCCTGGCTATAGGCAGCTGGCTTTGGTTTCCTGACACTCAGGCCTCTTTATAAGGGCTGTTGGAATGCCCTCATGACGTAGTAGCTGACCTCCCTCAGGAAAGTAATCTAAGAGAACAAGATGAAAGCCTAAATGTCCTTTATGGCCTTGACTTGGAAATCACATTCCATCATTTCTGCACTATCTTGTTCGTTACACAGGTCTGCTATATTCAGTAGAGGAGGGAATTATACAGGGACCATGAGCCAAGAATCACTGACAGCCATCTCAGAGGTGCGCTATCATCTTAGAGGAGCACGTGTGGGAGGTTTTTAAGGACAAATCCTATTTGCATTCCATTGGAGTACACTTACTCGCATGGCTACATCTAATAGCAGGAGACGCAAGGACATGTCGTATAGTTGGTTAGCCATGTGCCTTTTATTACAGTGGAAGGAGGAGGGAAGTATTTAAATGCACATCTGGCAGCTTCTGCTACAATTGGGAAAATGAAACAGGAAGAAAAAATCTTCAAGACAAGAATAACTAAAATAACAACAAAAGTTGACGTTAGTGAGCAAATTTCTTTATGTACCCAAACCTACATAATGCTTAAATTTTTTTTCTGATTTCATAAAATTGTTCTTGTCTATAGAATCTCATAGGCAAAAGCTCTTAAATTCTGATAGATTGTTTTTAAAAATCCAACATCTTAGTCATGCATGGCCTTAACAAATGTTTTCAATTTAAGTAACTGACTTTTTAAAAATAGTGCAAAAAATACTAATGTCCATTAGTGAAATCCAAGACACATATACAATAGGGAAAATATAATTTGTCTACACACTCGCTGCCTGGAAAATTAGTAACCAAGGTGCAAAATATTCTATCCCTTCTTTAAGAATCTCCCCTGCAGAAATGTTTCCTATGCACTGACTTAGGTCAGAGACCAGGTAATTCTCATTGCATTTCCTATTAAAACAGTAAAATCTCAGATAGAAGATTAAATATTGAACCAAAAGATTTTTTAATTAGTTTTGCTTAATGAGGAAGAGATAATCTCAGTTGTAACAAGAACCTCAAGTGAAAAATAGTTTTCTTCCTAATTTGTCCCAAACATTCTGTTTTGGCTTTGAGTCATATTCTGCATCAGTGAACTGGAATTCAGAATGTTATTGATTTTTCCTAAACATTTAACAACTCAGAACTAGTCTTGCCCACATTTCCACTGAAGATAGTATATATTCATTCTTTTTAAAGTAAGTTTGCTTGACTACACTTGATTGGAATGATAGAAGTAGCACATTATAAAAAATTCTGTATCCTTTGAATTGCTGCATCCTGCATTGTTATTATAACAATTTAAGAAAGCAATAGCCTTATTTCAGGGTCCATCAGTTCTTTGTAATGCAGAAATGTGTAAATCAGATGGCAAAATTCTTGTCAATGATTATGATCACTCTGTGACATCTTGATTCATGATAAAAAACCAAATATACATTATATATTTTCTATAGAATTTAATAACATTTACCTCAAAACAAGGAGCAGCTGTGTGGGAGTAGAATGTACACAAGATATCAAGTTGGGAATCTTGACTCTATCATTTATTAGCTTTATCATATCATTTAATATATGGGCAAGCCATATCATTTCTTACATGGGCAAGTCATCTAGTCTATTTGAGTTCCAGTTTCCTCATATAAAAACAAATACTAACAACCTCTTAAGACTGTGTATAGATTAAAAGAGGGAAAAATGTAAAAGAACTTAGCCAACATTTATATGGCACATAAAGGTTTTGTTTATTGGTCCTTTAATCCTGTTAATCTAAAAATAGAATTTCACACATGGGAAAATTCAGACAGAGAAGTCAAGTAACCTGCTTAAGATCATATATCCAAGAAATTTTCTAGTGCACTTATCACTACACTGTGCTCATATCAAAGTCTCTTGCAGGGGACATATAAACCAATTAATTGCAGGAGGTATGGGACCTTACTGGTTGGTTATACATGTGTAGTGGGAGTTGGGGGTACTACAATGTGGAGTATTTTAGCACCCTGAGGAAAAGCTTAGTCCAAATTGGTTATATATGAGAAATTTGCTCTGTCCTGAAAGAAGGCATATTTCCCAATGTCCACTTTAGATTCAGTCAAAGAAGAAAATGAAAAAGGACAAAACTTTCAGAAGGCAGATCCAGGGGCTACAGAGACCAATAAGCAAAAGGAGCATCTCAAAATCAGAATTAATCAGGTAACATTCCTCAAACACAGGTAGGGGGCCCTCAAAAGTTGTTCCCAACAGGATTTCAGAATTCTATAGACATGTATTTGCTGTGTGTTTTCCATTTTCCCCAAGGAGAATATTACAATTATCCTGTTCCTGTATCAGCCCTTATGTATCAGGTGAGAGAAGGCAGAAAATCTGTCTTTTTTTTATTTCACAGGTGTAAGTAGGATCTACAGAAGCAGATCATGATTAGAAACTACCATACCTCACCCAGATGTCACAGATTATGACCTTGATGCTATGCTTGCCTAGGACTTTGGGGCTTTCTCCCTAAGGGAATGGGTGGGTATATTTTGCATCTCAGAAATAGAGCAAATCAAACATTTGGTGACCAAAAGGCATGTAGCCATTAGAGCTATTCTAAATATTCTAGTTCTTCTGGGGATATGATGGGACTGTACTTTCCTGCCCCTTGAAGTTAGACATAGACAGGTAATTTACTCTGGCCAATGAAATGTGAGTGGAAATGATATGTGTCACTTTCAGGCAAAATTCATTTATTCACATGTTTCTCTTCTCTCCTACCATAGCGATCACAGAAACACATGTATAGATGGAACCTCTTTCAGCCCAGGTCCTTGAGTCACTAAGTTGAACAGAGACCTCCTTGCTAACCTGAGTTCTGAATGTAGAGTGAGCAAGAAATAAATATTTATTGTGATCAAGCCTCTGTGATATGAAAGTTGTTTGTTACTACAGTAAAAGGCAGTAGACTTTTATTAACACAAGCACACATTTTATTAATTCATTGAAATTATTTCCTTCACAAAGACAAGTAGGATCAATGTCAATCAACCTGAGATAAAGTGTTGTTGGTTTTTTTTTTTTTTATAACCAACCTAATAAATTGTATTTCCCAGTACTAGGTAAAATTGTTGGCCAAAAATTTAATAAAGTCAACCATCTCAACTCAGCAGCCCAGCACCACTGAATTGGAAAGAGTTCTCATAAAGAAGTCTAGGGTTGGTTCAGCAGAAGAGGTGTTTCGAGGAGGCCACAAATAAGTACTCCGTGGCAGCAAAGAAGAGTGAAAGACAGGAGAGAAAAACACTGAAATTATGAGGGCCTCAATGAAAGTTTACCAAAAAAAAAATGACTGCTTAGCTTTTAATTTGTGGGTTTCAGGGTAATCAGGAGAGGTTCTGGAATCTTTTTGTTTTGTTTTGTTTTTGCTTTTTGGGACAGCACCTGGCTCTGTCACTCAGGCTGAAGTACAGTGGCACCATCTTGGCTTACTGCAGCCTTGACCTCCTGGGCTCAAGTGATCCTCCCACTTCAGCCTCCCAAGTAGCTGGGACTACAGGCACATGCCACCACGGCTGGCTAATTTTTGTATCTTTTTGTAGAGATAGGCTTTCACCGTGTTGCCCAGGCTAGTCTCAAACTCCTGGGCTCAAGTGATCTGCCTGCCTCGGCCTCCCAAAGTGCTGGGATTACAGGCATGAGCCACTGCGTACAGCCCAGTTCTGGAGTCTTTAAAAAAAGCTCCAGATTCTTTTTTTTTATTTTTATTTTTTGAGACAGAGTCTCACTTTGTTGCCCAGGCTGGAGTGCAGTGTCCCAGTCTCAGCTCACTGCAACCTCAGACTCCCGAGTTCAAGCAATTCTCCTGCCTCAGCCTCCCGAGTAGTTGGGATTACAGGTGTGCACCACCATGCTGGGCTAATTTTCTGTATTTTTTTAGTAGAGACGGGGTTTCACCATGTTGGCCAGGCTGGCCTCAAACTCCTGACCTCAGGTGATCCACCCGCTTTGGCCTCCCAAAGTGCTGGGATTACAGTCGTGAGGCACCATGCACGGCCAAAAAAAAAAGCTCCAGATTCTTAAAGTGGACCCAGGAGTGAATAGAAGGCATGCTGGGAAGGCAGGGGTGGAGTTACCATGAAGCTCATAAGGCATAAGCTTTAGGACCCCTCACTTGCACAGGCCCTTTCTAAGGTCCTGTGAGGGGACCTAGCAATCTTGTATTTGTAGTTTTTTAAAGGACTGCCCCCTAAATTATATGAGCTTCAGGTCC
Source organism: Homo sapiens (assembly GCF_000001405.40). Classification (NCBI taxonomy): domain Eukaryota; kingdom Metazoa; phylum Chordata; class Mammalia; order Primates; family Hominidae; genus Homo; species Homo sapiens. The sequence goes on from NC_000002.12 coordinate 63,759,296, forward strand.
ATGCAACCTGTATCGGCCTCTGTATGGAGGCAGTAAGCTGGCATGGAAAGTCTTGTCACAGCTTCAGGCACTGGGAGTCAGGTAGAGGACACTCCATATTAGGAAATTAATCCTTCCCTGGGAAAGGGGACTTGAGTACAGGACCAGCTACACAATTGCAGGGCTTGGTACAAAACAAAAATGTGAGGCTTTTTGTCCAGGAAGCAGGAAACATGTATTGTTACAGGAACTAATATATAAATCTTTTTCCTTTCTTCCACTTTCTCTCTCTCAACCTGTCATGGTACTTTAAATTTGCCATTTAATGTTATGTTCATGCAGACTTGGTGTGAATGGAGATTTCAAGCAGCCAGGGGCCCCTGCCCCAACATGATACACCAACTACTGGGTTTCTCCTCCCACCAACCACTAAACCAACGTTTTGCCCACAGTCAGGGTGAGAAATTTAAGTCAAGCATTTCTCCTTCTCACCGGCCTGCTGCCACAATCCACAATGAACAGCAGAACCTCCAGATATACCAGATACCTGGATGAGGGTTAGGCTAGAGGCTCATTCAGCCAAGTTCTTGCCTAATATACTGTGGCACTATCAGTACAGGATGAAGATGGCACTGCCCATGCCCAACTGGTCCCAACCCTCCCCAAGCCTACACCCAGGGGGTGATGGGTGATAGCTGTCACTGGGTGGGGGCAGTAAGAGGGAGGCTGGATGAGTCTCTGGGCTTCAGGGAATAGGGGAGTGGGCAGTGAAGAAGCTGTTTGGGAAGGTGGTGGGAGGCAGGACTGTGAATGAGCCTGGGCTCCAAGCCCCAAGTACGTGCTCCATTGTCTTACCAGACTTCACTTACCAAACACAAATTTGAAGATAAAGTATTAAGAACTTTAAGATGGTGACAACAGAATATTAAACCCCAAGCATAAAGCCCCCTTCTGAGCATGAGGCCTTATGAGACTGCATCCATGAAGGAAGCCTTGCCTGAGAGTTTAATACGACACCCAGAGTTGATGTTGATATCCACTGTTACATATCAGTGTTACAACTCTGTTCCAGGAGGGCTTGATTGCATCTATAACACAGAGCGTTTACACACGAAAAGGATTTCTTTTTCTCCAATTCTTCCTTTCAACATGAAATCTGTGGAATATTTCCCTTCCTGCCCCTAACAACTTCTAGAACTTATAGGCAAACTAGATTCCTAACTTTCAGATTCCATAACTACTCATTTTGGCTATTAAAACTCGGTATATTTAAAGACTTTAATCTCATCCTCAACTTAAATCTCATTTTCCCCTCCTCCTAGGGTAGAACTGACCTGGGACCCTGATTATTAGAGAATCTGTTTCTGCAACATCTTTCCTTCTTACCTTTTCCAAAGCTGAAGTCTCCAGCATTAGGTAGGAAAAGGGCGAAGGTCTAGGACAAGAATCTCTTCCAACTTGGTGGGTTGTCACTTCTCTCTGACTAACACTGTGGTTCTAAGGATGCCCTCTGTGTGACAGTCCCTAAATTCTGCTTTCCTTGTGGGGTACATGTATGAGTTCTTCAGAGTCAAGGCCTGCCCACCACAGGAATCTCCAATGCAGATGACGCCACCCCACCTCATCCACAGCCATCACCCATCCACTCAGTGGTACATCCAATACTCTATTATTACTGGGTTTACTACTAGGCTCTCCTGCTCCTCCCCTGCCCACTTGGCTTGGGGTGGGAGGTGAAGGCTCCCTCTTCTCCCTCAAGGGAGGATGAACCATGTTATGGCTTGAACGTGTCCCCCTCTCCAAAGTTCAAGTGTTGCAAACTTAATCCCAAATGCAACAACGTTGAGAGGTGGGACCTTTAAGAGGTGATTAGGTAATGAGGGCTCTGCCTTCATAAATGGATTAATGCTATTATCTCAGAGTGGGTTTCTGATAAAAGGATGAATTTGGTTCCCTTCCTCTCTTGCTCTCTCACACTCTCTTGCCCTTCTGCCTCCTGCCATGGGATGACACAGCAAGAAGGTCCTTGCCGGATGCCAGTATTTTGATGTTGGACTTCTTAGCCTTCAGAACTATGAGAAATAAATTTCTTTTCTTTATAAATTATCTAGCCTTTGGCATCCTGTTATAGCAACAAAAAATGGACTAAGGCAAACCACAAGCCTGATATTCTTCCTTTTTCTAGCATCATCCTAATACTATTATATATAATATATATGAGAGTTTATTAAGCATTAACTCACGCAATCACAATAGGCCATCTGCAGGCTAAGGAGCAAGGAGAGCCAGTCCAAGTGCCAAAACTGAAGAACTTGGAGTCTCATGTTCCAGGGCAGGAAACATCCAGCATGGGAGAAAGATGCAGGCTGGGAGGTTAGGGCAGTCTCTCTTTTCACATTTTTCTGCCTGCTTATATTCTAGCTATGCTGGCAGCTGATTAGATTGTGCCCACCCAGCTAAAGGGTGGGTCTGCCTTTCCCGGCCCACTGACTCAAATGTTAATCTCCTTTGGCAACACCCTCACAGACACACCCAGGATCAATACTTTGTATCCTTCAATCCAGTCAAGTTGACATTCAGTATTAACCATCACATATATGTTGTCCCCATTACTGGTGGCTGCCTTATAACATGGTATTAACACATCTTCTTTTGGGCTGGGGGTCTAGTTACTAATTCCTGGACAATAATACTTACATTTAAAAAAAACACGTGCATCAGATAAATAGAGATATTAGTAAAAGTCTTAGCGTGGTTCTTCAAGACCATTGCAAGATTGCCATCTCTTTCTGGCCAAGGTTCAGGACAGGATTGAGATACTAAAAGTTGCCTTGAGTGGGGGCATTATGGCCCAAATCAGTGCAAATAGCCTCAAACCAAACCACTAAGTCCAAGTGGTCGGGCAGGAGAAGAGGTAAATGTGGGAGTCTGAATCACTGGGGAAAAGAGAAGAGTTGGTGACTGAGGGGACCAACGAGGCTGCAGAGGAGGATGGATGCCTTTTTCTATAAGGGTTTTTCTGTGGCCCTTTGATCATTATGTGAGCAAGCTAAATGAATTAAAATCAGAAAATCTGAAAATCTAACACGAAATAACATTTGTACACTGAGGAGGGTAAGAAAAAATGCACTCATTACCCCTTTCAGATTATGCCAATAAACTGGGCATTTTTGGTTTGAGTCAATGCAGGACAATGTATGGTCTTTAGTCCCATTTTCTGTTGCCTATAACAGAATACCTGAAACTGGGTAATTTATAAGAATATATTAATTTCTTACAATTCTAGAGGCTGAGAAATCCCAGGTTGAAAGGCCATATCCAGTGAGAGTCTTGTTGCTAGTGGGAACTCTCTGAAGGGTCCCGAAGGAGGTTATCACCTGGTGAGGAAGCTGAGTGTACTAACATGCTAGCTCAGATCTTTTTCTCGTCTTATAAAGCCACTGGTTCTCCTTTCATGATAACACATTAATCCATGAATAAATTAAACCACTCATGAGGGCAGAACCTTCATGATCCAATCACTTCTTAAGGGCTCCACCCCACCTCTCAATACTGCCACATTGCGGATTAAGTTTCAACATGAATTTTGGAGGGGCTATTCAAACCACAGCAATAAGAACTAAGTAAAACAATGAAGGTGGTATATAATTGTGGAAAGCTTCATCCATTTATAAAAAAAATTTGCTGAGTTTCTCCAGTATACCAGACCTGTTATATATGTTGGGATACAACAGTGACCATGACAAACAGAGTCTTGATATCTTGAAGCTCACTTTCATCTTCTGATGCAGCTCTCTCTATATTTGAAACATGATCATCTATATATTTAATGTGATTATCAAGACCATACTTATTTGAGTTGGGGGGTATGCCTTATTGTTCTCAGTATTCCTAGCACCTAATACCCTGACTGACACACAGAAAGTACAAAAAGGTATTTGTTGATGGTCCGGGCACGGTGGCTCATGCCTGTGATCCCAGCACTTTGGGAGGCTGAGGAGGGTGGATCACTTGAGGCTAGGAGTTTGAGACCAGCCTGGCCGATATAGTGAAACCCCATCTCTACTAAAAATACAAAAAATTAGCTGGGCATGGTGGCACACCTGTAATTCCAGCTACTCAGGAGGCTGAGGCAGAGAATCACCTGAACCTGAAAGGCAGAGGTTGCAGTGAGCCGAGATTGCGCCACTGCATTCCACCCTGGGCAACAGAACAAGACTTTGTCTCAAAAAAAAAAAAAAAAAAAATTGTTGATGGAATAAGTGAATTCATTTGCAGTAAGAATAACATAACTCATGAAATGCATCCAAAATACACATGTTGTTAATTTAGCATTACTAAAACTTCATGAAACCAAAATTCCTCTCATATATTCGGAAATGTAGCACAAAAAAGTGTTTTGATTAGTGAAATTATGTAGAAAAATATACCTAAAAAGGATATATTCAGAGATAGTCAGGAGTTATTTTCATTTTCTTCCATTATGGCTATTTATTTGTGCCAAAAAATTGCTGTTAGAAGTTGTTTTTAAAAATAGAATCTTTAAGTGGTACATTAAATCCAGCTGGCTTCAAACGGTACAGGGTGGTGGTGTTGGGGGGAGGGTCACAGATGGCCAGATCTCTAGGGAATTCTATGACCTCAGTGATGACTGACTAAAATTCCTGGACTTTTCCTGGACTTTTCTTGTGAGAGGAATTCTACAGTTGATAATTATTGATAATTATCAATTCTTGTTCCCTGATAGTTATTGTTATTACTTTTTATTGAGGTAAAATTCACATAAGATAAAGTTATTTTGAAGTGTGCAATTCAGTGACTTTGAGTACATTCACAATATTATACAACTATCACTTCTCTCTAGTTTCAAAACACTTTCATCACCCCAAAAGAAAACCTCATACCCATTAAGCAGTCACCCTGAGAATTATTTAATCTCTGGCTCCACATAATAAGCACCAATCCTATCAGCTCTGTAATAGAAAAATAACAGGAAAAGTATTTTCCTCCAAAAAGTATAAAAATTGTAACTTTAATAATAGGGTTTGCAAGGCCAGTCAAGGGCTAGCCTGTGATCCTTTGAGTGATGCCGTGGTGACCTCTGATGCTGAACATATGGGCATGGTCTGACCTCCAGATGGGCAGCAGGTGTATCTCTGCATAGGCCTCTGAGAAAGCTACCTGGGATGATCCTGGAAGACCAAAATGTCAACTGAGTTTTTAAGTGTATTTAAGGTTTTCAGACTTAAATGATTTTTGAATTGTCAAACACCACGCAAAGAGTAGATATGGTAAGTGATTAAAAAAGCACATTAAATATAAATGGATTGAAATGTGAAAAAAGCCACAAACACTACACACTGACAGCCTTTAGGAAATGCCTCTTTACAACCTTGACTTTCTTGATGAGGAATTTGTGCTGGTAAAGGGGCTTTCGTTTATTTAGGGGATGGACCGAGAGGCTTCCTGAGGAGAAAATCTATTTTAAGGCAAGACCATGAAGGAGGAGTTTGGGCTGGAAACAAAGGCTAAGTCACCAAAGGGGTGTGACCTTTCTGATTCCAGGGTTATATTGTCATTCAGATTACTTTCCTAGCCCAGATTCTCTTTGAGGTCATGTTTGGATGGGGTAGAGTAGGAACATGGTAAATAAAAAATTGAAAATGGAAAGAGCTGCTTATCTAAGAGGGAGTCCTAAACTAGGCTAAGGTAGCTTTTCCACTCAACAAAGATGTGTGGAAAGCACTATGTGCTGGGCATTTGTTAAACATGGAAGATACAATGGTAAACAGGACAGATATACTCCCTGTCTCCAAGAATTTTACAGTCTAAAGGTAGATATTTAAAATAGGACTACATAAATATTGACTACAATAAAGACTACAGAGGAATAGTTCACTAGGCAACGGCAGTGTTTAATGGCAGAACTCTAACCCAGTCTGGAAAGACAGGGAAGACTTTCCTGAGGAGACATTTCAGCTGAGATCTGAACAATAAAGGGTAGGGAAGGCAAGAGGGTGGGGGCAGTAGGCACAGTGTGTGTAAATGTTTTGAGGTGGGAGGAGCTGGAGTTTGAGGCCAGCGGGCTTAAGCATAGGGGCCAGTGAGAAAAGCAGCAGAACAGTTTATGAAGGAGCTGGCTACTTCCCTGCACTTGTGGACTGTTCTGCCAGCAAGCAAACCAGCCACAGGCAGGGCAGAGAGACCTTCACTGTTGTAAGGTTGTGGGGTATGAATTGAACTGGGGCCTTGAGGGGCTTGGTAAATGGATTAGGCAGGTGTCTGGTTACCCCTCTAGCTAGATGTACTAGGCCTTTTGTGTGGCCAGGTCACATGCCTCTGGCTTCTATGCAACATTGTCCCAAAGACATGGATTCAATCCCTTCCAGAAACTCCAAAATTATCCTGGACTCTGGATCAAGTCTCAGACCAGGAACCACAGCTAAGGCATGTGGTACTGACAGGGTTGGCCTACTGCCTGGTTAAAAATTTTGGCTCAATTCGGGGGCACATGTGTTTGTTCATCTGCATGGGAAACCCCTCATGACACTGACTCTTCTATTGTAGGAAGGATGCAGCCATGCTTGTGCTTTACCTAGCAGAAACATTTTACCAGGAATGAGCTGCGTGAAGAGCCATACATCTCTCAGTCACATCAGGGCCAGGCTTCCTATCAGATATTTGGGCAGAACTTCTATGAGTAGGGATAGCACCTCCAACCATCCATAGCTCCAGGGAGCCTCAAAAGTTGTCCATCTTGTTTAGAGCACTAGCACCTAGCACATGCACCTAGGTGCATTTTAGGAAATCAAGAAATATCACTGTAATGGATGAGTGGAGGTAGAGCACAGAGCAGGCAGTTCTGCTAAAGCAGTTCTCAGCTAACCCAAAAGATTAGCATTCTTTGCTTGCAGAGATGTGAAAAGCCAGCAGCTAAATCAGTGAGTCTCATCCCTCCCTGAACATATACATTACATACATATAAGTTTTATTTAAGGTATGTTTTTAAAATATATTTATAAAGAAATTAGGCTGGAAGTAAATATGCCCAAATATTAAATTTTTTTTTTTTTTAGACAGGATCTTGTGTTGTCTCCCAGGCTGGAGTGCAGTGGCATGATCATAACTTACTGAAGCCTTGAATTCCTGGGTTCAAACGATTCTTCCACCTCAGCCTTCCATTTAGCTGGGACTATAGGCGTGTACTACCATGCCTAGCCAATATTAATTTTTTGACAATAGGATTATGTATAGTTATCTTACTCTATGGATATACTTAATCTATGGATTTCTGTATGTTACTTAAAAAAAAAAAGCTTTACTGAAGTATAGCTGGCATATAATAAAATGCATATGTTTAAAGTCTCACTATGAAAAATTTTAACACATTAATACACCTGTGAAAACATCACCACAATCAAGACAGTGAATATATGCATCACTCTCAAAAGACTCTTCTTATCAAAATACACAGACATAAAATTTACCATCTTAACAATTTTAAGTATACAGTTCAGTGTTATTAAATACATTCATAAAATTATGCACCATCACCACCATATAACTCCATAACTCTTTTCATTTTGTAAAACTGAAACTCCATAGCCATTAAACAATAACTCCCATTCCCTTCTATCCCGAGCCCATGGAAACCACTATTCTACTTTCTGTCTATGATTTTGACTATTCTAAGTTCATCTTGTCCTTTTTTAATGCCACCTTCTTGCCCCACCCTCACCCCATCCCCAGACAACCACTGATTTGTTTTATATCACTATAGATTAGTTTTTGTTCCTTAGAATTTCATACAAATGGAGTTATAATGTACACTTTCTGTCAAGTCTGGCTTCTTTCATACAACAGAATTACTTTGAGATTCCTCCATGTTGTTGTTTGTATCAATAATTTATTCCTTTTTATTACTGAGTAATAGTGCATTGTATATATACTTAATTTGCTTATTCATTCATTGTACATGGACATTTGGGTTGTTTCTAGTTTTGAGCTATTACAAATAAAGCTGCTGTGAATATTCATGTATAAGTCTTTGTGTGGGTGTAAGTTTTCATTTATCTGAGGCAAATACCTAGGAGTTGAATGGGTCATTTGGTGGATGTATGGCTTAACTTTTTAAAAAGCTGCTAAGCCATTTTCCAAAACAACGATAACATTTTACATTTTCATCAGAATTGTATGAGAGTTCCTGTTGTTCCATAACCTCTCCAAAACTTAGTATGATTAGTCTTTTTAATTTTAGACATTCTAGTGGGTATAGGTATATCATTGTGGTTTTAATTTGCATTCTGTAATGATCAATGATGATGAACATCTTTTTATGTGCTTATTTGCCATCTGAATATCTTCTTTGACAAAAAGTCTGTTCAAATATCTTATCTGTAGGTTTATTTGTGTATGTGTGTTCTTATTGTTGAGTTTCAAGAATTCTTTATGTATTCTAGATAGAAGTCCTTTATTTGATATGTGATATGCAAATATTTTGTCCTGTCTGTGTGGCTTTTCACTCTCTTTGGTGTCTTTCTATCAGCAAAATGTCTCAATTTTGATAGAGTTTAATTTATCAAAATTTTTAAATGGATCATCTCTTTCATATGGTATCTAAGGAAGCTTTGTTTAGCCCAAGGTTACCAAGATTTTCTCTTAATTTTTCCTTACAGAAGTTTTATAGTTTTAGTTAAGTTGAGGTTGATGCCTAGGAAAATAACAACAACAACCAAAAAGAACAAATTTAAAAACAACAAAAAATAAGTTTCATATTTTAGGTTTTATATTCAGGTCTATGATCAATTTTTAGTTGATTTTATTTATGGTAGAAGGTATGGACCAAAGTTCATTTATTTGCAAATAAATGTCCCATTGTTCTAGTACCTTTTGTTGAAAATGACTATGCTTTTTTCCTGAATTGACTTTGTACTTTTGTTAAAAATCAATGGACCATACATGTGTAGGCCTATTTCTGAAGTCTCTATTTTATACCATTGAACTATTTGACTATTTTTATGCCACTATCTTTAAGTCAGACAGTATAAGTGTGCCATTTTTGTTCCTTTTTTTTTTTTTTCCAAATTGTTTTGGCTATTCCAGGTCCTCTGCATTTTTATGAGTTTTAGAGTCAATCTGTCAACTTTTAAAAAATCTGCTGAAATTTTGATAGGGGTTGCATTGAATTTATAGATGAAATTGGGGATAATTGATGTCTTAAAAATATCAAGTCTTCAATCATTTGGGTATTGGTTACTCCAAGCCAATTCAATCAGAATCTCTGGGGACAAGACAAGCCATTGTATTTTCTAAGAAATTCCCCAGGTGCTTTTAATGTACAGCCAGAGTTGTGAACACTGATCTCTGGCATCTGTCTTGCAGGCAGCTCTGACTGCTTAATGCTCCCAAAGGAAATGAACTATATTGAATAACACAAGGCATAATTGAAGGAAATAGTGACACTGAGCTTAGAGAAAAACTTTCAAGGAGACATGGACTTGAAAGGCTATCATACAGGAGAGGAATTAGACTCTTGCAAACCCAACAGACAGAAACTTCAGGGAATCAGACATTATCTTAGCCCAAGGAGGTACTTTCAACAGTCAATGATGTCCTCAGAAACAATGGGCTTTCTAGGAGGGGAGATCTCTTTGGTCCTAGAGATTAGTGGGATTCATTCACTAAACATTCACCAGCTCCCTACAATGTACTGACAAGAAAGTTGCAGAGGCTTTTCAGTATCAGAAGAGTTCTTGGAAGAACTACTCTGAGTTTGATAACTACTCTGAGTTTCTGATTCCATAAAATACTTTTTGAAAATTCTTCATGAAATTCTCATGAAATGGCTACTTTGTACTGTTGGGCCACAACTGTAGGCTTTCTTATTATTCATAGCTCAAGGTTGTTGGGGAAAAAAATGAATACATTGCCAGTGGGTATGTATTATGTAGGACATAATGCATTATGTAGGACAGAGAACAGAAATAGTAATAATGCAACTGTCTCACTGAGAAAAAGAAGCTCAGAACCATGAAACTTCTGTGGGTAGGAAATTCCAATAACATAAAAATATGTGGGGTGAATCTATTGCATTGATCACATGACCAGGATAATGTAAAGTTTATATGGAGTATAGTTTGTATGGAGTTAAAGTAGCAGCTAAAATATTTGACAGATTTAGAAATATAATTAGTTTTTTCAAGGGCATATGGAACCTTGACCAAAATGGACCATATTCTGGACCATAGAAGAGATTGGCCTGTGTTTCTTTCTTGTATTGGCCTCGTGAGGTTTTGGTACCAGGTTATGTGGTCTCATTAAACAAATTGTCTATTAGACCTCTATATACAGAATCTATACGGAATAATTCAACAAGCAAGAACTACTCTGAGTTTGGTAACTACTCTGAGTTTCTGATTCCATGAAATAGTTCTTTAAAATTTTTCATGAAACTTTCATGAAATGGCTACATTATACTGTTGGGTCACAACTGTAGGTATATCATAATTCACATTTCAAGGTTGATGGGGAAAAAAATGAATACATTGCTGGTGGGTAACTAATTCTGTGTGAGGGATACAGAATTCTATTAGTTTTTCTTTAAGTTTCTGTTAGTTTTTCTCTAAGTTCAGAGTCACTATTTCCTTCAGTCATTCCTTGTGTTATTCAACACGGCTCATTCCTTTTGAGAGCCTTAAGCAGGTAGAGTCCCCCCAAGACAAATGCCATGTATGAGTCTGAACAAATTTCAAATGATTGAAATGAAACAAAGCATGTTCTCAAACTACAGTGGAATTAAGCTAGAAATCAGTAATAAAGGATAATTTAAAAATTGCTAAGTCATTGGAAATTACACATACACTTCTAGATAACCTACGGTTCTAAGGAAACTTCAACAAATATTGGAAACTTTTTGAGCTGAAAATAATATTTTAGTCTACCACCATACCACCCTGAACGTGTCCAATCTCATCTGAAAATAATATTTTGTTTCAGATTAGGAAAATACAACATATTCAAACTGGAGTGCAATTTAAGTTGTACTCAGAAAAATATTTGTATCCTTAAATGAATATATTCAAAAAGAAGGTGAAAATCATTTGAAAAAGTCATGAAAAGAGTACCAAATTAAACCTAAAGGAAGTGTTAAAGTGAAGCATATTAAATTATCTGTATTCAACTATTTTTTACCTACAAAAACAGCAATTTCATTTTGTTAAATTTAATAGAAGGAAATAAATAATAAATCACAGAACTTAACAAGCTATAATGAAACAAACAAACAAAAAAACAAAATTATAGTGGTGTGAATCAAAACCAAAAGTTGCTTCTTTATGAAGACTAATACAGTGGTTCTCAAAGTGTGGTCTGAGGACTTTTGGACATCTCTGAGGTCCTTTCAAGGAGTCTACAGGGTCAAAATTATTTTTATAACAATAATAATATGTTCGTTTTCATCCTTATTCCCTCACAAGTATACAACAGAGTTTTCCAGTGGATGCATGACAGGGAATATTGCAACAGATTGACAGCAAAAATAGGTGAAAGACTCCAACTGTCTTCGATTAAGCCTGACATTAAAAGAGATTTAAAATGTAAAACGATGTCACTCTTCCCAATTTCTTGTTTTAAAAAAAATTACTGTTTTCATTTGAGATAAACATTTTATCTCTATTATCTTTATTATGTTAAAAATAACATAAAATGTTATGCTAAAGTATAATAGTTATAAGTAAATTTAAAAATAAATATTTTAAATTTTTCACATTTTTAACCTGTAACATAAATATTTATCAAAATATCTTTAGGGTCCTCAATAATTTTTAAAAGTGTAGAGAGTCCTGAGAATCGCTGAGCTAATAAAATTGATTTATCAGTGGTGATGGTGATCAAGAAAAAAAGAAATAAAGGCATGAATCTCTAATATCGAGAATGAAAAGGAGATATCACTATAAAGTCAATGGACATTAAAAAATAATAAAATATTATAAACATCTTTATGTTAATTGATTTGAAATTTTAATAAATTGATAAATTCCTAACAATATAAAACTCAAGCGACACAAAAAAAATAGAAAATACAAATAATTTATATCTATTTAAACATTTAATCTATAATTTAAAACCTTTCTCTGGTATACACAAAACCTGTAGGCCCAGATGACTTTGTCAGTGAATTCTACCGAACAATTAAAGAATAAATAACACCAATCTTACACAAACTCTTCAAGGGAATAAACTAAAAGTGGAAACTTGCCAACTTGTTTTTTTTTTAATTTCAACTTTTATTTTAGATTCAGGGAGTACATGTGCAGGTCTGGGTTAATTGTTATATTGCATGATGCTGAGGTTTGGGGTACAATTGATCCTGTCACCCAGGTAGCAAGCATAATTCCTGATAGGTAGTTTTTCCTTGCCCCCTCACTCTCCCTGCCCTCTTTTGGAGGCCCTGATGTCTATTGTGCTTATCTTTGTGTCTGTGTGTACCCAATGTTTAGCTCCCACTTATAAGTGAGAACATGTATTTACTTTTCTTTTCCTGTATTAATTCTTAGGATAATGGCCTCCAGCTGTATCCATGTTGCTACAAAGGACTTACTTTTGATATTTTTTTAATGGCTGCATAGTATTCCATTGTGTATATGTACCACATTTTCTTTATCTAGTCCACCACTGATGGGCACCTGACTTGATTCCATATCTTTGCTATTGTGAATAGTGCTGCGATGAACATATGAGTGCATGTGTCTTTTTTGTAGAATGACTTATTTTTCTTTGGGTATATACCCAGTAATGAGATTGCTGGGTCGAATTGCAGTTCTATTAGTTCTTTAAGAAATCTCTAAACTACTTTCCACAGTGGCTGAACTAATTTACATTCTCACCAACAGTGTATAAGCATTCCCTTTTCTCTGAAGCATCTGCCTTTTTGACTTTCTAATAATAGCCATTCTGACTGATGTGAGATGGCATCTCATTGTGGTTTTGATTTGCACTTCTCTGACGATTAGTGATGTTGAGCATTTTTTCATGTTTGTTGGTCGCTTGTATGTCTTCTTTTGAGAAGTGTTTATGTCCTTTGCTCACTCTTTAATGGGGTTATTTGGTTTTGCTTGCTGAATTATTCCTTATAGATTCTGTATATAAATGTCTAATAGACAACTTGTTTAATGAGACCACATAACCTGGTACCAAAACCTCACAAGGCCAATACAAGAAAGAAACACAGGTCAATCTCTTCTATGACAGATGCAAAACTCCTAAACAAAAGATTAGCAAACTTAATCCAAGGATGCATAATAGAATAATACACTAAAACCAAATTGGGTTTATTCTATGACTGCAATATTGCTTTAATGTTTGATTATCAATCAATGTAATTCATGACATTAATAGAATAAAAGATATCAACTATATCAATTCAGTAGATGCAGAAAAGGCATCAACAATAAAAAAGTTCAACAATTACTCATGACATAAAATAAAACAACAGCAACCTCATAACAAATGAGGTATAAAAGTAAACTTCATTAAGCTGATAAAGAGTAGTTACAAAATACCTACAGTAAATGTCTTATTACTTTGAAAGTTTTCCTCCTGATACTGGGATCAAGTCAAGGATGCCTATTGTCACCACTGTGATTCACTATTTTTCTGAATGGCCTAGCCACTACAATAAGTCAAGAAAAACAAAAGTATTAGAATGAAAGAAAAATGATAAAACTGTTATTACTCACAGATGATATGATCATATATGTACAAAATCCAAAAGAATCTTTAGAGAAACCATTAGCATTGCATTTCTTTATATAATTTCACTCCTATATATATATCCAATAAAATATGTACATATGTATGCCAAAAGACATTTACAGCAGCATTATTTATAATAGCCAGAAAACTGGGAATAATCCAAATGCCCACAACAGTATAATGGAAAAATAAATTGAGATATACTCATGTAATGGTATACTATATAGCAACAAAAAGGAACAAACTAATGATAGATGCAAGAATATGGAGAATCTCATAAGCAATATGTTGAATGAAAAAGGCCAGACATAAGGAGTAAATGTTGTATAATAACATTTATATGACACTCAGAAACAGACAAAACTAATTTATGAGATCAGAAGTCAGAAGACCAATTACCATTTAGAAAGCAGGGAAGGGTGACTGGGAAGGGCACAAGGGGGGATTTCTGAGGTGCCAGTAGTGCCTTATTTCTTCATCTAAGTAGACATAACATGGATATAACCATTGTATAAAAATTTATTAAGCTGAGTACTTAAGAATTTTGTACTTTTCTGTATATATTATACTTCAATAAAATAATTCATAAAGATACTTGTACAAGATACTAAAGAAGAAATCTTTTTTACTTGTACATGCAAATGAATGGCTGTTGAATAAGAAGTCTTTGAGAAATACCAGGTTCAATGCCAAAATATTTTTGAGATAAATCAAATTTTGCCAAAAGAGCTATATAATTTAATGAATGTAATTCAGTTCAACATTATTCTGAAAGAGAGAAAAATTTTTAAATCTCATCATGTTGTTTTAGTGTTGGAAACTGATAAAAACGTTGAGTATTGGCTGACTCTGAGCACACTGGCTATGGGTTAGCCCTGTCCACAAGGAGCAGCAAAAAAATAAGATTTTTTAAAAAAATACTAGCATTGTGAGGAAATAATGGTATGGAGACTTAAAAATATAGTAAGTCACTGTATATTCTAGGGATTATATAAAATATTTGAAAAGTCTGGGAAAAATTGAACCTCAGATTAAAAGACCTCCTACTCTAAGAAAAATATGCCATGGCTATATGCAAAGTAAAACAGGTATAATTTTAAGTGAGATCAGTAAAGCCTAGGAAATTGTAGGTCAGAAATTACACAGTGCCAAGCAATTATGGAAATATCTTTCCAGGGCCATAAAATCTAATAACAAAAGTTTATGACAGAAAATATTCAAAATCAGACTGAAAATCAGTGGAATCAGGTCAGCATTATGGAGCGAATGTAAAATGAAGGCATAGCTGCAGATAGAATTTTTTTTGCTTTCATCTTTACTGAAAAATATTTTAGAAAATATCTTATATCTAAACTCCCTAGTATCAATTTTCTCACTTCAGTTCTCTTCTGTTCCTTCTCTACAAAATCTCCCCAGGAAATCTCAACTCTTCCCAAGATTTTGACCCACCACCTATGTGTGTATATTTTTCCTCAAATCTTTATATCCAGCCACCTCTCTTTTCTGAGCTCCAGAGATTTATTTTTAATGTTCTACTGCTATTTTCACTTGAATAACTTAAAGACATAACCTTCAAATGTCAAAAGCTAAACTCATGATCATTTATGGCATACCCAGTTCTTCCTCCATTGTTCTAAATTGCAGTGACTTGGCCAACAGTCCTCCTAGTTGGCCAGCCTAGAATAATCTTAGAGTCATTTTCAAGTTCTTCTTCAGCTTCTTCAAGTCATTCTTGAATCCCCACCTCTCAGTTTCCACTACAATGGTCTCAGAGCAGGCCCCTCATTTTCATTTTCGTAGACTGTTTCAATAGTCTCCCATCTCCCTAACTTCTCTGCGCCTTTCAATATGTTCTTCACACTGCTAACAAACTCATCTGTCTAAAATATAAGTCACATCAATCTCATGCTTTAAGACCTCTAATGGTTCTTGTCCCTAACTATAAGATTTCCTTGATATCCTGGCATAGGTGGAATGACTCTGTTAGGCAATAGCCTTTGCAAAGAGATGCTAATCCCAAATCCAACTGTCTCCCTTAATATATAAAGTATATATTCAACAAGCAGCATAGAAAAGCAGGGAGCATAATCTTGGGCTCAACGTCACAGACCCCAACCGATATTTTCAAAAACTTGTTTAAGAGAAAATGTGGATTATTGTCTGAAATGAAGATTATTTACCCTTTCTTATAGTCCAGATAGTCTTAAGTACACTCTTGCATCAATTTAGATCAGCAGTGAGCTGGATACCTATTCTTCATTGTATTGGCTCTCTGAAAGAATGGCTTTTATTGAATTGCACCTAATTGTAATGCGGTCAGCCCATACTGAACATTGTTATAACAAACTGCCCTTTGAAACTTACTGTTGCTGTCTACAACACTGCTCCTCCCTCTTTATGAGGTTCTTTGGAGGAAATTCATATATAGTTTTAGTACTAGTATGTCTCCTAAGCAGTTGGCTTGTTTGTGTCTTATACACATTGAATTGTTGGAAAGGTTGAAGGCAAATTTGTGTCCTGCTCAGAGTCCATGTATACATCATTAAAGTATGCATCTTTAGCTTCATTAGTAGCTTCAGTCCCACTTCGCTTTTATTTCTTCTATTTACTTTCAAATTATGCTATCCTGGATCCTTATAAACTATCTTAGAGTCTTTCTGGAACAAGGTGAAATAAAAGGAGATAACTAAATAAATACACAAACATTCAAATAAATAAATACAAAATCCTACTATCTTCTGTTGTTTTATGCAGTATTCCCAACAGTAGCTGACATCAAAATCATCTTTGAAGTTTTATACATACCCAGATGCCCAGGCTTATTTCAAGACTTACTGAATGAGGATCTTAAGGGAAGATGCCCAGGCATTAGTATTAAAAAATAAAAACAGGCCAGGTGCAGCAGCTCACACCTAAAATCCCAGCACTTTGGGAGGCTAGGATGGGAGAACTGCTTGAGCCCAAGAGTTTGAGGCTGCAGTGAGCTATGATTGCACCACTGCACTCCAGCGTGGGCAACAGAGTGAGACTCTGCCTATAAATACACATATACATACATACATACATACATACATACATACATACATACATACACAAGTTGCTCCACAAATGAAACAACTGATAAACTGAATCTCAAAAAAAAAAAAGAACTTTTGAAAGAAACTTAAGAAAATGAAAAGATAAGCCACCGACAGGAAGAAAATATTTGCAAATCACACCTCAGATAAAGGAATTGTATCCAGAATACATGAAGAACTATTGAAACTCAATAATAAGAACACACACAACCCAGTATAAAACACGGAAAGATATGAATTGCCATTTCACCAAAGAAGTTATAAAGATAGGCTGGGTGCAGTGGCTCATGTCTGTAATCCCAGCACTTTGGGAGGCTAAGGTAGGCAGGTTGTTTGAGCCCAGGAGTTTGGGACCAGCCTGGGCAACGTGGTAAAACCCCATATCTACAAAAAATACAAAAAATTACCTGGGTGTGGTGGCGCATGCCTATAGTCCCAGCTACCAGGAAGGCTGAGATAAGAGGATCACCTGAGCCTGGGAGGTCAAGGCTGCAGTGAGCCATGATTGTGCCATTACATTCCAGCCTGAGCAACAGAGTGAGGCCCTGTCTCAAAAAAAAAAAAAAAAAAAAAAAGATATAAAGATAGAAAACAAGCACATGAAAGATGTTCAACATCATTAGTTGTTAGGGAATACAAATTAAAACCACAGTGCCATGGAGTACTATTTAGCCATAAAAAATGAAATCCTGTCATTTGTGACAACATGGACGAATCTGAAGAACATTATGTTAAGTGAAATAAGCCAGACCCAGAAAGACAAATACTACATGATCTCACTCATACATAAAAAAAGTTGATCTCATAGAAGTAGTGCATAGAAGAGAATGGGAAGAGGTTGGTCAATGAGTACAAAGTTACCGTTAGAAAGACTGAGTAAGTTCTGGTGTCCTATTGCACAGTAGGATAACTACAGTTAACAATATGGTATTGTATATCTCAAAATAGCTAGAAGTGAGGATTTTGAATGTTCCCACCACAAAGAAATGACAAATGTTTGATGTGATGAATATCCTAAGTACCATGATTTGACCATTATACAATATATACATGTATTGAAATATCATATTGTACTCCATAAATATGTATAATTATTATGTGTCCATTAAAACTTTTAAAAAATAATTGTCAATTAAAACTTTTAAAAAACCATAATGCAAATTAAAACCATACCTACTAGAAAGTCTAAAATTCAAAAACTGAAGATGCCAACAATTGGTGAGGATGTGGAACAGCTGGAACTCTCTGCAGCTGATAGGAGCGTAAAATGTCACAGCCATTTTGGAAGACAGTTTGGCAGTTTCTTAAAAAGTTAAACATACCGCTACCATATTGAAAGCATACATCCAAAGACCTGTAGTTGAATGTTCACAGCAGCTCTATTTGTAATAGCCCAAAACTGGAAACAACCCAAATGTCTATCTGCAGGTGAATGAATAAACAAATTGTAGTATATCCATAAAATGAAATCTCACTTATTAATAAAAGGAATAAACTGTTGATACATGCAACAATATGAATGAATCTCAAAATAATTATGCTGAAAGAAGCCAGACAAAAAAAGAATATATGGTGTATGAGTCCATTTATATAAAATTCTAATGAATACAAACTGTTCTATAGTGACAAAAGGCAGATCAGTGGTTGCCTGAAGATGAGGGGAGTAAAAAGAGTGAAAGGGAAGAATCACAAAGGAGCATAAGGAAACTTTAAGGGGTGATGGAGATGTTTATTATCTTGACTGGGGTGATAATTTTATGGGTATATATGCATGTCTAACATCAAATTATACACTTGAAATATGCACAGTTTATTGTATGCAATTATACCTCAATAAAGCTGTCTTTAAAAACTGTATAGATGATTCTGGTAAGGAGGTAAGATTGAGAGCCATTGGACTTTGGGATAAAAACTGAACTCCTAGTATGCAATGCCTTTTACAATATTTCTACCCTATTTCCTTCAACTCCACCTGACCCATTCTGTGCTATGGGCACACAGAGCTGCTTACATGCTCTGATTATGCCTTTTCCTTCATGTCTCTGAGTCTTTAGACATGGTGTTTTCTCTGGCTAGAGGTTGTCTCTCCCTTGTCCACTTGTTTTTTGTTTTTTGTTTTTTTGAGACAGAGTCTCACTCTGTCTCCCAGGCTGGAGTGCAGTGGCGCGATTTCAGCCCACTGCAACCTCCACCCTCCAACTTCAAGCGATTCTCCTTCCTCAGCCTCCCAAGTAGCTGGGATTACAGGCGCCTGCCACTGCACCTGGCTAATTTTTTGTATTTTTAGTGGAGACAGGGTTTCACCATCTTGGCCAAGCTGGTCTTAAACCCCTGACCTCATGATCCACCCACCTTAGTCTCCCAAAGTGCTAGGATTACAGGCGTGAGCCACTGTGCCCAGCCTCCCTTGTCCACTTGTTGAACTTCTTCCCATCCTACAAGAGCCAACTAAAATGTCTCGACCTCTGAGATGGCCTCCTAACTTCCTTCTGAAAGTTCCTGTGTCTTATGTTGTTCCTGTTATGGTTTGCATAAACACTATTTTCAAACTTACAACACACTGATTCTATGTTCTTTTTATATCTCAAACTCTACCACTGGCCAGAGCAGCACTGTTCAGCTTTTAAAAACTCTATGCTCTCTTTTGATAAACATAAATGTCTTAACCTTTAGTCTCACTGTTGGTTCTGAGAATCTCCGCATCCTCTATATAATATTGCCAGTCCGAAATTTTTGTTCAAGCTTTACTTTCTGTCATTTGTGTTATAAAATAACATATTTTTGTTTTCCAAATAAAAGATAATATTTTATCATTGAATATGCTTTTTTCAAGTTATATGTGTTTCTCCCTCCCTTCTGCTGCCTAGATTTTGGCATACATCCCTCTCTCTCCCAATTGAGAAACACCTCACTAAAGAAGGGGAATGTATCTTTTCCTTCTTTGAATCCCAATGTTGGACACACAGTAAACTCTCAATGAAGGTTTATAAAATCTAATTGAATTGCAACTATATTTTGAGGGGACAGGCTCAATAGGAAAATAACAGTAAATTCACAAGAAGGTTCAAAACTAAGCAACAAAATACTTTTAGATAAATCACTGGGATAAACAAGCATCCTCTCAAGAATTTGAAAGACCTAGCAGGAACTGTGAAAATGCTGGAACTGTTTTCCAAAACACGTAACCTATCGTATAAATGACTACTTTATGGTAGGATGTATTGCTATGGCCTCCAAACATAAGACATACTTTCAGCAGAGACTCAGGGAACAACAGATGTTGGAATCTCACTTTCATTCCCACAGTAAAAGGTAGGATGTTAGAGTACTTGGGGTAATTATATTAAGTTGAGAAGAGCCAAAATAAAATTTCAGAGAAATAAGGCATTGCTTGTCCTGGTTTATTCTGATTCCACTTGAGGCTGAGAAGCAACACAGTGCTTCTATGGTTGAGCAAGGCTGTTCAACCCTCTTTGGTGGGGAGGGGTGCCCACACCTCCCTTCTGAGGATAAATCACCATCGATCTCTAGGTGCGTATATCCTTGGGGCAGAGAAGAGGGCTTGATGTTGATTAAGCGCCTTGTGAGGAATAAATAGCAGATGCTTTCCATTCTTGAGTGCAAAGAGAGGAGGCAGTTTCACCAAAGTTTTTCAAATCACTTTCTCAGATGGGCTGAAAATACTGTTTAAAAAAACCCTTAAACCTCACTCAGCCTCAATTTCTAATTCACTGTGTGAGCAAAGGATTTTAAAGCTTAATCTAGTTTTGTGATACATAAGATCTAAATTATACTTTCATTTCTTTTTCCAAAAAGATTCCAAAAACTAGTTCTTAGAGTCAAGATGCCATCCTCATCTTTGACATATTTCTTAATAATTTATCAAATAGTTAGGGTTCTTGGTATGCAAGGGTGAATAAACACATAATTCCTGTTCTCAGGTTTTTCCTAGTCTTTCCCCTGCCTACCTATAACCCCCTCACGGCTGTTTTGTAAACTCCCAGCAATCTAGGGATGTTGTCTTTTATTTTTATTTCTAGCTCTGTGCCCTGCACTCACATTTTCAGCTATGCACAGCTGTTTATTTCCATCTTGCAGAAGTCACAAATGTATGGTGCCAAAAAGTGATTGGCAGTCGATGATCCTTCGAGTCCTGGGTACAGTACCTGGACCAGAGGAGGCTTGGTTCAACACATTTTAGTTTGATGAATGCATATTGCATGTATCACTGTACCCTGAGAGAAACTCCCAGCCACCAAAAGAAGCTAGTGGAAAGGGTTCTCGTGCAGGTCTTTGAGGGCTGTGACTGCCAGAATACAATCTGGAAGAAAGAGATAGAAGGATTATTCTACTCCTTACCAGAAGGATACCCTGTTAATGAACCAAGCTGAACATTATTATCCTCAATTATAGAGAAGTAGGTATTTTTCCTGTTACATGTTTTTCCTTCTAAGCACGTAACTCCCAAGGACATACTTGGTCTAATCAGAAGTAGGAGCTGAAGTGTAAGAAATGAAAGGCAAAGTCAGGAGGAGAATCACAGTGTTTTAATCAGCCCACACGGTCTGATTCAAGACACCTGCTGCTTTGTTTAACAACAGCAGTCTTCTCAGGAAAACACATCTTTCTTTGTTTCCTAGCAGTGATGGATAATATATGCACAGCTTGGAGAACAACATTTATTATGGTAACTAACTTCAGGCAGAATGGAAGCAGTAAAGAAAATAAATAGGTAGTTAGATTCCAGTGTAATGAAGCCCTTTTAGACTCTTTAAAACAAAATCCAAAATAAAACAAAACAAAAACCAAACAACATGTGGGACCTGAAAACCGGGCCAAGTAGTCATTTTGCATTCCTCCCTCACCAAATAAAACCACTTCAGAAATGGATGGAATCTCAGCACAGTTAGAATTGAGCCAACAATAGAAAATTGAAGAACCAGGTCTGTTACAGAATTGGTTTGAGAAAGGGTATTGCTCTTTGAGCCATTCAGCTTAATTAGTGCTATTTCCCCCCACTCTGTATTATTACTTCAAATCTGCACCACTGGTGGGCACCATAAGATCTTGCTGTTTATTTCCTATAGTATTTCCATACTCAATCCCAGTCCAAATGCCAGGACTTGGGTTGGCTCTAAAATGCCATGTAGGTATTTGCTGAGCACGGGCATTCCATGACTGGTATATATTTGCCATCACACTTGCCTGTCCATATAGCATATGTCACATGTGCCAAATATGTGTACCAGAAATGTTGAATGGGACACATATTTGTGGGGTGACTTGGGAAGAGAAAGAGAAGGAAGGGATAGAGTGCCTACTCTCCTGTTCTTTATTTCATTCATTTTTGAGAAGTACTCCAGTAGCAGTTTGTCATTTCATTCATTCATTCAGCATCATTTATTGAGTGCTTACCCTAGGCACTGTACAGTCACTATGCTAGATTCTAGGAAAACAGACATAAATAAGACATATTTTCTGTCCTCAAGAAGTACAGCCTACTTGGGAGGCAGAGAGTCATGTTAACAACAGAAACGAAACAATCTGTGGGATATGTGCAACCAACAGAAGCAGGTATAAGATACAAGAGAAGAAAAGAGAAGGGAGCAATCACTTTGCTTGGGGGAACTAGGGAAGCTTCTTGGAGGCAGCAGCGTGTCCCCGAAATGAATTATTACAGCCATAGTTCCAGTAAGTGAAGTTGTCACTTGCTTAGATCTTGTTAAGGAGCCCAGGACCCAGGAACTCTCCCTCACCCAGCCACAGCTCTCTGGGCCAAAGGTGGGCACCTAATCTGAAGCAGTCAGTCCACAGGCAACCTATGTGTGTGTGTATATAAAAGGAGAACTTAGAGCAATGACATTCCCTCAGGACTGGGAAATGCAGAGAGAATTGGGTAGCCCAGAAAGCCTTTCCTTCCCCTCTTTTCAGTGTTCATCCTTCAAACTGTTTCATCCTTCAAACTGCAGCTAAGTATCACTTTCTTATTAAGAAGTCTGGCTTGCATATACAAAAGAATGAAACTGGACCTGTATCTCGCACCATATTAAAAAATCAACTCAAGATGGATTAAAGACTTAAACGTAAGACTTGAAACTATAAAAATACTAGAATAAAACCCAGGGAAAACTCTTCTGGACATTTGAATAGGCAAAGAATTCATGACTAAGACTTCAAAAGCACAAGCAACAAAACCAAAAATAGACAAATGGGATTTAATTAAACTAAAAAGCTTCTACACAGCAAAAGAAATAATCAACAGAGTGAGCATACAACCTACAGAATGGGAGAAAAGATTTGCTAACTATGTATCCAACAAGGTACTAATATCAGAATCTAGAAGGAACTCAACAACAACAGCAAAACAACTCAACTAAAAACTGGGCAAAGTGGGCAAAGGCCAAGAATAGACATTTTTCAAGAGAAGACATCCAAATGGCCAAGCAGCATATGAAAAAATGCTCAACATCACTAATCATTAGAGAAATGCAAATTAAAACCACAATGAGATATTGTCTTATACCAGTCAGAATTTTAAAATTCTATTATATTATTAAAAAGACAAAAAATAATGAATGTTGGCAAAGGTGGGCCAAAGTTGGCCACCTAATCTGAAGCAGTCAGTCCACAGGCAACATGTGTGTGTGTGTGTGTGTGTGTGTGTGTGTGTGTGTTTGTGTGTTTGTGTGTGTGTGTAATATATAAAAGGACAACCTGGAGCCATCACATTCCCTCAGGAATGGAAAATGGAGAGAGAAATGGGCAGTTAGTCCAAAAAAGCCCTTCCTTCTCCTTTCCAGTGTTAATTCATCCTTCAAACTGCAGCTAAGTGTCACTTCCTTATTAAAAGAAGGAGCAAAGGAAATGCTTATACACTCCTAGTGGGAATGTAAATTAGTACAACCTCTATGGAAAACAGTATGGGGGTTTCTCAAAGAGCTAAAGATAGAACTGCCATGTGATCCAGAAATCCCACTCCTGGGTATCTACTCAAAGAAAAAGAAATAATTACATCAAAAAGATACCTGGCCAGGCACAGTGGCTCATGCATGTAAACTCAGTGCTTTGGGAGGCTAGGCAGGAAAATCACGTGAGGCCAGGAGTTCAGGACCAGCCTGGACAATATGGCAAGACTCTGTCTCTACAAAAAAAAAAAATTAAAAAGGAAATTAGCCAGGTGTCATGGTACACACTGTAGTCCTAGCTACTTGGGAGGCTAAGGTGGGAAGATTAGTGAACCCAGGAGTTCAAGGCTGCAGTGAGACATGTTCGCACCACTGCACCACAGTCTGGGAAACAGAGGAAGACTCTGTCTCTAAAAAAAAAATTTTAATAAATAAATAATCTTTTAAAACATAGCTGTAGTCATATGTTTATTGCAGCTCTATTCGCAACAGCAAAGAAATGGAATCAAACTAAGTGTTCATCAGCAGATGACTGGATAAAAAAAGTATAAGTATATATACACAATGGAATACTATTCAGCCATAAAAAAGAATGAAATAATGTCTTTTGCAGCTATATAGATAGAACTGGAGGCCATTATCTTAAGTGAAATGACTCAGAAAGAGACAAATACCACATGTTCTCACTTAGAAGTCTGAGCTAAATAATGTGTACACCTTGGCATAAAGTGTGGAATGACAGACATTGGTGGCTTGGAAGGGTGGGCAGGTTTGGGTGCTGGATGATGGGAAATTACTTAATGGGTACAATGACCATTATTTAAGTGATGGAGACACTAAAATTCCAGACTTCACTACTATGCAATATATCTATGAAACAAAATTGCACTTGTACCCCTTAAATTTATACAAATCAAAAGAAAAAAGTTTAGCCTGATTTCCCTGACTTAGCCAAATCCCAGTACCAAATCTCCAGCACCGTTTCACATTTGCAGTGTTGCTTTTGTTTGTGTAACCTTTATTCATTGGATTAGCACCTAATTCCTTTTTACATCATTAACTCCATGAGGGCAATGAGCATGTCTCTTCTCTCATCATTGTATATCTAGCATCTGGCACTGTACTTGAGACATATGGTCAATAAATATTTGTCGTGTGAATGAACAAAAGTGTATCAATGAGGGCAAGCAGGAAAAAGTCAAGGAAGGGTGGGGTACTCTGAGCAGCCAGTATCATCAAGAAGGTCCCAGGAAAGGACCTCTGAAGCAGTTAGAAGGGCATTCAAAGGAAGAGAGAAGGGGTCCCAAAGACAAATTTTGGCCCAAGACTAAAATAATGTTGCCTTAGGTCAGCTGGCATATGAAATTCCTTTTGAAAATAATGAAACATGCCTGCACTTAATAGCAGAATTTGGGCATAAGAGAATGTGGGTCCAAAAAAGCTCTTATTCTTTCTATAATGTTAATAATAGAGATTACAAATAAGAGTCACCAACATGTGAAAGACAACTCTTCAAAGATGATTTTAAAATTCTGAACTTTTGAAAAAATATCTCTAGCTGGAGTGTGTGTGTGTGTGTGTGTGTGTGTGTGTGAATATGAAACTTCTAGAGGGAAATTCTGACAAAGATCTTGCTGTAATAAAGAAAGACAGTGAAGAAACAAGTCAAAATTTAGGCCCAATTACTCAATACAAATTTAGCAATCTGAGATGTTTTAAGATGATTATATTCTTATAAATTTAAAATCACAACCCATGTATACAACTGTATTGTAGTACTTGAATTCAAATCTAAGTATTGAAACTATATGAGGAACCAATGTTATGTTTGGGACACAGGCTTTAAAATTGGCAAACCTGGGTATAAATCCTAATGCTTTAAGTTGGTTTCATCTCTGAAAACTTCAGTTTCTTAATATGGACCATGAAAATAATCATGCTACCTCATAAAGTTGTAAAGATTAAATGAAACAATATATACAGAGCTTGGCTACGCTTACGCTATGAGAGTTCAATAAATGACAATTACTGTTAAACAAATGAAACTATCTCCTTCAAACATTAAAAAATATTTCTTAAAAGTCTTTCTCCATTGGTTTTGCTCTTTAATTACACTGAGTTGGTTTTTTCCCTCAACCACAAGAAGAATATTTAAACATATTCTTCCTAGTCAAAGCTAGTGAAAATATGTTCCATAGGCAGAGAGGAGAGAAAATGTCTTTTTTGTTCCCAGGTTCTTTTCACACCAGAGGAGTTACTCCTCCTTCCTCCCTTCTCCCCCTCTGCTTCTTTTGTACACACCTAGGCTGGCTACTTAGCATGAATTCACATTCACTGCTTTTCCCTTTCTCTGGTGTGGAGAGCTGAACTCATTCATTATTGAAGAAGGGTAGTGTCATTTTTTTTTAGTCACTACTTTGAAAGGATACTACATTGGCATTTATAAATTAAGAACGTGTAAATATTATATTATATACATTTACTTTTCTGCTTTAATATTTATAAAGTTTTCATGTAACACTCCAGCAGATAATTTTTTCCCTAGAGGGCCATATTTTAGGAAAGGTTTAGGAAATATGATAAACCCTCTCTGTTCTTCTCTTTATTATATTCTATATTTTATTGTTGTTGGTTAGCTGAAAATCAGGCATCTTATAAATGCATGCAGTCTTCAACTTAACTGAAGCAAAACAACCACTACAATTTTCTTAGATTCACTTTCTGTCTCCAAATTGGAGGCTTACAAGTTTTAAATTAGGTCATCTGGAGAAACCTGATTTAACATCTAGTTTTTATATGATTGTGCAGCAAGACAAAGATATTTTTTAAAAGACTTTATTAAGACGGTATGATCACAATAACAACTGATACATTTTTACTATGAAAAAGAGAGTACACATTTGGTAGCATAGCTTCATGTATTGCAAACAAGATTAACCACACTGACATGGCTCAGCTAAACTTTTAAAAAAGAGTTATGTGTTTTCCACAGATAAATTCCTCATTCAAAATATTTATGATTCTCTTTGGTTTTTTCTTCTTTTTTTCTGAGACAGGGTCTCTCTCTGTTGCCTAGGCTGGAGTGCAGTGGCGCAATCACAGCTCACTGCAACCTCTGCCTCCCAGACTCAAGCAATCCTTTTACCTTAGCCTCAACACATCTGGCTAATTTTTAAATTCTTTTGTAGAGACGAGGTCTCACTATATTGCCCAGGCTGGTCTCAAACTCCTGGGCTCAAGCAATCCTCCTGGCTCAGCCTCCCAAAGTGCTGGGATTACAGGTGTAAGCCACCACACTCGGCCTCATTTTGTTTTTTTATGTGATATTCAACTAAGCAGAAAGTGAAACATTTGAATTTTTTTTAAAAAGTCCCATTATGGAATGTCTTTAGGAGAATGGCTCTATGCAGTTTGGAAGAGAGCATCTAAGTAACCATTTTAGTCCAAAGCTACAGGAGTCCTGGAAAAATTTTAAGGTCTAGAATTTGTTCACAATACTGCCAGTGCCATATGTGTGTTGAGCACAGCCTCTCACTAAATTCTGATCTATATCCTTACCTCCATGAAAATGGTGACCTTTAAGTGTCAGCCTCTCACTTTGTTTTCAATATGGTGAGAAGCAAGTATGTGACTTGGCCACTTACACGGCCACATCTGAGACACTAAATTGTGTTTCATCAAGTAATACAGACATACGTAAAGCATGATCCGCAGAAACAGACTGCAAAAAATCCAAATTGCATGCATTGATGTAACAACTTACAAAATGAAAAAGAATGATTCATACTCTCAAGAGATATAAAATTGAACAAATGTGAGCACACAGAAAAAAAATCACAAAATTATTGTTATATGAAAAACAAACACAGGGAATTTTATGTTTTGTTATTTGATGTATTCCAAGTGCCTCAAATATATCTGGCACACAATAGTCAGTCAATAAATATATGTCAAATGAACGAATGACTGAGACAATATGAATGAGGAAAGGGTACTATTTCTAGAAGGTTCTTACATTCGTTGATCATGACAATTCTAACCCTCTCCTATGAGTAAATCTGCCTTGACATTTAAAAAAATTATATAAACTAGGATACCCTTGGATCCTAAGAAAATAAACACAGAATAGCTAAATTTTAAATGGAGAAAGAAATTATGGTATTTGTGATTTTAAAGAATAAGGTATTAGGAATTGGAGGGAAGAATCTAGAAGGACAGAGTGCTGGAGATGGGCCCCTGTGGGGAAGTGTGCCTTCAGGATAGAAGAGACAGGCATCCAAGACAAATGTTTCTTCTTTGTAATTTTGCCAGGGTCAACCAGATTCCTACACCATAAGCAAAGTGCGCTTAAGCAAGTAGAGTGGAAAAATAGACGGAGAAGTTTCTCTACTTATACCTGCTGGTAAAACTACTGGACAAAAAGATGAAATATGCAGTCTTGGGGAGGGTTTGTCTTATCTTAGACCAAAGTAATTTTGACTTAAAAAAATTTAAGGGCCTCATTAATTAAGGGCATTGAAACTATGAAGAATCAAATGTGACTGATTTTCGTTGGCTGTTCCAGAACACATTACATTAAAAAGATATATTTAAAACATATATCATGGAGCAGCATTGTCTAAAATTATAGGTAAGTTTGGGCACTGACCATAATCCACTTTCTGTCAATTAAAATTATAGTAAATATAAATAATTACTAAACTATGGAACCAAAATACTACATTAATTTGATTGATAAAATTGAGTCCAGACCAGGCACAGTAGCTCATGTCTCTAATCCCAGCACTTTGGGAGGCTGAGGCAGGCAGATCACCTGAGGTCAGGAGTTCAAGACCAGCCTGGCTAACATGGTAAGACCCCATCTCTACTAAAAATACAAAAAGGAGCTGGGTGTGGTGGCGCACATCTGTAATCCCAGCTACTTGGGAGACTGAGGCAGGAGAATGGCTTGAACTGGGAGGCGGAGGTTGCAGTGAGCTGAGATCATGTGCCACTGCACTCTAGCCTAGGCAACAGAACAAGACTCTGTCTCAAAAAATAAAATAAAATAAATAAAATAAAATAAAAAATGAGTCCAATACCATATTATCTCTTTTTATTTTAATCTTGTAAAGAACTCATGATATCTAGCATATCTGTAGCTGTATGTTGCAACATTTTGTAGCTAGAATGACTACACAGCCCTTCAAGACACACGTACAAACAAGTAGTATAATTTTCCAGACCATGATGTTCCAGTACAGTCAAGTACCATAAAAAAACAAAATGAGCAATATGTCATTGGTGGGTATGACTCGCAGGGCATTAGCTAATGCAATTTTCCAATAGGGAGTCTACTCAACAGATATAACGCTAAACAGAATTTTTCTTAGTAAAATTTACAACTTCATATTTTTATACTTGAGAGAAACATATGGTTCAGTACTTACAGACTTAGCAGTAGTGGGAGGCCTGTGAAAACTGTTTGCAGCTACAACTTGGAGCACATCTTTAGGACTTCTCTCAGAACTCTTTTAAGGACTTATTCTTTTTCTAATGCTAAATACATACTTAGTTCTATTTTACTTACTTGTATCATTCATTATAATCAACATGAATATTATCTAAAGGACATTTTTATTTTTACCAAGAGAAACAAACTGCCAAAGTTCCTTGTGCTACTGATTTAAAAAAAGAAATAAATCAAAGAAAAAATATTGCCTTAATTTTTTTGCACCAATTCTGCAAATGGTTTTCAAAAGCTATGATTAGGTGCACATAAATTCTATCTGCCTTGGTTGACCTCACATTTTCAAATCCCTTTTCTTTCTTTACCTATCCACTGATATCACCTTCTGCTCCTGGCATTGTCAGACTTCAGTATCACACATATCTATCTATAGAGTATGCCTATAATTCTGAGCATTCAGACCCTAAACACTAAACATAGATCCTCACTATGCTGCCCAGGTTGGTCCTGAATTCCTGGGCTCAAGCAATCCTCCCACCTCAGCCTCCTGAGTAGCTGGAACTACAGGTAAACACCACTGTGCCTGGCTTAACATTGTCATTCTCACAACTATTTTTATTTCTATAAAAAATTCACATAATTATTGTTATATGAAAAGATGGTTAAAGAATATGCAGACAAAAATATAGAAAAATATAACAGAGATGTGCCAGATAAGTCAATAAAAACATTATATCATTTTTCTGGATTTTGTAATTTTTAGTGGTATTTGTCAGTTTTTGAAAACTTAAATTTGTCACAATTTTTTTTCTCTTATTCATTTTCATACCAATTTTGGTCTGCAATTAAGTATTTTTTTTCTTAGCAAGGGCCCCCAAATTAATAATCTTCAGGCCACACAAAACCTGGGTCTGCCTTTGCCCAGTGCCTGGCTCAGAACCTGGCAAATTAGGTATTTGTTGAAAGGAACACTCTGTTTCTATCAACCCAAGGGTAGTGACTTCATACTCAGCTTAGTGAAAGTAGAGTCAGCCTATGCTGAGAGTTCTTTAGCATATCCAGCCTCCAGACTGGACCAGTTTCGGCAGAGTGGTAGTACTACACCTGCCAGCAGAGATCCTAAACTCAGCTAGTGGGAAGCCGAGATAGCAAAGGCAGAGAAAATGAGGCCGAAGACTGTCACGTTGTTTTACAGTCAAGAAACAATATTTTTCCTTATGCTTTCATTTTTGAAAGGTACTGAAATTAATGAAAAGAAACTCTTTCTGTCTCCAAAGAGTATGCAAATTAGTTTTCATGTGCTTGGAAATTTATTCTTTTGAGTTATGTTTCTCATTTGAAGAATATGGTTACTCACCCTTCCCTTTACACTGTATAATGCGAAACATATGTGAATAGGATTACATCAAGTCCCAAGATATCAGTATTTGGAAGTGACTGAAGTCTTCCACATAGAGTTCCAAGTTAAAATACTTTACTTGAATTAGCATGTGAATTGTGAATTGTGATATTGTTATTCTATTTATGTTTGTACTATTTCCACCCTAAAATAATGTTTAACCTCAAAATTTCTAGATTGCTTCATCAAGTGCTAGAAGTTTAGGAAACTCCCTTAACTAAAGATAAAGTCAAATCTAGATATGGGGCTGGGTTAACTGCTTCATAATGGAGCTGCTTCTGAAGCACCAGCACCTAGATCTAGAGCCACCCATCAGACCAGGTGGGATCACCCAGAGCCTGATGGGAGAGATGGGGTAGCCAGTCCTCACTCAAGGTGCTGGGCGAAATTATAGTGCATCATGATACCTAAGGAGTATAACAATCGATAAATTCACACAGTTGATGCTATGGATTCTGATACTCAGAGTGGGGTGCCCCAAATGGGAGAAAATATGAAACTAAGAAGAAACCAAACCAATAACAGAGTCAGTACCAGCCACAGGGAAGCAAGGCAGAAACTCCGTTAACTAAACTGAAGCACAAGCAGGTGCACAAGTGGATCTTGGAGGATGAGACAGAGACTTGTAATCAGAACTTGAGCAGGTAGTCAGAGTTGGCCTGGCAACATGGGTGACTTGATGCTGAATCCCATAGTATTGGGCTACAGCCCCTTAAACCTCTTCTGTTCAAGTCGTATAATAGACAGTAGGATAAGTTCAGCTCATGGTTAGGACCATGAAGCCTTTGATGAGGGAAGAAGGGAACTGCAGAAACTTGGAGCCAAGCGAGAACTAACTGATGATGAAATAAAGGAAAGTCCTATTTCTGTACAGGACTTTTGAAATAAAACATCAAAAGAGAACATGTAAATAAAACTTAATGACATAAGGAAAATAACTGGACTCTTCTATGCTACTTCTAAGAAAGAGAAGACCTCTTAGTAAGGGGAAATATTTTTAGTGGGAGAAAGAAATAATCAGATTTTTAAAACACACATTGTTTAGTTTTCCTTTACATATAATAAGGCAAGAAAGTAACTGTCAATAGAGAACATAATTAAGGACTCTTTTTTAAAAATTCAGGAAGAATTAAGTTAGGATAAAGAAAGCTGCTTTCTCTTTCTAATACTGATTTAGCAACTGTTTGACATGAATTCCTCACCTAGGAAGCTGCTCAGCACATTTTTTCTCTTGACTCACTGCCTGACTCACCAGGGAGATAGGCTGTTTCCAATTCTGGACGTCACTGGGGTCTATCATTTAGCCCCACATATAATTGCTCAATTCCTGGGTCTAGGGTGGGGAATACTTTAAAGGATTCAATATATTGTAAGTGGAATTTAGAATTTGCCTTGTTGGCATAGACTTGGTGTCTGACAAGCTCAGGATGACCACATATTAGTCCCTAACGCTGCCATGTTGGCTCAGTTTCTATCACTGCTCCAATCTCCGTTCCTTACTTAGTATTCCAATTCTTTATGGGATGGAGACTTATACCAAGACCTAGTCTTCCTAGCTGGGCATCTGATGCATTGTTAGCTCTGGATCTTGTCTCCTAAAAGACTGAATCCTGCTTTTTATACCCATAGCCTCCACCTAGCATTCTTCTTGGAAGGTAAATGATAACCCTAAAGCCATGGAAATGGTGCTTGCTTATCTTAGAGCACTGCTTACTGCTTGAATATTTGCCTAGAATAACACTGAGATTAGCACCATTACACCCTTGGACACTGAATGGAGCTGACTGAATAGTGATCCTGAAGGCCATCAGACCAGAGTCTCCAGTCTCTTTCTTCACCTAGGGTATCAGGGAGGATCTCCATAATGTGTTGCATGGAGGATAAAAGCAAAGATTTGGAACCTAACAGACGTAGGGTTGATCCTAGCTCTGTCACTTAATTTTAGATAAATTACTGAATGTTTCTAGACCTATTATCTCATCTGCAAAAATGAGGATAATGATTCCTATTCACATAATAACTATGAAATTAAATGAGATAAATAATATAAAGCATTTACTACGGTGCCTGCATGTAAACGCTGCTTAAATCATTGCTATTTAGTTATTAGCAAATGTAAGGGAAAAAAACTATATTAATTCATCCAACAAATGTTTAGTTGCCTATTTGCTGCCAATTATTGTATTGAGCTCTGGAGGTACAAAGGTGATGACATGAAAAAGAATCAGTAAATAGACATCTTCAAAACAGTGTGCTGTGAATAGTGCAATGACATGTGTATTAGTCCATTTACACACTGTTATAAAGAACTACCCAAGACTGGGTAATATATAAAGAAAAGAAATTTAATTGAGTCACAGTTCCACATGGCTGGGGAGGCCTCAGGAAACTTACAATCATGGCAGAAAAGAAAGCAGTCATGTTTTACATGGCAGCAGGCGAGAGAGGGCATGTGAAGGAGGAACTGTCAAACACGTATAAAACCATCAGATCTCATGAGAACTCACTCACTATCATGAGAACAGCATGGGGGAAACTGCCCCCATGATCCAATCACCTCCCACCAGGTCGCTCCCTCGACACATGGGATTATGGGGATTACAATTTGGGATGAGATTTGGGTGGGGACACAGCCAAACCATATCAACATGTCAGCCCTGAGTGATACGGCTATACATATGAGGGGCATCTAAACCAGGAGAGACAATCCTGGAAGAGTATCCTAAAGAAAAGAGCTGATTAGGAGAAAAGAGGGATAAAAGGTGCTCCTGGCAGAGCATGAAAGAGCTTGACGCATTTGAGAAATTGCAAGTAGTCTATCAACATGGCTGGAATACAGACAGAGGACAGGGAGGTGAGTCAGAGCAGGAAGTGGAAATTAAGTAGGGGTTTCTCATCATGGCCCTTGTGGCTGGGCAAAGGAATGTAGGATCAGACCTGAGGGCTATGAGTAGCAGATGATGGGTTTTAAGCAGAGGAACAAAATGATCAGATTTGTGTTTTAGAAAAAAAAATCACTCCAAAGGCCTCATGAATAACATCATAGATTCAAATAACAGTGTAAAAAAAAAAAGGCAGAACTACCATGGTAGAAGCCTAAAAGTGTTTGACAATTCCTCCTTCCTGTGCTACTCAAGAGGTATGCTCTCCTCTTCTTAATTTTGAAATGTAAATGTCATCACAGAATAATTTCAAAGACAATAGGATAATGAAAATAAAACATTTTTAGAATAAAAAGTCTTTCAGTTTGAGCTTCTTGATTTTTTTTTTTAGAGACAGGGTCTCATTAAATTGCCCACACCAGAGTACAGTGTCTATTTGCAGGCACATTTATAGCACACTATTGCCACAAACTCCTGGGCTCAAGTGATCCTCTTGCCTCAGCCTCCTGTGTAGCTGGGACCACAGGCTGAGCTTCTTGATTCTTTTTAAGAATAAAACTATACATTTTCCAAAATGATTGAAATGAGGCTGGGCATGGTGGCTCACACCTGTAGTCACAACCCTTTGGGAAGCTGAGGTGGGAGAGCTGCTTGAGGTCAGGAGTTCAAGACCAACGTGAGCAAAATAGCAAGATCCCATCTCTATTAAAAACAGTTTTTTAATTAGCCAGGTGTAGTGGCCCATACCCGTAATCCCAACACTCTGGGAGGCCCAGGTGGGAAGACTGCTTGAGCCTAGGAGTTCAAGATTATAGTGAGCTATGATTGTGCCATTGCACCTAAGCCCGGGTGACAGAGCAAGACTCTTTTATTATTTTAATAAAATAATAAAATGAAATATCAGGATCCCTACATGTGCTCCCAAATCTATGATCTTAATAGCTATACATGCATCCCCGATAGTCACAGGTCTGACTGAAAATGACTATGAATGGAAATTAATGTGAAATGTTTATTCTTTCCGGGACCAGGGTAAACCTATGTCTACACTGAACTCTCTATAAATATTATTGACAATTTATATCAAGAAATTTAAGAAATCTCAATTTTGTAAAATACTTAGTACTTACATTGTGTGTGTGTGTGTGTGTGTGTGTGTGTGTGTGTGTGTATCATATTGCCATTTTTAGAATGCAGGCAGGAAATTTAATTTTTAAGAAGTGATTATAAAAGAACTTAAGGAAACTGAATTATAATTAAAGACAACTATTGAATCATATATACAGATAAAATATTAGGTGAAAGATGTTAGATACTGGTTGTTGAAACCTCTATTTTTCATGTGGTCAACCCGGCCATGTCATGCAAAAAAAGACATATTCCAGCCAAAGCCCCATTCTGAATTGCTCTCTTTCATGTTTGTACTTTGCCATTTCTCCTTTATTCCTTAAGGTTGGCTTCTACTTGTGTAGTAGACACTGAGGTCATCTCTTCAACATCTATTCCACCCCTCCCACAATGTACAGTAGCCATATGTTTTAAGGAATTGACCCCAGCAATGGAGACAGCCTCAGATAAGTCTGATTCAATCAAGAAAATCCTCTTTGCCTGTAACTGGTTTAGGAACCCATGCTTAAACCAAGTAGCACATGGCATTCCCTTAGAAAAAGGCTGACTGACTTAGGAACAGATATGTAACAGTATCTAGGCCAATGAGCCATGTCAAAAAGACTGCTAAAGAAAAAGTTTCCTCACTCTTAAAAAGGGATGGCATTTTTCCCCTGCTGGCATGAACAAAGCACGTAGCTGTATTTGTTACTATCATCCTATGACCACTAGGAAACCACCTTAGGATAAGCCTGATATTATCTTGGGTTCTTGATGACCTTGTTGAACTGCATTTCAGCCAAGCCCAAGGCCTATTCTACCTCTAGACTTCCAGTTGTGTGCACCACTACATTTCCTTACTGTTTAAGCCACCACTTTGAGTTGGGTTTTCGGTTACTTGCAGCTGAAAGCATTCTAAGTGATGCAATTTCCTACCACTTTTGACTACCATCTTTGCTTCCAATCAGGTGCACCATTTGGCTTTCTTAGCTCTAGTCACCAGCACTCTTCTATCTAGTCATTTATAGTAAACACTGTTTGTTTTCTACCCAATATTTATTCATAGCTTCTCCCACTAGACATTATCATGTAGGACAGGTTATATGAACCTTGTGTAGCCAAGAGAGAAGCTCACCTGAGGACAAAGTCAATATGCTGAAAATGACAACACAGAAAAGTGGAAAAAGCTCTGAGTCATTTAACTGCTGGAATACTCTACTTCCAGCCTTCTTATTATCTGATTAACAGAAATTCTCATTGTTTAATACAATTTGAGTTAGGGCATTCTGTTGTTTGTATTTGAAAATAACCTAAATGATAAAGAATTTGCTACCAGAATGTGGAATTCTGCAAATAACAACCCCAAAATTGTGGAGTTGGATGAGTGGAACAACAATGAGGATCCCACTGTTTTCACGCTGAGAGGATGGTCACTCTTGTTCTGTGGTTAATAACATTTCATTGAACTATCACTTTGTACCTGAGCACAGCCTTCTGAGATTCTAGTATTAGGGAAAATGGTAAGAATAAGAATGTTGAGCCAGGTGCAGTGGTGCACATCTATAATCCCAGCTACTTGAGAGGGTGAGGCAGGAGGATCACATGAGCCAAGGAGTTTGAATCCAACCTGGGCAACATAGTGAGACCCTGTCTCAAAAAAAAAAAGAAAGAAAGAAAGAGAGAAAGAGAAAGAGAAAGAGAGAGGGGGGAAGAAAGAAAGAAAGAAAGACAGACAGAAAGAAGGAAAGAAAGAAAGAAAAGAAAGAAAGAAAGAGAAAGAAAGAAAAACACTGGTGTGTACTGGCTATTTCTTAGGGCTTTCACTAAAAACCCATAGTAAAGAAGGAAAGAAGGTCAAGAATCCTTGGCCTTCCAAAGTGCTGGAATTACAGGCATGAGCCACTGTGCCTGGCTGGGCATCTTTAAAGATAGTATGTGTGGCAGGATAGTATGTGTGGCATGAAACTTTACTAACCATGTATGATACTACTGGCTCTCTACTACACATCCATCTCCGATTATTCCTTATTGAAAGAATCTTACTTTTGTTCAGGTACCCATTCCCTTCTATGTGTCCATGTGCATCAGGAGAGATTGGTCTCTCCAAAGAGGTAAATCCTGACTGGTCTAGACCAATCATGATTCTCCCATTCCCCTTGCAAGTAATTGTTTTAGACATGGTTGTGCTGAGCAATGAGACGTGAGAAGGCTGCTAGAAGATTTCTGGTAAAGGTTTCTCTACTTTTTAAAAAAGATACAAGAGAGTTATAGCTTCTCTCTGTGTGCTGTAATTTATCATGTCAGGTTGTGATACATGGACCTGCTGCAGCTATCAGGTGAACATGAGGAGAGCCTTATACTAAGTACGAAGCTGACATGCTAAGAAGAGGAAAACAATGGAAAGAAACAGTGTTCTTCAGACATTTAATCAAGCAGTCTCGGAGCAGGAGGAGGTAGAGCAAGATGGTCAAATAGAAGCCTCCACCAATTGTCTGCTCTGTAGGAACAACAGATTGAACAACTATCCACTTAAAAAGGCATCTTCATAAGAACCAAAAATCAGGTGAGCAATCACAGTACCTGGCTTTAACTTCATATCATTGAAAGGGGCACTGCAGAGTGTAAGACAGTCTTGAATTGCTGGTACTACCCCCTCCCCCATCCCCTGGCAGTGGCTGTGTGGCACAAAGAGATAATCTGTGTGCTTGGGAGAAGGAGGCCACAGTGACTGTGAAACATTGCAATGGAACTCAGTGCTGCCCTGTCATAGTGGAAAGCAACATGGGGCAGAAGTCAGCCAGCCCACAGAGGGAGCAGCCCCAGCCAGAGGAGAGCAGCAGTAGCCAGAGGAGAATTAACCGAGTTCTTACTACCACAGGATAAAATGCTCTGGGATCCTAAATAAACTTGAAGGCAGTCTAGGCCGCAAGGACTCCAATTCCTAGGCAAGTCCTCGTGTTGTGCTGGGCTTGGAGCCAGTGGACTTGAGGGGCACAAGATCTAGTAAGACACCAACTGGGGTGGCCAAGGGAGTGTTTGCACCACCCCTCTCCCAACCCCAGGAAGCGCAGCTTGCAGCTCCAGGAAAGATTCTTTCCTTCTGCTTGAGAAAGGGAAAGGGAAGATTAAAGAGGACTTTGTCCTGCCACTTGGATACCAGCTCAGCCACAGAAGGAAAGGGCACTAGGCAGAGTCCTGAGGCTCCATTCCAGGCCCTATCTCCTGGACATGACTGGGCCAGAAGGGAACATGCTGCCTTGAAGCGAAGAAACCAAACTTCCAGGATTCATTACCTGTTAACTAAACAGATCTTGGACTCTGAATAATCAGCAGCACTACCTAGGGAGTACTTGCCATGGGCCTTGGGTGAGACTCAGAGCTGTGCTGGCTTCAGGTGTAACCCAGAATATTCCCAGCTGCAGTTCCTACGAGGAGGACTCTTTCTGCTTGAGAAAGGGAGAGGAAAGAGTAAAGAGGACATTGTCTTGCAGCTTATGTATCAGCTCAGCCACTGTAGGACAGAGCACCAAGTGGCTCTTGGGGTTCCTGATTCTAGACCATGGCCCCTGGACGGCATTTCTGGACATACCCCAGGCCAGAGGGGAGCACACTACCCTGAAGGAAGAGTCCCAGGCCTGGCAGCATTCACCACAAACTGACCAAAGATTTTTAATCCATTCAGCCACTCTCTGTCTTTTGATTGGAGAGTTTAGTCTATTTACATTCAGTGTTTTGAGACTTGGTCTCAAAAAAATAAAGAAAAAGAAAAAAAAAGAAAAGAAAATATATATTCAGAGGAGACTAAAGAAAAAAGAATAAAGCACACCTACAAAATCTAGAAAATAGGCTCAAAAGAACAAATCTAAGCGTTACTGGCCTTGAAGAAATAGAGAGAGAGGTAGGAATAGAAGGTTTACTCAAAGGAAAAATAACAGAGACTAACCCATACCTAGAGAAAGATATCAATACCAAGTACAAGAGGTTATAGAACACCAAGCAGATTTAACCTAAGGAAGACTAGCTCAAGGCATTTAATACTCAAACTGCCAAAGGTCAGGGGCAAAGAAAGGATCCTAAAAGCATCAAGAGAAAAGAAACAAATAACATACAATGGAGCTCCAATATGTCTGGCAGAAGACTTTTCAGTGGAAACCTTACAGGCCAGGAGAGAGTGGCATGACATATTTAAAGTGCTGAAGGAAAAAAACTTTTACCCTAGAATAATATACCTGGTGAAAATATCCTTCAAACATGAAGAATAACTAAAGACTTTCCCAGAACAATAAAAGCTGAGGGATTTCATCAACACAAGCCCTGTCCTACAAGAAATGCTAAACTTCACTTAGAAAGAAAACAATGTCAATGAGTAATAAAAAATCATCTGAAGATACAAAACTCACTGGTAATTAAGTACACAGAAAAACGCAGACTATTATAACACTGTAACTGTGGTGTGTAAACTACTCTTAAGTAGAAAGACTAAACAATGAACCAATCAAAAATAACTACAACAACTTTTCAAGACATAGTATGATAAAATATAAATAGAAACAACAAAATGTTAAAAAGCAGGGGGAAGAAGTTAAGGCATAGTCTTCATTAGTTTTCTTTTTGCTTGTTTGTTGGTTTGCTTATGCAAACAGTGTTGTTATCAGCTTAAAATAATGAATTATAAGATAGTATTTTCAGGCCTCATGGTAACCTCAAGCCAAAACACATATAATGGATACACAAAAAATAAAAAACAAGAAACTAAATCATATCATGAGAGAAAAACACCTTTACTAATAGGAAGACAGGAAGGAAAGAAAAAAAGTAAAAGAAGACCACCAAACAACCAGAAAATAAATAAAAAATGGCAGTAGTAAGTCTTTACTTATTAATAATAACACTGAACGTAAATAGACTAAACTCTCCAATCAAAAGACAGAGAGTGGCTG
Organism: Homo sapiens; assembly: GCF_000001405.40. Lineage (NCBI taxonomy): Eukaryota > Metazoa > Chordata > Mammalia > Primates > Hominidae > Homo > Homo sapiens. The sequence goes on from NC_000002.12 coordinate 63,798,786, forward strand.
AATGGATTAAAAATCAAGACCCAGTGATCCGTTGCCTCTAAGAAACACACTTCACCTAAAATGACACACAGAGGCTGAAAATAAAGGAATGGAACAATATATTCCATGCCAATTAAAACAAACAAACAGATTCGGAGTAGCTATACTTATATCAAACAAAATAGATTTCAAGAATTACTTATTTTGAATTTTGGTAGGTTATCAGTGTTCCTACATCTAAGATTTATTCATGATCTGAAATACTTTAAAAGTGAGCAAATGTGTGTTTCTTACCTTTGCTTAATTACCATACCTACTAAGAATGTTTCACACTTTAGAGTCTGCCAATACAACTAATAGTTTTCTGTTCCTGGAATTTTCCCTATTACGTATGTCAACTACATTTCTGAAAAGCTATGTTGTTCAAAGTGAACAGTAAAGTCCAAGAAATCTAGCCTATGAAGAAATTAGGAAGGATCACCAATATCTTGTTAGTTGTTGAATTCAGGGGGAAAAACTGAATATAAAGGAGAGTGAACCATAGAAGATAATTGGTATTCTAGAAACAGACTTAGATTTGGAAGTGACCTCAACTATTATCAACTTATAAATGAGATAACTGAAGCTTACTGAGATTCAGTGATTTGCCCAAGATCTCAGAGTTAGTGGCAGTTTTTGGAATATACCAAAGTAGCCTTGACTTCAGTCTTTCCTTAACACTAGCCCTGATGGAGACAACCACTCAATAGTAGCCTCAATGGTTTGTACCAACATCAGAGTCTTTTCTCAAGGGATATAATTCTAGGGTGATGTAGGCAAGACATCTGCAAACATTTCTGTAAAGGCTTAGATAGTAAATATTTTAGGTCTCATGGGCCACAAAAAGTCTTTGTCTCATATTCTTCTTTTTTAAATTCGTAACCCTTCACAAATATAAAAACCATTTTTAGCTTGAGTTCCTGTTAAGAAATAGGCTGAAAGGCCAGATTTATCCCCTAGGCTAGTAGTTTTTCAATACCTGTTATATGTCAGAGAGTGTTGGTCAGTAAAGTTTTCATTAGCCCAGCAAAATGAAAAAAATAAGGGCAATGTAATGAACTCAATTCGTTCAGTATAAAGGACTATCCTCTGTTCTGAAATCATGCCCTTCCTCCATTGTGGGGGATGGAGAAGCATTAAAATGTTCTCTTTTGTATGCAATTGTGATGACATAGACAGTAAGATTTTGCTTGTTCTGTTTTTTATGTTCTTCCTTGGTTAAAAAAAAGTATTGGTCTATATAACTAATTGAAAATTACACATATATTATTATTCCCTGAAATCTCAACATCTAAGAGTCTTTGTGAATATTCACTGATCCCAAATAAGGCATCTTAGGCTTTTAGAATGTATCCAAATAGGATTCACAACTGAATGGCAACATATAACTTAATTCTAAAAAAAAACCCAATGGAATTCTGGCAATTATTTCAGAACCACTGAGAAACTTTTGAGTTCCTTTTATTGTGTGATAAAATGTTACTTTGTATAGTGAGTAACGGAGCTCCGTACAGCTGCATTTCTGGTTCTTGCACAGTGGAAGTAGCCTTTCTTCAGACCTGTCTCTCCTATTATGATGTCACATAAGAAAAGTGATTGTAAATTATTTAAAGACAGAGACCATGTTTTTTCCATGTTTCTATATTCCCACAGCATCAAGCATAGTAAGGAGAGTTGTATTTTTTTCTAATTAAATAAATAAATGAACAAAATAAAACAATCAAAAGTTCAGAAGTATGTTGGAAAGATTACTGCCCATAGCAGATATGAATCTGGGGAATATAACTCCAGGGTTAAATATGTGGGTCCCCTAGGCAGAGTACTAATTTGGCATTTTTTAAAGCGATATCTAAAAAATAAATGCTCAACATTTACTTATAGGTAACACTAAGTGCTTCTTGGAAAACAGTGCACCTATTACCACATAGCAAATTACCCTAAAATTCAGCAATTTAAAATAGCAAACAGGCCAGGCATCATGGCTCACGCCTGTAATCCAAGCACTTTGGGAGGGCTGAGGTGGGAGGACTGCTTGAGCCCAGGAGTTCAAGGCCAGCCTGGGCAACAGAGAGAAACCCCATCTCTGCAAAAAACTTAAAAATTAGCCAGGCATGGTGGTGTGTGCCTGTAGTCCCAGCTACTCCGGAGGCTGAGGTGGGAGGATCACTTGAGTCCGGCAGGTCAAGGATGCAGAGAGCCGGGATTAGACCATTATACTCAGCCTGGACTACAGAGTATGCCCATGTTTTGAAATAAATAAATACATAAAAATAAAACAACAAACATTTATTCTTTAGCAATTTCTGTAGGTCAAGAATTGATGAGCATCTTAGCTGGGTGGCTGGTTCCAGCTCAGGATCTCTCATAACTTTGCAGTCAATCTGTCAGCTGGGGCAGGAATCATATGAAGGTTTGCCTCAGGTTAAAAAATACATTTCCAAGATGGCTCAAAGAAATCAGTTCCTCACCCATGTGAGCCCCTCCATAGTGCTCCTTTAGTGTCTCATGATGTGTCTGGAGTGGGTTCCTGCCAGTGGGTTCGTGGTCTCGCTGACTTCAAGAATGAAACCGTGGACCTTCACTGTGAGTGTTACAGCTCTTAAAGGTGGTAGGGAGGCAAAGAGTGAGGAGCAGCAAGATTTATCATGAAGAGCAAAAGAACAAAGCTCCCACAGCATGGAAGGTGGACCCAGCGGGTTCCTGCTGTTGGCTGGGGTGGCCAGCTTCTATTCCCTTATTTGTCCCCGCCCATGTTCCATTTCTGTCCTATCAGAATGCCCTTTTTTCACTCCTCCCTGCGATTGGCTACTTTTAGAATCCTGCTGATTGGTGCATTTTACAGAACACTGATTGGTGCGTTTTACAGAGTGCTGATTGGTGCATTTTACAAACCTCTGGTAAGACAGGAAAGTTCCTGATTGGTGCGTTTTACAATCCTCCTGCAAGACAGGAAAGTTCCCCAAGTTCCCACCCTACCCAGAAAGTCCAGCTGGCCTCACCTCTCAATGACATGGTAGCTAGCTTCCCACAAAGCAAGCGATCCAAGAGAAGGAGCAAGGAGGAAGTCACATTGTCTTTTAGGACTTAGTCTTAGAAGTCACACATTGTCACTTATGCCATATTCTATCTGTAAGTAGCAAGTCATGCAGTCCATAAAGTCAAGCAAGGGAAAGCAAGTCCATAAAGTCAAGAGGAAGGTTAGTAAGCACCACCTCTTCAAGAAAGGTTATCAAAGAATTTGTGGACACATTTTAACCACAACAAATAGCAAAGAACATGCACATTGCATCTCCTCTATTTTTTCTGAATGATTTAGCTTTAACCTCAAACTTGTATATTCTAACATCATCATTCAAAGTAGGCTGGGTATGGTGGCTCACGCCTGTAGTCCCAGCACTTTGGAAGGCCAACGTGGGCAGATCACTTGCATCCAGGAGTTTGAGACCAGCCTGGGCAACATTATGATACCCTCTCTCTTAAAAAAAAAAAAAAAAAAAAAAAAAAAAAAAAAAAAAAAAGATTTATTATTCTCAGCATGCCCTATGGGAAGGAGGTCCCACTCACCAGCCTCAAGTAGTTTACCAAAATATTTCTTTTAACCCATAGATACCAAACACCATTTACACTATTTTCTCCATATAACAATATTTCCAGTGATATTTCAGTCTCATGATAAGGTTTACAGATGCCACAAGGTATAGTACTGTCCTAAAGAACTACCTTGCTGGATTTTTTCTAGCTGTGACTGAAAGTAAAAAAATTGTGAAGAATTTTGGACTGAATTTCTTAAAGGAACATTTCCTACAGATGATGATTTTTTTAATTGCATAGAATTCACAACATCTCACCTAAGAATTTTGCTGCATTGTACCTAGTCTGGCAAATGAATTAGGAAATTGTCTATATTATTGTTAGTCTATATAGTACAGCTTTAAAAAAAAAGACACATAGAGATGTATTATGTTTCTTCCAGCTAAAAGAGAAACAGCAAGAGTTCTGAAGAATTCTAATTCTTAGATTTCTTTAGGACATTTTAAACTGATTATTAGAAGTAGGCTTGGGACATTACTCTACACATATAGCTTGGGGCATTACTCAAACTCTACCCATCTGAAACACTGCACCTGTTCAAGGAGTGAACCCTTTTTACATTGTAATAACACAAAAAGTTCAAGGTTTTCATTTTGTAGTGAGCTCCTTTATAGCATTTCTAGAGACCCTGACATTTCACAGGCCCAAACAAGCTATATATGGAGTAACACAGACACCTCATATAGGTGATCAGAGGAACACATGCCTGCCCACCAGCATTTGTTTTCAATCTATAGGTATTTATCATGAATAATAATTAAGCTGTTATGAAACTGAGTCATGAGATTTCAGACATTTTCACTTTGACATTCATACTCTGGCAGAGATACCAACCCTAAAGACAGACAATGCTGTTAAGTATGACCTGTGTATTTTAAACATACAAGGAAAAATCGATTTTAATACTGAAAAAAAATTTGGTTATTGGATTTATTTCTTGCAATAAATATATGGAATACCCACTAAAACTGGTATGGTATTTCTTTTTGGGAGAATTTGTATAATATAAACCAGAAAAGTACCATCTTATCATATTATATTGTTAAATAATATGGAACTAGCATATTCCAAATGTAGAAAATTTTGGCTCTCTACCTAAGTAACTTTGAGTAATGAGTTACATAATTGGCCAGCATTTACCATCTGCTGTAACCCTTACCTCTTTATTTTTCTGGCTTTTTGGGGTACTTTTTAATGGCTGTTAATATAGGAATTATATAAAAATATAGAAAGCTATTAAATATTACATTTATTCATTGTTTCATTATTTTTACAAAACAGACACACAAAAAATATGTTATTTCCTATTAACTTACCTATTTATTATTACTAAGGAGGCTACAACTAGGGCTGGCTCTCCTCAATTTCACTCACCATGTATGAACCTCAGTGTTCTACTACATGTAAGGCATTTTCAGATATGTTTTGGGAATTTAAGTTACAGAACATGAATACACATAATTTCAGTGTTTAGTTTTAGATATGTACTTAACATTACTGACAATTAAATGCCATGCTTTTATATTTAGTTTCACATTGTTCTTTCAATTATCTATTTCCATATTTCTTCTATTACCAGAAAACTACATGTGATAGACTGAGAAAAATTGGCATTGAATTGAAATAGTTGCCTCTAGGGGGGAATTTTCATTTAAAACCAGGTTCATCCTAGATGATACTTCACTTGGTAATGGGCTTGTGACTATGAAATTTTATCAGGCTGAATTATTCCCTTCGTATCTAGAGCAGGGGTGGCATCACACTTTACCCAGTACATTAAGGAGAAGTGTTTTTCTCAGTTCCTTTCCTAGGCTTTTTGAAGCATAGAAATGCCCTGAAGAACAAACCAGATACTCCTTTTTTTTTTTTTTTTTGAGGCAGAGTCTCGCTCTGTCGCCCAGGCTGGAGTGCAGTGGCACCATCTCGGCTTCACTGCAAGCTGCGCCTCCCGGGTTCACGCCATTCTCCTGCCTCAGCCTCCCGAGTAGCTGGGACTACAGGCACCTGCCACCACACCCGGCTAATTTTTTTTTGTAGTTTTTAGTAGAGACTGGGTTTCACCGTGTTACCCAGGATGGTCTGGATCTCCTGACCTCGTGATCCACCAGCCTCGGCCTCCCAAAGTGCTGGGATTACAGGTGTGAGTCACCTCGCCCGACCCAAGCCAGACACTTATCCTAACTCTATGTGTCCTTCTCCTTGCTGCAAGGTGGCCAGATCCCACCTTTGCAAGATAATGTTGGTGAACGACTAGAATAACTTAGAAGGACTCAAGATCTCTCTTCCTACAACTCCCTCTCCCTCAGGCCTATCTCCTGATGGTCTAGATTTGTCATATAAAGCGTCCATGTTGGGCCGGGCACGGTGGCTCACGCCTCTAATACCAGCACTTTGGGAGGCCGAGGCGAGCAGATCACAAGGTTAAGAGCTCGAGACCAGCCTGGCCAACATGGTGAAACCCCGTCTCTACTAAAAATATAAAAATTAGCCTGGCTTGGTGGTGGGTGCCTGTAATTCCAGCTACTCGGGAGGCTGAGGCAGGATAATCGCTTGAAACTGGAAGGCAGAGGTTGCAGTGAGCCGAGATGGCACCCCTGTACTCCAGCCTGGATGAAAGAGTGAAACTCCATTTCAAAAAAAGAAAAGAAAAGAAAAGAAAGAGTCCATGCCAGGGTGTCTCTGGCGGAAGATAGGAGCAAAACAAAAGCTACCCATTTCATGTCAAATTTTTGAAGTTTTATTCTCCCTTATAGAAAGAAAAGCGTCAGGGACAATTTACAATTTAAATCAAGAAGTAGATGTACTTTTGATAAGCATATTGCTTTCTACTGGGTTTTGAACCCATATGCTCAGTGAGTGTACCCACCCACTTAATCTCATTTAAGATCATGGAATTTCAGAACTGGAAGGAATCTAGGAAATTAGAGGTCAAAATGTCACTTTTAATATTGATAAAACTGTTTGTGGAATGAGGGTTAGGGCTGAGAGCTAAATGAGCTAGCTAATATTTCCTAACATACTCTGCCCTATCCCACTCATACTCTGTCCCCAAATCAGACCCCAGAACAGAAATTGAAACTGACTCAGTTTGGTTCAGAACTGAACATTTATGTGCTTATATGATTTTTTTGATAGATTCACTCCACCCAATTATGATCTGCAGATTAATGGCTGTCAGCCACCAACCAGGTGGAATAAGAGGTCAGAGTGCTACTACTCTGGGGAAGTCCCTCCACATGAAAACAGAAGAGTAGGGATAAGCACACCATCTCCTAACATTAGGAGGGGCAATGCCATAGGAATTCTGATGAATAAAATCCTCCATTTCATTTCAAAATAATTTGAGAGCAGTATAACAGGAATGTACCACAAATTATTAATACAGAACTTAGTATGATTTTGATGTTTGTCCCCTCCAAATCTCATGTTAAAATGTAATCCCTGGCTGGGTGCAGTGGCTCATACCTGTAATCCCAGCATTTTGAAAGGCTGAGGCAAGCAAATTGCTTGTGTCCAGGCATTTGAGACCAGCCGGGGCAACATGGCAAAACCCCATCTCTACAAAAATTACAAAAATTAGCCAGGCGTGGTGGTGAGCACCTGTAGTCCCAGGGCAGCCTGAGGTGAGAGAATCACTTGCACCCAGGAGGCGTAGGTTGCAGTGATTCAGGATTGCGCCACTGCACTCCAGCCTGGGTGACAGAGTGAGAGCCTGTCTCAAAAAAAGAGAAAACGAAAAGGAAAAGAAATGTAATCTATCAGGGAACCTGCCCTGATATTCACGTAGGTTCTTTTCTATTTTTCCTAAGCGTCGGCCAGCTTGAGAAATAAAGGGACAGAGTACAAAAGAGAGAAATTTTAAAGCCAGGCGTCCGGGGGGGACATCACATGTCGGTAGGTTCCGTGATGCCCCACAAGCCACAAAAACCAGCAAGTTTTTATTAGGGAGTTTCAGAAGGGGAGGGAGTGTGCGAATAGGTGTGGGTCACAGGCATCAAGTACTTTACAAGGTAATAGAATATCACAAGGCAAGTGGAGGCAGGGCGAGATCACAAGACCACAGGACTGAGGCAAAAGTAAAATTGCTAATGAAGTTTCGGGCACCATTGTCATTGATAACATCTTATCAGGAGACAGGGTTTTGAGATCAACCGGTCTGACCAAAATTTATTAGGCGGTAATTTCCTCTTCCTAATAAGCCTGGGAGCGCTATGGGAGACGAGTCTATCTGACCTCTGCAGTCTCGACCATAAAAAATGACCACGCCCCGGGGAGGGGGTCAGTTCAGAGACCCACCCCGAGGTGCGCATTCTCTTTCTCAGGGATGTTCCATGCTGAGAAAAAGAGTTCGGCGATATTTCTCCCATTTGCTTTTGAAAGAAGAGAAATATGGCTCTGTTCCGCCCGGCTCACTGGTGGTCAGAGTTTAAGGTTATCTCTCTTATTCCCTGAACAATTGCTGTTATCCTATTCTTTTTTCAAGGTGCCCACATTTCATATTGCTCAAACACACATGCTGTACAATTTGTGCAGTTAATGCAATTATTACAGGGTCCTGAGGCAATATACATCCTCCTCAGCTGACAGGATTAAGAGATTAAAGTAAAGACAGGCATAGGAAATCACAAGGGTATTGATTGGGGAAGTGATAAGTGTCCATGAAATCTGTACAATTTATGTTTAGAGATTGCAGTAAAGACAGGCATAAGAAATTACAAAAGTATTAATTTGGGGAACTAATAAATGTCCATGAAATCTTCACAATCTATGTTCTTCTGCCATGGCTTCAGCTGGTCCCTCCGTCTGGGGTCCCTGACTTCCCGCAACAGTAATCCCCATTATTGGAGGAGGGGGTCTAGAGGAAGGTGTTGGACCATAAGAGGGGATCCCTCATGAATGGCTTAGCGCCATTCTTGAGATAATGAGTGAGTTCCAGCTCTGAATTCACAAGAGATCTGGTTTTTTAAAAGAGTGTGACACCTCCCCATCTCTCTCTATTGCTCCCACTCTTGCCATGTGATGTGCCTGCTCCCTCTTTGCCTTACACCATGATTGGAAGCTTCTGGCCCTTACCAGAAGCAGATACTGGCACCACGCTTCTTATATATCCTGCAGAACCATGAGCCAATCACACGTCTTTTCTTCATAAATTACCCAGCCTCAGGTATTTCTTTATGGCAATGCAAGTGGAATAACATAAAACTCTATTCTTAATAAATAAATATAAAACACTTTTACTAATCTCTCACAAACATATTAGCAAAAAAGTTAATAAATTTAAAATCACTATAAGTATGTTTTCCTCTTTCAAAATCTTATCACAACAATTTGTCTCACTTCTCAAATTGTGAATAATTTTAGCAATAAACTTATTTTGAAGGAAGGAATACTAAATACAAGACTGTTCTGTATGAAAGAACTTGAAGATTAAAACTGAGTTTTGCTTGCAATTTAATTCTAATTTATAGTATTTTTAAAACCAAAAATTAAATTTGAGGAAGTGACATTATACTAGGTTGCTGAAGTTTACAAGTATCTTATGGAAGCCATCTGTCAGAAAACAATCAAACCAACAAAGGCAATAACAGATTCATATGATAGATATTCAATGTACTTACTGAATTATTACAAAGAGTGACTACATAAAATCTGGAGAAATTGAGCTCTTATCTCTGAACATTAAGACCTTTAATTCACTCAGGGCTCATCATTTCAAGAAAATAACTGAGGCCACAAGGCTGTAAGTTTATATGTTATGGTGTGTAATAGAAATGCTATTTAGGACAGGAATTTACTGAAATTAAACTGGCAGGAGACTGAAAAATTATTTAAGTTGCTCAAATTATAAAACATAGAGAACATTTTATCTGTTTCCTTAAAATTAATTCCTTCGCTCCCTCTCCCTCTCCCTCTCCCCTCTCCCTCTCCCCTCTCCCCTCTCCCCTCTCCCCACGGTCTCCCTCTCCCTCTCTTTCCACGGTCTCCCTCTGATGCCGAGCCGAAGCTGGACTGTACTGCTGCCATCTCGGCTCACTGCAGCCTCCCTGCCTGATTCTCCTGCCTCAGCCTGCCGAATGCCTGCGATTGCGGGCACGCGCTGCCACGCCTGACTGGTTTTCGTGTTTTTTTGGTGGAGACGGGGTTTCGCTGTGTTGGCCGGGCTGGTCTCCAGCTCCTAACCGCCAGTGATCCACCAGCCTCGGCCTCCCGAGGTGCCGGGATTGCAGACGGAGTCTCGTTCACTTAGTGCTCAATGGTGCCCAGGCTGGAGTGCAGTGGCGTGATCTCGGCTCGCTACAACCTCCACCTCCCAGCCGCCTGCCTTGGCCTCCCAAAGTGCCGAGATTGCAGCCTCTGCCTGGCCGCCACCCCGTTTGGGAAGTGAGGAGCGTCTCTGCCTGGCCGCCCATCGTCTGGGACATGAGGAGCCCCTCTGCCTGGCTGCCCAGTCTGGAAAGTGAGGAGCGTCTCTGCCCGGCCGCCATCCCATCTAGGAAATGAGGAGCGCCTCTTCCCGGCCGCCATCCCATCTAGGAAGTGAGGAGTGTCTCTGCCCGGCCTCCCATCATCTGAGATGTGGGGAGCGCCTCTGCCCTGCCGCCCCGTCTGGGATGTGAGGAGCACCTCTACCCGGCCGGGACCCCGTCTGGGAGGTGAGGAGCGTCTCTGACCGGCCGCCCCGTCTGAGAAGTGAGGAGTCCCTCCGCCCGGCAGCCGCCCTGTCTGGGAAGTGAGGAGCCCCTCCGCCCGGCAGCCACCCCGTCTGGGAAGTGAGGAGCGTCTCCGCCCGGCAGCCGCCCCGCCCGGGAGGTGAGGGGCGCCTCTGCCCGGCTGCCCCTACTAGGAAGTGAGGAGCCCCTCTGCCCAGCCAGCCGCCCCATCCGGGAGGGAGGTGGGGGTTCAGCCCCCCGCCCAGCCAGCCGCCCCGTCCGGGAGGTGAGGGGCGCCTCTGCCCAGCCGCCCCTACTGGGAAGTGAGGAGCCCCTCTGCCCAGCCACCACCCCGTCTGGGAGGTGTGCCCAACAGCTCATTGAGAACGGGCCATGATGACAATGGCGGTTTTGTGGAATACAAAGGGGGGAAAGGTGGGGAAAAGATTGAGAAATCGGATGGTTGCCGTGTCTGTGTAGAAAGAAGTAGACATGGGAGACTTTTCATTTTGTTCTGTACCAAGAAAAATTCTTCTGCCTTGGGATCCTGTTGATCTGTGACCTTACCCCCAACCCTGTGCTCTCTGAAACATGTGCTGTGTCCACTCAGGGTTAAATGGATTAAGGGCGGTGCAAGATGTGCTTTGTTAAACAGATGCTTGAAGGCAGCATGCTCGTTAAGAGTCATCACCACTCCCTAATCTCAAGGACCCAGGGACACAAACACTGCGGAAGGCCGCAGGGTCCTCTGCCTAGGAAAACCAGAGACCTTTGTTCACTTGTTTATCTGCTGACCTTCCCTCCACTGTTGTCGTATGACCCTGCCAAATCCCCCTCTGTGAGAAACACCCAAGAATGATCAATAAAAAATAAATAAATAAATAAAATTAAATTAAAAAAAAAATTAATTCCTTCATGATAAATATTTTTTCCTTAAATGAAATTTTTCATTGTATACCTTATTTAGACTGTAGTCAGAATCCACACTACTCTACAACATTTGGCTAATCTATTTAGTGTAGACAAAAAGTAATTCAAAAAATAAGCAATATACAAAGAGCACCTAAAGACCTGGTGAACTGCAAACAGAAGTTGGTTTTATACTTCACTGGGCATCCTAATTAGAGGTTCTATATTGCTTTGTTCTGCCCTCTTCTATTTTCCTCTGGATGATCTTGTCCACTCCATGACTTCAAATACCATCTTTTATGTTGACTACTTTCAAATATATACTCCAGCTATCACCTCTGTCCTGCTGTGTTGACCTGTATTTATCTTTGTGATAGGACAACCTCTTCAAGTTTTCTAAAAAGATACAGGCATATAAAAAGTTATAAAAGTGTTATAGGTACTAGTATCAGTTCATACAAGGTTCTGTGAGTTTACAAAATAAGAAGACAGGAAAAGCTTCCTAGAGGAAATAATACTTCAGTAGATGTCTAGAGGAAGGAGTGACAGAAAGGGAGACAGATGACAGGCATTGGAGGGAAAAAGAACAGTGGGAGTCAAGTTTCTGAACCAGGAAGCAAGCTATAAAAGAATTCCCTAAAATCTGGGCCTTATAGTACAAGGTGGGGGTAACCAGAAACCAGGCAAGTACCAAATCAGGGAAGGTCTCACATGTTATACTTGGGAATTCAAATTTATTCCATATTTTTTATACCTATTATGTAGCAATAGGGAAGCAAGCATTAAAGGGCTTTTTAAGCAAAGGAGAAACAGGATCAAATTTGGATATAATGTACGGAAAAGCTTTTCTATTTTAATCCCTATTGCTTTATAAACAATATGGACTAAATTTGTTGTGCTGAGCCCTGAAGCAATTTGACTGTACATGTTTGTGAGTGGAAGCCTAGAAAAGCTGGACTGATGTGCTTTCCAGAGGGAGAAGGAATTTCCTAGGACAATTGTAAGAAAATAGGAGACAAGTGAGAAAAACCAGCAAAATTGCCAAAGGCAGAGGACTCCTATGTCTTCTATAAAATACTAACTCATAAACACTTTGAGTGGTTGTTTTTTTGGTTTGTTTGTTGGCAGAAACCAGGCTTCACTTCAAGATCAGTCCCAGAGATAGTACTCATGAAGCGGAACCCAAGGACAGAGAAGACTGTGAAAATGTTGTGACAAACACACTATAAGGTGGCTCCCCATGATCTTTGCCTCTTGGTGTTCACATCTCTGCTATTCATACCTCTCTGAGTGTGGGCAGGACCTTTAACTTGTTTATAACTAATAAAATACGGCAAAGGTGATGGGATGTCACTCCCATAATTACATTGCTCGGTCTTGCTCACAGACTCACTCTAGAGACTTTCCTCACTGGTCTGATGAAGTAAGCAGCCAAGTTGGAAAAGGCCACATGTAAGTAGCCTCTAGGAACTACAGGTGGTCTCTAGGTGCTAAGGGCATCCTCCAGCCAATAGCCAGAAAGAAGCTGGGGCTCTCAGCCTTACCAACACAAGGAAATGAAGTTTGCCAACAACCTGAGTGAACTTGGAAGCAGATTATTTCCCAGTCAAGTTGCCAAATGAGAACAGAGCCCTGTCCACACTTTTTTTTTTTTTTTTCAAATTTTATTTTAGAGTCAGGGAGTACATGTGCAGGTATGTTACCTGGGTATATTGCTTGATGCTGAGGTTTGGGGTATGAAAGACCTTGTCACTCGGGTACTGAGCATAGTACCCAATAGGCAGTTTTCCATTCCTTGTACCCTATTCTCCCTCCCCATTTTGGAGTCCCCAGTGTCTACTGTTTTCATCTTTGTGTTCATGTGTACCCACTGTTTAGCTCCCACTTACAAGTAAGAACATACAGTATTTGGTTTTCTTTTTGTTTTTGAGACAGGGTCGCACTCTATCACCCTGGCTGGAGTAGAGTGGCATAATCAAGGCTCACTGCAGCCTCAACCTCTCTGGGCTCAGGTGATCCTCCCACCTCAGTCTCCTGAGTAGCTGGAACTACAGGCGTATACCACCATGCCCAGCTAATTGTATTTTTTTTTGTAGAGACGGGGTTTTGTCATGTTGCGCAAGCTGGTCTCGAACTCCTGGGCTCAAATGATCCTCCTGCCTCGGCATCCCAAAGTGTTGGGATTACAGGCATGAGCCACCATGCCTGGCTGGTATTTGGTTGTCTGTTCCTGTGTTAATTTGCTTAGGATAATGGCCTCCAGCTCCAACCATGTTGCTGCAAGGGACATGATTTTGTTCTTTTTTTATGGCACCGTTCTATTGTGTATATATACCACATTTTCTTTATCCAGCCAGCCATTGCTGGGCACCTAGATTGATTCCATGTCTTTGCTATTATGAATAGTGCTGTGATGAACAGGTAAGGCTGTGTCTTTTTGGTAGAATGATTTGTTTTCCTTTAAATATATACCCACTAACGGCATTGCTGGGTCATATGATGGTTCTGTTTTAAGTTATTTGAGAAATCTCCAGACTGCTTTCCACAGTAGCTGAACTAATTTACATTCCCACCAACAGTGTATAAGCATTCCCTTTTCTCCACAGCCTCACCAACATCTGTTGGTTTTTTTCAATTTTTTAATAATAGCCATTCTGCCTGTCCACACTTTGCAGCCTCGTGAGACCTTAAGCAGAAGACCCAGCTAAACTGTGCCTGTGACTCCTGACCCACAGAAACTGTGGAATAATCAATGGGTGTTGTTTCAAACCTCTCTAAATTTGTGGTAATTTGTTACATGGCAATAGAAAACTAATACAAATATTTGCTCCCGCTACTGTACCCCATCCCTCAAGTTTACAGATATTCCATAATCTATGTCCCCCATCTAACTTCTGGGTCACGTAAGTTTTAGAAAAAAAATCACTTTATTTTTTTTTTTTTAGACAGAGTCTCACTCTGGTGCCCAAGCTGGAGTGCAGTGGTTCAGTCTAGGCTCAACTGATCCTCCCACATCAGCCTCCTGAGTAGCTGGGACTACAGGCACATAACACCACACTCAGCTAATTTAAAAAAAAAAATTGTAGATATGAGGTCTCACTACGTTGCCCAGGTTGGTCTTGTACTGCTGGGCTCAAGTGATCCTCCCACCTTAGCCTCCCAAAGTGCTGGGATTACAGGCATGAGCCACCATGCTCAGCCAAAAATCACTTGGCAGTTTAAGAGAGAATGGATTCAAAAGGCAGGAAATAATGGCAATAGCCCAGGTGAGAAATGGTGAAGGCCTAAACCAGAAAAATAGCAGTGCCATTTACCAAGTTAGGAAATAAAGGAGAAGCACAGGTTTCAGGAGAAGTATTAATATACCGAGTATATTTGGGACATAATAATTTGAAGTGTCCATAGGTCCTCCAGGTGAAGATGTCTACTAAGCTTCAGTACTAACTTTGCAAGATGCTAGTTCTGATCTGGAAAAACTCATATTTCTCTGGTCACAACCTGACAGCAAGCTGCCCTTTCAGTCCTCATCATGTGTTCTACACTTCATGGAGCTACTTGGTGATCCACAAACAGGACATGCCTATGCACAAGTCCATGTCTTTGCTGATGCTGTTCACTTTGAATGAAATGCAATTCCCCCTCATCAAATTTATAAAAATCCTACTCACCTTTTAAAAATGTCAATATGCTCTGTTAGAATGTGGGCTCCCTTGAGGGCAGGGCACTTTGTTTTGTCCACAGATGTCTCAAAAACCTAGAACAGTGTGTGGAATATAACAGGTACTCGATAAATATTTATTGAATGAATGGATAAATGTCTTATATAAAGCCATTCCTTATTCTCTCTCCAGTCACAGAATAAATACTAACATATTCCATATCATAGATACGTTTGCAGATAAATATTAATATGTTTGATAATAAATACTAATATGTTTGCTGATAAATACTAATATGTTTTCTAATAAATACCAATGTATTCCATATCATAGATATGTTTGCTGATAAATTCCATATCATAAATGTTTGCTGATAACTAGTAGTACAACTAAGAACTTCTGTTTCTGAACAAATGAGGAAAAGAAAATATAAATTTGATAGGAAAGATAACAAAGGGGTGGATGTATACCTGGAACATTAGCTCTGTTTAAGAGTATAGATCACTTAACATATAGTTACCAAACACCTAGTGTATGCAATATGTGACTGGTTACCCAAAAGTTATTCCCAACCCCTTCTTCCTTGCCTCCCTCTAATTACAGAGATCAAAGTAAACAATTATTTTCCCAGCCTCCTTTATAGCTAGAGATAGTCATGTGACACATTCTGGTCATTGAAATGCAAGGGGAAATCTACTCAATGGATGATTCGAAAAAAAAATATGTCTTTCCTGGTTTGAAAAAAAAAAAGCAGAAAGATCTGTCCAGTCATATCTCCTGCTTCCTACATTTGAAAATTTTGGTGCTTGGAGCTTTTGCATTCATCTTGTGACTATGAAGAGAAGGCAAAGGAAATCACAGAGATACCAATCCAGAGCCCTCACATTAAGCCACTACACCAATGCCAGAAGGCACCTAACTCTTGTTGTTAGACAAACTCCTCTAGTTTAAGATCTGTTAGTCTGTTATTCTGTTACTTATAGTTGAAAATATTCCTGAACTAGTGGAAGATATCTTAGAAATCCTGGCTAATAATATTATCTGGTTAATAATGCCACACACGAAATGACTTTAAAATGCCTATTTGATTTTAAATTGTGTTTTTGAAAACAGCACTATGTGTCTTTAAATATATTTATCATAAGTTACACTATCTACATGTGGCTGTGTTATCATAGTCTTCACTGTCTTTTCTGTTACACCTCATCCTGTGGATAATTGGGTCAAAAATGAAGAAAATATGGTTTCAATAGGATATGTTTGTCAACTCTGATTTCAGAGGTAGAACTATTACAACCAAAAGGGAAATGAAAGGAACAGAATAAACTTCCAAATTTATTTACCTAGAAGTTTCAAAGTAATTCTATTCCAAATAATGAAACTGTATCTATACTTTTCTAAAACAGTTAAATGAGATTTTCGATTTATAGACATTGCAAAAGACTGGAGTGGTAATGACAAAGCACATTACATAATTCTGTGCCCATTAAAAAAAACTCCAAACCATTTACAAGACCATGTTTTAAAGCTGTCTAAAAAGTATAATGAGAACTCTACACTTTTCTCTGTTAGATTTGCCAAGTGTCAACAGGGACTGAGAAGTGTTTTAAATTGCTTTTATAAATGAGTAGTGAAGCCACTCACCAGTTCCTAGAATTTTGAACAAAGGGAACAAATATTCAATAAGAAACCACCAGCGTAATAAATAATAATCAGAGACTTTCTAGTGGATTAAAAAAAGGAATCATTCATTAAAACTATTTCTAAAAATTTCATTAGCTGGAATTGTTCTACATTAGTGGAATTACTCTACTACGAAATAAGATACTCTTTTCCTTATTTTTTATTAACAGGTACTATTTAGTCAGGAAACACTTGTAAGATTAAGAAAGCATTGAGCTGGGCCTAGAGTTGTGAGATACATAGACAAATGAGACCTAGTTCTTGCTCTCTAAGAAGCTTTCATTGCAAAGTGACATTCAGACACATACTCTTAAATACAGCTGGAGAGTCTCCACACCACGGACCAGTAGTATAGTTGGCCTATCAGAATCTAAGGGTGGGAGGGCAGCCCAGATGAATGGCTTTATTTGGTTGTTTATTAAGGAGCTGCATTTAAATTCCAAAACAGTGGAAGGTCAGTATTAGTCATTCCCATATGAGATAAATGTATCAAATTTAGCCTAGGTGATAGCTGCAAGTACTAATAAAGTATCGTAACAAAACAAAAGACACAATGGAGTCAAACTGTCTTTGTTTTGTTGTTGTTGTTGTTTATTTTTTGCTTTTTTTTTTCACTTTAATCAGGTACTCCTGATATTTTAATGAGTTAAAGGCACTGCCTCATGGAACTTGTTCATTTCTTGATATTATCTTGAGAAACAAAAATGAAGATAGTAGAATTCTGTATCTTGTCTCTTGGCATTATTATGTTTTCAGTTGTACAAAATATCTAAGTCAGATGTATACAGGTTGAACAATTCTTACAGAAATTCCTGCCAAAATTAAAAATATTATGGGTAATTATCACTAAAAAGAAAATTAATCACATTTTATATTAAGATAATTAAAACTGGAATTCAAAAACTGTGAGGCTGAAAACAAATCTACAAAAAGCCTGGTATGGTATGACTCATAGCGGCTTTATTTATAATAACAACAAAAAAGAAATACTTCAGATGTATATTATTAGGTGACTTGACAAACTGTGATATTATAGTAGGTTAAATAGTGACCCCCTAAAAGATTCCACCCAGAAACTGTGAATGTGCCTATATTTGGGAAAAGGATTTTTGCAGATGAAATTAAGGATCTTGAGATGAGATCAATGACACTGTCCATATAAGAGACAGAAGATAAGAAAGACACAGAGACACAGGGAGAAAGGCCATATAAAGACAGAGGCAGAGACTGGAGTTATGCTGCCACAAACCAAGGAATATCTGGAGCCACCAGAAGCTGGAAGAAGAAAGGAAGGATTATCCCCTAGAGTCTTCAGAGGGAGCACAGCCCTGCCAACACCCTGATTTTGGGCTTCTGGCCTCCAGAGCTATGAGAGAATAACCTTTTGTTGTTTTAAGCCACCACGTTTGTAGTCATTTGTTAAGGCAGCCCTAGGAAACTAATACAGGGATATTCCTAAAAATGTGGTATATTCATAAAATGGAATGCTATTCAGTAATAAAAGGAATGAACTACTGACACCCTCAACAACATGGATGACTCTCACAAACAAGTTGAGTAAAAGAAGCCATACACTCAGACGTGCACTGTGTAATTTTATTTATATGAAGTTCAAGAACAGGCTAAATTATTCTATGAGAATAGAAATCAGAACAGTGGTTAACCTCTGGGGGCAGGGGTAAGGACTGATGGGAAAGAGGCATGAAAGCAATTTCTGGGGCAATGGAAATATTCTATATCTTGATTAGGACGGTGGGGTTACACAGGCGAATAGTTTGTCAAAAACTCATCAGACACTGCACTCAAGAGCTGCTACATTTTTTTTTTTTTTTGAGTCAGAGTCTCGCTCTGTCACCCAGGCTGAAGTGCAATGGTGCAATCTTGGCTCAGCGCCACCTCTGCTTCCTAGGTTCAAGCAATTCTTCTGCCTCAGCCTCCTGAGCAGCTGGGATTACAGGTGTCCATCACCAAGCCCAGCTAATTGTTGTCTTTTTAGTAGAGATGGGGTTTCGCCATGTTGGCCAGGCTGGTCTCGAACTCCTGACCTCATGATCCACCTGTCTTGGCCTCCCAAAGTGCTGAGATTACAGGAGTGAGCCACCGCACCCAGCCAAGCTACTACATTTTATTGACTGTAAATTACAACTTAATTTTTAAAAACTAAGGAATAAACCAAAACAACAAACAGCAATGAGGACTGAAATTACACATTAAGGTAGGGGTTGACAAACTATAGTCCATGGGTTAAATCTTGCCTGCCACCAATAAAATTTTATTGGAACACAGCCAGACCCAATCATTTACATATTGTCTATGGCTGCTTTCACTCTACAAAGGCAGAGTTCAGTAGCTGTGACAGAGACCAGACAGTCTGCAAAGCTGAAAATATTTATTATCCGTCCCTTTACAAAAAAAAGTTTGCCAACCTCTCTACTAAAGTTATAGTCTGTAAGATGACAGCAAGAGTGAGGGGGAAAAATTATAGTCTGTGACTACATTTATAACTATAGAAGCCTCTTCTTGCTCTAACATTCTGTGATTCTCATTATATTTAATGGTATGAATCAGAGATGTCTGTTAAGACACTTGAAATGTCTTTACCGTAGGGCACTTAGGTGAGATTTTCAGCTAAATATTACAATTCTTAGTTATTCCATTTTTTTCTTTCACTTGCCATTTTTAGCAAAATTAATAGTTCACTATTGTACTATCAAAAGTCATCACATTTTATCCATAAATGCATTAACTTATATGGCCTCATCTGTGAGATATGCTAGGCACACAACAGTTCATTACAGAGTAATGAAAGAGAATTGGCGAGTAATGAAAGAGAATTGGCAACCAATGGGGCCAGGGCTGACAGAACCAACTAGCAGCCTAAGCAATCCCAAGGCACTATGCAGAGCATAATAAGGGCCTAGCACACTTGGTTGTATTCTTGCAGACATAATTATTAAAAGGATCTAAGCTGATGGTCTAGGGACTCTGGTGTAGGAGTAACTGAACTTAGAAAGTCAAAGCTATCAGCCAGAAAGGGCTTTCCGTTGCCTTTAGAATAAAAACCACAATCCTTAAAATGGTCACCAATGCCTTGAATAATGTCAACACATAATCAGTGTTGACCTTCAGAAAAATTACTCTGCCAGCTGTCAGAGAGAGCCTGGAGATGAGGAGAACAGTTAGGGGTCACTGGGATAATTTAATTACTAAGAAAACATATACTGAATTCTTGAATTAGGAGAGTGACAGTGGGAACAAAGAAATGAATTCCAGGATAAAGAAAATGTTTATGACCCACTGAATGCATCACTACTTAGCAATGAAAATGATCTATGGCTACATACAACACGGATGCATTCACAAACATTATATTGAGCAAAAGAAGCAGGATACAAAAGAATATAAAAAGTATGATTCCTTTCACATAAGGTGCTAAACAGGGGAAAAAACCCACCAAACTATGTTGCTTGAGAATCCTTATAGAGGTGATTTAGTAAGAAAAAGTGATTAAACAATTATCACAAGGGTCAAATTAATGGTTACTTCCAGGAGGAAGAGAAAGGCATATATGAGCTTCTGGGGCTGCAATGTTCTATTTTGCCCTAAGTGGTGGCGATTATATGGGTGCTGGCTGTGTAACAATAACACATATAAATATACATAAATACAAACGTCTCTTGATATATATTTACTATAAATAGATGTATACACACATATATATAATATACACACATAGATATATGCACTCTTATATATGTTTTCTCCATATATCACAGTTTAAATCAAGGTTTTAAAAAAGATTGTACAGAAACAGCTGAGGTACACTTAATTATGACTTAATTAGGATATGGAGGGCAAAGCAGCTCTGGGTTCAAATCTTGGTTATTTATTAGTAGTGTGACCTTGAACAAGTTATTTAACCTGTCTAAGCCTCAATTTTTATCAGGGGAACTAACAGGGCTGTTATTAGGATTAAAATTTTGATCTGTCTGATTATTTTTCTGTGACCTTTTCTGATTGATCAGCTGAGGGATCTCCCTCAATTTACTAAAGTTATTACCTGCATTGTTATTTCCTGTGCTTTACTAATGGCTGTGAGTTCCTCAGCACGTTTACAGGTCAGGTGGCTTGGGTTTCCCTAATAGTCATAAACCAGCAGGTGGAGGATATTAAGCTTTCTGCTCTGCAAGCCCAGTGGTTCTCAAACATGAGTGTTTATCACAATCTCCTGGAGGACTTGTATTAAAATACAGCTTGCTGGGCTCCACTTTCGGAGTTTTAATTCATAGACATGCAGTAAGACATGAGAATTTGCATTTATTTAACAAGTTCTAGTAAGTTCCCGGGTGATACTGTTGCTTCTGGTCCAGGCACAGTATTTCTAGAACCTCTATTCTAGCCCAATGTCAGAAAAGTTGGTAAACTGGGTCCCCTTCACTTAAAAGAGAGAGGAAGGAGCTTCTTTGCTCTCAGGCTCTCCAAGTACAAAGGAGACAGTTTTCACAGACACTTGGCAAGAGAGTGACTCTATCTACCTATGCAGGCCCCCTTTTCCTCTTAGACAGGGGTCAGCCTTCCTGAGCTACAGACTTCATATGTCGCTCATTTACCCTCTCCTATGAGAGCTCACAGATTTTCTCAGAAGCATGGATTACTTCCAAGGGACTCTGGCAGTTGCTTTTAGTCCCTGAGTTGCTCCAGTAAGGAACTGTGGGAAGAGAGAGATCAGGAACATGTGTTCATTTTCTTCCCAAAAACTTCTTCTGTGAGAATTAAGGGAGATAAAAGCATGATGTCTGGGACATTAAGAGTACTTAATAAATGTTACTGTCATTGTTATGACTTCAACTTTTTTGAAGTGGATGTTTGCAAAGATGGTTGCATCATAACAGAAACAGTACATGAGATGAACAGGTTTGTCAGGAAAATGAATAGTTTAGTTAGGAACATTTTAATGTTTATAAATTTTATATTTATTTTCATATTGATAAATTTTTGTATCATGGCTCTAAGGTTAAAGTTGAGGAATTTTATAAAACAGACCAGATTAGTAATCTGAGAGACAGAGGAGACAACAGAAAGCTTGTGGAGCTTCTTTTGGGAAATAGTGATGCAACCCAGTTTGAGACCTAACTAGCTAGAGGATAACACAAATGCTAGCAGCTGGCTGGCTCACAGAGACTCGTTTTTGAGAGCAGGCAGTAAGCACATGTTAAGCTTGTGATGTACTTTGGCAGACAGTCTTGACAAACCTATCTCATTCTTTAAACACATGGTTCCAAAGTTGCTAAGCAAAGTTCAGTCTGAACCTTGACTTTGCCTCCCTTAGAAGCGGGGGCTTGTATATTTTGCAATGCCTCATTAAATATTTCCGCATTTTGGTCTCTGCAAAAAAACGTGTGTTCTTTTTAGGAAACGGTGGTTTTTTGGGGACAAACTTAATATTTGTATCTTAGTTATCCATACCAATATTATTTCTATGCTTTATACGCTTTCAAATTACTCTGAGGCATTTACCTAGGTTCTAGGAATTACACAAACCTTAAAGTAAAAAAAACAACAAACAAAAATCCCATATAAATTTAACTTAAATTTATTAAAAACTATAGTATATATACTTATTTCTAAAACTTTAGCAACCATTTTGTGGTTTGTTTTTTAAAGCCAAATTATGAGACTATAGCTTTTGAAAATCTACATAGTCAATATTCTTAGAAGTGAAAATGCAATTATAAATTCATTCCACATGATTCAGTTACATTTAATTCGACATGTGACTAGTAGGTACTGGAGACACAGACATGAATAAATGATGATGTCCTTGTCCTTGAGGAGTTCACAGTTCTTCTGACCATGTGTTTGACTATTTGTTTCCATGTCTCTCTCACCCACTAGACTATGATTTGTCTAGTCCCTAGAGGAGGAGGTGACTGACTCTGCCAGGGAGTCTGAACTTGGAGGTGTCATTAAGAAGGTGAACTCTGGGTTGGCTCTTGAAGGATACTAAGATTTGGGGTGAGGAAGTAGGGAGAGAAGGGCAGGACAATCTAAATGGAAATAACAGAATAAGTGCAAAAGCACTGACATGGAAAATAATTGTTAAGATTTACAAGTATCACTGCGTGGCTACAGCTCCTGTGTTCCTTTGAGTGTAGTACAAATGAGGAGGGTAGAGTTAGGTGAGACCAGATAGTGAAAGGTTCTTTTTCTCATCTAAGGAGTTTTGATTTTACCTGTAGGTGGCTGGGAGACGTGGAAGCTTTGTAAGCAGCAGAGTGACAAGATCAGATTTGTGTTTTGACAACAACTTCAGTGTCAACAGTACAGAGAGTGGACCATGGTGAACTACCTCAGACAAAAATCTAGTTAGGATGTGGTCACAACAGGCCGTCTATTGCTGTTTCCAATGTTTGACTCAATATTAGTCTCAAATTCTATTTTAAAATTGTTACATAAAATGATAACAGTCAGTGAAAATGAGCTAAAACTATAGGCCCTACTCAAAGGCTTAAAGCTCAAAATTGAGGATATCAAAGGATTTCAGAAAAAAATACACACACAAACGCACACTTAAGGTATGAAGTTAAGTAGTAAGGATAGGTTTTCAGCACCTTTTCAGTCACTCAGCTAATTAACATAAGACTAAAATATGAACCACCTCTGTGTGAGGGAAGAGGGATTACGATTGTTGAGATATACTGTGAAACAATTCAATGTTTTATTAAAGAAAATAGAAAAGAGATGGGGTTTGTGAATCAATCAATCTGAACTTCAAAGGGAAAATATGGGGAATAATATTAATAGTTACTCCCAGTTTTTTAAAATTATTCCCTGTTTTTTATCTCTGTTTTTAAAATTATTATGTAAAATGACTGTTTTGTTTTATGTAACAATTTTAAAATAGAATTTGAGACTAATATTGAGTCAAACACTGGAAATAGCAATAGACGGCCTGTTGTGACCGCATCCTAACTAGACTTTTTGTCTGAGGTAGTTCACCATGGTCCACTCTCTGTACTGTTGACACTGAAGTTGTCAAAACACAAAGCACTGGCCAATATGTTACCTATTTATTATGACATAATTAAAAGAAATTAGAGTTTGTAGAATTTTTATATTAAAATTCAGCTTTGGAGATTTATTTTAAAACTTTCAAAGTATCAGTTTGCACACACTAAATTTGGATTTTACTTTATTATATGAATAACATATAACTCACAGATTTGAAAAAGTCAAACAGTAATTAAAAGTAGCTCTTATTTTTTACACAGATCTCAAAATATGAGTGACAGAGGAAAGTATTCAGTCAGCTGAGCACAGTGGCTCACACCTATAATCCCAGCACCTTAGGGGGCCAAGGTGGGAGGACTGCTTGTGGCCGAAAGTTTGTGACCCGCCTGGGCAACATAGCAAGACCCTGTCTCTAAAAGAAAATTTTTAATTGGCTGGGTGTGGTGGCACGCAGTGGTAGTCTTAGCTACTCAGGAGGCTGAAGTGGGAGGATTGCTTGAGCCAACTGCATTTCAGCTTGGGCAACAGAGTGAGACCTTGTCTCTAAATATATATATATATTTGATATATATATTTGGTATATATATATTCATTTATTTGATCAGATCTGCTTCTGTTATTATTAACCTATCTTGGTGTCTGTAAAAATACAAAACACCCATTGACAAATTTAATTAAATCTTTGAAAAAATGGCACAACAAATAACTCATCAGAAAAACTCTGATACCAAGTTTTTTGTCTTAAACATTGAACCAAATCCCAAATCTCACTTAAAATGTCTTGTTTTTGTTTTTTTCCTCACTTTCATTTTGTAAAATTTCAAGCCTACTTTACTGTTTGTAAATTATACCTCAATTTAAAAAATTTCATTTAGGAACAAAAAGTTTCACCCAAAAAAAAAAAAAAACAAAAAACTTTGGCCAGGCGCAGTAGCTCACGTCTGTAATCCCAGCACTTTGGGAGGCCAAGGTGGACAGATCATGAGATCAGGAGTTCAAGACCAGCCTGGTCAATACGGTGATACCCCGTCTCTACTAAAAATACAAAAATTAGCCAAGCGTGGTTGCACGCACCTGTAGTCCCAGCTACTCAGGAGGCTGAGGCAGAACTGCTTGAACCTGGGAGGCAGGGGTTGTAGTCAGCTGAGATTGCACCACTGCACTCCAGCCTGGGTGACAGAGCAAGACTCCATCTCAAAAACAAAAACAAACAAACAAAAAAAACTTTTCCAACCTACATAAAAGATAGAAGATAGTACAGTGAATACTAGAATCACTAGAGTAACATTTTGTTGTTTGTTTTCTCTCTGTCTCTTTTTCCAGAACCAAATGAAATTAAGTTGCAAACATCATAGACATCATCACACTCTCCCCCTAAATACACTCTCCCCCTAAATACACCAGTAACCTTTAAGGGATATTTTGATAACCAAATTTTGTTATACTCAATGGAATCTTTCAAAAGCCACCATGAAACAAAGAAACAGATAAATGTGAACTGTAGAATGGATACAGTGAAATAAAGACTTCATTATATTTGGTCAAAAATGATACTGGAAAAGCACAACAAAATAGTGGGAAATGGGCTGGGCATGGTGGCACATGCCTGGTAATCTCAGCACTTTGGGAGGCTAAGGCAGGAGGGTTGCTTGAGCCCAGGGGTTTGAGACCAGCCTGAGCAACATAGGGAGACCCCTGTTGATATTGTTTGGCTCTGTGTCCCCTCTCAAATCTCATCTTGAATTGTAATCCCCTTAATTCTCACATGTCAAGGGAGGGAACTGGTGAGAGGTGACTGGATCATAGGGGTAGTTTCCCCCATGCCGTTCTCATGATAGTGAGTTTTCATGAGATCTGATGGTTTTATAAGTGTTTGACAGTTCCTCCTCCACATCTTCTCTTTCTCCTGCCACCATGTAAGACATGCCTGCTTCCTCTTCTACCATGATTTTAAGTTTCCTGAGGACTCCCCAGCCACGTGGAACTGTGAATCAATTAAACTTCTTTTCTTTATAAATTACCCAATCTCAGGCAGTTCTTACAGTAGTATAAAAATGCACTAATGCACCTATCTCTACAAAAAAAAAAAAAATTAGCCAGGCATGGTGGCCCATACCCATGGTCCCAGCTACTTGGGAAGCTGAAGTGGGAGATCTGCTTGCGCCCAGGAGGTCCAGGCTGCTGTAAGCTGTGATCACGCCACTGCACTCCAGCCTGGGCGACCATGTTTCAAAAAAAAAAAAAAAAAAAAAAAAAACAGGAAAAGGAAGGGTTGTTCAATAAAATGCCAGGATAATTAGCCATTTTTTAAAAGAATCAATCAAATCTTTATCTTATACTGTATGCCAAATTAAAATATATTATAAATTATAGGTTAAAAATCTTAAATCTTACCATTAAAAGAGAAAATAATAGTTTGGTCATTTGTGTATCTCTTTTTGTATTTACAGTTTTCTTCAATTGATATAAGGTTTTTGTACAATATAAATGAGAATCAAATAGATGAGAAAAAGAGAGTAAAGGGAAAAATAAATGAATAATCTTTGGTTAGGTAAAACTTTTAGTCTTAGACACAATGGTGAACTAGCAAAGGAAAATACGTATTTTACAATATAACAGTTAATAATTGACATTTTCACATAATAAAAACGTGAAAGCTGAAAGCAAATTGGGCAAATATTTGTGAAAGGTATTATAATACAAAAAGCTCATATAAATCCTTAAGAAATCTTTAAGACCTTAATAAATTTGGGCGCGAGATAAATTTTTAAAATTACAAAAGAAAGGGTGAATGACTTAGAAACATTTGAAAAAATTTCAGTCTCACTAATAAATGCCGGTGAATACAGTTTTTTTCTTTTTTGCCTACTAGGAAAGTTTTTGCTTTGCTTAATTTAATACATATCCTCAGAATCAGGAGTCAAGAATACTGTGAAAAGGCCACTCTGCCTCGCTAGTGGGTAATATTTGGCAATATATATTAAAAGGCTCTTATCTTCTGACTTAGCACAGTTCTCAGTATTCATTACGGTGATATCTTGCTGAGTGGAAATAATGTTTTATATAGGCTTTTTGTTGTTGCTATTGTTCAAGGATTGGGAGTCCTATTCAAGCTTCATAGGATAATATGAGGTTTAGTGTTAGAACCCATGAGACCTGGGAAGCACCTCGAGCCAAAAGAGTTCTAGGGATCAGCTGCTCTCTCTTTCTCTGATGGCATCTCCAATTCTCTCTGCAAGTCTGTCCCACTCTCTATTCTCTGCTAACAAACTACATTCTTCTGCTTGTACATGGTTTCTGATTTTATACATCCAGTGCAGATTAGCAGGGGGTTCTGTTCATCATCACCCAGGAATTGAGGTTGATGGAGACTCCATCTCAAAAGTGAACTTTAATCATGTGACAGGGGAAAGGAAACAGAGAATTGTGCACTGACACTTGTTCTTAAAATGTCTGCCCCATAATGATACCTATTACTGCTGCTCACATTTCACTGGCCAAAGCAAGGCACATGGCTACAACTAACTCCAAAGAAGACAAGGAAGAGCAATCTTACCAAATATCCAGGAGGAGAATTGGAATATTTGTGAACAGTCCTTATGATTTCCTTATCTACATCTTTGTGTGCTCACTTAAACTTCTTGTAAATGTGGATTAAATGGAAAGTTACAGTCCTGCATTATCTTTTTTTAAAAAAATTAAAACACATCAACAAATATTTCCTGACACAAAATTATAAAAATGAGCAAAAAGCCAACATACACATGTATCTTGCTCAATTCAATGCCATTAAAAGTTCAGATGCATCAGTTTGCCAAATTCTCTGTTGAGGAAAAATAGTCACTTACGTACCAAAAATAACACATTAACAAGTATGGTGTCTTACTTCTTATAATAGGATACAGGATACTGTATCCTATTTTTTCTTTTTTGCCTACTAGGAGAGTTTTTGCTTTGCTTAATTTAATACATATCCTCAGAATCAGGGTTCAAGAGTACTGTGAAAAGGCCACTCTGCCTCGCTAGTGGGTAATATTTGGCAATATATATTAAAAGGCTCTTATCTTCTGACTTAGCACAATTCTCAGTATTCATTATGGTGACATCTTGTCACCAGAATACTGTGTCCTATTATAGGTATTTTAAGCAGTCCTTGTTAACTTTTAGTTCTTTTTTCTCTTTTATATTTATGAAAATTAATTCCACTAACAGACACACTAGTGGTGTAACTTTGAAATAAAATTTTTAAAAAGTCTGCTACTTCTTTCTTAGGCTTCTAAGTTAGTTTAATTGAGAAGTATCCTGAAGTTATCATTTGGAAATACTTACCTTACTCTTGCATAACCAAAATAGAGAAATAAATTAAATGATAATGCAGATAAGAGTGGAACTGTCATCCATAACTCCTGATTTTAAATATTTTGCATGTTCACCAAATAGCATCCCTCTTCTACTCTTTAAAAAATAAATGCTATACAGTTAAACTTAAAAAATAAATCCGTACTAACAAATATATCATTTTTCTAACTTTGAAGTTCTAATTTTGAAGTTCTCTGTAAGATTTAATTTGGAAAAATGGTCCAAAGCTAAAATTAATTTTGAGAACTACTTCTATAGACCATTGTCTTTGTCACAAATCCATTTGGTATTTATTTGACTTTTAGGTCTCCCATCTTTTGAAAAATCTTCTAAAAATGCAAATGTAATCTCTTGTGTCTCAAGACTTTCAGACTTCCTTGAATCTTTCTTCCTTGTAAGTCATCCTAGAAAGACTCCCTAGTGAACAAAATGTGCAAATTTTAAAAGCAGCTTATACTGCATATTTGTTAAAATTCCTTCAATAAACCCAAAAAAATGAGGCAAGAGTTTATTTTCTATTATACAATCCCCTGTTACCCCTGTTACTTGGCTAACAAAATTAAGCCCTCCTTCTGACCCTGTGTCATTGTATTCTTCTCAATCCTTCAGCTTTGTTTTATTAAACAAAATATGCTCAATATTTTTCTTGTTTCTTTTCTCTTTGTTTTTCTTAGAATTCTCAAAAGATGTAATATTACTATGATTCAAATAGTTCAATCAAACCAGTGCACAGGTTTTATGGTCTCCTATACATGTTGATTGCATATTGGCCTTATTAGTCACAGCCATCTTTATAGCCAGCAACATTTTAAGAAATTCACTGATCATGGATTCTATAATAATTTATTTAAGAAAGTGAGCTGAGTCTACCATCTCTAACATGATCATTTCATTTGCATAAGACAGACAATCCAACTTAAAATGGCCTAAACGAATAAAAAAAATTATTGGCTTACATAATTTAAAAGTCCATGGATAGCCTGCAGAGGCGGATCTCAGTTAAACGGTTCAAACCTTGTAATCAAAACTCTGTCTCTTCATTCTCCACTACGCTGGCTTCATTTTCAGGCTTCATGGAATTCCTAACAAGAGGGATCTTAACATGTCTAGGTAACATCACTAAGCAGCAAGGTGAGGAATCTCTAGGTCAATAGCTCTGAAGGGCAGCAGCTGTTTGTGGTCTTTTATAGCCACAGAGTTTGTCTTATCTATGGCCAGAAGATGTTGGGTGCAGTTTCATGGGGGTATGCCAAGCAGGTATGACCTAATGGCTAAAATATGCTCATTTGAGCTATATTTAAAGCAACTAGACATGCAAGAATTTGAGTCTGGCACTGACAGGCTTTGATCTACTGGTCCTAGCCTGCTGCAAAGAAGTAAACATTGGGCTAATACACAGGGGCCATCTTTAACCCATTTATGTAACAATTGAGAAATCTGTCTTTTCTCCCTGGATGTTTTTTAGATCTCTTCTTTATCTTTATTTAGGTGTGGATTTACTTTTTTTTTTTTTCATTCTTCTTGCCACTGTGTCTCCTGAATTTCCCCAGAATGCTCCCAACTCAAAGTTTTTGCATGTCCTAGCACTGCAGCTTGAAAGCATTTCTTCCAGATATATTTTTGGCTTGCTTTCCCAACTGGCTCAAACCTCTGCTCCAACTATTTCCTCAGAGAGGGCTTCCCTGAACCCAACTTCTTCAAACTTTCTATCCCTTACCCTGCTTTTTAAATAAAACTTAGTACTACTTGATATTATATGAAATATTTGTTCATCATTCTCCTTCCCCCAAGAATATATATCTATGTGGGGAGAGACCGTTTTACTCATTGCTATATACTTAGTACCTAGAACGGTGCCTAAGGCTCAAACATTTGTTGACTTAATGAAAAAATAACCTCTCCTCTATGCTTCATTTTCTCCTTTTTAGGCAGATGAGGTTTTCTGTGTAACTATGCAGATGGCCCAAATATTTTCACTGTCAGATGGAACACTACTACATACAATCATCAAGGTTGTATTCAAGATCATCCTTAGCATTGGTTTTCTTTGTGACAATGATACCTAAGATTTTTTATTTCTTTTGCTTTGTCTTCTTCCTATTCAATCCATTGCCTGGATTCTAATGTTTTAAACTCTTGCCCCTGCCCTAGCCTTCCCTCTTGTGAGCCTTAAATAATCTTTAAAAATTATTAAGTTTAACTTTTTCTATTTTGCTAAGCAATGGTAAGATTGACTATCATTTTTTTACTCAAGAAAATTGCTTAATATTTGCTTTTGTTAGAAAATATGTATATCACTTTGTGTTATAAAAGCTTATAAATTTGTATTTTTATGTATTAAAACAGAAACATTTAAAATTATTATGATAAAAGTAATACACGAGTTTAAAAACTCAAACATTATAGATGAGCAGAAAAATAAAACATAAAAATGCAGCCAAACAACTGTCTTACAATCCAATTCTACTTCCTACAGTACTTTATTGACCAAAACTCAAGTAGGAAATACATTTTACAGGTATGCAGAAAGCTGAAAAACATTTCACACGTTTTACTCATCTTTACTGTCTTTACTAGTGCAATGCAACCTGATATTTCTTTTTCCTTCTTGTCTCCTAATGTAGGTGGCAACCTACTAAATTGATTTCATTGCCACAGCTTGAAAACACTGCCCAAAAGGTGCCAACATCAAACTGTTTTTAGCTCTTCTGATAGTTACTCCATAATTTAAAATAATACGCACGCACTGCACTGCCACTGTTTGGTTCAACTCCTTGCTTTTTTAACAAATTGACTCTACATTTTGAGAATGAACAATGAGAATTTAGCTCAGTTCCAGTACTCTCCATTTTTCTTCCCTTAGTCTTCTCTTTGCAATTTTTAAAATTATATTATATTACATTCTATTTGCTACTTTATTCCTTTAAAGAATACTTAAACCTATTTCTTGATGTACTTAATTTAGAAAGTGTCTCCTGACTTTTCCATTGTGTAAGATTAAAAAATTTTATCCTTTCGCTTCCTTCCATTTCCCAAGTACCATGGGTTACACCAGTACTTTTACATTGTTGATATTTGTATTATTTGCTCTGTTAGAATAATCGTCTTGTGCATTTTGTCTTAAATTTTGTCTTTTATTTTGAAAATTAAAGATTTTTTCAGTATTACAATTTTGTACATCTTATTCACTGCAGAATCAAGTGGTATGAATGGACGTGTGGGAAGAGAAATGTAAGCCGTGTTATTAAATCTACACCTATTGAAGGAGAATGTTCTAGGTGTCAATGTCAAATGGATTTTCTTTTCTTATTATGTCCACTGATTACTCATAATAATGACACATTTTAGTTCATTTCGTCTTTGAGCCATGGCTTATACAATTTTTTTGCCTTTACTAAAGATTCTATTTCTTCTGTCTTGATGACAAGAGAAGCATCATCAGCCTATCATAAATATGTTTAAGGTTTTTAATAATGATATTTCATAAAGTAAATTTACTTTTTTCTTAAAGCCATTCTCTGAAATTTTCCAGCTTCTTGTCCTATTATTATTAATTATCTTGATGGCCTAAATATTTGTGGTCCTGAAATACCTTTTTATTGCACACCTTCAACAGATCTTTACTGGAACCTCATTACTGAGATCTCATTACTGGGATCTCATGTTCTCTCTTCAGTTCTCTTCTTATTTTGCTAGAACATTTCTTAAGCAATTTTTTCCCCTGAAATGGGTAAAAAGTCAAAAAAAGGTGAGAATATCTTTAATTTATCCTCATCCCTAAATGTTTTGTTTGTCTGTAGAATTCTAGGTTAGAATAATTTTCTCTCGGAACTATAAAGATATTGCTGTTTGAATAATCTAATAATAGTCATCTAATAATCAATGGTGCTAATAAATGACAAAATTCAATCTACTTTAATCTTCCTATCACTCTACTGCTCTTATAAGGGTAACTGACTTTTGTTTGGCTGACTCTCTTTTCTCTCCACAGTTAACTGAATTCTCATAACTGGCCATATCTGATACTCTCCTCTCTGGGCTCTATAGCACACGTTATCCTGGTTTTCTTAAATAATTGGCTATTCTTCCTTATTCTCTCTCAGTTTTCCTTTTTCTATGTGACCTCTAAATGATGGAGTTTATACCCACTTTTCTATTCTGTGTCTTCTCCCTATATGCTCTTATCCATTCTCATGGTTTAAAAAACTATATGTTGACAATTCCTAAATTTATACCAGCAGGCTAGATTTTTTTTCTGAGGTTCCGACTCACATCTTTAAATATCTTCTTGACCTCTGTCTTGTCTGTCTCCTACGAATTTCAAACTTAAAATGACCAAAATGGATCTCTATCTCTAAATCTGGATCTCCTTCACCCTTTACCACTCAAAAAATGGTCCCATGGTTAACTGTTCCCCTTGACTCTTCCTTTTCATTCCCTCCTCCTAACAACTCCCTCCTCATCTAAGCCATCAGTAATTCCTGTTATTTCCACTTTCAAAATATATCTCTAAACTCTTAAAAATGTAAATCAGGTCATGTCAGTTCTCTGTTTAAAATGATTAGATTGCTTTCCACTGCATTTAGGATAAATTTAAAACATACACAGCCAGGCCTCCAAACTTATATCTTGTCTCTCCAAACTCATTTCTTGCCTCTTGCCATTCTGCACTTATTCATTTCCTCACTCCAGTCTCCTCTCTCCTAGAATACACAATGCTCTGTTTCAGAGCCTCGGTTCTTGCCTTTCTATCTGGCATACTTGCTCCACAGGTCATTATATGGCTGAACTTTTTTCCACTTGAGACATAAAGAATATCTTTGTCAATACACACTGCCACCACATCTTTTAATGAGTGATACTATCCTTTTATATTGATGCTAAATGTATTTAACATAATTTAAATGCCCATACTAGTGATATTTGAATTGTATCCTCGTTTTTAAACATTTAAATAGTTTTTAAATGTTTAAAATGTTTTTAAACTATTAAAACACTGCATGGAATATTTGTGTGTGTATATATATATATATATAGTGAATATCAAAAGCAATATATTTAAATCATGGGTAAAAATATTTTTTAACATCAAAACCAATCTTTTTTCATTTAAAGAATCTTCAGAACTGTAGAGGAAAAGCACATCTCTAAGTTTGGGGGCATTGATTTGACAAGGAAAGTGATAAAAGGAGATCTCTTCCTCAGAAGGATTTGGAGAATACAGTTTACAGGTGAAAAATGTGTGGACTGAAAAACATAGTCCCATCTTGTGGAAAGATGAAGAGCAGTTCTGGGACTAAGCAAAGAGCAAATGAGTGTGGTTTGAGTGGTTTGAGTTTTCTTTGAGACTACAATTATGGTATGAATTAACTTTTACTATGTATCAATACACTGCACTGGATATAGCTTATCTGGGTGATTCTTCTACTAGTCTTACCTAGTTCACTCATGTGGCCAGTTTGACTCATTAGGCAGTTTAATGAGAGCTGGATAGCCTAAGATGGGCTACAACGCATCTGGCAGCCTGTTTGTCTGTACTGTTTGGTCTAGTGGGGCCTCAACTGGAAAAACTCATCTCTACTTCATGTAGCTTGTCATTTTCCATCAGGTAATAATGGCCTTCCTCATGCAGCAGTCTCAGGTCAGTATTCCAAGGCATGAGGTTGAAAGCTGAAAAGCTTCTTGAGTCACATAACATTACTTCTGCTGTATTCTATTGGTCAAAGAAAATCACCAGGCCAACACAGACTCCAGGTGTTGGGGTGGGGGGGGGAAATTCCACCTCCTAATGGGAGGAGTGACAAAGTCACATTGCAAAAGAGCAAGGGGCACAGGGATGGGAAGAATTGTGGCCATCTCTGCAAACAATCTATTACTGCAGGACTTGCTTAGAAGTGATCACTTTTGTGTTATAAAAGTACATTTATAAGTTGATTATTTGCCATCCAAAACATGTTTCCAATAGAAATAATGGGAAAACTCTAATATACACCTATACAGTACTCTACAGTTTTTAAATTCATTCATAAATATCTCATTTGATAGTTCATTGAACAAATTTCTTTTGAGTGCCTATTATGTGTCAAGCACTATGATACACTCTGGGGATACAAGAGAGACATGGTCCTTGCTCTTAAAGAGCTTATAGTCTATGAAGGGGAAATAAATATTTAATAAGTTATAATAGTAAATCAATTAATAACAATAACTTGAGATTAATCGTATGATATGGCAATACAGGGAATAATCATTAGCTGAACTTACACTCTGTGCTAACAGAGTGAGAAGATCTTTATAATAACTCAGGCCGGGCACAGTGGCTCCCACCTGTAATCCCAGCACTTTGGGAGGCCAAGGCGGGAGGATCACTTGAGGTCAGGAGTTCAGGACCGGCCTGGCCAACATGGTGAAACTCCATCTCTACTAAAAATATAAAAACTAGCCAGGTGTGGTGGCAGGCGCCTGTAATCCCAGCTACTCAAGAGACTGAGGCAGGAGAATCGCTTAAACCCGGGAGGTGGAGGTTGCAGTGAGCTGAGGCTATGCCACTGCACTCCAGCCTGGGTGACAGAGTGAGACTCCATCTCAAAAAACAAACAAACACCTCTGTATTATATAATAACTCTCTGTCTGGTGAGACAAGCTATTAGTTGTTATTCTCATCTTTAAGTGAGGAAATTAAGGTTCATAAGGTTATCTAAGTAATTTATCCAAGGTTACTCAGGTTCTAAGTGACAAAATTTGAAATAAAAAAAAAGACCTATTTTCCAAACTCTGCTTTTTCCAATGTACTCCTCTGCTTCCCTAGACACCAATATGCGAAAACAGAAAAACACCAATAAATTAAAACCAACCAACGAACCCTTACATGATGGTACATATTTTGTGGAGATTCTTTTGAAGAGACTTCAGTGTTTACAGTTTCAGAGATTGACCATGTAATATATAGCATACCTAATCTAGAATATCATCTATAATGTTGAGGAATTTTGCTTACTTCCTAACTCTTTCTAGACCCAGAATCTAGACTGTTATCACTTGGGTTCACTGGGTTGAGAAAAAGTCATTTAAAAAATAATATAAGAAGAGGTTCTTTAACATGACAATCTAAAGACAACAAAAAGGATTTTAGATGAGAATGACTAAATTGAATTTCCACTATAAGAATGAACTATAGTATGGTCAGTTTACTAAGCAATGAACTTAATTAGGAATATATACACCTTGCTTGGCCTCAAATTCTCTTTAGAATAAGAAAGAATATAAATTATAAATAAATATATGAACATGTGTAAGTGTATGCCAACATACACACACACACACACACACAAATTTCAAATAATTATCAATGTGGTTTTATCACTGTTTTATTCCTTCTCACTAGGAAACTGGTAAAACCTTCAGCCTAACATAGCTTAAGCAAAGGTCTATCTGTATTCTTTTTTCTTTCATTATCCTATTACTCCATTTGTGACTTTATCTGGTCTCCATTCCATGCTGGTCTGTGTTAGAAAGACTTACATATCAAACAGCTGAACGTCTCTCAGTCTGTCTGTGATGCTCCAAATCCAGACAGCAGTCTTCAATAAATTTCTATTACCCAAATAGTCTGTTTTTAATTTGTTGCTGTACAGATCCATGCAAAGCTAGAACTTCAGTAAGTTGCTGACCTCTTAACATTTTCTTTGTAAACTCTTGTTGTAAGTCACTGATAATTGAGAATGGCCTCTGTCTTTCTCCTAGTACTGCTCTCTGCTCCAAATTCTCATTTTTTTTTTAATATGCTGCTCAGCAGTTGTGAGAGAGGTAATATAGACCAGAATTTTCTAATTATATGTTTTGAATGACTTAACGCTGTGAAGCATATTGATTCTTTCAGGCCTGGGGCACGCAAGTTGGGAGCCCCTGGCCTGGTTGCAGTCCAGCTGCTAGCAGCATTTACCAGAGCTTCCTGGAAGGTGGCCAAGAGGAGCAGCATCTCTACAGGTAGAGTGGATGATAAAAAAACATCTAATAATTCCACAGGCCTCTTATCCAAGGTGAAGAGTGGTATGTTCAGTAGCTGGTTCCTGAAGTAGATGTCCAGATAATGGAACACCTACCTCCTTGGCTGTGCTCAGCACATTGCAGCCAACATGGAGCTCCTGGATGGTGCAGCTCTGGTGGCTCTGAAACTCTGATTTCGTAGACATCGGATATTTTTCGTTAGCAGCTGAAGTGCCCTTTTTGTGGCATCCAAAGTAGTTTTGGTCTGACTGATCCAACAATGCATGCATGTTTTATAAATTAAAGCTTCATCATTATTTTAAAGTACTTTCTAGAAAAAAGTACTGCTATTCATTATTGGCATTTTGGTACTATCTGGATTTTTTTTTTAAGCTGTGTATTCTTACTGAAATTTAAAAAAAAAATTGAAGTGCAATTTAAAATGGCACCAGAAGCCAGGCGTCATGGCTCAAACTTGTAATCCCAGCACTTTGGGAGGCCGAGGTGGGCGGATCACTTGAGGTCAGGAGTTTGAGACCAGCCTGGCCAACATGGTGAAACCCTGTCTCTACCAAAAAAAATACAAAAATTAGCCAGGTGAGGTGGCAGGCCCCTGTAATCCCAGCTACTTGGGAGACTGAGGCAGGAGAATTGCTTGAACCTGGGAGGCAGAGGTTGCAGTGAGCAGAGACTGCACCACTTCACTCCAGCCTGGGTGACAGAGCGAGACTCCATCTCAAAAAAAAAAAAAAAAAAAAAAAGAAGAAAACAGTATTACTAGAGAACTTCAGTCATTAAGAGATTACTTGTCCCGGATAAAGGCCTGACCATTTGCACTCCTTTCTGTTTTGATGGAGAGGGGTAGCAAATCAACCTCCAGAAACCGAAGGGAGAAAATTTTCCTCCCTGTGGGTTTTTGGAGTCAGATAGCTTCAGTTCAGATCCTGGTTCTGTCACATAGTAGCTATGTGATCTAAAAAAAAAAATTAAATAAAAAAAATAATAAAATGGCACCAGAACTTAACATTAGTATTTCATATTTTTTCCTGTAGTTTTTTCTCTAAATATGACATACCTCCTCTTTTTCATTAGAGAGAAAAAGTAGTTACCTTTTATTCTCTAATCATATTATCCATCTAATGACATAGAATTATTCAATTATTTAATCTTCACCCAAAAAGCAGTCCTGAGAATCTTCTCTTTATTTTATTTTTATTTTTTGAGACAAAGTCTTGTTCTGTAGCCCAGGCTGGAGTGCAGTGGCGTGACCTCAGCTCACTGCAAACTCCGCCTCCCATGTTCAAGTGAGTTTTGTGCCTTAGCCTCCCAAGTAGCTAGGATTACAGGCGCCTGCCACCAAGCCCAGCTAATTTTTGTATTTTAGTAGAGAAGGGGGTTTAATCACGTTGGCCAGGCTGCTCTCAAACTCCTGACCTCAGATGATCCACCAGCTTTGGCCTCCCAAAGTGCTGGAATTACAGCTGTGAGCCATTGCACCCAGCTGAGAATCTTCTCTTTAATATTTCGTTAGGTTGGTGGGTGTGAAATGCTTAAAATACATTCCCTGAGACTAAGTTAGGAAACAGAAGTTCTTTATCCTTTCCTTTCCAGTGGTGGCACTAGCAGGAAATTTAATAAACTAGACCAGAGGCAGAGATGTTTAGAAAACCATCAAAAGTCATTTGATGGAATGCACAACAGGGAATCTTTCATATAGTTGAAAGAGGCAGAAAAAATAGAATTAAACTGAATGCTTTTCTCTTTCACAACTCTTCTCTGTGAGGATTTGAAAGTCAATAAGTAACCTGAACTTCTATACATATATCACTACAGTAAATCAAAATAATATTTATTCTATGAGTTTGGTAAAAGATGGTTTCTTATTAGTTTTTTTATCTTTTCAAATTATAATCACATAACAATCTACGCTTGTTAAAAACCCTGAGAGAATATAGGGAGTTTATTTATGTTTTTTCCTGGGCCATTCACTAAAGGGAATGGCTCTATTGCCTCTATCATCAAAGGGGCGGACACAATTTGGAGATACAGTTTTGCACATGAGAGAAATACAACAACCTCATGGGTGTCACCATTTCTCACCAACACTCTCCTCTGGGGAACATGCAGAACAGACTAAACAGAAAACAAAATAGTAAGGACCTGCTTCCTTCAACTTTCAAAGGAGAATCTAGAGGGGAATTATTGATAAACATGAACAAGATAATGTATGTTTTGATTAAACATGCTTGGGAGCCTAATGACTTTTAAAACCACTTAGAAGATTGGTTTATGAACCTTTAATTAACTATCCATAATGTGAACTAACTTCATTTTTTAAAGCATCTCAGTTATTTGAAATAATTGCTACTGCTCTGATGTAAAAGTTATATAACTCTCAAATATAACTTAAAAATCATACTGTGAACAAATGGAAGGATATGTCATAATTTAAATTCACAACTTGTTTCAGCAAACTTCCTGGTTCATTAACAGGGTGTTGGCAACAGGAAAGAATGAAGTCTTTCTCTTCCTCAAGTATTTGGAAACCCATTCATTTTTAGACAACTCATTCATTAGTAGTCCATCTCATAGATATAATTTGATATCTTTTTCCAGTTAAGCCCGTTTGGTTACCTTTTTACTCAAGTGAAATGCCCTATTGTTAGATGTAGTCAGTTACTGGCAACTGCTGACTGAGTAACAGTAGCCCCTTTTTCCTCTCTCATGTGGGTGGCCTAGGATTTAGATGGGTACAGATGGGAGCCAATATTGAGTATGGGCAACAGTCCAGTGGATAACTGTTGCCTGGTCTCTTGGCTAAACACTTTGGGCATGACACAGAAATTTTTATGTCTAGTACATGTTCGCTCAAACTACACTGCTTTATTTTCTTGAATGTAGAGGATAGGCAAGAAAAAATAAAGGACCACACACATTGATGATCTGTATACTTATTTCATACCTTTAACAATTCCTACACCACTCCTTATTAGATAATGCTCATGGGTAGTTAACACAGCTTATTGTAAAGTCATCAGGGCATTTGCTGCTATTATTCTTATAATTTGGCCCAGGTTCATCTCCTAGGTGGAAATAACTGAAACTTAAAAAACGTTATCTCTAAATATAAACTTTTTATGTTTTATATGGCTCTCAAAGAGCAGAGAGTAGGGGCGGGCCTGTGGCTTACGCCTGTAATTCCAGCACTTGAGGAGTCTGAGGCAGGAGGATTACCTGAGGTCAGGAGTTTGAGACAAGCCTGGCCAACACGCCGAAACCCTGTCTCTACTAAAAATACAAAAACTAGCCAGGTGGGGACCTGTAATCCTGGCTACTCAGGAGGCTGAGGCAGGAGAATCCAGCTACTCAGGAGGTGGAGGTTGCATTGAGCCGAGATCGCACCACTGCACTCCAGCCTGGGTGACAGAGCGAAACTCTATCTCAAAGAAAAAAAAAAAGAGTGGAGAGTAGGATACAACACTGTGAGTTAAAATGATTTAGTGGCACTAAACTGGTCATTCAATATATACTTATGGAATGTTCGCTATGTACCAGACACTGTGCCAAGCATTAAATCTAAAAAGGCACCAAAAAAGATGCTTAGAAATAGGACCACAGACATGGTTTCCTTGCTGTTGATAGAGAGCTCCTGTCTAAAGCAAAGGAAAAAGATATGGTGAGGTTGTTATACATCCTAGGATATGGGACTGGGTAAACCAAACTGAGTTTCCTCAAGTTTCTATGGGAAAGTAGAAAGAAGGAAGAAATTATAGGCAGAATTTGTATCATCCGTGGATGGTCGCATATGGAACCAGACAAAAACTGGCTTCCAGGCTTTCTTTCTAATTCACAATCCATTTCACTCCAGCTCCTTAACCCTGTACACACTCTTATCAGCCCCCATCTTCATTCTTTGGATCCCCCCACCCCAGGTTTCTGCAAAGGTAAAATCTATAAATCTACCGATGTTACAGATTTCTAATGATACAGATTATCAACATCATGCACCTTGAAGGGATATTCCAGAGTAGTATCTTATGAAAAAAAGGATTAAAGATACACATACTTGCCCAGAGAAAGCAATTTTTCAATGACTGAAATATATAAAGGGAAATAGGTAACTGCTTTCTAAGCATGTCTTTGCTCCATGGCCATTAAGAACTCCACCTCTTTCTTTCCTATCTCCACAGGATTTGTCAAGTGAGGTTGTTCTTAGTGGCTCTGAGAGAGTGGGAAGCTCGCTTACAAAGTGTTTGTGGGTTCAAAATTTAAATTTATACCGATGTATAAAGAAATTTCATTTTATAAGTACTGTTTGGAAATATTTG
The DNA here is from genome assembly GCF_000001405.40 of Homo sapiens. NCBI lineage: Eukaryota > Metazoa > Chordata > Mammalia > Primates > Hominidae > Homo > Homo sapiens. The sequence continues at coordinate 63,838,980 of NC_000002.12, forward strand.
GAAACTAAGCTTCTAGAGTGCTACTTCTCTAAGAACTAGTGACTGAGTAGTTACAGATGTAGCCCCTGAAGATGGGTAGTTAGTTACTTTTTGGAGAGTTCTTGAGGCAGCAAGTGTACAACAACCTTTGGTACTATATCTCAATATTCAATCACTCATAAATCAAGATGCCATTCTTAGATATTAACAAATGCTCTTGCTGCAATTAAAACCCATTTCCTTTTTAATCTTCCATGAAGGCAGAAAATACAGTAACTGATCATCGTTTCTTATAATAAACCTTGTATAATTAAAAACTCGCCAGGCGCGGTGGCTCACGCCTGTAATCCCAGCACTTTGGGAGGCTGAGGCAGGCGGATCACAAGGTCAGGGGTTTGAGACCAGCCTGGCCAACATGGCGAAACCCCGCCTCTACTAAAAATACAAACATTAGCCAGGTGCGGTGGCACGAGCCTGCGGCCCCAGCTACTCGAGAGGCTAAGGCAGGAGAATCGCTTGAACCCGGGAGGCGGAGGTTGCAGTGAGCCTAGACTGTGCCATTGCACTCCAGCCTGGGCGACAGAGCAAGACTCCGTCTCAAAACAAAAACAAAAACAAAACAACAACAACAAATAAATCTCTTCATTGTCCTTCATCTTTTGCAGGCTAAGTAACCCTACGTGGCCCAAATCTTTCGGTAGTATTTTATTTTGGTACTAATGCTCATTGGTAAAGACTGCTTTTTCAGTGCTGGAACAATTTTTGTACTGTATACAAAGGATGTAGAGATTTTGTTAAGATCTTCAGTCTCCAAATGCTGTTATTAAACTGTAGACATCTGGATTTTAGACACTTGTTTTGTCTGGGGAAAATTCGTTTTACGGCCGAGAGGTTTTTGAGTGTAATCTTTTTGGATTTCATGTAAGAAACACAGTACCAATGGTTGTCATTCTCTAGTATAACAATTTTTCACTAGCCTTTTCTGTGTTGTTTGTTCTAATAACATTTCCATATAAAGACGTAGAACCAAAAAATCAAAGTTCCTTTGTTTAGACAATGAGTCATTAAAAAATTCTCACTTTACCTTGGTTGATTAGTGCTGCCCAAAGCCTCAAACTCTTCTGTAATTACCGTACTTGTTTATTGAAGGCACTTAAGAGAAGGCGCTGGCAAATCATCTGCCCTGGTGCGGGCTATTTGAGTCTTAAAGTGGAAATGCAAAGTCTGAAATGCACTCGCTGCCAGGCACACTGAGTCTTAGATGCAGGTGGGGTTGACGGTACCAGGTGTGATTTGACAAGCCGTGGGCTGGCCCTGTAACAGTCCCCAGGCTAGTGTCAAGTTCCGTGTAACATCCTCTTTCCTTGAGGACTTCAAGAATCTACCAAAAGAAAAGCATCTCTTGAGGAGTAACTTAGGCCAGTTCCACGTTGAAGAGAAAAGTAAACGCCTATCACAGCAGCTCTACAGGATTAGGAACCGGGGCAATGGGGATGGTGGTGGTTCCGGTGAGGGAGCCTTCACTTGTCACTTTCTTCAATGCCTAAACCCTCCTTTTGTTAGCTGGCCCACACAGGCCAATGCCTACTCCCTAACGCATCCTCACCCTCCCCCAACCAGATGTGATGAGGGGAGCAAGCGTCCCCTGAGAAGCGTCTGGGCTCCCTCGGGGCAGCTGCGGTGGGGAGCTCCGGCTCTATCCGCAGGGCTTTCTTTAGTCCCTAGTCAGCGGGAATATTTTTACTGATTGGAAAAATAACCAGTCGTGCTCAGGTGCTCTCCCTCACTGAGATATACTGGCGAGGCTTCCCTGGCCGCAACGCCGCCGTAAGTGCTGCTCCCACGCGCGGTATCCCCGCGTACTGCTCAGTGCCCAACTCCGACGGGCTCTCAAGTGCCGCAACGCCCCGCCCCTTGCCACCTCCACACGTCTCATTGGCCAGAGCCTGCGTCCGCCTCGGCTCCTGACTGGCGGCTGCGCCTGTCGGTCCGTGCGGCAGGGACATTTCCGCATTGAAGGGGCTGCTCCGAATGGAGGGGGAGGGGAGGTGTTTAGGAGAAAGTAGGGGCTGTGGGTGTCGGGAGCCGGCTGACGGGTGGACAAGGGGGGGTTAGCAGCTGGGCTGCGACCGTTAGGGAGGGGCTCAAGGTGTGCATGTGTGAGGGAAGAGAGAGAGAGAGAAGGGCGCCTCAGAGGTGACTTTCAGCCTGCGAGCCTTCTTCCCGGGGCGCCATAAACGCCCCCAATTTCCCAGCTGCTAAAGGAAGAGGAAGGTGGGTCTCGCTGGCGGCTTGAGGAGGGGCGGGGTTGGGCTTCCGGCGACCCCCTGGATGAGTGTGTTTCCCGCTCTCGCTGGCCCGCTGTGTGGTCTCGGAGGCGGAATTTGGGCTTCTGAGGAGCGCAGGGCAGGCGGGGCGAGAATATGTACGGGAAGGGTCGGTGCCCTCCCTTGGGACTCCCGCGCCGGTGCACGGGTCTGCCTCTAGCCGGTGACCCCTTAGTGTCCGCTGCGGGGGAGGGGCAGCGTAGCCTTCGGCCCCTACCGAGAAAAAGCTGCGGCCGGGTTTCACTGCTCGAGGCGGGAAGGCGGGGAGCTGAGGCCCCGACCGGTCGGCCAGCCAGAGCGTGGAATTGGTAGCGCCTCCTAGTCCCAGGATGTTTATGGCTGGTGAAAATGGTTGCACTGCCCCCGCTGGCCGGCCTCGCCCGCCTCCCCGACCCCTGCTTGGGCGGGAGCCGCTGTTAACCGGGGTTTTCGGGGGAGGCGTTTGGGGCCTGGACGGCGGCGCGGGGAGGGGGCAGCTAGGGGCGCGGCCTGCCAGTGCCTCCTGCAGTACAGCCCTGGAGGGCGTGGGGACTTGGGGGCGGTGAAATAGCCGCTGTAGGTCCGCCTCTTTCATTGAAGAAATTTAAGTTCGTGTGGTTTTACCTTTTCCGGGAGTCTCCAGCTGGCCCTCATTTGTGTCCGGAGCTCAGGAGTTCCCAAACCGACTCAGTCGCACCAAGTTTCCGTCTTTTGGAATTGGGGAAGGAGTTTCTTTCTTTCTTTTCTTTTTTCTTGAGCCAGTTTTAATCGCTTTGAATAAATACTCCCTTAAGTAGTTAAATATAGGAGGAGAAAGAATACATCGGTTGTTAAAGCAGGAGAGGAAGAGAGACCTGCCCTGTAGCGTGACTCCTCTAGAAAAAAAAAAAAAAAGCCGGAGTATTTTACTAAGCCCCTAAAATGTCGAGATTTGTACAAGGTAAGAAATGCTGCTGCTTATATCCCGAGTTGCTTCAGGCAAATTTGGGTACTGACAGTGGAGAGGTTGGTGGGTGGTTTGGAAGTGGAAATGTTCATTTGAGATAACATTTGCGAAACCCTTTTCGTTGAATTGTCATCTGAGCTGCCTTGAGCTGCTGGGTTGACGTTCCAGACGCGTATAATTTATGCTCCTGTACCCTGCTGGGTTTAGTTTTGCCTCCCTGAAATCAGGTTAGTAGTACCGTCGCTTTCCTGGATAGTGGCTGTAAGTGATAAAACAGGATTTTTGGCTGCTAATTAATCCTTGTTCTCTTTTCCTGGTCTGTGTCAAGGTACCTGTGCGTGCACGCAGACGGGAAGGGCTGGGGAAGCGGGAGGACTGAGAAAAGCCGGGTGGGTTTTGCCGGGACTGTTGGGGAAGCTTTAGTGTTCTCCGCTTCTACTTCGTTTGTGTGTACGTGGTTTGCGTCTCAGATTCACTTATTGCGAAACTGGGAGTAGCCCGAAGAAGCTGGAGGTCATTTCAGCTGGAGAAATGACTTTGCTGCATTGCTGTGTTTATTTTTTCCTTTTTTGAACTATGAAAAGATGATTAAGGTTCCTTTGAAGTTTGAAAACTGCTCTCTAAATTCCACATGTGTATTTAAAAAGGGTTAGGGAATGCCTCAACTGAGATTATCAGTAACGTGTATATGAATGCATGTGTGTACGGTGTACTCACTGAAATTGGTGCTGGCATAAACCTTTGACACCAGTTTGTAGCATGAGATTTGCCTTCTGGTATGCAAGTAAACTCTTTCCTTGTAGACTCCAGTGTGTGAAAGCTTCAGCCATCTTGATGAACACACAGCTAGTAAAGTTCACAAACACTTATTATGCTTCCTGATAAATGTAGGTGTACTTTTGGAAAAAAAAAGTTGTGTCAGTAATGGCCATCATTTGACCCTGGGAATAAAAATGCCCTACTGAGTTCTACATCGCTTTATTAACTCTTCTTTAAATTTTGTGTAGTAGATTAAAGTAAGAGAATTCGACTGCCTGTGTTATTATCGAAACAGATCGAACGCTATGCTTGCCTTTAGCGCTAAGCTCAGAAATGTCACTTGTTATTAGACTTTCAAATTCATGTTATACCTTATATGTGGTAAGAGATGCTTATGTTCTGATTGAGTAAATGTCTTATTCAAGAATAGAAAGGCAGAACTGTTAGAAACGTACTGGTTTTGTAATAACAATATTCAGTTACCATAAAGGCGGTATTTTGCAAGAATATGCTAGGTAAAAGTGGACAAGTTACTTCTCTTTAAAAGTTAGAAATATTAATAAACCCAAGGTGTTCCATGTAGAGTTATGCTTTAGAATAGGTTGCAGAATTGGCAAGCATTGACTGATTTCACAGCCTTTGCTGTAATGCCAACTTGTCCTCAGAAGATTCAAAATCAAGTGGTAAGAGTTGCTGTGTATGTTTGTCATTACTTTGTCATCCACTTTTTTTAAAAAAACTTTTTATATTTTGGAATACTTCAGGATTTATAGAAAAGTTGCACATTTGTCAAAACTAAGAAATTAACATAGGTACATTACTGTTAACTAAAGGCTTTGTTCAGATTACAGTTCCCATGATTCACTCTAAGATACCAGATTGCACTTAGTTGCCAGCCACTTTTTTTCTTTTTTCTTTTTCTTTCTTCTTTTTTTGTCAAGGTCTTACTGTGTTGTCCACGCTGGAGTACAGTGGGTATTCACAGGAACAATCATAGTGCACTACAGCCTCAAGCCCCTGGGCTCAAGCTGTCCTCCTGCGTTAGCCTCCTGAGTAGATGGGACTTAGGCATATGCCATAGCCTATAGTTGTCATACATTTTTACTTTAAATGGTAGTTTTCCTTTTAAGATGGGCAGTTTTGCACAAGAATATGACACCTCCTCAAAATTTTTTGACATGAATGTGCTCCTGTTTATCATTGTTTAAATTTTGTACAGTGTGAGCCCTCTATATGTTTAACTCTGCTGCTGTTGTAAATGATAAACCTAATTGGCAAATGACACAGCTGTCTCCACAAAAGAGCTTTCAAGTGTAAGGGTTGGAAATTTTGGTTTTGATTATTTTTTTAAGCAAATCAAATTCTTTGATCTTTGCTGCAGAAAATATTGATATTTCCAATCACTGGCACTTAGTAGTTCATGCTCCTTCATAGGGGAAAGAGTTAACAAATGTTAGGTTTCTAACTTTTTTTTTTCATGGGTTTTCTCAAGCTTTATAAGAGTCCTGAGATGTAGATTTTTTATCCTGCCCTTACAGGTGAGGAAAGTTAAGTATCTTGTCCAAAGTTCACAGCTTGTATAAAGCACTGATTGATTGATAGATTGATTTTGAGGCAGGGTCTCACTTTGTTGCCAGGCTGGAGTGCAGTGGTGCGATCACAGCTCACTGCAGCCTTGATCTCCTTGGCTTAAGCAATTTTCCCACCTCAGCCCCCTGAGTAGCTGGGACTACAGGTGCACACCACCATGCCTGGCTACTTTTCTCCTTTTTTAAAGAGACAGGCTTTCCCTATGTTTCTCAGGCTGGTCTCAAACTCCTGGTCTTAAGCGATCTTCTAGCCTCAGCCTCCCAGAGTACTGGGATTACAGGTGTGAGCTGCTAGTGCACAGCACTGAAATTCTTACATGAGTGTGTCTAAAACCCTAGTCCTTCCCGACATCTTTTGTTGCTTCTAACATTAACAACTGTGGAAATGGCCTGTTTCTCCAGCTAGACTGTCAGTTCCCATTGGGCAAAGATAATATTATATCCTTGGGAGAAATACAGTGTTTTGTAAGTGGACGATACTCTAAATGAATTTGTCATGGATGACAAATGAGAAGCCCACAGCTTAGCATTTTCCATCTACTATTTAGTAGCTTATCTTACATTTTTGGTTGTAGTTTTTATAACACCTCTTAGATTATATAAATGTTGAGAAAGATGGAAAGGTACAGACTTAGATTTGAATACCGTTACTAGCAGGTGATCTTAGGCACATACCTTTCAAACCTCAGTTTCTTCTTAGATAAAAATTGGGCAGTAATGCTTATGCCTCAGGGTTATTGAGAGGCTGAAATGAGATGAACTATGTGGATGTGCTAGGCACATATTAGGTAGCCAGTCAATTTTACTTTTCTTTCCTGAAATGATGGTGGCCTTTCAGATAGCATTGCCACCCAAAATATAACCACATGTCATCAACAGAACTAAAAGAAAAAAGGCAGGTATGAAAGTTCTTTATTTTCCTATTCCAGGTTTCATGTTCAGGCCTAGGTGTTATTATGTTAAAAAAAAAAAAAAAAAGTGCCGGGGTGGGGCAAGGTAACGTTTGGACAATATGAATTTGGTTGTAGTTTTTATAACCTCTCAACTTGAGTACAAGTTGGTGACGGTTTTCTTCTGAATACAGTGAACAAAATTTTTTTTGAGCTCTTACTATGTATGATGTACTGTATTAGGATTTCTGGCATATCCCTTATGGTAGGCACTGAAGTTCAGCAGATCTGGGCATTACACCTAAGTGTTGTGTACACCTGTTTTGAATGTAGTAGGATGGTTGCTATACTTGGCTTGTATCTCCTTCTCCAAATCCTAGGCATTGTGCCTTAGAGGAAAGCTGGGTATCTCCATCCTCAAGCATATTGACCGTAAACTATTAGGTGGAAATGTTCAATTAATAAAAATATTGAGGTAGGCAGGAGAGTTCTTAGTATATATTTCTTGGTCAAAAAAAAAGGTTCACGTTTCTTTGGTCACATCCCCAAGTCTCTGTCCCTCAGGCACTTAACATTCCTTCTCTTAGGAAGACCTTTCTTTACTGGATCTGCAGCATAATTCCTAGCTATTCTGCTGTTGGGTCACCTTCTGCCTACTTGTGACATTCCTTCTGCTCTTCCTTGCTCCAGGGATTGTTCCAGGGCCCCCAGTTATTCTAAATGGATGTGAGTACCATCTCTTCCCTAGCTGAGTGAGAAAGGGGGCTCCCTGTCATAGTTTAAGGTACCAGGGGCGGGGGTCATCAGCAGCTGTGGGTTTTTGTCAGGTTTGTCAGTGGGTGCCATTTGGAATTTTGCTTTTAAAAAGTTCTGAGAGTTATGGGGTAATCACTCTAAATGTTTTGAAACTTAATAAATAGTGAAGAGAGTAATGTTGTCTAGCCAGCTAAGGCTATAATGGATGCTAATGCTCTAATATTAGAGGCATTGTTTTTTTAAAAAAAATGATTCTAAATGTGCCATTATCTATCTAAATTATGTAAAAATGTCCCTGATGTTCTTAAATTGAGGTACATACTTACATTTCAGGGAAAGTCATTTAAGTACCTCTGTCACTTAAAAAATGCTTGAGGCCTATCAGCTTTCCCATTTGTTAAAATTCTTTTCATAACTTTTTTGGTGACTCCTATTTGATAGATGGCAGCTAGCCAGGGAAGATTACTGAGCTAATTATAACTGGAGGGGTCTCCGAGGAATACAGAGATGAGAAGCATTCTGGGGCCTGGTTCTTCTCAAATCCTAAAACCAAATTTAGCCTGTTGCTGATTATTTAGATGATGAGGACACTTTTAGCACAGGGATAGTGGCATGGATTTGAGTGAGGACAAGAGCCATGAAAATAATGACTAGGGCATACCCCTCATTTTTTAAAGATCTGATTTAAGATTTATTATATTATTTGAAGAGAAGGGTTTAGTTAAATTCAGTCACAGTTATAAATGTAAAAAAAAATTCTAAAGAAATTTAAAATGAAGAGTTGAGCTGATGAAAAGTGCTGTTTTCCAACATGGACCTTGTAATCTCTGTGGTTAAATTGTCCGTGTTCTTGCTAACTCAGCCTTTCTTCTAATAAGATGGATGATTTTCATTTGTGAAAGTCTACTGAGGAAAAAAAATTGATAAGGGACATTAGAGAAATTAGAAATATTAACTGGTACTCTTTTTGGGAGTGCCATTTTAATATTCTGAATAAATTGAAAAATGACCTTAAAAGGAAATTCAGGTGTTATTTTAGTCCATAGGTATTTTCTTGTAATATGTTTCACAGAGACCCTTCCCTTTGTTGGTATGTATTATTTTTCCCTTCATAGATGAATTATAGCAAGTTTAATTAAAATAATGGGATACTTAGATTGTGTGAGGAACATCAGTTGGCCTAATAATGAAAGTGTTTCAAATAAAAGAAATATACTGTAGTTTCCTAGTTCCCACCAAGCTTTTTGCAGAAGTATAGGCTTTCATGCTCGTCCGTGTGAAGAGACCACCAAATAGGCTTTGTGTGAGCAACATGGCTATTTCACCTGGGTGCAGGTGGGCTGAGTCCGAAAAGAGAGTCAGTGAAGGGAGATAAGGGTGGGGCCATTTTATAGGATTTGGGTAGGTAAAGGAAAATTACAGTCAAAGGGGGTTTGTTCTCTGGCGGGCAGGAGTGGGGGTCACAAGGTGCTCAGTTGGGGTGGTTTTGAGCCAGGATGAGCCAGGAAAAGGACTTTCACAAGGTAATGTCATCAGTTAAGGCAAGGACCGGCCATTTACACTTCTTTTGTGGTGGAATGTCATCAGTTAAGGTGGGGCAGGGCATATTCACTTCTTTTGTGATTCTTCAGTTGCTTTAGGCCATCTGGGCGTATACGTGCAAGTCACAGGGGATGCAATGGCTTGGCTTGGGCTCAGAGGCCTGACATAGGCATTATGAGTTCTCAGAAAGTTAGCAATATTAATTACTGAAAAGTTAACATAAACAGATATTTGAAAGTCAACCTGGATTATCTGTGAAAATGAAGAAGAGTGTGTTAACTTTCTGTAATGCCATTCATCCTGATATCCAGCATTTATACTGTTGGAGAAAATTCCAGCAATATGAATAAATTAGTAGGGCAAGTTCTCTGGCTTGGGGTTTAATGGATGAGAAAATATGATTCAGTTACTACCTTTTTGGTTGGATAGAATCTCTTTAGAAGACAGAGTTTTTCTAAAGACTGTTGCCGTTTTGACATAGCCTACAATTTCTTTTCTAAATATCATATTTTGAACTTGGAGTAATAGTGTTTGAAATTGTGGCCATCTTGGTCTTGGTAATTGAATGGATTGTCCCAGGCACAATGACTATTAACTGAAACCATACTTCTTAGATATTTATTTATTTATTCATTGAGACGGAGTCTTGCTCTGTTGCCCAGGCTGGAATGCAGTGGTGCGATCTTGGCTCACCACAACCTCCGCCTCCCAGGTTCAAGTGATTCTCCTACCTCAGCCTCCTGAGTAGCTGGAATTATAGGTGCACGCCACCATGCCCAGCTAATTTTTGTATTTTTAGTAGAGACAGGGTTTCACCATGTTGGCCAGGCTGGTCTTGAACTCCTGACCATGTGATCCGCCTGTCTTGGCCTCCCAAAGTGCTGGGATTACAGGTGTGAGCCACTGCGCCCAGCCAATTCTTAGATATTTAAAATTCCACTGCCAGGCACGTGTCCTTCTATTAATAACAAGTTCTTTGAAAGTTGGCTTTATGAAGCTATCAAAGAAAATTAAACTTTGTGTGTTTTTTGATTGGGTGACTTATGTGTGAGAAAAAAGATAATACTCTGTTTGAAAGCTGTTTCCCAGTTTTCTTGATTGGTGATGCAGGCATCTCCTTTAATTTGTTGCACAGTAATTGTCTAAGACTCAAATACTGCCTCTGCCAACAGTTCCGTTGTTTATTTTTCTCAGTCATTAACAAATGAAATCGATTGTGCCCCCAATCCATTTTACAATTAAGGATTGTTTTTGAGAAACATGGAGAAATTGGCTATGTTGTCTCGTTAATATACATAAACAATAAAATGTTTCATTTCCGTAAACATTTTTAGATATTTCTGTTAGTTTTTTCTGTGTAAATCAAGAGAATTGTTTCTTTGTGATTTCGCTTGTGTCCTAAAAAACAAACAAAAAGCCATTAATTGTCTTCATGGACCAGAAATTAGTTGTATTATGCTTAGTCTCCTTTTTACTTGCTAGTCAACATATTGTAAAAATACTATTTTAGGGGATCCTTTCTTTGACAGTAGCTCTTCTTGCTCCTTGGCCACAATGAAAATGTGATTGGAGTTTGTATTTTCTTCTATTTGCTGCTCTGGCAGAAGCTGATGTAATATTTCATTTGTGTTATATGCCTGCCTAGAATTTTAAAACTTCCAAAGAGCACAAGAAAACAGAACAACATAGTTATATCCACTGTTTTGGGTTCATTTGTGCTAATGGTAAAATGCTTTGCCTTGGTAATAAAATATTTATGGAATGCATAAAAGCATTCTTCGATTTTTTTCATTGCTTAGACAACACAGTGTATAAGGAAGAGTTGAAGAGCATGAGATGCAGTAAGAAAGTATTATTCTAATTGTAGTTTTAACCTCACATAGCAGACATAGTTGAGCTGCCGGTTTTCATTCAGATTTAGTGGCAAACACCTGGAGGTGGTAAACCATGTAAATACACTGTAACTGAGAAAGGAGAGACCTTGCTCCAGAAGAATGAGAAACAGGGCGCCAGGCAACAGGGTTTGAGTTCCAGCTTGGCATTGTGTCCTTAGGCAAGTCAGCATCTCTGGGCCCCTGTTTCTTTATCTCCAAAATAAGGAATTGGACTCACTGACCTTAAAGCCGTTCTAAGCATAAAAGTTTCTCTAAATGCACACATAGCAAGTTACACGGCAGGACTACCGGATCATTTTTTGGCTTTTCATCGTGATTTTATGTTATACCTCTTTCTCTTCTTCTCAACAAAGGAGTGTGAGGCCTTTTGTGATGACTTTCTTCTCATCCATTAAACATAAAACAAAGTGGTATTATTTAACAAATCTCTTCTGAATGTTCTGTTTTCCATAAGTAGTGTTTTCTTTTTCCTTTGAGATTTTAAGAGCTACTCTATTGTATAAGAGTAGGGTTAATTTTAATTGTTAATCAGAAGACTGGTTTATATATAAATTGTAGCAGTTTTTTTTTAAGTAAAGCAATGCATGATTAGCAAAAATCTTTTTTAGCGAGCTGCTCTGCATATTTGTTGCTGCAACAGTTCTTGAAAGCCTGATATCCTTTTATTTTTGTTATCAAAAAGCATTTATTAACCATTCATATGAATGTAAAGCTGAGTCATCTAAAAATATATCTCAGTGTAGTCATAGTTGACAGTCTAATAACTTTAGTATGAAAAGATCATATAAAATTATGTAAGATGCAACTTAATTGAATTTACTTTTCTTAATTTATCATTGAATGACATGGAATATTTTTTCTATATTTTTCCCTAAATTAAACTAAATGTAAACATATAAATTGCCCAATTTTGTTTAATCTCTAAAGTTAGTGAAAACATTACATTGGCATTTATATTGGTTAATAAAATTGAAAAGAAATTTAGTAGTCATTTGTCTAGACTACCTATCTGTGTGAAACTTCTTTGACCATATCCCTGATACTTGACTAATAAATCAGCCTCTGCTTGAGAAGCCTTAGGGACTGGGGCTTCAGATACTTATGACAGTCTATACTTATCTTAACTCTGCCTTTCTGTGACCAGACATCATGGCTCTTGTACAGTTTCACTTTGGGCTTACTAGGCACTACCTACACTAGACTAGACTTTGCCTTCTGTATACCCAGAGCATAGCTGGATCATAATAGGCTCTTACTCATTTAATAAATGTTACATGAGTATCTACTATATCTCAGGCTCTGTGTTTGGCAGTGGGAATACAGCTGTGAACATTACAGACATATACTTTCACAGAATTTACAGTCTGTTGGATAAGATAAACATTGAATAAATTTTTAAAATTATGATGTTATAAAGGAGAGGTACAAGGATCTAGCATATGAGCATGTAATAGGTAACTTAGTTTAGAAAGATTTCTAGGAGGATAATCTCAGGTAATATTTAAACTGAACTCTGACAAATGAATAGGAGCTATTCAAACTACTATTATATGAGAATTTAAGTCCTGATCTACAGTTTAGTTACATACCATTATTAGGCACCTGTACTGTGCAAGGTGCTAAGGTAGGTTTTGGGAAAACAAAGTTGCATGACATAATGTAGTTTTTTCCCCCTCAAGAGAATATGTTCTAGGATTGCAGACATTTAACTAAAGAATTGGGGTTTTGAGGGGTGTTTGATATAATACAGAGACAGGAGTGATTAAAACTCCCAAATCAGTTGTGGTAGAAAGAAAGGCCTCTTGGAATGTTCAGAAGCCACTGCTTAGAACACTAGGAATACCACCATCAAAATGACAGAAGCAAATCAAGTAAAACAGTTTGAGTCTTTGGGGATTGAGAGATCAGGGCGGTTTCCCAGAGATTGGGATGATTCTCATTATTCTGGAACTCATACTGGGCCATTCTTATTTTTCTACTTTTTTTCTCATTTCTGCCTCCCCTTTTCTGAAAGTGTTGAGTGGTATTTGAAGTGCATGGTTTCGAACAATCTTATAGTTAGGATGCTTTTAACTTCATGGAGTAGAAAAATACCAATTCATTTGGCTTTCAAAAATGAGGGTCTTTTTATCCCATAAATCCTGAAGTAGGATATGCAGGGTTGGTTAATTCAGTACAAAAGCTTATCAGACCTTCCTTCTGCTGTGCTATCTTTGACATATCTGCCTCATTCTTGGGTCAGCTTCTTTCAAGGGCACTAATCATGGCAGAAGAAACGTGGGGTGATTGGTGGACACATACTCATTATGTGAGTAGAAAAAATACTATCTTTTCTCATGTATGTCTTTTTTCAGTGAGGAACACCTTTCTCCAAAGTGCTGTGACAGATTATACCCTTATGGCTTACTGGCCAGAATCATATTACATTTTATGCTTAAACCAATCACTAGGAAGGCTTTGGACCAATCTGGGCCTGGTGCCATCTCTGAAACACAGGGCATTGGGGCAGGGAGTTGGTGACAGAATAGCATTGGAGTAGCAAGAAGGATGAAGAATATGGCTGTTACAAATATGTTAAGATAAATGGAGTATAATCTACCAGAGCTACTCAAAGCCATACTGGCAATGTTTGGTTATTAGATATGCATATCTTTCCCACCCCAAACCTACTGAATCAGAATCTCTCTGGGAGCTTACCCAGGAATCTGTGTTTTAACCAGCCTCCAAGTGATTTGTATGTACATTAAAGTTTTAGAAGAACTATTCTAGATGTCCCAAATGGAATAGGAAATTGCAGCCTTTAGGCAGTCTGCTTTCATACTTTCATTAGCTTTGGCTACTCCAAAAGATACTTCAGCTTGGCTTTTGAGACATGCCTGGATAAGGAATTTGTATTTATTTCCATAGGCAATGAGAATTTCATCAAACAAGGAAGAGAAGTGATATGATGGGGGTTGCAGCTTAAGGAGATCAATCCATCCTCCTTGGCACTATTAGATTAGAGTGATGGGCAGACTAGTTAGAAAGCTGTTGTCATGACTAGGAGAGTAAAAATGCTAGGGGAACTAAGGTAGCAGTAATGGAAATGGAAAACAGTGAATGGAATTACAGCAATCATTTAAGAAGTTTTGATATTGCATTGTCCAATGTGAGGGGAAAGGTGGGAAGAGCCAACTGTGACTGTGAGGTATAAACCTTAGTTTCTACGGAAATGTTAATGCCGTGGAGAACAGGGTGGGCAAAAGAGTAATTTAGTTTGGATGATCAGTCATATTTTGGACATGTTGAGTTTGAGGTACCCAGCTGGGTATCCAGGTGTCAGAAGTCTTTAAGGAAGTAAAGAATGTGATCCTGGAGCTCAGGAAAAAAGTTTAGGATGAGAGGCACATGTTTGAGTGATCAGTAAGGAGAGTGGCATGAGAATTGAGGAGAAAAAATGGTCTGGGGACAGAATTTTAGGAATCTCAGGAGAGGAAAGGAGGAGCCAGTTAGGGAAACTGAGGTGTGGTCAGAGAGGTAAGAAAAGATATAGGATACACTTGAGTAATGGAACCCCATAAAGAGCTTTTCTAGGAGGAATATTCACAAATAACTGGGTTTAAAGGACTGTAGTGAGCCCAGAAGAAGCTGGTTAGCTTGAATTGGTTGTAAATCTAGCCGGCATAGTTCATATTTCCTTGAAATAATCAAGATAGCTTTATCTTGATTATTTCTTGATTATGTCTTGAAATAATCAAGATAGCTTTATCTTGATTATTTCCAGTTGCCATTAAATTCTTGGAGTTCTATGGTTATTTGGATCACAAGTCATTTCCCGATTTAAGATTAAGTGCGCTCTCCAATTCTCTGACTTTGAGTATCTCTCATTGTGGGTTTTCCAGGAAGGTTGGGACTGATCAGACAGAGGTGGCCTAGGGATGGCTCTTCAACTTCTCTGTTGCTCTTGGTGCCTTCCCTGTGGTTTTTCCATGGCCTGTGCATTATGAAACTAGCTTGTGTACTTATTTTGTTTGCGCCAGTGTCAGGGTGTCAGGGAAGGGTATTATGTATCCCTCTTACTTGCTGAAATACATGAAATGAGATCCATGAATTAAGAAACAAAAATATTCACTTGTCAGATTGACTGTAGCCCTCTCTCTTTTTTGGCTCCAGCTGGATAAAAAAGCCCATGATGTTGAAATTTTAGTTCCTATGAACAGGAAGAATTAGGAAACTGGGGGAAAGGAGGAACTTGTGAAAAAAAGTTATTGCCTGTTCTATCTGAAATTGACTTAAAGTGTCTAGTAAGTCCAGTTTTATGTGGTGGGGAATTATCTTGTCTGTTGATTGAACATAAGAAGAGGTTCTGATATAAATGCTTTTGGAGGAGAGTGTGGTATTTAGGGATTTTTGCGTCAAGGTTAAAGAGAGCCAGGCCAGGAAAAAAACATTAGCAAGGTATTTCTGCCTCACTGTGGTGGAATGGGACTAAAAAAACATGGCTTTGCTTCTGGGCTCCACCATTGGCCTGCTCTGTGACCTTGGATAAGTCATTCAACTATTTTCAACCTGTTTCCTCGTCTGTAAAATGATGAGAGTAGGTTAAATGCTCCCTCCCATCTATAAAAATGTTTGACTAAGGTAATGAAATGTTTGACTCCCAATCCACTCTATGTCTAAAGGCGTGGGGAATCAATTTTATATTGCTAGGCAATAGGGACAAAACACTTCATGAGGTTAGAAATCTTGGATTATTCAGAGGATTTTAGTTGACCTTCCTTTAGAAACACAACTGTCCTTGTCAGAAGTGTAACCTGAGAATGTTAAATCCAAGAAAGCTTCTAACATCTGTACTACTTTTCCTACCAGAAATTTCAGACCTTTCTTAAAAAATTCAGGATGGATGAAGAAGTCACCACTAAGGGAAATGGTTCCCTGCTCTGTGCCTCCTGGTCTGTGCCCAGATGCTTAAGATAGCTACGCTTCTTGTCTAAGCACTCTTCCTTATTCTTTATTCTTGAATATTTTTTATTCGTTACAAGCCCTTCCTGATTCTTTAATCACTAAAAACAGAGCTTTTAGAGGGGTAGAAGAGGTGACAGGCTTGTTGTAATGTTCTTTTGTTTAAGCCGATTATATTTATAAAGAGGGTGGAAGAAAACAAATTATTCTTCATGTGCATTGGTGCTGTATCAAACAAAAGAAAGAAACAAAGGTTAGAGACATTTCTCGAGTTTGATCCTGTGTCTGGGATTTTTTCAAGTCTGCCTCTGAAACTTAGACCTGTGTTGACAGAGAGCACATGCAATATTAAATGTGAGTCTTTCAGCCAGCCTTTCTTAGCTTGGGTTGATAGGATAGTGACTTGGGTTCTGTGTGTTTTGACCTTAAATCATGTAAATTAATAAGTTATTGTTCTGCAGAGGGAGCTTCTAAAATGTTTTGTTTTGTTTTCAAATGGTTCTCATTTAGACAAATCTCAAACAGCTACTTTAGTTACTTCTAAACTTTGTAGTTACATTTAGTTTTATCTTATATGTTGTCTTTAATTCTATCTGTATAAATGTCTTTTATTCAAATATAAGTGAAAGAATTTATAGTAGGTGGAGTATATAAGGGGAAAGAGTTTTTAGCCTTACTGAAATGTGATTCTGCTAAATTAACAGGCATTTGTAAAAATAACTAGTTATCAAACTATTTGAATAGAAACTTTACAAATACATTTTTAAAATAAGATTGAATCAAATACTAAGGATAGAAGGGGAAGGGTGGACAAATAATCCAGTTGTCCCTATTTTATGAGAAGTAAATAAGATGATTACTTTCTAGATAAAGTATAAAACAGCCTGTGTTGGTATTTTTCTGCCAAAGTGTTTGGGTCTGGGGTGTTTCTTTTTCTGTTTTTTTTTTTTTTTTTTTTTCTCTTTTCTTTTCTTTTTGAGACAGGATCTGCCTCTGTCACCCAGGCTGGAGTGCGGTGGCGCGATCTCGCCTCACTGCAGCCTCTGCCTCCTCGGCTCAAGGTATCCTCCTGCTTCAGCCTTCCAAGTAGCTGGGAATACAGACAAGCGCCACCACACCTGGCTAATTTTTGTATTTTTTGTAGAGATGAGGTTTTGCCGTGTTGCCCAGCCTGGTCTCAAACTCCTGGGCTCCAGGGTCTACCCGCCTCAGCCTCCCACAGTGTTGGGATTGCAGGCATGAGCTGCCATTGCCCAGCCTTTTTCTGTAGTTTTCTATTTTTGTTGTTTGTATTTATCTAAGAGGGATTTCCGTCACCTTTAGTGAGATCCATCTGTCACAGAAGTGCCCGGCTATGCCAAAAGCATTAAAAGTCTAGTCTGACACACGTAAGCAGTGGAAAGTCTTGGCTGAAATTGGGAACCAGAAGATGGCAGGCAGCCCTATGCCCTTCTCCTTTTAAAATGAAAACGTCGATACAGGGAAGTAGAGGCACCTTGGAATTGCCAATACCTCTCAAGGGGTTCTTGTTTAGTGGAGAATATGAAACTGGAGTGAAACGAGTCCTAACTAGTTGACACCACTGAATTACTGCCACAGGATAAAGGGACCTTGGGATTGAGCCCTTTTCATTTGCTGAATACCAGAAATCAGTTATAGCTTACCAGCTGTTTGAATGGCTTCCTGGAGTTTTCAGTTGGTGGTTTTATGTTTTTGTTTTAAGATCTTAGCAAAGCAATGTCTCAAGATGGTGCTTCTCAGTTCCAAGAAGTCATTCGGCAAGAGCTAGAATTATCTGTGAAGAAGGAACTAGAAAAAATACTCACCACAGCATCATCACATGAATTTGAGGTAAGGAGGTTTCTACAGTGTTCCACCCCCCCGCCCCTCCCTTCATCTGTCTTCATGCTGAGTTGCTGCCGGTGA
Organism: Homo sapiens; assembly: GCF_000001405.40. NCBI lineage: Eukaryota > Metazoa > Chordata > Mammalia > Primates > Hominidae > Homo > Homo sapiens. The sequence continues at coordinate 63,856,509 of NC_000002.12, forward strand.
TGATGATAATCATCACCTCAAATCAGCACAAGATGTACGATAACATCAAAAACAAAAAAATTAGAATTGCTTAACAATTACCGGCTTTTAACATTTGCCCTTTGTAAATCCATTATCTTTTTTTCATTTAAGCCTAGGAAGTTTTCAAAGTCATTAAAATAATCAGAACCAAATTATACTTTGTTCTGTGTTTTGATGTCATTGGGTGGAGAAATGCATACCTGTGTTCAGTTGTAATTGAGAGAAGTTAGCTTCATATGTCCTGCATGCCTTTTCCAGAGAGTCACTTCTGATAGAACCATGCTACTTTGACAATTGTCATAGAAGTTTTCCAGAACTGGGAGGCATTTACTTTTTTACTTGTAAATCAATAGGTTAGTATTTTCATTTTTATATTTCAATTTATACTTAATGTTTTGAAGCTAGCTGTGTTTTATTTCTTTTTGTTCTTTTAGTGAAGATTAATTTTCATTGAGAAGTAGAGAAAGATATTGGTAAGTAAGTGTAGCGGCCAGGCGCAGTGGCTCTTAGCTGTAATCCCAGCACTTTGGGAGACCAAGGCAGGAGGATTGCTTGAGCTCAGGAGTTTGAGACTGGCCTGGGCAACATGGCGAAACCCTGTCTCTACCAAAAAATACAAAAATTAGCCAGGCATGGTGGTATGCGCCTGTGGTCCCAGCTACTGGGGAGGCTGAGGTGGGAGGGTAGTTTAAGCCTGGGAGGTGAAGTTTGTAGTGAGCCGAGATTGCGCCACTACACTCTAGCCTGGACAACAGAGCAAGACTCTGTCTCAAAAAAAAAAAAAAAAGTACAGAGCCAGTTGGAATTCCCATTAAACAAATGGTGTTTGTTTGTTTGTTTTTGTTTGTTTTTGAGACAGGATCTCACTCTGTCACCCAGGCTGGAGTGCAGTGGTGCAATCTCTGCTCACTGCAGCCTCAACTTCCTGGGCTCAAGTGATCCTCCCACCTCAGCCCCCGAGTAGGTGAGACTACAGGCACACACCACCACATCTGGCTAATTTTTGTATTTTTTTTGTAGACACCGGGTTTTGCCATATTGCCGAGGCTGGTCTCAAACTCCTGAGCTCAAACGATCAGCTGGCCTGAGCCTCCCAAAGTGCTGGGATTACAGGCATGCACCAACTACGCCCAGCCTGTATTAGCTTTTAGGATGTGAAAAAGTCTTGCTCCCTCCATGTCCTAATGGTGTAAGAATTTCATTTAACGATATTTTAAATGTGTAACTTGTATCTGTCTTTATGTTTTTATTAAATATTAAGCATTCTGCTGGTTGTAACAATGACTTCTATTTTCACAGCACACCAAAAAAGACCTGGATGGATTTCGGAAGCTATTTCATAGATTTTTGCAAGAAAAGGGGCCTTCTGTGGATTGGGGAAAAATCCAGAGACCCCCTGAAGATTCGGTAAGTTTTAGATAAAATGTAGGAAAATGTAGGGTAATCTTGGGCACTGGTTTTAACTTAGGACGGTTGGGTAGTGTAGGGGACCTATAACAATCATGTGAGACAAGACAGGACTTGCTTTGAATTCTCTGACCCCTCATCCTGAAACTATGGAGACAGCCTTCAGCTCCTTTCCCTTCTTTTAGACCTCTGAGTCTTGCTGAGGTCCTCTAACAGTCTGATCTCCCTGTGGCAGTACCCAGTATCCCTGGATATGAAATGACTTTTGCAAAGCACTAAATATCCCATAAGAGCTTCGTTTACTTTGTTTCTTCCTTCTCTCTCCCAAAACATTTGATTTCTCATTGCCCGTAGGGTCATGGATGCTTAGCCAGACCTTAAAGCTCTCTTCTTGTATTTTATTGGAATACAGCTTCACTCATTAATTTATATACTATTTATCATAGCTTAAGCTAATGAATCTCTCTTGTTTTTTCCTAATGAGAAAATTATATATATAGTTCCTAGTTAGAGGTACGTTTATTTGCATATGTGGAAAATGTCTTTCAGTTCTTAATGTTTTAAAAACTATACATAACATTCTCACTATAAAAAAAAAAGCTAAAAAATAAAAATCTCACGTAATGTTCTCTCTGAGGAGCCTCTTATTTTTGATGTTAAAGCTAAAATTCCTCTTGGCTGTAATGCTTAACAGTTACAATATGCATTTTTTTTTAGGGTCTATTTTGGTCTTTAATTTCCTTGACCCTAGTGAATGAATTGTGATTTATTTTTCTACTTTTAAGTAGTAGATTTAATAGTATTTTCTTCCAAGAAAGAGTTAGAATTCTTCTGGATAGGTATGTTGTTTAAGAAAATAAGTAGGTGTAAATTCAGTCAGATTCTTAAAAATGTTTGGGAACAGCCTAAAATTATAATAAATTTAGGCACTATTTATTCCCACACCCCCCCGCCCCCCCGAAACACTTATAACTTTTGCTTAGGAATTACCCTAATTTAAGTAACCTCACTTATATAATTTATGATGGACCTGGGTGTAGAAGTGTAGTTTCCTTTTTTCTTTTTTCTTTTTTTTTTTTAGACAGTCTCACTCTGTCACCCAAGCTGGAGTACAATGGCATGATCAAGGCTCATTGCAGCCTCTATTTCCCTGGGCTTGTGTCCTCCCACCTCAGCCTCCTGGATAGCTGGGACCACAGGCATTTACCAACATGTCTGGCTAATTTTTGTATTTTTTTTGTAGAGATGGGGTTTCGCCATGTTGCCCAGGCTGGTCTCAAACGTCTGGGCTCGAGCAATCTACCTGCCTTGGCCTCCCAAAATGCTGGGATTACAGACATGAACCACTGTTCCTGACAGTGGTTTTGGTCTTAATTCTTGCTTGCAGACCTGGGAATTTTTTGTTTTCTACTGTACAAACTTAACTTTTCGGAGACAGAGCCTACTTGAAGGAAGGTACGCAGATTTATTATGTTCAATATATTTTAGGGTTCAAGAATTAGTTTTTTTCAGTGGAGAAATCTATCTTTTGTACTTTGAGAGATCATGATATATAGTAGGGATTCTTGAAGTGGGGGTCAGAGGGTGGAGAAGGAAGGAGAAGAGGAATCATGGGATTTTTTCGGTTCAGTACTACCCTACCCCATTCCCAGGAAAGTTCTGATAAATTCTTTCAGGAGGCTATGCCCATGTAGTGAGCCATAGTTACTGATAGTAATACAGAATTGATATAGGACAAAAGAATAGAAATATAAAATAAATTCTAGATGTAACATGATTTTATGCCGTCTTTTTCTGTTTATAAAAGTGTAAGTCTTCATTAAAAGTGTCTTTATTTTGAAGCATAAGTTTTAAGCTTCTTCAGAAAATGTATTTGCAATCCCATATGCCCTTAATCTTGAAAATTTTGGAATGCAGAGGCAAAAAATAAGTTTGCTCTTCAACTACGTCATGAGTTTCTTGAGGGCACAAATGTGTTTTATATACGATATGCATGTTACCAGCTTTTGCAGATAGTTCTGAGAATACAAATCTTGAGCTAATGTTTGTTCACCTTGGTTCTTTTGGATTCCTCCTTCTAGCCTCCTCGTCCTACTCTTCTCTTTCCCATAGGTTTCCTTTCTCAGGTCTTAGAGATTATTATAGAGATCAATTTTCCTTTCAAAATGTAATTTTTAAAAGTGAACATAGGTCTTTTTTTAAAAAAAATGCAAATAATATTTTATATTCCTAAGTAAAAAGAAATTACTGTGGAAGAACAGCCATTTAGAGTAACATTTCTCATGTCAGCCTTATATCAAAGGTGTGACATAAACATTGTCATACCAGTGGATCTATATTTTTGTGTATGAGTTGACAATTAGCAGAGTCAGCCACCTGGTTTGTAAGTAAAGTTTTATTGGAACACACCCACACATTCATTTATGTATTGTCTATAACTGCTTTTTTGCAACAATGGCAGAGTTGAATAGTTGGAGTGGAGACAGTATGGCTTGTAACAAAACCTGAAATACTTATTATCTAGCCTATTTACTGACCCCATTTTAGTGTATGTATTTTCAGAACATCTTTGGTAGCTTTCTTTATTTCTTTGGCCCTCAGAAAACTGACCTCATATGCCTTTGTCATTTCAGATGATCACTTTTAATTTTTATCTTTATTTTTTATTTTCTTTTAGAGATGAGGTCTTGTTCTGTCACTCAGGCTGGAGGGTAGTGGCACAGTCATAGCTCACTACAGCCTCGAACTCCTGGGCTCAAGGGATCCTCCTGCCTCAGCCTCCTGAGTAGGCAGGACTACAGGCATTGTGCCACCAGGCCCAGCTAATTTTTTTTTTTTTTTTTTTTTTGTAGAGACAGGGTCTCCCTATGTTGTCTAGGCTGGTCTTAAAGTCCTGGCCTCAAGTGATCCTCCTGCCTTAACCACTTTTTAGATAAAAATAGTTTTTCATAAATACTAGATTGAAGGACATATTTTATAGATAGGCATTGAAATTTTATATTGTGAGGTTTTACTCGTTCTTACCTTTTGTGTTGAATGCTTTGTTTTAGCTCTCAGTGAGTACATAGATGTTTTGTGAGAAGTCTTTTGAGTTCATGTTTTATGAATTATGGCTAATAAGAACCCAGTTTATAGCGTTATGGATAATGCTCTGCTCCTTCTTTGTAAATGTTAACTAAATGTAATAATAAGATTATCTTGATATTTAACTACATAAGTAAAAAAATTTTTATATATATATAAAGGTTAATGTTTTAAATTAGAGCAAGAAAGGACAAGCCAGCATATGTAGCTTATTTGACCATTTCATTGTTTTCCAGAGAGGTTATGAGAGTGTCTTGGTCTTGGCCAAGCTTACACGTTGGGCATGGACAGGGATGGGAAATAGATCAGAGTTACGAGGAAGTACGGGGCCTGTTCAAGAAGGTATTGGAGCTGACGAGTTCTCTTGAGCGCTAATTTAAAACCTGTTGAAGTCACATGGCTGGCACTGACCCCTGGTGGTGATGTATTTTCATTTCTATACAAAATATTCTCTAAAGAAGGCTTTTTTACCAGCACAGGCAACATAGACCTCACCTCTACAAATTTTTTTTTTTTAGTTAGCTGTGCATGGTGGCATCTACCTGTAGTCCCAGCTACTTGGAAGGCTGAGGTAGGAAGATCACTTGAGCCCAGGAGTTTGAGGCTACAGTAAGCTATGATATCACCACTGCACTCCAGCCTGGGCAACAGAGTGAGATCCTGTCTCAAAAAAAAAAAAAAAACAAAAAAACGACTTTTTCATTTCAATATTTAATAGGATCAAAAGAGTGAAGGTATATTTGTGAACAGGGAGGAGTTATGTAGGGTCATAGGGTAGAGAATTGGCATGAAGAGAATAGCATGCATCAATGTGGTATTTAGCTCCAATGGATTTTTTGTTTTGTTCCATAAAATTGCTGAGACTTTTTCTTAGTCTATCAATACAAAAAACATTAAAAGCTATTGTTTATTTATAAGGAAGTCTGAGGAAGTTACAGTTTATGTGTGCAGAGTACAGATACATAGCATTTTTTTTTCTGAAGGTGAACCGTAGTACACTGTGCATTTAAAGTTTGCACATTAAAAGAAAAAAATCTTGAGGCAATCTGGCCAAGCATCTGATATAGTATGCCATATAGGATGATTTGCTTTGAGCATGTGAAGATTTCCCAGCTGCAACTAGCCAATGATAAAGCCATTAGAGACTTGTTTTGTGTGTATGTGGAGATACACACACAAATGAGATTCTAAAAAGTATTCCACAAAAAGGAATTAGTGGCATTTAAAGAAATGGCTCTGAGGACATGGCTGAATACCAAAGAGTCTCATCATTTCTTTGACATAAAGTTTTAAAACAGTAATATATAGAAATACTGACACTAAGCAGACATACTAATTTAGCAAATATTGCCAAAGCTTCAACTTTTGATTTCATGATGAATTGAACAGTTTTTGAATTTCCCTCGGGATTACCTTCCTTCACATTCCTTCGTGTACAGGACTTTCAGAAATGGGGACCTGATAAAGGAACTGACAACAAGCCCATGATTATTAATTCCATACTGGTTACATGTCTATAATTTCACTTTAGAAATAGCAATAGCAAATACATGGAACTTTAATGGCAGTTACATATTTGATTTGATAGACTCCCGGTTTTATTGTTGGACCAGGGTCTCTAACTACTGCCTTTGTGTCCAAAGTAGAGGACAGTCCAGTCCCACAGAATTGAATTCATTAGGAAAATCAGAGTGTGGGTTTAGGTGGTAATACTACTATTTGAACATTGCCAGTCCCTCCAATTCCAATTTCCACCCCACAGAGAAAGTATGGTGTTAAAGAAATGGTGTTAAAGTTTCTGAAACTTCTTTTGCCCACAGGCAGGCTAACAAGAAGGGAGATACAAGATGATTTTAGTAAAGAGTCCTTTACTAAGGACTTTACTGGAACAGATTGTGACGTAAGCAGGTTGGTATTTGGAACTCCATTTCTGTTAGCATACCTTTCCAGCTCCCTGAGTCATCTACCTTTGTCCTTTCTAATCATACTAAAGTGGAGTGTTCTTTTAAAACTATCTTCTTAGCTGATAAGGATATGGGTCAGATGTTCCACAAGGTTGACTAATTTTATGACTTCAGCTGACTTCTATAAAAAGGTGATGAATATACATAACTGTTGGTAGTGTTTGAATTTTTTTAAACCATCTGTGTATCACTTTTACCTTTTACACTTAAAAAATACTCAGAAGTCTTTGAACTTCTTAAAATTTCTATAAAAATTCTAGATACAGTAAGGTTTAGGGAGCAGTTGGTACCTTCTCTTCATAGGTACCATCTACTTTGTAGGATCGTTTGCCATCTGTAACCACAGTGTTTTACTTATTTCTTGTTTTTTTCATCTGGGTTTTCTGCCAATTCTTTTATTGTCATCTCTTCTCTAGTTTTCCAGGTTTAAAGTGCACAGTTGGGAGCATTATAATTTTACATCTCTTTAGCATTTTGGAAATTGCTACAATTTTTAATGAAAGGGCAGTAGTTACATGAGTTTGAGAGGCAAATATATCAAGAGGAAGAAATAAAATGCTGTAAGTAGGTTAACACATGAGCATTGAATAAGTGAGAAGCAACTTACAATATGTGTTTTAAAATCAACTTTTAATTTTAGAATAGTTTGATTTACAAAAAAGTTGCAAAGATACACTATTTTTAACTAGAAACATTATAAAGCTATCCAAGCTAATTTGTTACTGTATCTCATTTTTAAAATTCCCACTGAGTCAAAGGAAGGACAAGGTAATAACTAAGAGTACTGATGGAATTTTTCTTTCAAGGTCAGAAGTGAAAATATATGAAAGATAGCTGAGAAGAAACTTGGATGTGCCAGGAGAATACCTGTGACTAGACTAAATATGGAAAGAAGTAGAAGTAGGCCATTAAATACAGATTTCTATTTATAGATGGGCTTATTTAAGACAAGTGTCTTCATCGTACATAGTCCTAATGCCAACAGCAGATTGGAAAATATTCTCTTATTTCAAAAGAACAAGAAACACCATTTCAAAGGGTTTTTTGGTTTTTAATGAAGCAAAGCTTTAAGCATTTTTCCTTTTTTAAAACTTTGTAAAAAGCTGTGTATGCAAAGCTCTATATTCTGTAGTTAATGATTATTGCCAGTGTTTGGGTACTGACATGTCAGGCTTTGTGCTGAATCCTTTATGTTTGTGATTTCATTTAATATTCATAACAGACCTGGAAGATAGGTACTGTTATGTCATTTTACAAAAGAGGAAACTGAAGTTCAGAGTAAGTCACCTAAGAGAAGGGGCCCTGATGAACCAGGTGTAGATAGTCAGGCCCTAAGACCTGGTTCTTTGGTATCCTGTAGTAACAACAAGGAGTACATCCCTATGTTTATCTCTAGTGCACAGAATGTGGCATATTTTATGTGCTTATCAACAACAGTAGTAATAACAATAGCAACAAACATTTATTCAGCACTAATAAGCATTCTTCTCAACTCTTCTACATGTGTTTTCTTACATGATACTCAGATAACTCTAGGAGCTCACTGTTATCCTTTTTTTCATAATGCAAGACACAGTGGGGGCTGAGAGGGATTGAGTTATCCACACAATTTTCCTTAGCTAATAAGGCAGAATTTAGGCCCAGGTCTACCTGAGCCCGCATTCCTAATCACTATGATGTATTGTAGAACACCCACCAGTTACCACCAGTGTTTGAAAGAAACTTGAAAGTCTTTAAAGTATGGCCTTTCCATCAGTTCTCCATCTTTGGGTAGAGTAGAGCAGGCTCCATTCCTTCCTTTAGAGCCTAAAATACCCTCACTTCTCTTTGAAGTTCTTCCCACGATACATTTAACAAATATTTATTGACTAGCTACTGTGTGATAGGCACTGGGCACTGAGATACAAGTGAACAAGATAGTCAAGGGCCTAATACTAACAGAGCTCTATTCTAGTGGGAGAGATAAAACATAAATTCATAAATAAGTAAAATAATTTAGAAGACTAATTTCCCATCACTGCTCTTCTGGCCCAGGCTTACCCCCAACAGTCACATCTCCCTGTCTGAAGTACTTTTTTCTGATTTATCTGTAGTCACTATGTGAGGCTGTCGAAGTCTCCTTTATTCATTACATTTATTCTACAGACCTATCAAATACCCACTGTTTTATTTTAATTATTGGGAATGCAAAAATAAAGACAGTCACTCCCCTCAAAGAACTTAAAATTTGGACCATACAGTGTTTCCCAAATTTTCCCGTAGAAAATGAGTAGGGTAAATGTAAGAGGCCGTTTAGTTGGGAAGGAGGCTGTGGCTGCCTCCAGCCCTGCCCAGCTGCCTAGAGGGCTGAAGGAATCAATAACACAGGCATGCAATAGCAAGCCAGTTCAGAACTTTTGGTTTAGTGAGGAGATGTTTGCACAAAAATATGTTTATTGTGCAACTGAGTAATAGCTATGAATGTGGTTCAGGAGATATTTCACTAACAGGCTTCTACCTAGAGAGAATGAATAACTGGTGTTCTCCATTCTCAGAATGCTTGGGTCTATTTTTTTTTTTTTTTTTTTTTAAAGAGACAGGGTCTCACTCTGTTGCCCAGGCTGAAGTGCAGTGGTGTGACCATAGCTCATTGTTACCTTGAACTTGTGAACTCAAGGGATCCTCTTGCCTCGACCTCTTGAGTAGCAGGGACTACAGGCACGTGTCAGCATGCCCACCTAATTTTCAAATTTTTTATAAAGACAAGGTCTCGCTGTGTTACCCAGGCTGGTAACTCCTGGGCTCAAGCGATTCTCCTACCTAGGTCTCCCAAAGTGCTGGGATTGTAGGTGTGAGTGACCTCACCTGGCCTTGGGTCTACTTTTTATTATGCATATGTTCTCCCACCAAAGTGAGTGGCTTGCTTACCGAAGTCAGTTGTGCTTGTTCTCAAATGTGTTCATGCTAGTTATCTTGGTTATAATGACATAATATAATTAAATTTTATACAAACTAGTGAAATGGGTTTAAAAAAGCTCTTTCTAAGAAAACTGAATTGAATGCTTTGGGAAACTTGGATAAAGAGTAATAGCAAAAAAAAATGTTGAATAGGTGTGACAACTAAGAAAGACTGGGAAAATTTCATAAATCTAGAATGATTCTTCTGCATGCAGATTGTTTCACAAATGTCTAAGCTCTTGGTCCACTTGGAAGAAACTGAAACTGAAAATCACAGAATGTATATTATTGATGTGGTTTATTTAAGAAAGATGACACACAGCTCTGGGTCAACAGATTCGTGCTATAAATAAGGAAAAGACCCTGGTGAATGAATGTAGACTTATTTGTAAAAAGTTAAAACAGTTAATGTGTCTAAAACTTTTTCATGATTCTATGCTTGCACTTATTTTTAAAATTAACTGACTACTTGTTCAGATGTTCTAAATAATTAAATAAGTGGGTTTCTGGTATATGTGCTCAGTGTAGCAGGAGAAGGAGCAGCTGGTGAGTTGGTGAAGTCCTAATCAAGTTAAGGATAAGAGGTAATGTTAGAGCTGAGACTTGAAGTATGAGTAAGAGTTTGCCCAAAAAATCAGGGGTAGATACTCCAGGTTTAAGAGAATGTGGTATGCAGATACTCCAGGTTTAAGAGAATGTGGTATGCAAAGGCCCACAGGCATGAGAGAACAGAACGTGCTCTAAGAACTATAATTTTTATAGTACTCCTGGAGAATAAGAATGCAAATAGGTGGGAAATGAGGGTAGGCAAGGTAGTGGGGGCCATGCTGCAAGCTCATTGTCAATTGGGGGATCATTTTGGCTGAAATAAGATGCTGGAAAACACAGGATGGACGATCCTATGCCTTATAGCAGTCTAGGCGGATGCATTTTTTAGGAAGCAAGTAGGGAGTAGCTGTGCTTTAAATTCCTCAGTGTGAAACCCCAAATTACATAGGAAATACAGATTTCTCGTGGTTCTTGGTCACTGTTACTGAAATGGCTACTTTGACATTTACCTGTTTTTAAATTTTTTATTTTTAACACCATTTCTCAGGGATAGCTGAGCTTGTGGTTTAATTTCTGTATATTTATGTTGTTTATTGTGTGAATTTTTATAGTTTTAAAATCCCTAATTTTATGATAGAGAGCTATAATATTCTTAACCAAGTGCACAGTCAACAGGTATCTGAGAAATTACTTCAAGCTCTATGTAAATCACTAAAAAATCCTACCATTACAAAGACCACCTACATATACATTTTGAATTCATTCTGCCTTCAGTGTATTTAACACTTTTTTTTCCAATTTGTTAGTAATGGCAGTGAGATAAAAAGGCTTAAGAGATTTGTCCTAGCCTCATTACTCCTTAACCATGTAACATTGGGCAAGTTATTTAACTGCTTTAAGTGTCGGTTTCCTTACTCATAAAAAGTAGAAATAATAAAAGAACCTACTTTATAGGATTTTAGTGAGGATTATTAACAATATTCATAAAAGCATTTACTGTGTGCCAGGCATTTTGGCAAAGGCTCAACCACAGCAAAGGATGCTATCGTTACACATTCAACAAATATTTATGAAGTACCTCCTCTATGTCAGGTATTATGCTGGGCACAGTAAAAACAATGGAATTAAGAGTCTAGATTGTGCTTTTTAAAATTCTGTGACTTTCATATTTATTCTTTGCCTTTGGTTTTAAATATATTTTTATATGTTTGTTATCAGTGTACTTAATTTGATGTATGTTTCATTTATGATTCATGAATAATTTAATACTTTGTTTTTATTTTTAGCAAGATATCCTATCAAGTAGAAGAACCATATTTACATTCTTATAATTTTCTTTATCAAATGTGTTGTTAGTCTGCAGTTTTCATTGTATTAAATAACTCATCTAGCCTAACAAATTTTTGTTATTGCAAAGATACACTTTAGCTAATTCTTTAAACTTCAGGATTGCAGGAGGCCTCTAGTCTGTCAGGTCAATGAGAATAAACAACATTATGAACATGCTTAGGTGACTATTTTGTTTAATGAGTTTTATTGAAGGATATCTAGATTCACATACTGAAAGCCCTAGGTTATATGTAGAATTACCTTTAACCAGCAACTCCAACCATGTTTATAGGTTTTATGTCTACCAAACTCAAGATAAATGTAAGAGGTAGGCCTTGTCTTAGAGGACTATTGTAGCTATTAAAATAATTAAGTACCCGTTTTCATATTGTATGGAGGTGGAGATGTTTAAAGAGTTGGTGTGTGTTCATTATGTGGTGTTTAGTGGGCCAAGGAGGCTTTGCACAGTGTCCTTGGCATTAAGTTGTCAAAATTTGGGTGAAATTTTAGGAAGGATGGTTGATGGCCATCATAGGATCTTTGATCATCTATCATTAAGCATGGCAAAACCTTGGAAATGTCTTTTCTTAATTTTTTGATGGTGGAAAATAAGACAGTGGATTCAGTTAATCACTTGAAGGAAATATTGTAGTTCACGGTAGTGTGAGCATATCAGCTCCTGTTACTTCTGGGGATTCTCTTATAGTTGGGTAGGTTGGTTCTGATTTTTTCCTGTTATTAAAACCGTGTAATGAATATAAAACTTTGCATTTCTGAATTTTCTAAGAATAAATGTTCAGAAATGGTGTTTTCTTCAGAGGATATGCACTTTTTAAAGGTTTTGTTTTGTATTTCTGATTGTTTTTTAAAAAGAGTATATCAGGCTGGGCGCGGTAGCTCACACCTGTAATCCCAGCACTTTTAATCCCAGCACTTTGGGAAGCTGAGGCGGGCAGATCACCTGAGGTCAGGAGTTCGAGACTAGCCAACATGGTGAAACCCCATCTCTACTAAAAATACAAAAATTAGCCGGGCGTGGTGGCATGTACCTGTAATCCCAGCTACTTGGGAGGCTGAGGCAGGAGAATCACTTGAACCTGGGAGGCAATGAGCTGAGATCACGCCATCGCACTCTAGCCTGGGCGACAAGAGTGAAACTCCATCTCAAAAAAAAAAAAAGAAAGTATATCAATTTGCACTCCCATTCATATTAATTTGTTGGTCCAACAGCTGTTTTTTGAGCACCAACTGTATGTATATTAGTAGAGAACCATAATGATAAAACCCTCCATTCATCTAGTTTCTAGTTTACAATCTAGTAAAGAAGTGGACAATAAAAAATATGTAACGTGATTTCAAGTAGCGGTAAGTGAATGAAGAAAAAGAAAGATGAACAGAGAATGAAGGGGTAGAGGTAATATTTTAGATAGGCTGGGTAGAGAAGGCGTCTCTAAGTTGACATTTGAGTAGAGACCTACAGTCTGTTTTATTGCCAATCTCACTGTATTTATTAAAGCATTTAATATTATCACTTTAAAACATATTTGCCAGTTGAGATGAAAAATATTTTTAAATTTCTAGATTTTTCTTTGATTTTTATTTATTAGCAGGTTGATCTTTTTTCCATTGGCTGTTGTATTAACTGCTGTTTGAAACATTTAATAGAGAACTAACCTTTTATTTGTAGTAATTGGTCATTGGATTTTGAATTGCTATGATGCTTTAATATAACAAAAAGGCACACTATTCAAGTTTGGCTTCCTAGAGAGGACAGCGCAAAATTTAGGCTGAAAATGAGTGACTTTTATGATTCTGGCTCACAAATACGTGGTTTTTGCTTAGAGTTTTACTAAGGCTGACTTTAGTAACTGAAGTAGCAGATTATATTGAAGGATATTGAGCATGAATGATTGTGTTAGTACTGGTGTATGTAGCTGTTTGGAGGACAGTGTTGGTGCCAAGATTTCTAACTAGCTCTTTGAAAAGACCTCTTTACTTACATGTAAAAATGTTACAAATTTTTGCCTTTGGACTGTGAGGACTCATCCATCACTGGAAAAATTGCCTTCGTGTTTTCCTTTCCATAGTGTTAGTAACATTTATTTTAGAGTAATTAAAATTAATTTTTTTTTTTTTTTTTTGAGACAGAGTCTCGCTCTGTCACCCAGGCTGGAGTGCAGTGGCGCAATCTCGGCTCACTGCAAGCTCCACCTCCTAGGTTTACACCATTCTCCTGCCTCAGCCTCCTGAGTAGCTGGGACTGTAGGCGCCGGCCACCATGCCTGGCTAATTTTTTGTATTTTTAATAGAGATGGGGTTTCACCATGTTAGCCAGGATGATCTCGATATCCTGACCTTGTGATTCACCTGACTCTGTCTCCCAAAGTGCTGGGATTACCGGTGTGAGCCACCGTGCCCGCCCCTAAAATTAATTTTTAAAAACCCCAAAGATTTGGGAGTTAATAGCTGGGAAAATAAAAATATGTACTTGATCTGATAGTTTGCTTTGCTTATAATTTATAAGTGGTAGAAGACAAAAAACTTTCTTAGGAAATTTGCTTTTCCGGGCTTGTGATATGTGATTGTTCATTCTATTTGTTTATTATAGGGGGATTGCTTTGTAATTCCTGTACTAATTTTATGACCTATAAAATTTCTTATGCAAAACAAAGTTTTCTATTTAGGTTTTCTTTCATCAAACTTGTATATAACGTCTATTGATCCAGTATTTTATTTTTTGAATTAAAGTAGTGGGTGGTTGTAATCTGGTTTCTAATCAGTGATCAAACCACTTTTATTTTAAACTAAGGATTTAAAAGTAGGACAAGAAATAATTTTCAGAGAACAGATTTCATTAATTAATAGCCGTTTGTTTTATTCATTTATTCGCTTATTCACAAATGTTTGAGTGCTGCCAACGCTGGGGAGCTAACCTGTTCGTTTAAAGATGATGAATATGGTGGGGAGTATCAGGTGGAAGTTTCTGCCCTTATGGAGTTTACAGTCTTATAATAGAGCCAGAGAACTTAGCAGACAGTTTGGAGACTGTAAGAATTGCTGTGATAGGAGGCGGTAGCTCCCAAAGCCAAGAGCTGCACCAGATTCACTACTAGGGCTGAGGGTCACAAATGGCTTCTAAAGGAAGTGATAGTTTTGCCATTTGGTTCTTGAACTCCTTGATGGGGCATACATGTGTGACTGCACATACACACACAAAATATTTTTTAAATTAAATTTTAAATTGTAAAATACACATAACATAAAATTTACTATCTTAATTATTTTAAAATGTATCCTTCAGTGTTGTTAAGTATATTTTTATTATTTGGCAACCAATCTTCAGAACTTTTTCATCTTGTAAAACTGAGACTCTGTAGCATTAAAGAACAGTTCCCCATTCCCTTCTACCCCCTCTCCCCTAATCCCCTGGCAAGCACCATTCTGGTTTCTGTCTGTATGAATTTGATTACTTTTGATGACTCACTAGTGGACAAAAGCCTTTTTTTTTTCCTCCTTGCTCTTACTGCCCAGGCTGGAGTGCAGTGGTGCAATCTTGGCTCACCGTAACCTCTGCCTCCCAGGTTCAAGCAATTTTCCTGCCTCAGCCTCCTGAGTAGCTGGGATTACAGGAATGCGCCACCATGTCTGGCTAATTTTTGTACTTTTAGTAGAGACGGGGTTTTGCCGTGTTGGCCAGGCTGGTGTTGAACTCCTGACCTCAGGTGATCCGCCCGCCTCGGCCTCCCAGTGTGCTGGGATTACAGGCGTGAGCCACTGTGCACGGCCACAAAAACCTTTTTAAATCTCAAGTTTTCTTTCTGTTGTTTTGAAAATTGCCTGATTTCTGTTACCAATTACATATTACTGGTTTTGCTTTCCTGGAGAAATTTGAGAACATACAAAAGCCTAGGGGGTTGTTTATATGGCAGCGTTCTTGCCAGTGGAAGCACGAAGCCAACATATAGCCTTAGTTAGAGAGACCCTCTTTTCTCTGGCCATCCTGAGGCGTCTCAGGCAGTATGGAGCTATTTTAGGAGAAGAAGCATGGTTTGAAAAGGGAGAAATATTATCAAAGCTTGGGTTTTTTCCAGAAGGCTTTCTTAAATCAGGGGTTGGCAAACGTTTTCTGTAAGGGGCAGATAGTAAATATTTTAGGTTTTATAGGCCATACAATTTGGGGATGATTACTCAATTCAGCCATGGTAGCATGAAAATAGCCGTAGACTATATGTAAACGAATGAGTATGGCTATGTTCCAATAAAACTTTATGAAAACAAGTGGCAGCTCTCACAGACCATAGTTTGTTGACCTCTGTCTTAACATCCTCAGGCTACACATGACTGGAGAGAAACTTTGGCTGAAGCCCATGTCTGGGAGATCATTCAGCTAGTTCGTGACTTGAAACCTAGAAATTCAATACTATATTTCATCAAATTTGGGCCATTGATTATAAGTTACACCTTTTATGTACCACTAATAAAGAAAAGAAATCAACCAATTAATTGTAAGAACCTATTGGTTATATGGTGGATCCTGCTTTCAGAGATGTTAAAATGTTGGGTACGGGTGAGGGAGTGTGTCTGAATCAGTGAAGTAGTAATAATATCAGCCAACATTTGAATATTTACTGTGGGGCCAGGCACTTTGCTAAGCACTTTATATGCATTATCTCATTTATCTTCATAACGAATTAATGAAGTAAATGAAAAAGACTTAGAGCAGTTAAATAATTTGCCATAGTAAGTGGTAGATTCTAAGAAACCCAGGTAGCCTGGCATTAAAGCCTGTGTTCTCTCTCACTTACTATATTTTACTGTCTCATTTGATTTAAAAGGAGGCTTTTTGTCAAATGATATCATTCATGCTGGAATTGATGTAGTTTATTGAATCGGGTCACGGAGGAAACAGCAACTACATAATTTCCCTTTAGCATGTCCTTGGAATTTCAGACATTTCTCACTGCAGCCAGCTATTGCATGCCAGTGCCCTCAAAAAAAAAAAAAAAAGATTTATGAACCTCTTCTGAAAGTGTTTTTTAAATGATAACATGTCTAAGCCAAGCAAAACATGCTGGACGAGGTGTTGGTGCTCTGTATGCCAGTAGAGTGTCTGTGATGCTAGCCAGCACTTCTGGTCCTGCTGCAGAGGAGGAGAGTGAGCTCCACGTATTACTGTAATTCACCTTCTTCTGCATCCGTGAGCCTTACATCCAGGATGGTGCAATCCTGTATGAATGATGCAGACTTCTGCAAAGATGACCTTATTGACTTTCAAAGATACAGGACACACATGAACCACTCAGCTCTCAGTCTTAGAGAATTCTGGTGTTTGTAGCACAGGCTGCATACAACTAACAGAACAAAAGTTGTGGAAGCTTGCTTTTGAGCACATTAGGGTTTTCAGCACTTGTGACCATCAAAAAGAAAAGTCAAAATGGAATGGCAATTAAAGATGGTATGCACGTAATCATCTCAAACCACATCACAGCATCAGCTTCTTATTCAAGCCAAACAGAAGCCTTCTCATTGAAACTTAGTTTGGAGAGAGGTAAAGTTTATTTTTTACTCTATTTGCACATTAATTTTCACTGGGAAATGAATGACTTCTGTTACTAAGATGAATTTTATATTCTGTGAATGACATTTCCAATGTAGTGAAGTAAATTGTAAGCAAACATTTTGTTTTTTTGGGGGTGGTGAACTAGTCTGAAAGAGGCTCCATTTTTTTATCTTCGCAAGTACCCGTTGGCTCATAAAGCCTGTAAATCGCCGGTCTTAGCTGAGATGTGGAAGAGAAAGAAAAAGTAGTTGGTGAAATGAAGTTGTATGAGAGGAAAAAGCGCAAGGCCTTACAAGCAAGAGATGTGGTATGTTAGAGAACCCAATGCTCCATGTTCCTGGAGCAGCGTGTTAGGGGGAGTAGAAGAAAGAGTGGAAGGTAAAAAAGGTCAAATCATTAAGGACCTTGCAAACCCTATCTTCCGCTTAGGATTAGATTCAGCTACATAGGATAGAGAAACCCAGAATAACACAGTAGATCTGGAGAGAGGCAATCCAGAGTTAGTAAGACAATTATGTGGTAATCAGAAACTTGGGCTTCTCTGTCTGGCTGCTCTGCCACCCTTATCTCCTCATTGTCCAGATGGCCACCAGAATGAACACTATTCATCATGCCTCTAGTCCAAACAGCAGGAAGAAGGAAGATGGCACAGACCCTGCCCTTTCACAGAGACTTCCTGGAAATCTTTTAATTCACTTCTAGTTAATCATATTGACCAGAACTTTGGCACAAATAGCTGCAAGGGAGGCTGGAAATTGAGTCTTTTATTCTGGATGGCAGTGTGCCCAGCTGAAAGTCAGGGTTCTAAAGTGAAAGGGGAAAAAAATGATGTTGGGGTAGGCAGCTAATAATCTCTGCCATGCCATGCCAGTGCTTTATTTTATGAATGATGCAATAAGGAGGGAAACATGCTCAAATTCTTTTTTAAAAGACTGCCACTTGAGAGATGGAGGGTGGGTTGGAAAGAGGTAAAGGATCATAGAGACCACTGCAATAACACAGGTCATGAGAGTGACAGGACTTGGTCATTGATCACATATGAGCAGGCTTCTGTCTTAGCAGCCGAGTATGTTATATTGCCATAGAGACAGGAGTAATTGAAGCTGACTGCGTAGAAGAGGAGGTCTACTTAGAATGAGATTTTCAAGGAGCAGGCAGAAAGAGGAGGAAAACAGAGTATGGTGTTTCATAGGTCAAGGGGAATAGAGCACTTCAAGGTTTAGGGACTGGTCTGTTGTGTCAGATGTATCTGAGAGTGCAGATAAGAAGTACTGATGTTATTGATAGGATTTAGCAACTTAGCAGAGTGGGAGGTGTTTGGGTCATGGGAACGGATCCCTCATGCATGGCTTGGTGCTGTCCTTGTGGTAATGAATGAGTTCTCGTTTCATTAGTTATAGTGAGAACTGATTGTTTAAAAAAAAAAAAAGCCTGGTACCTCCCTCCCTTTTTTTCTTGCTTCCCACCATGTGATCTCTACAAACCAGCTCCCCTCTGCCTTCCACTATGAGTGGAAGATTCCGGAGGTGCTCACCAGAAGCAGATGCTGACACCATGCTTCTTTCTTGTACAGCTTGCAGAACTGTGCACCAAATAAACCTCTTTTCTTTATAAACTGCCCAGCCTCAGGGATTCCTTTATGGCAACACAACCAGACAAAGACATTATTCTAGGTATGACTTTTCTGTTATAAAGTAAATTTGTAGGATCTTTCAAATGATCCAGATTTTGGTTATTACCTTTAGAAATGTGAAATAGACAATACATGAAAGTGACTAGCACAGAATTTGGCACACAAACCCTGTGCAGTAGCAGTAAGGGTTTAGTGAATAAGCCAGTGTTCTTGGAACACTTTCTGTACATATGGAGTGGCATTCCTAATTCGTTAACTGTTTACACAGCTCATTTTCCTTCAGGCAAACTTGCTTTTGTTGAAAAAAAATTCTTTCAGATTGCAATAATCATACCCTTGTGAAGCATACAGGGCAGGTACTGTTAGCTTGCTTTGGGTGTTTGGCAGTGTCTCCAGGAATAGCACAAATATGCTACCAAGAACTGGGTTATCCTATTACTAATGGGAACAGTGTGTCTATGACTGTGTGATGAATTTGGCTTTTCTTCTAACTGGAAACTAAGTTGTGAACAAACTTGGCAAGGTACAGATCATGGTAGATAGTTTTAAAAAGATCTTTTTAAAAATCTCATTCCACTTTCTGCAGAAAAACTAGATTGACATCCTAGAGGGCTGAATGTTGTTTAGAGCGTGTTCTTCAGTAGATTGCCAATTAACTTTCTTTCACTTATCCCCCAGAGGATGTTAGCTATTTGGCCAATTCTTTTCCACCAGTGAGAAGAGAACATGAGTGGCCTGGCCTCCTCTGGACTTTTTGCCAGGAGCCTCATGCGGTTTGCCCCACCTCACCTATGGAGTTTCCCTCCTGTCTGTTTAGTTGCAGTAGAGGTCTTAGAACACTGAATTTTATTCATGTTTTGGGAAAGAGAGAAACAGGGTGATTAGAATTGAAAGCACAAAGATCGCACTGGTGACTGACTAAAGTGATTCAGTCAGAGTAACATTGAGGCTGTATCCAGTAGTATGTGATGTTCCCTGTGTTGTCTCTGAACACTAGCCATCTTTGCTTGAGTAAATGTCTTTGTGCATTCTCCTGGGGGAGCTAAGTAGGGAAAGTGGAAGGCAGGCCTAAAACTTGTCTCTGTGACTAGGTGTGTCCAGTGTGACTTTAGCTGTTGCTAAGCAATTTTCTAACACATATCCCCTTGGCTTGTTGAACTAAACCAAGCTCTGTGGGACTGCTTGGTTAGGTGCCTGGTAGAGGGTGTGGACAGTGTCACCAAGAGAGAACACCTCTGCTGATAATAGGGTGATTTATGTGATGGAAAGCTGTGCTTACCACCAAATTTAACATGTAATAAGCTTTAGACAGAAAGTGTCCTGGCTTCCTGGAATCAAATGACTAGTACCTTTGTGCACACCCCTGTGTCTTTTGAGGGGTGGTGGTGGTAGGGGCTGGGTATGTCAGGAAACATCAGTGAAAGACCTCCCCTGGAGGCTTCCAACAGTAACGTTATCTTGACCACTTGAAATATTTCTCCCGTCTTCATACGCTGTTACTTCTTTTTTTCCTTTCCACAGTTATTCTGAGAGTCTTCTGTGGTTAACAAATTCCTCGGCAGGACCTACATTTAATTAGCTGCTTTTAAGGGTTAGATATAGCAAGACAAGAAGGTATTATTGAAAGCACTACATAAAGAACCATGGTTCCTTGACATTTTAAGAGGTGGGGCGGCTTTCTGCCCCCTTAACTTAGCATGCAAGGTTATAAATACAACACATCACAGAGAAATCTGGCACTTACTTGAATGGTACATAAGTCTCTGTATTGTGAGTTGCCAGGGCCTGTTCCCAGAAGTCTTTATTGACTTGGTTTTTGAATTCTTAATGTTGTCCGTGGATCAGCTCATTTTATTTTATACCAAATATTTGAACAGTATTCAGAATTACATTTTAAATTCAAACTCAGTTTCTTAAGATGCCAACCTTGGGGATATTCGAGTTAAAACTAGAAGTATATTTAGTATACCTTTTGGCTGAAGGCCAAATGGCCTAGTGTTAAAATCAATATGAGGCTGAGAATCTATATCACCATCATAGAATAAGTTTTTGGGATAACAAAGAAATTGCAGTTGTTACAGTTCTATTTAGAAATTTAGTAACCAAGCTTTAAAATGTTGATGTTACAGTGCAAGAACAATAGTTCATCAGCATGGTTATCTGGTAGATTGCTTTTGCAGTCACCATAATGCACATCTATAACAGTAAATGGACTTACTTTGGTCAACGGAGGTTGTTGGAGGAGCAAGATATTTTCCAACTATTTTTGCTAGTATTGAATGTGCTGATTATGATGTAGCTGCCATGATGTCAAGTTTTCCTTCCTCTCTAATAGTAACTGACTGAAGTGAAGCTCTGTCCTCTCAGTATCCTGAGCTTGTAAATTTCATTAATTTATGGCAATGATGCCATTTCCTTGAAGTTATCTCACAAACTGAAGTTTTGTGCATGTCGACGGATAATTTCTGAATACTTTCTCATTTATATTACCTTATTTTGTGTGCGTTTTCAAAAATATTTCAGCATGCACTTGTTCCTTCACACAGTCACTTGAGATCTTACATTTTGGATCTAGAAATTTGGTGATGGAGTAATGGCTCTCATGACAAGTGTGTCTCTGAACATCAGTTTTCATTGCATAAACATAAATTTTTACATTTTCTCTAGAACAGAATGAGTGGAAGATCTTCACAGCTTGTCTTGTAAGAAGTCTGCATGCGGCCGGGCGCGGTGGCTCACGCCTGTAATCCCAGCACTTGGGGAGGCCGAGGCGGGTGGATCATGAGGTCAGGAGATCGAGACCATCCTGGCTAACAAGGTGAAACCCCGTCTCTACTAAAAATACAAAAAATTAGCCGGGCGCGGTGGCGGGCGCCTGTAGTCCCAGCTACTCGGGAGGCTGAGGCAGGAGAATGGCGTGAACCCGGGAAGCGGAGCTTGCAGTGAGCCGAGATTGCGCCACTGCAGTCCGCAGTCCGGCCTGGGCGACAGAGCGAGACTCCGTCTCAAAAAAAAAAAAAAAAAAAAAAAAAAAAAAGAAGTCTGCATGCTTAGGACACATAAGTTGGTTATTTCTTAGCAGTTCTGGCGATTGAACTGTTGTTAGTAAGTCCTGCTATGTTGGTTTTGTTACTTCCAAAGCATAATTTTGGGACTATTTTTTTGTGCAAACAGCCTATATAAAATGTATTAAGTGCTGTTCCATCTTGTATGAACATCTCATGTAAGCAGATGTTCTCTGATAGCTTGTCTTTGAAGCAGAATTATGAGAGTGGCCCACCCTCTTAGCTCATAGCCAGCAGGTGAAAAGTGTGAGTGAAACACTGAATGTTGATGATTCCTAAATCGTTCTCTCACCCTATTTGTCACTGATAATTGCATAACACTTTTGTCTTTAATATTTCTTCAATCAGGTATGTTTTTAGCATTGTTGAATTGATCATTGTATTTTGCTTTCACACTTAAAAAAGGCTCTGATTATGTCTCCATGACTAAGTACAGGAAAGAAAAGCAGCACATTTAATTTCATTAACTAAAATTTATAATAAAACTTTCCAGTAACATGTTTCTACAAGGAACTTTGTACCTAGGACTCAGAACGTGGGCAGATATTTGTTTTCTTCTACTTAAAAGGGTTGGCAGTCTATTTGTGTAGCCTCTCAGGCTCAAGCAGTCCTCCCACTCCAGCCTCCCATTGAGTACCTGGGACTATAGGTGTGCACCACCATGCTCAGGTAATTAAAAAAATTTTTTTGTAGAGGCAAGGTCTCACCATATTGCCCAAGCTGTTCTCAAACTCCTGGGCTTAAGTGATCCTCCTGCCTCAGACTCCCAAAGTGTTGGGATTACAGATGTGAGCCCTTGCATCCAGCCAGAACTTTCTATTATTTATGGTGTGTGGATCAAAGCTGATTTAGCATGAATACATATGATTTTGGAGTTCTGTTTTCTTCTGGTGAAATTTTAAGGCAGCAAGGTTGACATTTGGTTTTTAATTCATTTTCACTGGAGGTAAAAAAAAAAAAAAAGTTCCTGTTAGTACTTTTTCTTGATGACTTATGTCCTAAATCAAATTAAATAGCTCAAAATTAAACATGGTTCCTAAAGCTCACTTTGTTTAATGCTATGAATGTTAGTATACCAAACATTTCTGTAAAGATTAGAATTAAGGTGTAATCTAGAGTTTTCTGCCTCACGTTATTATTTAAATTTGTATAAATATTTGTTCCCTCAAAAAGGGAATATTTTCCTAAAGATACCTATCTAATGTACTGAGTTTTATGTTTATTGTCATTCTGTTTTCCAACTTATTGAATTATTTGAAAACATTGTTATATATAAAATTAATAGCTTTCAGAATTATTGTAGCATTTTTACTTTTATAATAAGCATTTATACTTTGATAAAATATTGATGTTACATGAAAATTTTCACTCCAAGTTACATCTAGATAACGTTTACCTCTATTTGAAATAGAATATTCAAATAACAACAAACTCAATGATATCCCTTGTTTAAGTTCCTGATATTGTAATGACAAGATGGGTCATACTTTATAGTACGATTCAATTTATTTAAAAGTTTTGAGACAAATAAAATGGCATACAATATTGTTACACACATAGGTGGTAAAACTATAGAATGAAAGTCCGGATACCCGTAGGGGTAGAAGAGGAATGTGATTAGGGGCAGATGCATGGCAGTGTTCCTTTTTTAAAAATGTTATTCTTTCAACTGTATATGTATATTTTATAAACTTTTATGTATGCGATGTACCACAATTAAAAATTTTAGGTAAAATTGGAAGACAGGCCTGTCCTACCATGTGGAAAATTGCTGCTGTGTACTCTTTTTTTAAAGTGTAGTCAAAACATAAATAGGTAAGACTGTCTCTGAACTAAAAATTTTACCTAAAATGAATGCATGAACTAGGAGTTTTCGGTGACTTTCAACTGATTTTCACATCCTTGTGAGACCTCTGTAAATATTAGGTCCTTGCTAGGAAGTGAAAAATAACTGATAAATGGAAATTCTTGGCTTTTACAAAATAATTGGAAAATAATTGGCCTGGTCCCACTTGCTGACTCTTGTAAACTAATAATAGGCTACTTACAGCCATTGATCACAGTGGTCTTTCTTTCCTTCCTCTCCTCTCCCCTCTCCCCTTCCCCCTTCCCCCTACCCCTCCCCCCTCCTCCCTCTCCTCTTTCTGACAGGTTCTCATTCTGTGGAGTACAGTGGCATGATCACAGCTTACTTGAGCCTTGACCACCTGGGCTCAGGTGATCCTCCCACCTCAGTCTCCTGGGTAGCTGGGACTACAGGCATGCACCACCATGCCTGGCTAATTTTTGTATTTTTTGTAGGGTCGGGGTTTCACCATGTTGCCCAGACTAGTCTCAAACCCCTAGGCTGCCTTGGCTTCCCAAATTGCTGGGATTAGAGGTGTGAGCCACCGCATCCAGCCTGTTTCTTTTAGTGACTGGTTGCTCTCAGTTGCTGGGCTAGAAAAGATTATAAGCTACCCTGTTATATCAGGGTGACAAAGATTCTACTGTCATCTACTCTTATTTTTCTAGCAGTGTGACATAAATTGGAAGTTTTTCTCTCCTAAGCAATATTACCAGTTTCTTTGAAATGCTGAACAAATGATGGTCATGGCAGTAGAGTCAAATGAAAACATCCTTCAAGGATTGTCAACTCTGCAGGGTGCTTTGTGTGTGTGTTGGGGGGTCAAGTTGTTATCACCCCTGCGTTGTCCTCACCTGGACCACATGCTGCAGGGGAAGCGATCAGTGTGGTCTGCAGCCATCGGTGTGGTCTGCGTTCTTTCCTGCCTCCCTCCTCTTCCTTGTCATTTCACATCCCAATATTTATGTAGCACCCCCTGGAGTGCCCACAGGCCTGTCCCCTCCTCTTATCTTTTCTGTAACCAGCCCTTATTTTGGTTCATGAATATGAATGGCTTTAGAAAGCTACTTAGCAGCACTTACCAGGAAGATTGACAATCCTACCACATGAGGAAAGAATTGATCATTAGTGATGATTGGAGCAATAACAAGTAGAGAGCCTTGGAGAAGAGTGCTTCATGTTCTTCTGTATTTACACCAAACAAGAAAGTGTATTAATTTGCACTTGGCAGTTAACATAGTATATTGCAGGGTAGAAGAAATAAGAACCACAGACTAGTTTTTTTGTGGAAAGCTGTTAAAAACAAGAATTTTGTTATCAGGAGGCAACATATGATATATGTATGTATGTTCATCTGACCAAGCATAAAGAGATTTTTGCCTCCATAGGCTTAGATCACTGGAGTGTGAGCCTGTCAAGTTCTTTCCCAGTCAC
Source organism: Homo sapiens (assembly GCF_000001405.40). Classification (NCBI taxonomy): domain Eukaryota; kingdom Metazoa; phylum Chordata; class Mammalia; order Primates; family Hominidae; genus Homo; species Homo sapiens. Next base: position 63,881,338 of record NC_000002.12, read on the forward strand.
ACCTACCCATTACACACACACACACACACACACACACACACGTTCCTACGGTAGCAGAACAAATAACAGCTAACATCCACAAAGCACTTAAGGGGTAGTTTTATTTTTTTCAGTCCATTATGTGTTAGCTGTTGTACACCATGATGTAACTGAAGAGTCAATTTGAGGACCTATTCCATTAAAGCAAAATAACAGCAAACATGTCACATAAATGGATAGAAAATACATTGTGATCTTTCTGAAAGGTTTCCTTCTTACTGTAAGATGTTTAGACTTGCTTGTGCCTCTGCTTTGAAGAAAAGAATCTGGGCCTCTGCTGTAAGTTGTGTCACTGTTCCTTTCCTGTAAGGGAGAAGTTATAGATTAAGGCCCTCTGCTCACAGAAATAGATGAGGATGCTAGGGAGAAGATTGAGTTGGGATTTTCTTCAGCCCCACCTCTTGCCCTTTCCCTCCCTTCCAGGGCATTTCTTAGAACAGTGACAACACTTAATTTTCCAGTATTGGCTTTTATATGGTGACACCTGAAAGTTAAATTCTTGAGGAAGGAATTCTGTCCTTGTGCATACCTAGAAGTTTGACAAAAAGTCTATGCTACGTTCCTCTGAAAGGCAAACTTATGACTGCATAGAGGAGAATGGCAAAGAACAAGTGTGTTTTGGTATTTGCCTCCTGTGGTAGAAGGAATAATGTGTAATTTTATATGTAGTTCTCCAGAATTGAAGTAGAGCCACAGTACAACAGAAATATTTAGACTTGATGATTCTAAATAAATGACTTGATCATTTGCTATGTTGATGCAAAATGGGAATTGAGTGTTTGAAGATACTCCAAGAGATCTGGATGTTCTTAACCAGCCAGACAATATATAGGGCCTACAACTTTTTCCCCCTTCTCGTACTCCATTGTAAAGTAAATGAGCCACTGAACTACTGTGTGCAAGGGAAGTTGCCTGTTAAAGTACTTGATTTTGAACCACAAGGGCCTATGACATTAAAGAAAAGTTGATTAAAACTTTCCACAGAGAAACCGAAACTTTATGGAAGCATGGAAATAACCCTGGGATTGATATGCTTTAACGTCCCTTAAAGCTGTTTAAATTACTCCTATAATGTTATTTTTCTTTCAGATTCAACCCTATGAAAAGATAAAGGCCAGGGGCTTGCCTGATAATATATCTTCCGTGTTGAACAAACTAGTGGTGGTGAAACTCAATGGTGGTTTGGGAACCAGCATGGGCTGCAAAGGCCCTAAAAGTCTGATTGGTGTGAGGAATGAGAATACCTTTCTGGATCTGACTGTTCAGCAAATTGAAGTGAGTAACATTTAGCCTTTCTCATGAGATACTAAAATAGTTTTTAGTTTTTAAGTTATCATAAATGTTATAAAATGTAGCAGATGTGAATTTGAGCTAACCAAAGAGCCTGCTATCTTTAATCTCTTTATTGGTGGAAAAAAGGTTTAGTGTTCTTAAGGGCAAATCCTTAAGGTTATGTAAAGGCTTTTGATCTTAAATAGCACCTGTGGTTGTTGAAATCTCTGGGTCTGTTGAGATTCTCTTTTGATCTCCCACTGCTCTACCCACTTTCTTTCTGGTGGCAGCCTTCATCAAGGCTGGGATGATCTTGCTTTATTAACCCCTTTTGGGAGGGTGGTGGGGAGGATGCTGTGTATTTGGCTGCAGGTCATGCATGCTAAGAACTGTTCTTGGCTTCTCTCTTAGGACAAAGTCATTAATCGTACACCATAAGCTCTTTTGGGGCAGTGGCCTTATTTTTTCCATCTCCTTATCCTAATGCCTAGTATGGTGCTGGCAACTATAATCCTAATGCAAGTTGTAGCAGTGGCTAACATGTATTCAGCACTTATTGTCCACCAAGTATTATTCTGAGCTCTTTATATGAATTTACTCATTTGTTCCTCTCAACAACTCTGTGAGGTAAGTACTGTTATCCCCATTTTACCAATGAGGAAACCAAAGCACAAGAGGTTGGTTACTTGCCCAAGGTTCCCAAGATAGTTAGTAAGTGCAGAATTAAAATTTTAACATAGGGCAGTGTGACTTCTAAGACCCTGTTTTCTTCACACTCTGCTGCCTCGTAGCTCTTCTGAGGTTGAAAAGATTTCAGCTGGGGTGTGATTCAAAATTTTTGATCATTAATGTTGAGAGTAGGGAGCCATGTCTTTGTCACATTTATACTTTCATCCCTACAGAGATGTTAACATAGAGTAAATGCGTAATCAGCACTTGCCTACCCAGTAAGGCCACAGAGCACTGTGGCTGTACACAAGCTCCAGACTCAAACTGCCTAGGGTGGGGAGGTGGGGGTCCTGCCTCTGCCATTGCCAGACCCACCACCTATCTGGGCCTTAGTTTAGACATCCGTAAAATGCAGACAGTAGTTTCTATCTCAGAGGGTAGTGATTTAATGAGCAAGTGCATGGTGAATTGCTTAGCAAAATGTCTGGCTCGTGCTGAGCAGTTTTTTGTCAAATCTGTATATTTGGCTACGTACAGATGATGTTTTAGATATTTTATGATTTAACCATTAAGAACTAATTTTGCATATTTGAGCAAAAGAAAAGTGAGTCTGGGTAATCTAATTGTCATTTTCCTCCCTAGCATTTGAATAAAACCTACAATACAGATGTTCCTCTTGTTTTAATGAACTCTTTTAACACGGATGAAGATACCAAAAAAATACTACAGAAGTACAATCATTGTCGTGTGAAAATCTACACTTTCAATCAAAGCAGGTACAATGAGTAAAAAATTAACTCTGGGTATGTTACTCCTGGGAAAGGACTTCTTTATCTTGTTTATAACAGAGCAGTTTCAAGATGTACAGGTACCAAATATTGATGTTCACAAGTGTTTGATGCCCATAAAAGCTGAGCATTTGTTGATATGTGATTGTTATAATCACTCTGGTTCTCTAATTTCCAGTTCTTAAAATTCAGTCTGCTTGAGACTCTGTTCCATGTCCAGAATATTTGGGGATAGTTTAAGCCTTTGCTTTCTGAGAGCATATTTGGTCTCCAGGTGGGTCTGTGAAAATCTTTTTATATTCCTACATTATTGATAACCTTTCCTATGGAAAGGAATTTCTTCAACACCTTTTATGGGCTTGGGGTAATTTAATAAATTCTGGAGGAAATCTTTGGGGAATAGTGAGTAAAAAGTAAATTCAGATGATGAATTCTGATTGAAGGCCAGGAAACTGGAGAAATAAGACTTCCATTTAAGGGATGGACATCAGTCCACATGAACTTGTACAGAAGGGATGTTTTGAGGCTGGGTGTGGTGGCTTATACCTGTAATTCCAACACTTTGGAAAGCCAAGGCAGGAGGATTGCTTGAGCCTAGGAGTTTGAGACCAGCCTGGGCAACATAATGAGACGTCGTCTCTACAAAAAAAATTTAAAAATTAGCATTGGTGGTGTGCCCTTGTAGCCCAGCTACTTGGGAGGCTGAGGTGGGAGTATCACTTGAGCCCAGGAGGTCGAGGCTGTTTGTGCTACTGTACTCCAGCCTAGGCAACAGAGCAAGACCCTATCTCAAAAATAAAATAAAAATAAAAATAAAAAAGAAGGACATTTCTAAAGTTGTGTCATTAGTTTGTTTGGTTGTTTTTAAGATCTATTTCCCATGGTTACTTTTTTTTTTTTTTTTTTTTTTTTTTTTTACTTTGCAGATGTTTTGCCTTTATTTTCTAGTCTTTAGTCTGTTGCGGTGCTAGCTCCCGTTTTCCTCTTGCCCCATCACCAGCTTTACCTTTCTTACTAGTGGTGGGAAGCAGACATCTTGGAATGCTAACCTGGTGCTTATTTTCTGGGAAAGAAAGAGATCCACCCCTGAATATATCCATTTGTAAGAATGGGCAGTATTTCCCAGATAGGTTTTCAGGGAAAAGAACAATCTCACAACTACATAAGTTTGAGAAAATTTACTTGATACATCCCTTCTTTTGGAGAGTCATAAAACATGAATATCTTAAAAATATGATGGGTCCTCCCATCTGTATGACCATAGAGACATGTTTTTGCAGCAGCTATCACCATCTGGAAAACAGATTTTGGACAACACAGATACTGAGAGATTTTCTTAAATGGATTCACCTATAATTAAATTACTTATTGATAGACTCTGAAAAGAAGTGAAATTTTATTTAACTTTAATGTATTATTTTATTTAAAGGCCTGAAATGCTCTACAGGGTCAATATTGAAAAAGAACTTTTTTTTTTTTAAAGGTACCCGAGGATTAATAAAGAATCTTTACTTCCTGTAGCAAAGGACGTGTCTTACTCAGGGGAAAATACAGAAGCTTGGTACCCTCCAGGTCATGGTGATATTTACGCCAGTTTCTACAACTCTGGATTGCTTGATACCTTTATAGGAGAAGGCAAAGAGTATATTTTTGTGTCTAACATAGATAATCTGGGTGCCACAGTGGATCTGTATATTCTTAATCATCTAATGAACCCACCCAATGGAAAACGCTGTGAATTTGTCATGGAAGTCACAAATAAAACACGTGCAGATGTAAAGGTAAATACCGAGAGGAAGCAGTTTAGGGCTTCATGTTTTCACATTTCGTAAGTTATGAAGTTAAAGACTTTTTTATTTGAAAGTTTCTATGTTAAACAACACATTTAATATGTTCTGTTTGACATAATAGTATGTATCATAAATCCATAATAAATAGTATCAAAATCATCTCTATTTTTTTGGATAAGCTACATCAGTAATTTTAACTAAAATAATTTCATACATATTTATGGCAAAAATCTGAAACATGTGAAATCTTTCAGTAAAGTTGTCCAAACCTTTAATACTCTTCTAGTTTGGCATTTAAATGTTATTTCATTGTCCCTTTTATGAAAATTTACTCTGTTTCTACATAATGTATTTATATATTTTTTGTATAATCACTATCTTTGTATTTACAAAAAAATGCACTTGAGACTGATGTGGAGGCACTCACTATTTTCTGCCTTTCTAGGGCGGGACACTCACTCAATATGAAGGCAAACTGAGACTGGTGGAAATTGCTCAAGTGCCAAAAGCACATGTAGACGAGTTCAAGTCTGTATCAAAGTTCAAAATATTTAATACAAACAACCTATGGATTTCTCTTGCAGCAGTTAAAAGACTGCAGGAGCAAAATGCCATTGACATGGAAATCATTGTGAATGCAAAGGTAAGCCAAGGTTGTGGCCCATTGAGCTTCCTGGTTCCTAAGGTCATAGTAGGCTACACACAGACCCCATCGCCCACTCCCTCTGTCCCATCTATTCCATTGGTCACTCCCTTTTGCCTTTTCAGACTCTAGTTCCTAGCCCTGTCTTCCAGAATCTGCTGTCACCCCTCTAGTGTGCCAAGTTATGGTGCCCTATATTTGACCCTGGGTTGTGGTAGTGGCAAAAACACTGGGCTTCAAAAGTAGAGAACCTACTTCAGTCTTAGTTGTTGCTCTGACACTCATAGGTCATTTGGCCATCGGTACTTTGCATGAGTTTTCTGAACCTATGGTTTATCATGAAATGATATTACTGAACAGAAGAGTTTTAAGACTGAAAAAAGATTACATGTTTAAGAGTTTGGCATATGATAGGTGCTTGATAAATGTCAGTTCTCAAAATTATTTTTCTGGCCAGGCTCAGTGGCTTATACCTGTAATCCCAGCATTTTGGGAGGCCGAGGCCGGCAGATCACTTGAGGCCAGGACCAACCTGGCCAACATAGTGAAACCCCATCTCTACTAAAAATACAAAAAACTAGCTGGGTAGGTGGCACATGCCTATAATTCCAGCTACTCGGGAAGCTGAGGCATAAGAATTGCTTGAACCCAGGAGGGCAGAGGCTACAGTGAGCCGAGATTGCGCCACTGCACTCCAGCCTGGGTGACAGATCAAGACTCCTTCTCAAAAAAAAAAAAAAATTTTTTTTTTTCCATCAATGGATCTCTGAAATCACTTCCCAAATATTAACTAACCTACATGGAACTAAGTTGTAGGTGCCTAAAACCTCTGTTTTCTATTCCCCACCCCTAATTTCTTACAGACTTTGGATGGAGGCCTGAATGTCATTCAATTAGAAACTGCAGTAGGGGCTGCCATCAAAAGTTTTGAGAATTCTCTAGGTATTAATGTGCCAAGGAGCCGTTTTCTGCCTGTCAAAACCACATCAGATCTCTTGCTGGTGATGTCAAACCTCTATAGTCTTAATGCAGGATCTCTGACAATGAGTGAAAAGCGGGAATTTCCTACAGTGCCCTTGGTTAAATTAGGCAGTTCTTTTACGAAGGTACGTAACTATAAAGATATGTGAGTTCATATTTCTTAAATGTGTAATTATAAAGATATGATATACATGTGAATTGGAGACTAATTACAGTCTCTACCACTGACCTGTTGTATTCCTCTGTCTTTGATACCTTTTAAAGGGAATTGACCATAGAAGATAAATATTTTACTTCACATTTGAAACATGATTGCCATATGGAGAGTAGAAAATAATCTTTAAATTTTGGGGCATTTTATCTTCTGTCTCTTCCAAGACCAGTACTGCTTTCATCAGTGGGAAAAGGTTAATTCTGGCTTAACAAATACTTATTGAATGCCTATCATGTACTGGGCAGTGTTCTAGGTTCTAGGGATTTAGCAGTAAACAAAACAGACTAAATCTTTGTCTTCACGGAATTGACATTCTAGTGGGGAAAGGATGATAAGTAAGTAAATGTATGATATACCAAGTGGTGGAAAATGCTATGGAGAAACAAAGCAAGGGTGGAGAATAGGGAATGCCTGGGGAGGTGGCGGGGTGGTGTTGATGGTGTAATTTTACATTGAGTGGCCACAGGCAGCCTCATTGAGTTGATTGAGTCTGACAAATCGGTATCTAGTGCAAAAAGTGTTCTAGACAGGTGGAATAGCAAGTACAGTACATCCTCAGTGTCATCAGTATGTTCTTGGAAACTGCCACAGTAAGCAGAACAATGTGTAACACATTTTGCCATAGGCTAATTGATATAAACAAGAGTTCAGTTCCTACAGTTTATTTCTGGTCACAAAAATATCACCAAATTTTAAAAACAAAACACTTCTAATATTAAACTCTGAAATAAATGTGAGCTGTACATACATTGATTAATAAAAACAAGATAATTCTTGACTCACTTATTCCAGTTCAGGTTCACTGGTGACCAGAGCTTATCCCGGCAGCTCAGGGCACAAGGCAGGAGCCAACCCTGCACAGGCCGCCATCCCATCTCAGGGCACACTCACACATATCCACACTCATACTGGGACCATGTAGACACACCAGTTCACCTAACATGCACATCTTTGGGATGTGGGAAGAAACCAGAATAGTTGGAGAAAACCCACACAGATGTGGGGAGAACGTGCAAACTCCACACAGACAGTAGCCCTGGCTGGCAATCCTTTTTTTCCCCTCATCAGCGTTATAACAAAGTAACATTGAACAAAACAGCACTATCTGTGGACCTGCTGTAAAACTCCAACCTAGCCTGATAAGTGAAATCCAAAAAATTTAATCAATGAAATGTGACACTGTGAGCCTTTGTGGTTGGCCTATGGGGTCCTGCTCTGCCATCCAAGTCTGTTTTAGTCCACAGCAGGTGTGGTTTGGTGCCACCTGCTGTGGATGTGTAGAATGCAGATGGGGAATTAGAAACTATGAATGCATGTGTCCTCAGAGTCAAATGAAGAAAATATTTCAAGTGGGATTGATCATGTGTCAAATGCTGCTGCTGATTCAAGTAAGATGAGAATTAGATTTATCAGTATGGAGGTTTGGGAGCCTCACAGGCATGGATTTAAAAGAGAATGAAAAACGAGGAATTGGAGATATGAATATCGAAAACTCAAGAGTTTTGCCTTAAAGAGAAACAGAGAAATGGGGCTATAGGTAGAAAGGAATATAGGATTTGAGTTTTTGTTTTTTTTTAATGGGAGGATGTTTATACATTAATGGGAATGCAGTCAGGAGGGAAAAAAGACTGAAGAGGGAGAGTTGCTGAAACAACACTTGATAGGCCATAAGAAGGGATCTGATGAACAAATGGAGAGGCTGGCTTTAAGTAGGAATAGAAGCAGTCCAATTCCAGTACTAGGAAGGCAGAGTAATGGGCAATGGGGGCAAAGTAGTGGTGGTGGTGGATGGAAACAAGTGGAAGTTTTCTAATTGCTCCCATTTTCCCAGCAAAATAGGAAACGGGGTCACATAGGACAATCTCTAGTGCTTGTAAATCTAAGGAAATAAAAAGACAAAGATGGTGATAACATAATAATTTGTGCTGTTGCTCTTCCTAAAATGTGCTCTAATTTTTCAGAATCCGACCTATCCACTAAAGTCCAGCTCCAGTCTAGCCTGCTTCAAAGCATGATCTCTTTTTTTCAGTTAAATTCAGATTGTGTGAACTATTCATCTGGCTCTTGGCATGTTGATTATCTTTAAAAAAAAAAAGAAAAAAAACCCTTAGATCTGCTCAACTATCTTGTAAATTGCTTGGTGTAAAAACAATGTTTGTAGCTCCTGGTCTTTCCTGCACGGCATTTAGCATATAATGAGTGCTTAATAAGTAGGTGCTTCCCACAGAGGACCTGAGCTTTGCCAAAAAAGGTTTCTACAGTTCAGTTAAACTTTCTTGTTAATATTTTTCCTGTCTTTCTTTGAACCCATTTGAGACAAATTTTTATGTTTCTCCTTTTCTGTAAGGTTCAAGATTATCTAAGAAGATTTGAAAGTATACCAGATATGCTTGAATTGGATCACCTCACAGTTTCAGGAGATGTGACATTTGGAAAAAATGTTTCATTAAAGGTATGTTGTTACAATGAAAATTATATTTCTTACAGCTTACAATATAGGTCTCATTTTCTAGTCATAAATTTACATTTACTTTAAGGAATACTTGTTAGTCTTAGTGCCACCTTAATTACTAGTGTAATTATTTTACTGAAATGAGAATCTTTAAAATAGGATCACTATTAGCATTAGCTTACTAAAGATGATTGAGTAAAAGCAGAAAAAAAATGACAATTTGTACTGAATATAACCTATTAAAGGAATGTTATCACTGTAAGAATATTCATTTACATTATTGTAGTACTCAGGTACTCTTCAGTGTCATTCCAGCCTCACGTAAGAAATAGGAGGGAAACGGGGGTATAAAAGTATTAAAGCTCACCAAAGATACAATAGCTTTTTCCAAATCATGTAATTTTTTAAAAAATCTCCTAACTAGATTTCATATACTCCTCCCATTAAAGCTACTTACTTAAATGAAGATCTTGAAAAAACAAATACATATATTGAATTTTATTGCTGAGACTGCCTAAAGACTTAAGACATGAAAAATCTTATCAGTAAACTGTTATAAAAACAACAACAAAAGCCCTATATGTAAATGTAAACCAAGCACCTTTTAATTTCTCTATGAAGGTTAGATAATGCTGGTGGCCTTGCAAGTAGGCCTCCAAAAGGGGCTGGCCATGCTGTGGCACCGGGTCCACTTCCCGCTCTTAGTTCTACCTCTAACAAGGAGACAGAGAATCTAGAACTACTGCCAGGATTGTTACAGAAGGACACATTACAATTTTCCTTAACTGTTATTTGTTTTTCATGTTTAATATTGTTTATAAAAAAAGTTACTTCACTGTAAAAAAAAAAAAGTTGTACATAAACTTGATCACTGTAAGATAATCAAATTGCATTTCAGTTGCAAGTACACTCTTTTGTTTTCCCTGTCACTTAGGGAACGGTTATCATCATTGCAAATCATGGTGACAGAATTGATATCCCACCTGGAGCAGTATTAGAGAACAAGATTGTGTCTGGAAACCTTCGCATCTTGGACCACTGAAATGAAAAATACTGTGGACACTTAAATAATGGGCTAGTTTCTTACAATGAAATGTTCTCTAGGATTCTAAAATAGGCAGGTACTTTACTATGTTACTGTACCCTGCAGTGTTGATTTTTAAAATAGAGTTTTCTGCAGTATGCTTTTAGTCTAAGAAAAGCACAGATGGAGCAATACTTTCCTTCTTTGAAGAGAATCCCAAAAGTTAGTTCATCTTAAAGTGCAATATTGTTTAATCTTAAAACTGGGCAACTTTGGAAGAACTTTTAACAGAAGCCTCAATGATGATCACTTTGAATTGCTTGTGATTTCAAAAATAAAGCAGTGAAGCAATACTTGTGTACACTGGTACTTTATAATGCTAACTATAAACTGGTTTATTGTTGTTAGACAGTTACTATATTAGTTGGAAGATTTGCCCTTTAAGTACACACTGGCTAGTTACCTAGCCAGTGTGTACTTAATGAGTCCAGTTTTTGGCATTTCTAAGAATCTTAATCATACCATTATTTCCACAGGAATTAAACTGAAGGTATTTTCTTTAGTACCTACCTTTCATCTAGTTCTAAAACTGGGATGCCTGCCATGCTTTCCACAAACTCTCCATTTATTGAAACAAAGTGGCATTTATTTTCCCAGCTGACGGGGGTGGGCAAAGGGAAGGCATTTCTTCACATCCTTGTACTCTTCTATAGTGAGGTAGGGGGTATAGCTTCATAAAAAGTTCCCTTTCCCTGAAGCTTCATTTCCTGAAGCTTGTTTATTATCACTGAAAAAATGATCATTAATAATCTTTCCATTCAGGTCTGCTGGTAGTTCAATTTATGCCTTTTCTTTAAATTCATCCATACTTGTTTTGAGTAGGCTGCTTGTTTAAAGTTCACAATATACCACTTAAAAAAAAGTTGCCTTTTAAAGTCTGTTAATTTTTTACAGCTTTATTTTAGACAGATAGTTTAAGAACCAAAGACATACCTCTGTAATGATAAAGGAAAGAAAACAAGCTTTCCTTTTAAGAAACCAAAGAGCACAAAATAAGACTGTTTCATTATACATAATCACCACAGGATATTAGGCACTCTGACAGGGTTAGGCAAGATTCTTGGTGTGAGGTGAAGCACAGGCACTTTATTTGTACAGTGCTGCTGATTCTAATTTTGAAGGTAGGTATTATAAAAGTCTTTACTTGTCACCTTATTTCTGGCCCCAACACAGCAGCCTATAGTTTTAAAAGTTCTGTTTCTCCCTGGTCTTTGTTCGTATACACATCGAAAGTAACTTAAAAACAAGGATCCAAGGGGGCCATACTTCATATGTTATCTAAATGTTAATATGAGAACTCAAAAGTAGGCAGATTATATGAATACATATTCTTACCTCTGCTACAAATAAAAACACCCCAAACCCTTCATCATACTTTTATAAAAATACAGATATTAAACTGTAGCCTTTTATATACCATTTCTGAAAAGTATTTAGTTGCATAAATAGATGCCAGGATCTTTTTTTTTAAGTATTAATTACTTAAAAAAAGGCTTAAGTCTTTCAGGTATTTAGAGAGCTCTGGAAGGCTTTACCCAGTTGACATACGGTGGTAGTAGAAATATTAAATATGCAACACACAAAGCCTGCAACTTGACATTGGTCACTGAAACAAAAATTGAATTCCTAAATCCAAGCAATCAAAAGATGTTTATTTTTTATAGAAAGATCTGTAAAAAAATAATAATTTTTCAAACAGCTTTACTTTCATAGAGAAAACTTTCTACAGAAGTTGACTAAGATTTTAAATTGTACCATCATTAAATAAGGTGGGACACCATATGAATTTCATTGCACTGGAAGAAATGCAAAGCATTTTTTAATATAAAGTATACAGAGCATTCTAGTCAACTACAGCTGTGTTACAGCTATGTGTTCTTTTGGATTTGGTCCAAAGAAACCTGAGTCTGTTTCCAGAGAGAATGAAAAATGTTATAGACACCTGATCAGTTACTCCTCACTGTAGGATGCACAAAAATGACATTCCTTGTAGATCCCACTGAATCCAGTTTCCCAACACTTGATACTTTCCTTTTTCCCTTCCCCCACCCCAGTTCACTTTGGGTTTCAGGTTCAATTCTCGAATCACAGGCATCCAGATTTTCTTCATAACAAACACATCCCATGGTCAGATGAACTACCCAGTTTTCCAGGATGACATCACCTCTTCTGCTCCCAAATTTCGGCCATATTTAGGTCCAAATCTTTAAGGCCTTTTAAGGCTTGAAGATTTCCAGTGTAAAAAGCTACATCTGCTGTGACCAACCTAAATAATGGAGAGAAAATTATTTTTTAAATCTCAAACTTTCTATTCAGATAATTAAAGTAACAGTGCTCACCGAGTCAGAGTCCTATTATCTAAAATTCAGATTTCTTAGTGCCCAAGTGTCCAAATACTTTACTTAGCAGGATTCCTGCTATGAATAAGTAGGCCATTTAATGCTGTACTTCAATAATAAATATTTGGAAAATGAATAAACCAATGGCTGTTAGAGTCAGTTTCATGATAAATTCAGCCCAAGAAAATCAGATTTATCTTGAAACAGCATGAATTAATATACAGAGAAAATAACAGGCTAAACTAAAATGTTTTTGATTGGTTAGCACTAGAGTATGGGAGTGCTGACTAAAATAGTAAACTCAAGGGAAAAGCAGGCTAGGTTTCTAAGTGTCATCTAAGGCGTTAAATACAGACTAGTATTCATGTATATAAGCGATACTGGATATTTCTTTAAAAACCCAAGAGAAAAATAGGAAAGAACATAAGAAGTCACAGATGAAAACACCTGAATAACCAATAAACTGAAAAAATGGTAAACGTCAGGAAAATGCAAATCAAAACAAGGTACTACTATCCCCCATCAGACTAGCAACAATTAGGAAATCTAACAGCAAATGTTGAAAAGATGTGGGAAACAAATTCTCACAAACTACTCCACTAATGTGGGAGTTGGTACAGCCACTGTCAATACCTAACAATATGAAAAGTGTATTAGCTCCAATTCACTTATAGGTATATGCCCTGAAGAAATGGTCACACCATTAGACATGTATAAAGATCTTCAGTATGGCATGGTTATAATGGAAAAAAGTAATGACTTAGCAATTTATCACTAGGGGAAATGTCTAATTTATCTATGGCTGATTCATGGCCAGGAGCAGTGGCTCACACCTGTAATCCCAGCACTTGGGGAGGCTGAGGCAGGAGGATCACCTGAGCTCAGGAGTTTAAGACCAGCCTGGGCAACATAGTGAGACCTCGTCTCTACAAAAAATTAAAAAAATTAGCTGGGTGTGGTGCCACACACCTGTAGTCGCAGTTATTGGGGAGTCTGCAGTGGGAGGATTGCTTGAGCCACGGAGGTTGAGGCTGCAGTGAGCCATGATCACACCACTGCCCTCCAGCCTGTGTGACCATGAGACCCTGTCTCCAAAAAAAAAAAAAAGGTTGTTTGATGGAATACTGTACAGCAGTCAAAAACAGACTACTAAACATATATCAACATAGATAAATCAGTAAAAATGCCTAGTAGAAAGCAAGCTGCATATATGCAATATACCATATAAGTAAATTTACAAAACAGCACTACATATTTTTCATAAATCTAGGTACAATAAATAAGACTAAAAGAATGTAGACTAAATTCACTGGAAATGTTACCTAAAGGCTGGGAGAAAAAGGGAATCGGACTGCAGATGGGGTGTAAAGGTGTACTTAGCTTCATCTGGAATGCAATTTTTTGAATACCATTTTAAAAATACAATAAATATTTTTTTCAAGAGAAAATGACAAATGTTGATCAATTCTGGGTAGTAGAAATATAAATAATTTATTATTCTCTGTATGTGTCTATTTTTAAAATATCTTAGAGGAAAAAAAATCACATTAAAAAGTACAGAGCTGGGCCGGGTGCAGTGGCTCATACCTATAATCCCAGCACTTTGGGAGGCCGAGGCAGGCAGATCACCTGAGGTCAGGAGTTTAAGACCAGCCTGGCCAACATGGTAAAACCGTCTCTACTAAAAATACAAAAAGTAGCCAGGCGTGGTGGCACGTGCCTGTAATCCCAGCTACTTGGGAGGCTGAGGCAGGAGAATTGCTTGAACCTGGGAGGTGGAGGTTGCAGTGAGCTGAGATCACGCCACTGCGCTCCAGCCTGTGTGACAGAGTGATACTCCATCTCAAAATAAAATCAAAGTACAGGGCTGGGGAGAGGGAGAAATAGGAAGCAGCTGCCTAATGGGTACAGGATTTTCTTTTGGAGTAGTGAAAATGTTTGGAACTAGATAGAGGTGGCGGTTACGCATCACTGTGAAGACACTAAGTGCCACTGAATTGTTCACTTTAAAATAGTTAATTTTATGTTATGTGAATTTCACCTCAAAAAAAGTCAAAAGCTACATTTTTAGAGCAATTTCAGAAACAAAAACTTTTAAGCAGGTAGTTTATGTCCTTGGCTACAGGGTAGAGGTTAATCTTCAGGGATATTTCAAAGACATGAATTGACTTATAAAGAATGAGTTTCTGTTAGCATGTGACAGTGAGGATTCTCTAAGGTCAGACTGACTTCCAAATAGCTATATTAAGAAAGAAAAGTAACAGCTAACGAGTTAGCTTGGGTGCTTCAGAACTACTGGTCTACAAAAACCCAACTAACCAACCCAGATTTAGTTATGGGAATAAAAGTAAAAGGGTATGAGCAGGGTTAGGCCTTAAAAATATTATTAGCTTTTTTTGAACAGCCTCTTTAAGGTACCCAGTATACATCTCTACCAAGAGTCTCCTAAGTTTCTAATATGCTATTATCTTTTCAGGAGCAGGTCTCTTATGTATGTACCATTTGTATCATCTGACATCAAGTGAGAGATATACACAGCGTCACCACATGTGATGTTCTTGCTGAAAATATCTGACTCTATGTTGGTATAACGCTATTAATGTTGATTTTCTTAGGTGGGGTTCAGGTATTACGGTTGTATAAAAATGTCCTTGTTTTTAGAGACACATGCCAAAGTATTTAAGGGTTAAATTTTATGACTGCAGCCTACTTTTTTGGTTGTTTGTCAAAAGGGAGGTATGGGGGTGGGAGGGAGAAGGAGCAAAAGTGGCAGAGAGTATGTGGCAAAATTTTAACAGTTGATAAATCTAGGTAAAAGCTATTCAGTGTTCATTATTGTCCTTTAAGTGTTCCATGGCTTTGAAATTTTTGAAAACAAATAATTCTTTAAAAAGAAAAAGAAGAATCAGATAATAAGACTATCATTCTTGCATAAAACTCTTAAATTCAGCCTAACAGATTCAACAGAATGAAGCTTTCACATAGCTCTTTGCAAAATTGATTCACTGTACTTCTTCTTAAATGGCAGGGCCAACTTCTGACCCCAACATACATTTTTTTCATTTTCCATTTGTTCTTATAAGTTTGAAATTTGAGCCTGAAATTCCTTTAACAGGAAATAAAATTTTATTCCTAAAAACCCTAGAACACTAAAGAATTGATATTAATACGTAACTAAATGATCAGTGCTTTAAATTTTATAAAATCTCTTCCCCATATCTTTATCTACATAACTCTTCAAAAAATCCTATTAAGGAAACTTTTATCATCATCCCTATTTTCAAATCTAAAAAACCTAAGCTGAGGGGGAGTAAGTGATTTGCCCAAAGTTACAACAGCTAGTAAGTGACAGAACTAGAACTTAACCCAAGTTTTCAGATTCTAAGTCCTACCCTATGCTTTCTATGTACTATGCTATTTTACAGTAATATATACAATCTTTCAATAGCTTACAATAAAATATATACATATACACACATATATTATTTTTCATAACCCTGTGAAAGAATTAAGACAGATTTCATCCTTGTTATTTTATAAATGTGGCACACAGGTTAAGTGACATTCACATGGTCACACAGTAGGACTTCTGAATCCTGTTTGGAATAGGGAAAGCTATTGGGTAACTAAGGAAGTGCTACTAATTCACACTGCCTCAAAACAGATACATAACGTCAGGTAAGCAATTGTCCATGTATAAACCCCTTTTAGATAGTTAGATAGAAACAGATATTTCCACAGGGGAAAAAAAAAACACAAAAGCTTGCTGATTTTACAACGTTGGTCTTCAGTGTGATTACAGCAGAAAAGGATGGCACAAATAATCAAAACTGATCATTAAAACAATTCGATATGGGAGTATATGGTGAAAACGTTAAAAAACATACCCATTTTGAGGTCCTCCATCATTTATCACATTTAAGTGAGATAACTGCTTTTTCAAGTGGAGTTTATAACTTGCATTAATTCTTAAAAATAACATCTGAAAAAGAAATAAAACTAAGTTTCTTAAAGTTCTACTGAAATAGAAGATATCTGAGTTATCAATATTATTTAGAGAAAGTATTTTTAAAAACCAAAACCTTTGCTTTGACATATACTTTTAAAATCCTCCTCTGAAAGTATTCTATTGCTATTTCACTACATTTTTTCTCCTTAGTTGGAAAAACCTTTTTACCCTCCTTAGCAGTACTCCTTTTTGGAAAAATTCCCGTAAGTGGGATCAACTGTGACAGGTAAAAATAATAAAAAGTAGTGGGGAATTTTGTAACATAGTAAGTAGGAAGTTGGTAGGGGAAAAAATGTCATAATGATAGAGGCAAAGATACCTTCGTACTTCTAATCTAGTGAAATCACTTCAAAGCATTTTATTGTTCTTGCATGCAATGACCCAATATTTCTTTGGGAAATACCTAACCTAAAATTATATACAATGAAATTATGAAATGATTTTGTGAAATAACATTTTCTGTGGGAAAAATATATATAATAATCTATGGAAGTTTTGTGGAATTACTAGTATTCAAGTGGCAATAGTGACATAAAATAACATTTGCCCAGCATTGACAAGAGTACCCTTTAAATTACGCCACAGATAAAACACATGAAGTACCTGTATGCCCAGCTCCCTGACCTGGGTAAGTCCTGCTCTAGAATTAGAACTCAGATGGCAAATCCAGAAGGTTAGAATGTCAGAGGTGGAGGATCTTACATGTGGAATGGAAAGGATGGCTTGGCTAAGAAGAAATTAGAAGGAAAAAGGAGACGACCCTAGTGGGTACGTCGTATTTTACGGCTCCCCTTCAGTCCTCAGTGAGTCCCAAAGGAGTTACATGATATTTATTCATGAGTTTGGTATGATTTATGAAAACCTAGGGAAGTACGAAGAAAATGTTAACAGCTAGTATAGGATGGAAGTTTGAGGTAGCATAGGAAAGGAGACCAGCAGGACCAACAGTAGGCAAGAGACACTAAGAAAGCCACCCTCTGCTCCCAAATACCATTTCCACGCACTCAACCAAGTAAGAGAGACAAACTGAAATAAACAAACTTGTCTGAATAGCAGAAATCTCAGTGAAAGTTAAATTCATTAGTCATACAGCAACTAGACTTTAATATTATACCATTTATTCTACAAACCAGGCACACTTAGTTCAGAGGAAATAAGCTGAGATTAAAAAAAAAAACAAAACTGGTAAAAAAGGGAATACTGAAAACTTCAAAGTTCCAGGAGAGCGCAACAGGGCTGTAGCGGGTAGAGCTGTTACTGAGGAGTGAAGAGAACTCTGTGATAATACTTTTGTAAGGGAATACAGTAGCGATAGAAGGGTGGATACTTCATAGCTGAGAGGTGTCAAAGACTCCCCCACCCTCCATTTTGCTCTTTTTCCTAGTTTGTCTTTACTACAGATCTCTTATGCTGACATAACAATAAAGCAGATTGAGTTAATTATATGTGTTAATCTTATTAACTCTATCACTAATTCTTTCCATATCCAATTTGAATTACAATCACCGTAACATATTTTGCTACTCATTGATAAAGGCCAACTCTAATTTTCCAAGAACAGCGTAATAAATGATGTAAGCAGAATCTGGGACTACTGATCATGGACAAATGGAAAACCTACTTTTTAGAATTGTTTATAATATAGTAAAGCTCTAGCTCTGGTCTGTCACTGCAAGGAGCACTTAGAAATTAGAAATTTTTATCCATGTTCTACCAGTCAATATAACAATGTAAAAAAATGATAATCATATTGGAACATGAACAGCTTAACTGCCAAAAGCATGTAAAAACACCCCAATTCTGTACAGATATTGTATGTTATATATACATGAATAGTTTTAGGAATTACTTCTCACCTGTGTTTGTTCTTCTGGAAGGAGATCAAATATAGCTTCGTGCATTTTTGTCATTTGCTTACAAATATTCCTGAAACAGGCAGAAGGAACAGGAGCCTTCACTTCATACTGGTAGGAAAAAATAATGAGAATTATGTTCATGTCCTCTGAATTGCATAATGTCTCCACCATTCCCTGAGACATATATTTACTGTCCCTCCACATATCCAATTCTGGCATAGTACTTAAGCTTACACTTTTCAACTGTGATCTGCGCTACTCATACAAATCTTGAGAACTTTTCATTCAACATCTTAATTCACTTTGAAGGAACTAAAATAGCTCAGTGACTAAGAACAAAGCCTGCTTCCAATCTTAGAACAGACTGCTGGGTTCAGATCCCAGCTCCTCCCATTCTAAGCTAGGTGATGTTGGGCAAGTTATTTAATTTATCTATCCCAAAGGGCTGCTGTGAGGATTAAAAAAGAGGACTCATAAGAAAGCAAGACAGTGCTTGATACAAAGTAAGTACTCAAAAAATTGTTAGCTACTAATCTGGCTCAATATACAATATAGCCACTCCAAATAAACAGATTACGTTTTAAACAATTTAAAAATTAGCTGGGGCATGGTGGCAGGCACCTGCAATCCCAGCTACTCAGGAGGCTGAGACAGGAGAATTGCTTGGACCTGGGAGGTGCAGGTTGCAGTGAGCCAAGATCGCACCACTGCACTCCAGCCTGGGCGACAAGAGTGAAACTCTGTCTCAAAAAAAAAAAAAAAAAAAAAAAAGAATGTGTCAGTATGATCGTATCTGAAATCAACAGAAAAATCTGGCAGAATAAATATGTTTTTTATTTTGTAGGTGGGTCAATATAGTAATATTTTACCCTAACATTAAAAGGAGGATTTTTTTCAGCAATGTTCTGTGCTAAAAATTTAAACTTAGGTAAATTCATTTTACTATTCTTACATATGAAACAATATGGTAGTATGACTTTAAAAGCCATCTTTTAGCTTATATTTTAGAATTCACACAGCTGAAGTTATATACCGTTTTATTTATAAGACAAATTTGGGCTAAATACTATATCTCCCTTTGGGGAGATAACTGTCTAAAAGCTGGTTGGTGTTCCAAAAAGTGGACAAGGAACGCTATAGGAACTCAAGTGAAGGATATTTACATAATGATGTCTAATGGCTTCCCGAGCTGCCCACCTGAGGTGTTCAGTCTTCAAAGGGAAAATAAACAGGTGAAAATATTCCAGGTAGAGGACAGGCCATATCATCTCAAATCTGGTTTTTTTTGTTTGTTTTTTTTGATTTTTTGAGACAGAGTCTCACTCTGATGACAAGCTGGAGTGCAGTGGTGCAATCTCAGCTCATTGCAACCTCTGCCTCCCAGGTTCAAGTGATTCTCCTGCCTCAGCCTCCCGAGTAGCTGGGACTACAGGTACTTGCCACCCCGCCCAGGTAATTTTTTGTTTTTAGTAGAGACAGGGTTTCACCATGTTGGCCAGGATGGTCTTGATCTCCTGACCTCGTGATCCACCAGCCTCGGCCTCCCAAAGTGCTGGGATTACAGGCGTGTGCCACCACGTCCGACCTCAAATCCGTTTTATACACTATCTGATTAATACTTCTAAAGTACCATTCTAATCGTATGATTAATTCATTAAAAAACTTTTCGGTTCTACTTTTATTTAAAATTTAGAAAGCTGCAATAGAACATTGCTACTACCTTAACAATACAAAAAACAGATAATCTGTAAGACCATACATCAGAGAACAGAGATCAGGGGAACTAATTCCAAAGACTGAAAAGGCCCTCTGAGGAGAGGTGATACACAGGAACTGTCTCACTTTTGGCAGAGCATAAAAAGAAGAGGTAACCACAAGAGAAGCAAGTAAGATGAAAATAAGTAAAATTTTAACAAATTCTTAAAGGCCAAACGTGGGCTAGGATATATTTAGGATAACTGAAAACCCTAGCCATAAGGAGAGTCTGCACTCATGCACAAGTTTTACTTCACGGCCTCCAGGAGGTACTCAGAAGAAACAGGAGGATCAAAGGGAGAAGATCATATAGATCCACTCCCAGTAGCACAGGTATTCAGGAGGTGATTAGTTGCCACAAGGAAATAGAAACAAATGCCATCATCCATTTCCCCCAAACCCTATTCTCATACAAAGTAAAAGGCCTAAGTCACTGAGAAGGGGCACCAAACTCTCACCACTGGGGTCACGGTGTGAAGCCAGGAACAAAACATGCCTGCTCCTGGGCCGGGCATGGTGGCTCATGCCTGTAATTCCAGCACTTTGGGAGACCAAGGAGGGTGGATCACCTGAGGTCAGGAGTTTGAGACCAGCCTGGCCAACATGGTAAAACCCTGTCTCTACTAAAAATACAAAATTAGCTGGGCATGGTGGTGCATGCCTGTAATCCTAGCTACTTGGAAGGCTGAGGCAGCAGAATTGCTTGAACCCGGGAGGCAGAAGTTGCAGTGAGCTGAGATCACACCATTGCACTCCAGCCTGGGAGACAAGAGCAAAACTCCGTCTCAAAATAAAACAAAATGAAAAAACATGCCTGCTGCTGAAGAAAGGGACAAAAACACCTGAAGCCCAGGATCTTGCACCAGCAGAAGTTGAGAGCAGAAGTATGGGCTCCACATTCAAGGCCAGGGATACAGGCTCTACCTAAGATGGAGACCAGACAAGAAGAACAAGCATTTCCCCTATTACCCTTAAGAGCCTAGCAATGAGAGTCTGGAGAAAGACTCCTATTCTGTAGTGGAGATGTACAGAGATGACTAAAAGATGAGGGTGAAACCAACACTGAGAAAAACCCTCTAACAACACCTCAGGCCCTACATTAAACACAAGGTAGTAGCAGCCTACTACTGAAGGAGTTGGAAGCCTCTGGCATACTAAGGGTAACAGCAGCAACAACAAAACAGACACCTAGCTTGGTTATTGAATAACTTGATTCAAACCATAACAAACATAGCCTGACAGAAGAGGCATGTCCATTTCCATGCATAAACACTATTTACCTCACAGTCTCTACTGTTCTTCTACATACAAGGTTCAGCATTTAATTAAAAAAAAAACAAAATATACAAAAAAGAAAACAATATCCCACTGTCAAGAAATAAAGCAACCAACAGAACCAGACTGAGAGAGAATCCAGATGTTGAAACGATTAGAGGGAGATATAAAAATAACTGATTAGGCCGGGCACAGTGGCTCAAGCCTGTATTCCCACCACTTTGGGAGGCTGAGGCGGGTGGATCACCTGAAGTCAGGAGTTCAGACCAGCCTGGCCAACATGGCAAAACCCCATCTCTACTAAAAATATGAAAATTAGCTGGGTGTGGTGGTGCATGCCTATAATCCCAGCTACTCCAGAGGCTGAGACCTGAGAATTGCTTAAACTCAGGAGGTGGAGGTCACAGTGAGCTGAGATCATGCAACTGTGCTCCAGCCTGGGCGAAAGAGTGAGACTGTCTCAAAAAATAACATAACAACATAACATAACATAACATAACACAACATAACATAACAAAAATAAAATAACTGATTAACATGTTAAAGGATCTAATGAAACCGAAATCTCAAGAGAGAAATTGAAACTATAAAAAAGGAAACACACAACAGGTCCAAGAAGTGCAGAAGAAACTCAAGCATGATCAAAAACACACAGAACTTAGACACATCATAGTGAAACTGCTGAAAATCAAAGACAATATTTTGAAGGCAAATAGAGCAAAAAACAATGAATTACAGCAGACTTCTTGTTGAAAACTATGCGAGCCAGAAGACAACTGAACTGAATTCTACATCTAGCAAAAATATCTTTGAAAAGTGAAGAGAAAATACAGGCTTTTTCAAACAAAAACTGAGATGATTCATTGCTGGCAGATACATTCACAAGAAATATGAGTGGAATGTTTTCAGGCAGTATGGTATCGGATGGATCCAAGCAAAGTAATGAAGAACTCCAAAAATTTATCCTCATTTTTTCATAAAAATGAGGATAAATATAAAAGGCATTGTTTTCCTCATTTTTATCACTTTAAAAGATAACTGATAATCTAAAGCAAAAACAGTGGCAAGGTATCACAGGTTTTATAAAATACGTAGAAGTAAAATGTATGACAATAATAGCACACAGCAGGAGAGAGAGAAAACAGGTATCCTGTCATAAAGTTCTTACACAATCAGGGAAGTAATGTCATATTATTTAAAGGTAAACTGAAAGATGTATGTTATAATCCCTAGAGCAGCCACTAGAAACAAACAGAAATATAGCTAGTACACCAACTTTAAAGATTAAACAAAATAAAACTATAAAAAACATTTAATCTGAAAAAAGGGGAAAATCAGTCAAAGAACAGAAGGAACAAACAGAAGACAGCTAGCAAGATGACAGATTTAAATCTAACTATATAAAAACAATTTAAATGGTTTAATAGGTCAATGAAAGACAGTAATTGTCAGACTAAGGGAAAAAAGCAAGATCCAGCTTCATTCTGGGTATAAGAAACTAACTTTAAATAAGGCATAGATATGTTAAAAACACAAGGATAGTAAGAGAAACACTATAAAAACACTATTCAAAAAAATTGGAATGGTTACATTTGTATTAGATAATATGCACTTCAAAAAAAGGAACATAACCAGCCATAAAAAGGATATCACAGGCCGGACGTGGTGGCTCACGCCTGTAATCCCAGCACTTTGGAAGGCCGAGGTGGGCGGATCACTTGAGGTCAGGAATTGAGACCAGCCTGGCCAACATGGTGAAACCGCACATCTACTAAAAATACAAAAATTAGCTGGGCGTGGTGGCAGGCACCTGTAATCCCACTTACTCAGGAGGCTGAGGCAGGAGAATCACTTGAACCTGGGAGGCATAGGTTGCAGTGAGCCAAGATTGCACCACTGCACTCCAGCCCAGGCAACAGAGCAAGACTTGGTCTCAAAAAAAAAAAAAAAAAAAAAAAAAAGGGAGATCACAAAATAAATATTAAGAAAACATAGTAATCCTAAATGTGCATGTATCCAGCAATAGAACTTCAAGATACATATAACAAAAACTTGCAAAGATCTGAACACAAAAACAGACAAATTTACAATTACAGTAAAAAACTTCAGTGCTCATCTCTCAGTAATTGATATAAGAAGTAGACAGAAAATCAGTAAGGACAGAAAAGACCTAAATAACACTACCAACCAACACCACTTAGTTGATATACACAGGACACTCTACCCAGCAACAGCAAAATACACATTGTTTTCATGTGCATGTGGAACATTAGCCAAGATATTCTTTGGCCACATTCTGGGCCACAAAAGAAATCTTAGACATAAAATAACTGGAGTCACATAAAGTCTGTTTGCTGACCAAAACAGAATTAGACTTGAGATCAAAACAAAGATTGCTGGAAAAATCCTAGAATATTTAGAAATTAAGTAACAGATTTCCAAATAACCCAAGGCCAAAGAAGAATCACAAGAGCAATTAGAAAATATTTTGAAATAAATAAAAATAAAAGCACAAAGTATCAAAATTTGCAGGACACAGCAAAAGCAGTACATAAAGGAAAACACAGATTATCAAATGCTTATATTCAAAAAAGGAAAAGAAAGGTCTCAAATCAAAAATCTGGGCTTCTACCTTGAGAAATTAGAAAACAGCAAATTAAATCCAAAGCAAGTTAAAAGAAAATAGAAAATAAATAACACAGACTGGAGCAGGAAAATAAAAAGCAGAAAAAGAGCAGGAAATATTTACTTTTACTAAAAGATCAAAACATGTGATAAACTTCTAGCCAGAAAGGGGGAGGTGAGGAAGACTTTATAAATTAACATCATTACCAATATCATGAAAGAAACAGCAGATAATACAGATCCTCACTGACATTAAAAGAATAAAAGAATATCATATACAAGTTAATGCTTCCAAGTTAATAACAGATGAAATAGATAAATCCATTCAAAGAAACAAACTTCCAAAGTGTACTCAAGTAGATTACCCACATAGTTCTATATGTATTTTTTTTTTAATGAACTTATTAAAAACCTGCCTGTAAAGTAAGAACAAAGACCAAATGGCTTTACGGGTAAATTCTAACCTAAAACTTGGGGAAAAAATAATACCAACTCCCCACAAATTCTTCTTCCAGGAAATATAGGAGGAAGAATACTGTCCAACTCATTTTATGAGTCCAGTATTACTCTGATACCAAAATCAAATAGGCACTTCAAAACAAAACAAATAACCCTATAGACCAATATCCTTCATAATACCCCTCCACCACACAAAAAAATCCTTAAGTAGGTTTATCCTATGAATGCAAGGTTGGCTCAACCTTAAAAAATCAATGAAGGTAATTCACCTTGGCAATCCTAAAGGCAATCCTAAAATATTTAGAAATTTAGAAATTAATTTCTTCAGACTAAGAAATGCAGACCATATGATCATCTCAACAGATGCACAAAAAGTATTTGACAAAATTCAACATCTGTTCATCATATAAACCTCTTAGCAAACTTGAACAGAAAGAATCTTCCTTAACCTGATAAAGGCCTCTTAAAAAAAACCTACAGCTAACATCATACTTAATGGTTAAAGACTGAACATTTTGTCCCAAGACTGGAGAAACCAAGCATATCTGTTTTCACCAATTTTATTCAACGTTGTGCTGAAAGTCCTAGCCAGTGCCATAAAGCAAGGAAAAGAAATAAAAGGTATACAGATTGAAAAAGATGCAAGATTCTATTTGCAGACAACATGAGTGTGTATGCAGAAAAATCCCAAAGAATCTACAAAATTGGCATTGTAACTAATATGTGAGTTTAGCAAGGATGCAGGACACAAAGTTAATATAGAAAAATCCAAGGTGTTTCAATATATTAGCATTGAATAATTGGAAACGTAAATCTTAAAAAAAGATACCATGTACAATAGCATCAAAAATGAAGAAATACTTATAAAATGTGTGCATTATCTGTTTACTGAAAAATACAAAATTTTGATCAAAGAAATTAAAGATGTAAGGAGTAAAGAGATAGGTCCAGTGGTGTGTGGTAAACATTTAATGGGCTCACTGGGGGAAAAGCACTGGTTTGTAGTATTTGTTAATTTCCATGGTGTAAATATTCACACCACTGGCAAAGTTACCAGTGTGCTGTTACTGAATGTAGTATTGGGAAGAGATACACAACATAGTTTCTGGCTAGCAGGTGCAATCTGGCTCTGGTACAAAACTGGATATACCTTGTTTGTGGATCAGGAGACCCAATAATGTCAATTTCACCCCAACTGATCTATACATTCAACGCAATTTCAATCAAAATCTGAGCAGCCTTTTTGGTAGTATTTGATAAGCTGATATAAAATTTTATAGGGAAAAGCTAAGGACCTAGAATAGCCAAAACAATTTTGAAAAAGAACAAAATTAGTGAGCTCACATTATCTTATTTCAAGATTTACAATAATGCTGGAGTAGCTAAGACAGTGTGGTACTGGAACAGAATATAATCTCAAAACCAAACAAAAACAGTTGATTTTTAACAAAGGTGCCAGTGGAGAAATGATAGTCTTTTTAACAAAAGGTGCTGGAACTATGAAAAATGAACACTGACTTATACTTTGCATTATATATAAATATCAACTAGAAATGAATCATAGCCTTAAATATAAAACCTAAAACAATAACATTCTAGAAAAAAAATTGGAGAATATCTTTGTAACTTGGGTTATACAAAGATTTCTTGGCCGGACGCAGTGGCTCATGCCTGTAATCCCAGCACTTTGGGAGGCCGAGGTGGGCAGATCACCTGAGGTCGGGAGTTTGAGACCAGCCTGACCAACATGGAGAAACCTCGTCTCTATTAAAAATATAAAATTAGCTGGGCGTGGTGGTGCATGCCCGTAATCCCAGTTACTCAAGAGGCTGAGGCAGAAGAATAGCATGAACCCGGGAGGCGGAGGTTGCGGTGAGCTGAGATCGCGCCATTGCACTCCAGCCTGGGCAACAAGAGAGAAACTCCATCTCAAAAAAAAAAAAAAAAGAAAAGAAAAGATTTCTCAGGATAGGACACAAGCAGCATGAACAGAAAATAAATAAATAAACTGAATTTCATCAAAATCAAAAATTGCTCTAAGACACTGTTCATGAAAGGAGAAGACAAGCCACAAACTGGGAGAAAATACTTAGAAACCACATACTGATACAGAATTTGTATCTAAGATATATAAGGAACACTTATAAGACAAACAACCTAATATTTTTAAATGAGCAAGAAATCTGAGCAGACACTTTACCAAAGATATGAATGGCAAACAAGCACATGAAAAGATGCTTAACATATCTGTAATTATGTAACTTAAAACCACAATGAGTATCACTCCATACACACCTACAAGAGGACGAACATTAAAAAATAAAGTGATGGTGAAGAGCACCTGGAACTCTTCTACATGGCAAGTAAAAAGGCAAAATGATGCGTTTTAGAAAATTTTAGAAAAATTTTGCAGTTTCTTATAAAGTTACCATAAAATTTTATATTTCCATAATCCACAATTGCCAATCTTATTCCAAGGTATTTATACTAAAGAAATGTAAACACATACCTACACAAAGACTGTACATGTAAGCTTATAACAGCTTTCTTCATAACAGCCAAAAACTGGAGAAAATTCAAATGTCTATCAATTGGTGAATGGATAAACAAATAGCAGTGAATCCATACAATGAATACTACTCTATAATAAAACGGAACAAACCACTGACACATGCTGTAACATCCATGAACTCCAAAAACATTATGTTAAATGAAGTGTGGCACAGTAGACTACATTCTGTATAATTCTACTTAGAGGATATTCTGGAAAAGGCAAAACTACATGGACAAATATCAGATCAGTAGCTTTCAGAGGCTGAGTATGGGGAGTGAACTGACTACAAAAGTGCCCAAGAGAATGCTTACCAATGATGTTCTATAACTTGCAGTTATACTATCTGTATTTAGATACAGATAGTATACATACACTTAGAAAAGGTGAATTTTACTGACTGTAAATTATACCTCAATAAACCTGATATGAATTGCTTAGTTTTCTACTGGTAGTCACAGCGCTCTATTATCTTTCCACCATATCTCCCACTCATGTGTGCCCACTCTGATGCATTAGCCAAATGGAACTATTACCTTTATTATTAGTAACAGCAACAGCAAAAGCATTAGCAGTCAATATTTACTAGAACTTGCTATAGTCAGATACATGATAAAAGGAAAGCAATCCACATATATTATCTCATTAATACAACTGTATGAAGTAGGCTCCACTATTATCCTCTTTAGAGGCAGAAACTGAGGCTTAAGGAGATTAATAATTTGCCCAAGGTCCTTCAATAGCTAGTATGTGACAGACATGGGATTTGAATTTAGGTCTACCTGACTCCAAAACCCTGACAATGAATTGCCTTAAAATTTCTACCAACATGTTTGCTTATGCTGTTATCTCAGAGATCTGTTCTCCTCAACTTCATTTGCCCTCATCTTATCTATCCTTAAAAGCAAAATTTACATGCATGCCTCATTCATAAAACTTTCCCAGATCTCCTTCACCAGCTGACACCATCTCTTCCAAAGCCTTAAAAGCTCCAGCACTAAATTAGCTCCTTATTTGTAACACTTTACATATATCCTACATCCTGTCATAGTTATTGATGTACTTCCCTGACAAATATTTTGCTATTGGAGGACAAGATCAAAGGCTTATTCACCCTTGTGTATCCCTGATACTGAACAAAACAGTTTATATTAATACATAACTTACAGAATGAATGAATAAATGAATGGTGGTTGGAACATTAGTCTAGCTGTTAGTACAATTAGATATTGTTTCATCCTACCCAGGCAATGGTACCCTTACTTATTAGCTGCCTTTTTTTTTTTTTTTTTTTTTTTTTTGAGATGGAGTCTCACTCTGTCACCTAGGCTGGAGTGCAGTGGCGTGATCTTGGCTCACTGCAACCTCCGCCTCGTGGGTTCAAGCAATTCTCTGCCATAGCCTCCGGGTAGCTGGGATTACAAGCACCCACTACCATGCCCGGCTAATTTTTGTATTTTTAGTAGAGACAGGGTTTAACCATCTTGGCCAGGCTGGTCTTGAACTCCTGACCTCACGATCCACCCACCTCGGCCTCCCAAAGTGCTGGGATTATAGACGTAAGCGACCTCGCCTGGCCGTTTTTGGTTTTTTTTTTTTTTTTGAGACAGAGTTTCACTCTTGTTGCCTAGGCTGGAGTGCAATGGTGCCATCTCGGCTCACTGCAACCTCTGCTTCCTGAGTTCAAGCAACTCTCCTGCCTCAGCCTCCCGAGTAGCTGGGATTACAGGTGCCCACCACCACGCCTGGCTAATTTTTTTGTATTTTTGGTAGAGACAGGGTTTCACCATATTGGCCAAGCTGGTCTTGAACTCCTGACCTCAGGTGATCCACCTGCCTCAGCCTCCCAAAAGTGCTGGGATTACAGGCTTGAGCCACCGTGCCTGGCCACTTATTAGCTTCTTAGAATCAACCCATATGTTATTGTGTCATCCTTTCCTAAAATTATATTTTCAGATTAGAACATGAAAGGTTAAAAACTGAAAGGCAAACCCAAACCAAACACTGTCTGCTATTTTGATATTAATTAAAAACAGGGTCAAACTCCTGAGCAACACATGAAAGCAAACAGAATAGGGAGTGGCAAAGAGAGACTTGTTAACACAGGAAGAATGTAATATGCCAGAGTAATAGGAAAAGTCATCAATGGAGAAGATACTAGAGAGAACATTATGTTATAAAAGCCTGGCCATATTCTTCAACGGGTCAATGATATATATTTTTTTAAATGAGGAGGGGCGTGTTCTAGTTTATAAGACTTAAGAGACGTAATAACCAAATGCAATCTGTGAACCGTGTAGAAGCCTTTGTCCAAACAAATTATTATAAAAAGACATTTTTGGGACAATTAATAAGTTTCAAATAGGAGAATAAATATTAGATGATTTTGAGGAATTATCAATTTTGTTAGGTGTGATAATAGTGTGGTTATGTAAAAATGTTCTTAGTTTTTAAAAATGCATACTTAGGTATTTAGGGATAAAATACCATAATGCCTCAAATTTATTATAAAATATTTTAGCAAAAAAGGCAAATTGTTAATAACGAATATAGGTCATGCATACATGGGAAGTTAATTAAACAATTCTCTTTTTTCTTTACAGAAAAAAAAAGTAAGTTGTCATAGGAAAAAGTCTAGTCACTGTGACAATTCTTATTCAAAAACTCTGTGGATGACCAAAGTGACAGACTAAAGTCAGAGTTTTAAGAGTACTAGCACATCTTTGGTTTTTCTTCATTGTATTCCACAGCCTATTAATTGTTCCACTATTTTTGTTTGTTTGTTTTAGAGACCGGGTCTTGCTCTGTCACCTAGACTGGAGTGCAGTGGGGTGATCACAGCTCACTGCAGGCTGGAACTCCTGGACTCAAGCATAGTTCCACTATTCCCAGCCTAGTTCCACTATTTAACATATATTCTATTCTCCACTGTTAGCTGTTTACAGTCTTCTAACCTTGTTAGATGGTAAGCTTCTTGAGAGCAGACACAATATGTTACCGACTTTTGGTACACAGAAGAATGCTGTATATCAAAAAGGAAACTGGTAGAATAGAATTGCTTTTGAATGTAGCTTGTACTTGGCACCAGTGAAGAAAATAAAGCATCTCTAAACAGTAATTTTTCTCCCTTCACAACTAGAAACTAATTTAAATAGGCATAACATAGTATAGGTATGTTTGTACATAAATACAAATTCCTTAAGCTTCTTAAAAGTGAAGCATAAAACACCTGTATTACCAACTACACCAGAGGTGTAGTGTAGTCTGGGGATTCCCAGAAGTCAGAGACCCTTTCCAGGAATCTGGGAAGTAAAAGCCGCTTTCATAATAATATTATTAATAAGATGCTATTTATCTATTTTACTCTCATTCTCTCATGATTGAACAGTGGGGATTTTTAGATGACTTGTGATATCATTATTCTGAAGGCTAATAGAATATGTGTTTGGGTAGTCTTGTGTGTGAGTGAATGGACACCACTTTATCTTGCCCTTTTGATTCTTATGTACCTGCTGTTCCTGCCATTTCGGAATCTGAAGGATGCAAGTAGGATAAAAAGCAAATCAAAGTTCTTTGCTATTAAGGTTATTCCAAATATGATCTTGGACAGACAGTATACACTGAGTAAACTTTCAGACTTTCAAGTTACGAAATTTTGGCTTTCCCACTAAGACGTGAATTGAAAAACTTAGGGAAAGTAAACAGTGAAAGATAGATCAAGCGTGATTGGGGCTGACTAAATGATATTTTTCTGAAGATACTCTCCCAGTATAACTGCGAATTCTTTGGGGAACACTGCTTCATTTAATGACATATTGGGAATGAAAAACAAACAAGAAATGAATGTTGAAATGAATTAACATAAAAATACTTCTGCATAGGATTTCTACCATCCTTAGAATCATCTCTCCTACTCCTGCCAGCCCCTTAGAATATCAACTGTTTTGGAAATCCGAAAATTTTGTTGAGTTGTTTTCTAAACCCTGAATAATTTGTTAGATAACTGCAGGTTAGACCACTATGGGGGGTCTTGGTCACAGCACATGGTCACATTTTCCTGAAAAAAAATTTAAAATTCTACTAATTGGTAAATATCCTATGAAAGTTTAGATTATCTTTTCACATCTTAATTTATAAAGTACTCCTTATAAAATAGAAAATCATAATGTCTTTGAACAAAGTCTAATAATTTCTATAAATCATTACCTTAGATAACAGCTTGTCAAATAAGCTATCCATTATCGCTACAAGCTTAGCTGATATTTCAGCTATGTGATCATGGTAGTCCTGCAATGAGAAATGATAATTGTATTTTTAAGTCCCTGGGACACATTTTTAAAATACTTAACAATTAAGGATCTAAACTTATGAAACGCCAATAGAAAATATATGAAAAAGTACCTTAGTGATATGATCAAAATGCCTAAGCATGCTATATTGCTTAGGTGGTAGTCGAGCTTCAAAATGAGCCCGGATCACAGGAATGTAGTGCACAATTAACTGCAAACATCGTGAAGAAAGAGCTGAAGATCCAGGGAGTAGATATATAATGGAGAAATAAAAAAAAAAAAGGTATTAGTTGATTTTAATTACAAATCAAATCAAATAAAAAACATCACTTATAAAGAACCAGTTTATTTCATAAACGAAGAGCCCTATGGCAGAAGGCAACATATTTCATTTTGTCTAATAATTTGATACTGAATAATGTAATGAACATGCTGCTTTCACAAAGGACTCAAGTTGTGAGTATTATCAGTATCACAATAACAAGACAACTGATTCTCTTATGACATTCAGATAGCTTTCACCCCCAAATACTTTATACACATTATATCTTAATATTTTCTAGAGTGGTGTAACTTCCAAGTAACTTATACTTGGAGGGGAAATGCATCGTAACCTTTTCCCCATGGTTAGTTTTTTTCAGTGATGAGTATACATAAAAGAGTAAGTAGCATTTATTTTTAGAGTAATGCCACTTTGGTTAGAGCCATGAAAACATGAGGTATAAAAAAACATGATGAGAACAGTGACATCACTGTTAACACTTCAGCAAGTGAATTAAACGCAAGAATCCATACCCAAATTTTTTGTAGTTATCGTTTTTAGTCCAACAACTTGCAGTGCACCAGCTCCAAGAACTAACTGGCAACTTCTTGAATTGAAGTACTAACAAAAGAAGGAGAAAAAAACCCCAAAATTTACTAAAAACTGTTCTTTATATCCTGGCAATGTGCTATTATAAAAATACATTCCCCTTTCCTCTCATTCAATGGCCAAATGAATTATCTAGTAGAAGCAATTAGTATCTATTTATTTAATGAAAAAGAAATGAGAAGGGGAGATTCTAAATGATAATATTTACTGATAAGAAAAAAGTTGAAAAATTCTAAAAATCAGTTCGCAGAAATTAATCTTTAATTTGCATGTACAAAACAAATTCGGTTTCAGTCATTCTTGTTGGGAAGTCCTATTTTCAAAAGTTATAAAAATCTGTCTTGGCTAAAACATGACAACTCAAGTCAGAACATAATTAACAGATTAGAGGTTTGAAAAAAATAATAAAGCATTTCCTCCGTACTGGTAGTTTAAAATATCTCAATATGAAATGGCTGAATAAAATCATCACATTTTCATTTTATATCAATGGTTCTGAAAGAATGATGCAAGAAAAATCTCTAACCTTAGTGAGATGAATTTTGTAAAGTTCAGTGAATTCCTTCCATGCACATTTGAAGCCAGTCCAGGTTTTTTGACCTAAGTGGCCTCAGTCATGTTCAGCACCTAACGAACAAATCATCTCCTGTCTCCAATGTCATTAACAACTCTATGGGTGAATGAGGATCACTAACTGTGGAGTAAGAAGGAAGCAGGCAGCCTGTTTCCAATAACATGTTGTGATTCAACCACAATCAAATGTTATAAAACTAATGTCTTAAAGTTAATTTGACCTTGAAATGTCTTTGAGTTAAGATTAGTCACACCCTAATGTATTAATTCCTCGAAAAATTTTTCCATAATGGAGTGAAGTCATACATACCTTCAATAAATCTGACAGACGAGTAAGCATGTCAGTAGTAACAGATGGGATGTTATCCACACACTGGCAATATTCAAGGATAATTCTTATTAACAGCAATACGGTTCTACAAGAAAAGAAAAATGGCCCAATAGGAAATCAAAACAAGAAAAATCAAAAGGATTTGGCATATAAAAATCAAATTACTTAATGGCACAAAGGATCTCTGAGAATATAATGACCTTGGTAACTATGTTAAAGTATGCATTTTACCTACTAGTACAGCAGGTTCTTGACTAACACAAGACAAGAGAGGTGTCTAGAATGCAAAATTTAAAGAGGCTCTTACTCTGTGCAATTGCAGGATCAGCTTGCACAACACTGAGAATGAGTGGCTCCTTAAATTCTGTACAACAGGCATAATACTCTCTGTATGGCATTCTTATTAAGTAAGGGAGTCGCTTCAGTAAGACAGGTATTGCATTCATTAGCCAATTCAGAAACACTGACAAAAAGCCTATCCAGTGTTTCTGATTACCAACATAGTAGGTCCTCCATCATAACTAATGAATTGATGAAGAAAACCTAGTCCAGATTTTCTTAGTGAGATGGAAAAAAAAAAAATCTATAATGGCTTCTAAGGAAAACATGTCTCCTAAGAATTTTATTGGTAGGTCACAAAAGGTTCTCTGGCTGGGCGCGGTGGCTCACACCTGTAATCCCAGCACTTTGGGAGGTCAAGGCAGGCAGATCACTGGAGGTCGGGAGTTCGAGACCAGCCTGACAATGGAGAAGACCAGCCTGACAGTGGAGAAACCCTGTCTCTATTAAAAATTCAAAATTAGCTGGGCGTGGTGCTGCACATCTGTAATCCCAGCTACTGGGGAGGCTGAGGCAGGAGAATCGTTTGAACCTGGGAGCCGGAGGTTGTGGTGAGCTGAGATCATGCCATGGCACTCCAGCCTGGGCAACAAGAGCAAAGCTCCGTCTCAAAAAAAAAAAAAAAAAAAAAAAAAAAGTTTTCCGAAGATGATAAAGTTATCACCTCCATAGAAGGACAAATCACACGTTAAAAAGACACACTACTGGGAAGTTAAAGAAGATTGAAATTAAGGAGAAAGCCATTCATCATAGGATATCTAAGTTCAATGACATGCTCAGAAATAAGATCTACGTAAAATAAGGATTTATAAGAGCCTGAAAGATATCAGGAACTAATGATTCAAGAAAGATGGTGTCTAGCCTTTATAACACCTTGTCAGACCATATATGCATACTGGTCTCTATGCTTATTTCTCCTAGAGTCTGCCTAAATGAGCATGAGTCCATTGCTTATCTTTTGTAATTGTCTCTCAGAAGTTGTAATAGTTCCCCTTTAGCCAGGGAATTTAGTTTTTTGGCAACAGACTCTCTGCCTAAAGAGCCAAAAGCAAGATGGCCAGAGGGGACCATATCCATCAAGCAAGTGAAGAGTGACCAGATAACCAGTAGTTAAGGAGGGAAATCATAATTATATTGAAGGGATGGGATTACAGGAAGACTGAAGAAAGCTTTCCCTACCAGAAACAGGGAAGGACTTCAGAAGAGAAAAGAATGGAGGCTTTAGTTTAGAATGTGTGGACTTCAGGTATTTGAATACAGATACAGAAAAAGGATTAATTCTATACATACTTTTTGAGTGCTTATTATGGTGCCAAGAAAAATAAAAACGGTAAGACCTCATCTCTACCTTTGAGGAATTCAGAGTCAAATTAGAAGACATATACATAAATAAACAATTCTATTATACTACGGTAAGTGCCATGATTGAGGAACATAGAATTACATTCTTCCTGGAGGTGGTGGTCATTTCAAAAAACACTTGACAAGAAGAAAAGTGAAAAAGAATGCTGGGCTAGATATTGGCAGTTAGACCTAGATTTGAATTCTGGCTCCATTTGGGTCACTTGAACCACTTAATCTTCTAAGCTTCAATTCTCATAGTGGAAAAAGGAAAGAATAATCCCCAATATCTTTATTTTACAATGTAGTTGTAAAGATCAAATGAGATCACATATATATGAAAACACTTAAGCTGTGAAGTACTGTTAAAGCATATGAAGATATATTTTAATTACCAATTTAATAAAAGACATAGTACTAGACAAAAAAAGATGGAATTTGTATGCTTCTTAGTTAACTTGAATTTGAGATACTTTTATTGGTAAAAGATCTAGTGAATCAAATGATGCCAATGAGAATAACTACCAACAACTATCAACTTATTAGGTGCTAGACCTGTGCTAAATGCTTTACATGAATTACTTAATTTTCGCAATAATTCTGTGTATAGTACTATTTTCCACATTGTGTGGGTTCCAGAGTTCACAACTTAAACTATTATGCTATAATACATTCTAAGAAAGCAACAGAAGAAAAGATAGAAAGAGCCTGGGATAGCAATAATATCATGGATCCACTACAATTACTCTTGGGTTGTCTAGATTTCTTGTTATATGAGAAAAATCAAGCTTTTTGTGTTAAGCCAGTGCAGTCCTTAATAATGTATGCTACAGAAGAGAGAAGATAAAGAAATCCATAAAGTTTCCTTTAAGTTCTTTGCAGGATTTAAAACAGTTAATCCAAATTTAACACTGTTAAAACTGTTAATCCAAAATTTCCAATTCACTTCAAGGGAGAACTAGAAGACTTGTGTTTTAAATAGTTGACTCAACTACTAAAGAAAAATGTGTCACTCACCCAACAACTGCATACTGTTGTCCCTCGACAATAAGAACTTCAGCTGGTTTCCTTTCTTCTGTGGCTACAGAGTTAAGCAAATAAACGAGAGACAAGAGTACCAGACGAAACAAAATAGAGAAAAAGCTGAAGAAGATAATTCCTGTTTAAGGCCAAAAACTCTCATTTCTGAAAATAAACATCTACTTCCTGGGAAACTATTTGGCACACAGTAAATAAAGTATACTGGAAGTTGGAGAGATTTGGATTTGAGTACCAGTACTACCAATTACTGGATACATGACTTTGGGGCAATTATTTAACCTCTTTGAGTATCACTATCTGTATCTATTAAATGTGAACAACAATATCTTTCAGGGTTGTTGTTAATGGTAGAAATAATTATCACAAACTGCCTATCCCTTAGGGCTGGCACAAGGTAAATGATCAGCAAATAGTTTTTTAAAAAGTTATTAGTTTTGGAAAGGCAGAACTAGCATTTAAATTGGTTGTCTTTACTATTATCATTATAGAATACAAGTTAATTTCTAAATTTGATGGAAAGATTATATATTTAATTTTTAATACTTCAACCCAGACGTTACTTTATTTTCAGCATGTGATATTTCTTTAAACAAAATTCAGCATATTGAGGTGAAAAGAACAGTGGACTGGATTTTATCCTGGACACGCCAAATTGATTAGATTACCATGGGCAGCTCATTATGCTTCCCTAAGCTTCAAATCCCTTTAGGATTTGTAAATATATTTGACTATTTGAGAGCTATATATATTGCAATCACAATTTACTATGTATGTCAGAAGTATATTTTTTGAGGTTAAGGACTGTGTCTTCATCACTTCTCTATATTACAGAGAAGTGGCATAGCATCGTAGAAAAGAGAAATGGCCCTAAAGTCAGTCTGCCTGGATTGGAATCCCAGCTCTACCACTTCCTAGCTATGTAACCTTAGACAAGTTGCTTAACCTCTTTGTGCCTTAGTTTCTAAATTTGTAAAATAGGAATACTAATAATATCTAGCTCATGGACCTGTAAATGAGATAACACATGTAAAATACTTAGAACAAAACAGTGTAAGTAAACACTCAATTAATATTAGCTGCTATCCATTAATCTTCATTTCCCCAATGCCTAGCTGAGTGGATAGTAACCCAATTAATTTATCATGGATAAATGGGTAATAATCCAGGATCCTTAACTTGAAAAGAACTAGTAAAATGTTAATGGACTTCTAATAGCATACACCTATGCTATTCAGAGAGGAAAACAAAGACTGAGATGAAGCAAGGTATGTAAAAGAAACCTCCTACCATCAATATCCTCCAAAGAAGTGAAAATAAGTAGTTCATGTTTCAAACAAAACACATGAGTAATTCAATTATTCCACATTTATGATTTTAATTCAGAAATCATTCTGTTTGCTTAACAGTGGAATCAAAAGACCATGAGCTGTTCAGGGACAGAAAACATATCCTAGTCATCTAGCACAGCACCTCACATAGAGGGAAGTCAATTAAATATAGCTTGAAAGACTAGATGAGTGATAAGTCTTATAATTTTAAACTAGTGATTTGGAGTGGTCAGAGTTTTATTTTTCCATCAGCTCTTGCTACTTGAATGCTTTAGTTGTGCCAATATCATACCATCAAGTAGAAAACTCTACCACCCAACACTATTACCTATTAAAAACTGTCATATGACAAAAATTTACTTAATTCCTTCAATTTTTCTCTGCCCTATATCAACTCATCTATTTTATACTTGTCCTTAACCCTCTTCCCCTTGTCACAGGGGCAGAAGTAGTAGCCTTTCTCTTAAACTCTAGATTCGATTCCATGCACCTTGCCCTGTAAATCACCCTCTCTCTCTAACTTCTTTAGCTACTATTTCATCACTCACTTTTCCTGCATGCCAAATCTGTTGAAAAAGTAGGCTATACTTGTCTACCCTTCCTCACTTTTCCAGTTACTAAGCACTGAACTGCAATTTGACTATCACTCCACTGAATTACTGAGATTGCAAATGATCTATGTATCAAACTAATGGTTACTGTTGGTGTTTTACTCAAGTCTTTCTCTTGTAGTCTAGTTGCATTTTGTGCGAATGTGAAGTATACAATTTAAAACTTTGATTAAATGCATAAAATCTGAAATAGTTCAACTACCTTCTCTATTAGAAATACTCAAGAATTTCATAATTGTAAATCTTATAGGACTATTATAAATAAATTTACATTATTATCACATGATGACTCCACCTGAACTAGGGTACAAAAATATTTCCCAGCCATCTCTTCCACATGAAAACTCTCTCATCATTTTACTTCTATGTTCTAGATTTCTCCCTGCCTCTCTGGTTCTTCCTTTTTTGTCTCCTTCATGGTTTTCTTTCTTTACGTTTGGATTTTCGCTATCATGTAACTACATTACTTGTGATTGCTTATGTATTTTTTGGTTTTGTTCATTAGACTTAGCCTCTTTAAAGCAGAAATACAGCTGTTATCTCTGTCTCAATTCTGTCTCAATATAGGACACAAAGTAGAAGCTAACTAGCGCTTACTCAATTCATGTATGTAAACAATACGGTATAGTAGCTAAGAACATAGCTATGAAATTATATAAAGCTGGTTTCAAATCCCAACTCATCATTTGTATAAAAATTCCTTAACCCTTCTAAGCCTCAAGCCTCCTCACTGTTACACAAAGAAACAATAGTACCTGTATCACAGATCGTTGTGAGAATGAACTGGAGTAATGCATGTAAAGAACATGGTCCAGTGTCTGGCATATGGTTATAACACGCAATAAATATTTGAAATAATTATTATAAATTACCATAGTTTTCCTGTCAAGTATTTACTAAGCTGGAAATATTGGTTCTAGCTTTGAAATAGGCATTGTCAACTAAAGAAATATTAAGCATTAATACAAAATAAATAAACAATATAAAATTGAAAGAGAATGTGTGAATGAATACACATACCTCCTGATTTTTTTTCAGGTAAAGCAATCTTCCCATCTGACAGAGAATCAACAAGATCCTGAAATTCTGCAGGAACATCTGCTTGCTTCCAGCGCTCATTGTCTAAGAGGAGGCTAGTCCACAGTAAGGAGAAAAGAAGGTAAACTTTAACATTTCAATACCATCTTCCTTGGTTTAAAAGAAAAGGAAGAAGAGCTGAGTGAGAACATAAGACTTAAAAAGTGCTGAACACTTTAATAAGCAGGACCAATACTTAGAAAATAGTTCCCTTTTTATATCTCAGCCTAATCAAAAAGAATGATGAAACAATTTACTTAACTTTGAGTGGGAACAAAAGTCAACTTACTGAGGATCTTCCTGATAAGTACTTTAATAGAAGTAAACATTCTAACTCCACTTTGAAAAGCCAAGAAATGTGATTTTAATTCCACAATCTGCCTTTAATTAAAAAAACCTTTATCAGGCATTTTCACTGGCCAATTAGGTTTCCTCTTTTAAACATAACTGTGTTTCACAAAGAAAAATGAAAAAATCAAACAACAGAATGGACATGGTGATGATACCTGAGCTTGGTTTTTCTCTCTTCATGAAACCTATTTACAAACTTAATAGCTTGGCTCTGAAGTGCTCCAAGTAATGACGTGCTTTTTCTTCCACAGATCTGTTCGGTGTCTAAAATGAATGTTTCCATTAATCTAGAAAGTGTTATGAATTCCATGGAATTTAGCTTCTCAAGAAAACCATCCTAAATTTTAATACAAAAATCATGAGAGTTAGTGTAACACCAAATTGAGTTATGAAACCAAGTTAGTTTAACGATTATTATAATCTATATATTTTTTATTTTAATAATATTTCCCAATACTTCAGACCCAGAAATTGAGCATGAAATGCTTAAGAGGTCCAAATTTGATTCTGATCCCTTTATAACTAATATAGTAGTTCAAATGAATTTAGGTCATACTATAAAATTTTCACAATGTTGGAGTTTTATTATAAACTTGTTTAACTACATATATTTAGGTATACATATATAGACTTACTATATATGTAAAACAACATTAATTTCAAATTAGTTATTAACATATATTTCAAAATGTCATTTAATCATTTATCTGAAAATAATGCTTTAATAACTCCTATTTATTTTAGATTACTTCATATCTCAACATCTCCCTAGTAGACCACATCAGTGGTAACACTGACTTTATTAAATGTTAAAAATATAATATGCATTATGGGGAACACAGGAAGCAAAGACATAATTCCAGATCTTCAAAATTATTACGTATAAAATATATAAAGCTTTATGAAAATAGCTACCTTTGCTCTTGACATGAGAAATTTGACAGCTCGATCATGGCATATATCTGAGGCACTATATAATAATTCCTGGATATTATTTGCCAGCTTTCCTAGCTCTGAGTCAGTTAATTTCATATCTTCACTGACCCTGAAAATAACAAAATAAGATTTAGTCAGGGAAAGTTGTAAACATAGTATTCTCCACAGGTGACCTATCAATAAAAAGGATGAAAAAGCTGTAAAATTCACATTTGAAGAAAAATTCTATGATGTACCAAATATCTTATAGTTTTTATAGTGAAACATTACTTAAACATGCTCAGATAATACAACTATTATCTATATTATTATTTGTTTTGAGACAGGGTCTTGCTCTGTCACCCAGGCTGGAGTGCAGTGGCACATTCAGAGCTTACTGAAACCTCAAACTCCTAGCCTCAAGCAAACCCCCTACCTCAGCCTCCCAAGTAGCTGGGACTACAGAGTCTTGCTACAATGCCCAGGGTGGTCTCAAATATCCCTGGCCTCAAGCAATCCTCCCACCTCAGCCTCCCAAAGTGCTAGGATTTACAAGTGTGAGCCACTGTGCCCATCCACAAATGTATTTTGTCATAACCTTAAATAAGAATTTTCATTCTCCACTGTAGTATTTTCAACACTTGGTTCAGACTCCAATTGGAAAGTCTGCAGAAACTATAGCAAAATTAAATTTTTAGATTAGGTACAAGGTAGTAGCTATGTCAGGGGACAGTTGTGCATAGGCACCTAGGATGATACAGTGGAAGCAAGAAGAGGGAAGGAATGTTATTTCATGACAAACAGGCTCTCTTTTTACTTATAATTATGAATGAGTATAAATATTCAGTTCAACTGAACTAATATTTACTAAGCATTTACCATGCTTAAGCGCTAGGCACTAGAGGGAATATAATAGGTTGCTGCTTTCAAGG
Organism: Homo sapiens; assembly: GCF_000001405.40. Lineage (NCBI taxonomy): Eukaryota > Metazoa > Chordata > Mammalia > Primates > Hominidae > Homo > Homo sapiens. Next base: position 63,922,138 of record NC_000002.12, read on the forward strand.
AACCTAAACTCAAAGAGGAGTATTTATAAGACATAATGTGCTTTTTTTCAATTTTGAGGGGGAATGTAAAACTTTCTATTTTTAAACATTTTCCCCCAGGGGCATATATAAAGACCAATGATTCCATGCCATCAGTTCAGTTTAGTGTTACCATGAGCCAAGTGAAGTACCTTAACCTCATTTTTCTCTCTTTCAGTTGAATTAAAATACTTTTCAAAGATACTACAAAGAGGCTCTGGTGTATATTACTTTGAGGCAAACTACCATTCTAATTGGTTATGGTATTAAAGAAGGTTATTACCTGCTATCCTTCAAAATCATAATATCACCAAATTTGTTTACTAATGCTTCAAAATAACAGAAGAATTAATATTCTTAAAGTACTCGCAGAAACATTATCTCGTTTCATTCTCACACTCTGAGGTAGGTAGATAAATAACCACCTATGGAGGAGAACACTGAATCTTAGAAAGTTAAAGTGACCTATCCAAGGTTAGAATATTAAGAGAGTAGAACTAGAACCTAGACTTAGTCTACTTCTAATCGATTAAGCTTCCTCTGCTCCGACATTTCTATATAAACAGTCTAGTAGTATTTCAAAACAGGATACCTGCAAAATTCTTGCTTAAATTTCAAAGTCAACTTTACTACTGAAGTAAATTTTTAATTCCTGAAACATTACTTAAAATTTCCCCCATGTAACAGAATGATTAAGGAATTTGAAACTCTTGGCAATATCCTACCAATTCACAAAAATATAAACAGAAAATAGCAAATAAAAACAACTCAAGTCCTTAAAAAAAAAAAAAGAGTGAATTAATCCAAAAAGCCCAAAGTTAGTTTTTTAAAATAATTTCATTCATTGTAATTCTGCTCTTAAAAAGATTTTTTGGGGCTGGGGCGCGGTGGCTCACGCCTGTAATCCCAGCACTTTGGAAGGCCGAGGCGGGCAGATCATGAGGTCAGGAGACCGAGATCATCCTGGCTAACACATGGTGAAACCCCGTCTCTACTAAAAACGCAAAAAAATTAGCCAGGCGTGGTGGCAGGCGCCTGTAGTCCCAGCTACTTGGGAGGCTGAGGCAGGAGAATGGTGTGAACCCGGTAGGCAGAGCTTGCAGTGAGCCGAGATCGCACCACTGCACTCCAGCCTGGGCAAAGGAGTGAGGAAAAAAAAAAAGAAAAAAAAATTATTTTTTAACTTCAGTTAGATCTCTAACTTTCACGTCAATAGGGAAAAAACAAACGAATTCAAACATAATCCAGCAATTCTACTTCTGGGTATATATCCAAAATAACAAAGTAAGATCTCTAGGATTTATATGTACACTCAAGTTCATAACAGCACTATTCAAAATAGCCAAGACGTGGAAGCAACCCAAGTGTCCACTAATGGATGAACAGATAAACAAAATGTGATATATACATATACATCTTGTATGTATATATCACATACATGTGAATGGAATATTATTCAGCCTTAAAAAGGAAGAAAATTTTGATATATGCTTCAACATGGATGAAACTTGAGGACATTATGCTCTGCAACTCTAATATTTTCCATTGTTTTTCTCTTCCTATTTCCTGCCTAGAAAAGTATTTCCTATTCTGTGCCTTATTTGCATTGCAATAAACTTACAAAATTGCAGGTTATTTTGAAGTAAGAAAATAGGGAAAATCTACCACTAACAAAGTTAGAACGTCAGACGTATTTTTGCATGTTCTATATCAGTGATTCAATTATATACCACAAAAACACTTGCTACAGGAATAGTCAGAGCCGTTGTATGAAAGAACTAGTTAGACTCACACATATAAGTATACTCAATTCATTGCCCCTTTGGGTTGGGTAGTTCCCAGACATTTATGTGTCTACTGAACATAGAAAGAACCATCTACAGAACCTATGCTTCATGCTGTAGGAGGATGCAATTGGGGAAAGCCAGAGAAGGTTCAATGTATAAAGTGAGCCACAATGGAGGTAGGAGGGGAAGGATAAAAACTGTGAGACTGCATCCAGTTTAAAAGGATCTCAAATGGTGTGGCAGAAAGCTAACTATCTTTCAGTATCTGTTCTCTCTTTTGCCACAATGACAGCTCTAGCTGGGCAAATAGTCCACAAGCTAAAGACTTATTTCTCAAGCTTCCCTTATAGCTAGACATAGTCATGTAATTATTCTGGCCACTAGGATGTGAGTGGAAGTAATAAGTGTGAATTCTGGATTGTGCTTGTTTTTAAAAAGAAAGAATAAAATATAAACAAATCTACATGAAGGTAACAGAGAACTAAGAAATCTAAAATGTATATGGATTTGTAAAAGACCAAGAAGAGTTGAGGCAATCCTAAAGAAGAAAAATTGGGAGAAATTAATCTCCCAGATATTAATATGGATTAAAAAGCTACAGTTGCTGGGCATGGTGGTTCACGCCTAGCACTCTGGGAGGTTGAGACAGGAGGATCACTTGAGGCCAGGAGTGACCAGCCTGGGCAACATAGTAAGACCCCATCTCTACAAACTAATTGTTTAAGAAAACAAAAGCTATCGTAACTACAGTAACTATGACAATTTTACTTAATGGTACTGGTGTAAAGACAGAAAAATGAACGAAATAGAGTCCAGAAACAGATACGCCTATCTGAATATTTGATTTATGTCAAGAGTGACATTATAGAGCAGTAGGAAAGACAGCCTTTTCAATAAATGGTGCAAGGTCAAAAACATATCCATATGGGAAAAAAATCTTAACCCTCATACTAAACATAAAAATCAATTCTAGATGGATTGTAGGTCTTAATGTGAAAAAGACAGTAACAAAGTTTCTAGACAGTAACCAGAAAACATCTTCAAGTCTTTAAGGTAGAGAAAGATTTCTTAAACAGGACACAAAGAAGCATAAATCATAAAGGAAAGTAATGAATCATAGAATTATATTAAGAACTTTTGTTCACCAAAAAACCCAATAAGAGTGAAAAGTCAATACAGAAAGTGGGAGAAGATATCTGCAATATGGACAACTGGCAAAAGGTTTGTGCTGACATAATATAAACAACCTTCACAGATCAAGACAAACCAACAGAAAAATGGGTAAAGGCCTTGAATAGGCACTTCATAGAAAAGGACATCCCAGAAGCCAATGAATGTATGAAAAGGTGCTCTCCTAACAATCATCAGGGAAATAAAATTACTACACTTGCAACATACCCAACAGAATGGCTAACATGTAAAAGACTGGCAATATTAAGAGTGAAGGAAGATGTGGAGTGACACAAACTGCTCCACACTTCTGAGGGGAGCATAAATGAGTACAACCACTTTGAGAAATTGTTAGGCATTAGCTAAATTGACCATTCACATACTTTGTTTCCAGGTATATATTCAACAGCAATGCTTGTAACATGTGCAACAAAGGTATCTAGAAGAATGTTCGTGACAATCCAAAATGAAAATAACCCAAATCTTATCAAAAGTAAAATACATACATACATTGTGGTGTATCATAAAATGGATTATTTGTACACAAAAAATAAAATCACTGCTACATGTAACAACCTGGATAGATATCACAACTGTAATGCTGAACGAAAGAAATCAGAGACAAAAGAGCAAATATATTATTCCATTAACATAAAGTTTAAAAACTGGAAAAACCAATTGTTTTAATGGTTTCCTATGGGAAGGAGTAGTGTAGTATTACAGCAGCAAGAGGGGCTTCTGAAGAGCTGGTAAAGTTATAGTTCTTGAGGGGGGTGACAATTACACCAACACATTCACTTTGTGCTAGTTAATTGAGCTGAGCACTTTATAATTGCTACATTTTCCCATATGTGCCTTATGTTCCAAATGGATCATAAAAGGGCTGAGAGGAAGATGAATACAAATGATACTTGAAGATGGAAGGTGGGCTTAGTTCTACCCAAATTACATGGCTGTTGTTAAAATGTTTAACAAGCAAAACAAAGTAAGCAAGGTATCAGCCCTTTGTCCTCTCCTTCCTGCTGCTACGGATGAAAATGAAATGCTAAAAGCCAGAACAGCCACCTTAGACACAGATGAAAACTACACATGAGAATGGTAGAACTGTCTTCTCAGCTGACCATCTCCTACCTCTGAAATGTTACATGAGAGAAATAAAATTTTACATTGTTTAAGCTACAGAGTTTTTACATCTCTTTTTATAGCAGTTTTAGACTGCACCCTAACTAGTAAATGTGAAAATATCAGCCTGAACACAGAAGAAACTTTATTAATATATAGCTCAGGGTTTGGTTTGTTTGTACTGAAGAGCAGTGTTATAGCTGACTTTATGCTGTAACTGTGACCTTTATAAGCTCCAGGACCATAAGTTGATTTACATAAAGTACTGAGCTGACCGGTCGCTCCCAAGATGGCTGAATAGGAACAGCTCTTGTCTACAGCTCCCAGCGAGATCGACGCAGAAGACGGGTGATCTCTGCATTTCCAACTGAGGTACCTGGTTCATCTCATTGGGACTGGATGGACAGTGGGTGCAGCCCATGGAGGGTGCGCTGAAGCAGGGCGGGGCATCGCCTCACCTGGGAAGCACAAGGGGTCGGGGGATTTCCCTTTCCTAGCCAAGGGAAGCTGTGAGTAACTGCACCTGGAGAAGTGGTACACTCCTGCCCAAATACTGTGCTTTTCCTATGGTCTTTGCAACAGGCAGACCAGGAGATCCCCTCCCGTGCCTGGCTCGGTGGGTCCCACACCCACGGAGCCTTGCTCACTGGTAGCACAGGAGTCTGAGATCCACCTGGGATGTGAGAGCTTGGTGGGGGGAGAGGCGTCTGCCATTGCTGAGGCTTGAGTAGGCAGTTCTATGCTCAGAGTGTAAACAAAGCAGCAGGGAAGCTCAAACTGGGCAGAGCACACCGCAGCTCAGCAATGCCTACTGCCTCTCTGGATTCCACCTCCCTGGGGAGGGCACAGCTGAACAAAAGGCAGCAGACAGCTTCTCCAGACTTAAACATCCCTGCCTGAGAGCTCTGAAGAGAGCTGTGGTTCTCCCAGCACAGTGTTCGAGCTCTGATAACGGACAGACTGCCTCCTCAAGTGGATCCCTGACCCCCGTGCAGCCTGACTGGGAGACACCTCCCAGTAGGGGGCCGACAGACACCTCATACAGGTGGGTGCCCCTCTGTGAAGCTTGCAAGGGAAGGATCAGGCAGCAATATTTGCTGTTCTGCAGCCTCTGCTGGTGATACCCAGACAAACAGGGTCTGGAGTGGACCTCCAGCAAACTCCAACACACCTGCAGTTGAGGGATGTGACTGTTGGAAGGAAAATTAACAAACAAAGGAATAGCATCAACATCAACAAAAAGAACATCCACACCAAAATCCCATCGACAGGTCACCAACATCAAAGACCAAAGGTAGGTAAAACCAAAAAGATGGGGAGAAACCAGAGTAGAAATGCTGAAGACTCCAAAAGCCAGAATACCTCTTCTCCTCCAAAGGAACACAAATCCTCACCAGCAAGGGAACAAAACTGGACGGAGAATGAGTTAGACGAGCTGACGGAAGTAGGCTTCAGAAGGTCGGTAATAACAAACTTCTCTGAGCTAAAGGAGCATGTTCTAGCCCATTGCAAGGGAGCTAAAAACCTTGAAAGAAGATTAGATGAGTGGCTAACTAGAATAACCAGTCTAGAGAAAAGCTTAAATGACCTGATGGAGCTGAGAACCACAGTACAAGAACTTTGTGAAGCATACACAAGCTTCAATAGCCGATTCAATCAAGTGGAAGAAAGGGTATCAGTGACTGAAGATCAAATTAGTGAAATAAAGCGAGAAGACAAGATTAGAGAAAAAAGAGTGAAAAGAAATGAATAAAGCCTCCAAGAAATATGGGACTATGTGAAAAGACCAAATCTACGTTTGATTGGTGTACCTGAAAGTGATGGGAAGAGTGGAACCAAGTTAGAAAACACTCTTCAGGATACTATCCAGCAGAACTTCCCCAACCTAGCAAGGCAGGCCAACATTCACATTCAGGAAATACAGAGAACACCACAAAGATACTTCTTGAGAAGAACAACCCCAAGACACATAATTGTCGGATTCACCAAGGGTGAAATGAAGGAAAAAATGTTAAGGGCAGCCAGAGAGAAAGGTCAGGTTACCCACAAAGGGAAGCCCATCAGACTAACAGCGGATGTCTCTGCAGAAATCCTAGAAGCCAGAAGAGAGTGGGGGCCAAGATTCAACATTCTTAAAGAATTTTCAACCCAGAATTTCATATCCAGCCAAACTAAGCTTCATAAGTGAAGGAGAAATAAAAGCCTTTACAGACAAGCAAATGCTGAGAGATTTTTGTCACCACCAGGCCTGCCTTACAAGAGCTCCTGAAGGAAGCACTAAACATGGAAAGGAACAACTGGTACCAGACACTGCAAAAACAGGCCAAATTGTAAAGACCATCAATGCTAGGAAGAAACTGCATCAATTAGTGGGCGAAATAACCAGCTAGCATCATAATGACAGGATCAAATTCACACATAACAATATTAACCTTAAATGTAAATGGGCTAAATGCCCCAATTAAAAGACACAGACTGGCAAACTGGATAAAGAGTCAAGACCCATCGGTGTGCTACATTCAGGAGACCCATCTCACATGCAAAGACACACATAGGCTCAAAATAAAGGGATGGAGGAAGATCTACCAAGCAAATGGAAAGCAAAAAAAAAAAAAAAAAGCAGGGGTTGCAATCTTGGTCTCTGACGAAACAGACTTTAAACCAACAAAAATCAAAAGACACAAAGAAGACCATTATATAATGGTAAAGGGATCAATTCAACAAGAAGAACTAACTATCCTAAATATATATACAACCAATACAGGAGCACCCAGATTCATAAAGCAAGTCCTTAGAGACCTACAAAGAGACTTACACTCCCACACAATAATAATGGGAGACGTTAATACCCCACTGTCAATATTAGATCAACACGACAGAAAATTAACAAGGATATCCAGGACTTGAACTCAGCTCTGGACCAAACGGACCTAATAGACATCTGCAGAACTCTCCACCCCAAATCAACAGAATATACATTCTTCTCAGCACCACATCACACTTATTCTAAAATTGACCACATAACTCGAACTAAAGCACTCCTCAGCAAATGTAAAAGAACAGAAATCACAACAAACTGTCTCTCAGACCACACTGCAATCAAATTAGAACTCAGGATTAAGAATCTCAATCAAAACCACTCAACTACATGGAAACTGAACAACCTGCTCCTGAATGACTACTGGGTAAATAACAAAATGAAGGCAGAAACAAAGATGTTCTTTGAAACCAATGAGAACAAAGACACAACGTACCAGAATCTCTGGGACACATTTAAAGCAGTGTGTAGAGGGAAATTTATAGCAGTAAATGCCCACAAGAGAAAGCAGGAGAGATCTAAAATCAACACCCTAACATCACAATTAAAAGAACTAGAGAAGCAAGAGCAAACACATTCAAAAGCTAGCAGAAGGCAAGAAATAACTAAGATCAGAGCAGAACTGAAGGACACAGAGACATAAAAAACCCTTCAAAAAAAAAAAAATCAATGAATCCAGGAGCTGGTTTTTTGAAAAGATCAACAAAATTGATCTAGCAAGACTAATAAGAAGAGAAAGAAAAATCAAATAGACACAATAAAAAATGATAAAGGGGATATCACCACCAACCCCACAGAAATACAAACTACCATCAGAGAATACTACAAACACCTCTACACAAATAAACTAGAAAATCTAGAAGAAATGGATAAATTCCTCGACATATGCACCCTCCCAAGACTAAACCAGGAAGAAGTTGAATCTCTGAATAGACCAGTAACAGGTTCTGAAATTGAGGCAATAATTAATAGCCTACCAACCAAAAAAAGTTCAGGACCAGACAGATTCACAGCTGAATTCTACCAGAGGTACGAGGAAGAGCTAGTACCATTCCTTCTGAAACTATTCCAATCAATAGAAAAAGAGGGAATCCACCCTAACTCATTTTATGAGGCCAGCATTATCCTGATACCAAAGCCTGGAAGAGACACAACAAAAAAAGAGAATTTTAGGCCAATATCCCTGATGAACATCGATGAGAAAATCCTCAACAAAATACCGGCAAACCGAATCCAGCAGCACATCGAAAAGCTTATCCACCAAGATCAAGTCAGCTTCATCCCTGGGATGCAAGGCTGGTTTGACATTCATAAATCAATAAATGTAATCCATCACATAAGCAGAACCAATGACAAAAACCACATGATTATCTCAATAGATGCAGAAAAGGCCTTTGAAAAAATTCAACAGCCTTTCATGCTAAAAACTCTCAATAAACTAGGTATTGATGGAACATATCTCAAAATAGTAAGAGCTATTTATGACAAACCCACAGCCAATATAATACTGACTGGGCAAAAACTGGAAGCATTCACTTTGAAAACCGGCACAAGACACAGATGCCCTTTCTCACCACTCCTATTCAATATAGTATTGGAAGTTCTGGCCAGGGCAATCAGGCAAGAGAAAAAAATAAAGGGTATTCAATGTGGAAAAGAGGAAGTCAAATTGTCTCTGTTTGTAGATGACATGATTGTATATTTAGAAAACCCCATCATCTCAGCCCAAAATCTCCTTAAGCTGATAAGCAACTTCAGCAAAGTCTCAGGATACAAAATCAATGTGCAAAAATCACAAGCATTTCTATACACCAATAACAGACAAACAGAGAGCCAAATCATGAGCGAACTCCCATTCACAATTGCTACAAAGAGAATAAAATACCTAGGAATCCAACTTACAAGGGATGTGAAGGACCTCTTCAAGGAGAACTACAAACCACTGCTCAAGGAAATAAGAGAGGACACAAACAAATGGAAAAACATTCCATGCTCATGGATAAGAAGAATCAATATTGTGAAAATGGCCTTACTGCCAAAAGTAATTTATAGATTCAATGCCATCCCCATCAAGCTACCACTGACTTTCTTCACAGAAATGAAAAAAACTACTAATGGAACCAAAAAAGAGCCCGCATAGCCAAGACAATCCTGGGCAAGAAGAACAAAGCTGGAGGCATCATGCTACCTGACGTCAAACTATACTACAAGGCTACAATAATCAAAACAACATGATACCGGTACCAAAACAGATATATAGACCAATGGAACAGAACAGAGGCCTCAGAAATAATACCACACATCTACAACCATCTGATCTTTGACAAACCTGACACATACAAGCAATGGGGAAAAGATTCCCTATTTGATAAATGGTGTTGGGAAAACTGGCTAGCCATATGCAGAAAACTGAAACTGGACCCCTTCCTTACACCATATACAAAAATCAACTCAAGATGGATCAAAGACTTAAACGTAAGACCTAGGACCATAAAACTCCTAGAAGAAAACCTGGGCAATACCATTCAGGACATAGGCATGGGCAAAGACTTCATGTCTAAAACACCAAAAGCAATGGCAACAAAAGGCAAAATTGACAAATGGGATCTAATTAAACGGAAGAGCTTCTGCACAGCAAAAGAAACTATCATCAGAGTGAACAGGCAACCTACAGAATGGGAGAAAATTTTTGCAATCTACTCATCTGACAAAGGGCTAATATCCAGAATCTACAAAGAACTTAAACAAATTTACAAGAAAAAAGCAAACAACCCCATCAAAAAGTGGGCAAAGGATATGAACAGACACTTCTCAAAAGAGGACATTTATGTGGCCAAAAGACATATGAAAAAATGCTCATCATCACTGGTCATTAGAGAAATGCAAATCAAAACCACAGTGAGATACCATCTCACTCCAGTTAGAATGGCGATCACTACAAAATCAGGAAACAACAGATGCTGGAGAGGATGTGGAGAAATAGAAATGCATTTACACTGTTGGTGGGAGTGTTAATTAGTTCAACCATTGTGGAAGACAGTGTGGCGATTCTTCAAGGATCTAGAACTAGAAATACCATTTGACCCAGACATCCCATTACTGGGCATATACCCAAAGGATTATAAATGATTCTACGATGAAGACACATGCACACGTATGTTTACTGTGGGGACTATTCACAATAGCAAAGACTTGGAACCAACCCAAAGGTTCATCAATGATAGACTGGATTAAGATAATGTGGCACATATACACCGTGGAATACTATGCAGCCATAAAAAAGGATGAGTTCATGTCCTTTGCAGGGACATGGATGAAGCTGGAAACCATCATTCTCAGCAAACTATCACAAGATCAGAAAACCAAACACTGCATGTTCTCACTCATAAGTGGGAGCTGAACAATGAGAACACGTGGACACAGGGAGGGGAACATCACACACCAGGGCCTGTGAAGGGTGGAGGGCTAGGGGAGGGATAACATTAGGAGAAATACCTAATGTAGGTGATGGGCTGATGGGTGCAGCAAACCACCATGGCACATGTATACCTATGTAACAAAACTGCACTTTCTGCACATGTAACCCAGAACTTAAAGTATAAAAAAAAAAAAACAGAAAAAGAAGTAATAATAAAGTACTGAGTTGATTTATATAAAGATAATAAAAATATTGTTATTCTTAACAATAACTAAATCCAAACTATTCTTGGACCAGAAATATTTTATTGGTTCTATTTTTTTGATAACGGAGATTACTGGGTCAATTGGTAAACTTTGTTTAAATGGGATCTGTGGATCAGACAGTAATATTAATAATTTATTGTATCAATGTTTCCTTGTATTTAATCAGTATACTAAGGTTATATAGGAGTGTTCTTGTGTTTAGGAAATATACACCAGGTATCCAGGGATAATAGTGCATCATGTCTGTAACCTACTGTCAAAGGATTCAGAAAAAATATTAACATAAGAGATAAAGACAAAAGGAGACAGAAAGAGAAAAAGAGAGGGAGGGAGGCAGAGTGCAATGTGGTAAAGTATTAACACCTGGGGAATCTGGATGAAGGTTATATGAGAGTTTTTTGTTCTATTCTGGTAACTTTTCTGTAAATTTGAAATTATTTCAAAATAAGAAGTTTTTAAAATAAGGTTTAAGAGAAGATGTGATCCATTTGGAAATTCATGTCTTTGAAAAACCAAAAGTTATAAATCAAACAGATCTTCACAACATATAAATCACAAAGGTGACACAGAAGAAAGAAAAATGACCAAAGCAAAAACTGACCTGGGTTCCAGTATATGTTCTGCCACTAGTCACTGTAAGCAAGTCATCTAAGCTCTCTGGGCATCAATTACCTTATCACTGAAATGAGGGCATTTAATAAAATGGTCTTTAAAGTTCTTTTGCAATCTTAAAACTCTATAATTTTCAATTACTTCCAATGCTCACCTCCTTACTTCTCATACATTTTTATAGAGATACGTTTCATAAAATTAATATATTTTTGTTAAATTCTAAAATTTACATGGTTTTTCAATAAACTGAATAATCAATCTTACTGAATCCATTAATAAGATGACTCAAAATCTTGTCAATTTGGCAGTAGCCACTATACTCACATAATATCCACACCTCCTGGAATAGCAGATGATGATGTGTGCTCTTTGCTGGATGAAGAATCAGTAGTACATTCTGGCTCGGATACAGAATCACTGCTGCAGGGCTCACTATTTGGAGATGCATTTCTTTGAGAGGTAGTGTCAACTGCTATAGGTGTTAGCTCACCCTCACCGAATGCATCACTTATAAACATGCCTTCATGGATTAAATAAGCCACCTCTGTGTCCAGTGAATTATCTTTTGCAGCATTCTTCTGTTGTGAAATCTCTTCCAATTCTCTAGTCCTTTGGTTTTTGTCAAGAACTGAGAGAACAACACTGTGAATGATATTTAATGTTGCCTACAAGAAAATAGGACACACTTTTAAGGGACGTAAAATGTCTCTTACCTGAAGTTCCCAAAAGAGAATTCTGTGCATGTAATTTTGGACATCTATAATCATAAATGAGTCAAAGTCATGTATATCAGAATTTCTACCGATCTTTTATTACATAGGAAAAGTGATGTGAAAAAGAACTGGCCAGGAGAAATGGGTTCACTAAAGCTTAGAAATAAACTTCCTATATTTTAACTAATTTTTAAAATGGAAATCTCCCTAAAATATGTTGCATATTTCTCTGACCTCTTAAAAAGGTTACACTAAACATAACTTGCCCATCAGAGAATCATATACATTGATATGCCTGTCTAAAAGAAAAGGAATCTGTGTTACTTACCATGCCTAGCCCCTACCTCTCTTTCTCCTTTTCTCGTATCTTCTCTCACTTATTCACTACTCTCCAGACATTCTAGTTCTCTTTCTACTCTTCCCTCATTCCAGGATTGTTCCCACCTCAGTGCCTCTGCTGTTTCCTCTATCCGGAATGCTTTTCACCTTGATCTTTGCACATATTTCCTTCTCATCACTGAGGTTCTGGCTCCAGTGGTCACTTCCTCAGAGGCCTTCCCTGAATCTCCACCCAGCAACTCTATCCCATTATCCAGTTTTTGTAAAAAAATAAAAACAAAAAACAAAAAAACCCATTTATCATTATGTACAATTATCTTTGTTTATTCTAGGTCTCCTTCTATTAGAATGTCAGCTCCATTCCATGACACTGTAATCCTAATGCCTAGAATAGTGCCTGGCAAATAGGAGGTGCTCAGTAAATATTGAAAGCTAGGCAAATGAAGAGTAAATTTATGTAAACTAATGTCTTTATGGACAATTAAGAAATAAAGGACTGCTTGCCTATTTTAACATTCACAGTTGCAGTCTTACAACTGTTTCTCCCTTTCTCAAAACGCTTGGTTAGTTTTTTTGGAATCTACATGGTTCTAGGGAAGCAGACTCTAACTTCGGGTCTCCAAAATCAACAAAAGGATCTAAGCTAGTCCAATTAGTACATGGAACCACCACAATCTGAGCTTAATTATTAGTAAGGTACATAGAAGAGAGAATTGCAAAGAAATAAAGCCAAAGCTTGATGACACCAACAACCTCTTTATGAAAGACCTTAAGGCTGACCTACCTCTGTGTATTTTTTTAGTTGTATGAGCTAATAAATCCTCTTAACTGTTTGAGACCCTCTGAGTTGTGTTTCCTGTTATTTGGAACTGAAAGCATTTTAAATGAGTCAATAGCCCATACAGTATACCGAAGATAGAGCCTTCAAGAGCTTTAGGACCAAAGTGTCTACTATGGATACTGCATTTTTTTTCTTTCTTCATTGCTCACTAGCTTCTTCTGTATTGTCACAAATTTGCTGCTCCACTACTGCTGCTTTAATCCTCACTGCTGTCCAATCTTGGATATACTTAGTTCCCCCATCTTGTTTTGCGTCTTTTTCCTTATCTCTTCTGTCTTGCTAATTTTCTTTCTTAACTTTTTAAAATAAAAAGACATGACAGACCTATCCAACATCTATTCTACATCACTTTTCCCATGGTACAACAGCCATATAATTTGGGTAGAAATAAGCCCACTTTCCAGCTTCAAGTATCAGTTCTAAATAGCCCACTCAGTGTACTCCCAACCTCCTTGCCTAATGTTTAGCTTAGAGATGAGAAGAAAATCCAGATTTAAACTAATAATCAGTGCACAGCATTTTCCTGATCACAGTGACTGGACATGTGACCTAAACTGGTTCAATCAATTAAAGCCAAGGACTTTCATTTGATGACTGAAGAAGAAAAACTCCAGGTGAAAAATTCTAAATTTGGCTTAATCGATAAAGGAATTTCATTTGGTGACTGAGGAAGGAAAACTCTAAGTAAAAAATAGAAAACTTCTAGGTGGTATAGAATTGTGGCAAATGTGGCAGACCTAGAACTGATGAAGCCAAGAGGAAAGAGAAAGGCAAAGCTGAATTGGAAACAGAGAAACTAAGCTGGAGAACCAAGACAAAACCATGCATGAAGCCCTTCCTAGTCTTGGACTTTTCTTTAATTCCCAGAGCCAATACATTCCTTGTACTGTTTAAACCAGTTTGATTTGAATACTTCATTCCTTTTAATAACATCTTCGCTTATACAGTTATTAAAATTTTCCACATAAAGTATATCAGGTATTCTAGGGATTCTTCTTTGCTGTTTTCACCGTATCTACACTTTTAAAGATTTGCTGATTATTTTTTCCAAATCCAAAGCCATTCTTAAGAATGCCAGAAGACTGGTATCCAAAAAATAAGATTTTAAAATACATAATACTTTCAACAGTAGATACATGGTTTACTTTCTGAACTATTACACAGTCTATAGACAAGTTCATGTTTCAAAAACACCAGGACAGCTAAGCCAAATATAATTTTCCAATCTTGAGAATGGAGTTAATGAAATATCTGGTAGCCATATTGATAACCATAATGACAACTGATATTGTCATTCTGAAATGACAGACTAGGATTATTTATCCATACAACAAAATGAAATTTAAAAGCTAAGAATTCCTTGAAAAGAAGGTAAGCTGCATTTAAAGGCTGTTATCTTTCTTACCTATAAAAATTAGCCTAATCTATAGGGTGCTAACAATAAACAAGAATTTAATAAAAAGTCAAAATACAATCGTAAAGAATGAAGTATGGAAGTCTTATAATCCTGATTTCAAAACTTACAAGACTATGGTAATCATAACAGTGTGGTATTGGCATAAAGAGTGACATATAGAATAGAGAGAGCCCACAAATGAACTCTCACATATACAGTAAAATGTTTTTTGACAAGGGTGGCAAGACCATTCAATGCAGAAAGGTCAGTCTTTTCAACAAATGATACTCGGAAAACTGAATATCCACATGCTAAAGAATGAAAGTAGACCGCTGTCTTATACCACCTATAAAAACAAACTAAAGTCAATTAAAGGCCTAAATATAAGCTCTAAAAATATAAAATTCTTACAAGAAAATACAGGGAAAAAGCTTCAGGACACTGGATTTGGCATTGATTTCTTGGATATGAAATGAAAAACATAGGTGACAACAAAAAAATAGACAAATTGGACTACATCAAAATAGAAAAACTTCTATGCATCAAAAGACACCATTAACAGAGTAAAAAGGCAACCTGCGGAATGGGAGAAAATATTTGTAAATCACGTATATGATAAAAGGTTAATATCCAGAATATGTAAAGAACTTCTACAACTCAACAACAAAAAAACCAAACCACCCCATTAAATAATAGGCAAATAAAATATTTTTCCAAAAAAGACATAAAAATGCCCAATAAGCACATAAAAAAGATGCTCAACATCACTCATCATTAGAAAAATGTAAATTAAACCTACAGGGAAATACCACCTCATACCCATTAGGATGGCTAGTCTCACAAAATCCAGAAAATAACAAGTTTTGGCAAGGATGCAGAAAAACTGAAACCCTGCACTATTGGTGGAAATGTAAAATGGTACAGCTGCTATGGAGAACAGTGTGAAGGTTCCTCAGAAAATTACAAATAGGATGACCGTATGATCCAGAAATTCCAATTCTGGGGTTGACAAAAATAAGAACTAAAAGGGGGCCTCAGAGAGATATTTGCATATGCATGTTCATGGCATTATTATTATTCTCAACAGCCAAAAGTTGAAGGCAACACAAATGTCCATTGATGAATGGATAAGCAAAATGTAGTAGATACACATATAATGGAATATTATTCATATTACTCAGCCTTAAAAAGGAAGGAAATTCTAACATGCTACAACACAGATGGCACCTTGAGGACATTAAGCTACATTAAATAAGCCAGTCACAAAAGGATAAATATTGTATGATTCCACTTATATGAAATACCTAATAATCGGTGCACAGCATGAGTGCTCTATGAGTCAAACTCATAGAGACAGAAAGTAGAATGGTGGTTGCCAGGGGATTGGGGAAAGTGGAAACGTGTGTGTGTGTGGTGTGTGTGGTGTGTGTGTGTGTGTGTGTGTGTGTCTAGACAGGATCTTGCTAGGTTTGCCCAGGACTTGTGTGCATGTGTGCGTGGCTGTGTGTGTGTGCAGACAGGATCTTCCTAGGTTGCCCAGACTGGTCTCAAACTCTGGTCTCAAGCGATTCTCCTGCCTCAGTCTCTCAAGGTGTTGGGATTATAGGCATGAGCTACTATGTCAGGCCTATATTTGGTCTTTGTCCCCATTCCCTGGCATGCAGCTCCCTAAACTCTTGGAATCTCCAGAGTGGTAAAAATGTCTTCATATGCTAAAGAGATGACAAATAGCCGAGGGCCCCTACATAGCCACAGGATGAAGGCTGGTCACCTGAAAGACTAAGGCAGGATTAGAGGACTGGGACTTTCAGCCCCACCTTGGCCAGAGTTATTATTATTATTTTGAGACAAACTTTCGCTCTTGTCACCCAAGCTGGAGTGCAGTGGCACAATCTTGGCTCACTGCAACCTCCACCTCCTGGGTTCAAGCGATTCTCCTGCCTCAGCCTCCGGAATAGCTGGGATTACAGGCATGAGACACCATGCCCAGCTGATTTTTGTATTATTAGTAGAGATGGGGTTTCACCATGTTGGCCCGGCTGGTCTCAAATTCCTGACCTCAGGTGATCCACCCACCTCAGCCTCCCAAAGTGCTGGGATTACAGGCGTGAGCCACCACGCCAGGCCCAGAGTTATTATGTAATAGGTACAGAGTTTCAGCTTTGCAAGATAAAAAGAGTTCTGTGGATGGATGTTTGTTAACAGTAGCACAATAGTGCAAATGAACTTAATGCCACTGAATTGTGCACTTAAAATCAGTTAAGTTTTATGTTTATTTTTACCATGACCAAAAAGGAAGAAAAAATACACACTAAAAAAATACAAATAACAGCAACAGATCCTCAAGTTGTTAACAATTACTCAAATATGAAATTTATAAATCCCAATAGCTTATTATTTATCCATTCAAAATAAAAATACTATTGAAATATTCTGGCTGAAAATGTACCCTTTAATTTCTTTTAAAAAGTATAATACTAAATCCCTGCACTTTTGGAGGCCAAGGTGGGTGGATCACAAGGTCAGGAGATTGAGATCATCCTGGCCAACATGGTGAAACCCCATCTGTACTAAAAACACAAAAATTAGCTAGACATGGTGGCGTGCGCCTATAATCCCAGCTACTCAGGTGGCTGAGGCAAGATAATCACTTGATCCTGGGAGGCAGAGATTGAAGTGAGCTGAGATTGTGCCACTGCACTCCAGCCTGGCGACAGAGTGAAACTCTACCTCAAAAAAAAACAAAAAAACAAAAAAAGCGTAATACTAAAGTGACATATAGAATTGGATATCCTTTGTCTTTGAGAAATAAATGCAACAATGTAGGAGAGTAAATTATTAACCCTGGTAAATCAAACAAGAAATTCAAATAGTCTATTCCTGTAATGTGGTAAATTCTATTAAAAAACAAAACAACTTTTTCTGATTATAAAAGTAATACTTCTCTTTGTAGAAAATTCAGGGAAAATAGAAAAGAATAAAAAATCTAAATGACATCTAATCTGACCAGCTAAAGAAAACCACCAAAAAACCCCAAAGTTTCTCCTTGTTCTAGGAAGATAAAAGGGTTAAAAAAAATTCTTTTTGACATAGCTGAGATCACACTATATAAGTACATCTACATCTTGCCTTTTTTTTTTTTAAGACGGAGTCTTGCTCCGTCACCAGGCTGGAGTACAGTAGCACCATCTTGGCTCACTGCAACCTCCACCTCCCGGGTTCAAGTGATTCTCCTGCCTCAGCCTCCCAAGTAGCTGGGACAAACATGCACCAACACGCCCAGCTAATTTTTGTATTTTTAGTAGAGACAGGGTTTCACCATATTGGCCAGGATGGTCTCGATCTCTTGACCTTGTGATCTGCCTGCCTCGGCCTCCCAAAGTGCTGGAATTACAGGTGTGAGCCATGGTGCCTGGCCCTGTATCTTGCATTTTTAACTGAATATCATAATGTATGTATTTTCTCCTACCATTAAAAATCCTTGGCTGTATATAATATTCCATGGTAAAGAATGTGTCAAGCATAATTTATTTTACCATTTCTCTATTGTTAGACATCTGGGTTCTTTCCAATTTTTAGTTATTTTTAAATTCTTCAATAAAAATGAACAGCTTGTAATTAACATTATTTTTCAGTGAAGTAATACTTGACAGAATCACAAACTTTTTTCACAGAAAAAAGTACCATATTTCATGTCATCTGTAAAGATGTTGTACATAAGTACTAGTTTAAGTGGTCCAAATGTGAAAATGAGAAATTACAACTATAATCAATCAGTTTTCATATAGCACATACATAAAATAATAACTCTACTTAGTTTAACTGACATAGAGCCATTCCACATAGTGGAATAACTACAGTAAATCCTCACTTAATCTGAATGATAGATTCTGGGAGACTATAACTTTAAGTGAAACCACGTACAGCAGGTTTTTGAATAACACTGTTTCCTTCAGTGTTATTGAAAAAAACATTGAAGGAAATGTTTCACTATAATGATGAGTGAAAAAAATAGCTTTGGTATAAGTTGTTTCACTTAAAGTCACAGTTTCCAAGACCTATCCATAACATTGAAGACTTACTGTACTTCAAAAAATTTCTGGCAAAAAGTTGGCCAATTCTACACTATGCAATGTAAGAGTTCTATATAACTAGACATGCAATAATTGAAGTGTGTGATGATGAGGTCATGGTCAGAATATAAGAAGTGAAAACATGGTTTTGTTATTGAACACCTATAGATACAAGTTTGTGTCTGTCACTATCTATAGGTAGGATCAACATTTTAGAAGCAGTCTAAATTAAGCACAGTGAATCCCACTCTATAAAACTTTTGTGAACCTGATTGGAGAGCTTACACATGTGACTTAGCATTGCTTCAATGTGAATAAAGGAAAATTAATGTCATACACAAGTACCAAAGTCCCCTGCACTATTTAACATGGTACTCAGGAGATGCTGGGGATGTTAACTAGTACATAAAACACAATGTTAACACTTGATAACTCAAAAAATATCTAATTTCACAAATGGTCCCTTTTAACTGTTACACATGGTAATTCCTAATGATTGTATTCTTTTTTTATTTTTATTTTTTCATTTTTTGAGATGGAGTCTTGCTCTGTTGGCCAGGCTGGAGTACAGTGGCACAATCATGCCTCACTGCAGCCTTGACCTGCTGGGGTTAGGTGATCATCCCACCTCAGCCACCCAAGTAGCTGGGACTACAGGTGTGCATCACTATGCTTGGCTAATTTAAAAATTTATTTTGTAGAGATGAGGTCTCATTATGTTGCCCAAGCTGGTCTCAAACTCCTGAGCTCAAGTGATCCTCTTGCCTTGGCCTCCCAAAGTGATAGGATTACAGGTGTAATCCACCGTGCCCAGCCTGTATTCTTCTTAAACCAAAGTTATGACATGTTGGTGATTCAAACCAGTATGTATTAGAGTCTGACATCTTCTGTAAAATGATACGTGACCTGTTCTTTTTGTTATACTAAGTGGTTTAAAATTAAGTGGCTTGACTAAAGAGACAAAATAATTAAATGTAACACATGATGCTTGATTGGATTCGTGCCCAAAAAGTGAATAAAAATGTAAATAAAGAATATTAGCAGCCAGGCACAGTGGCTCACACCTATATCTCAGCACTTTGGGAGGCAGAGGCGGGCAGATCACTTGAGGTCAGGAGTTCGAGACCAGCCTGGCCAACATGGTGAAACCCCATCTCTACTAAACATGCAAAAATTAGCCAGGCGTGGTGGCACACGCCTATAATCCTAGCTACTCGGGAGGCTGAGGTAGAAGAATCACTTGAACCCGGGAGGGAGAAGTTGCGGTGAGCCAAGATTGCGCCACTGCACTCCAGCCTGGGTAACAGCAAGACTCCACCTCAAAAAAAAAAAAAAAAAAAGTAAATTAGCAAGGTAATTTGAATATAAACAATATATTTTAAAACACCATTATATCAACATTGACTTTATAGAAAAATTGATAGTTTGGGGTGATTTTGGGGTGTTTAACAATATTGTACCTCTAGATAACCTAGGAGAACAAAAAATCACGAGAGGAAATATTACTGTATAATATTTAATGTAAAGTAAGAGCATATTTCTTTTTAAGTTATAAAATTATAACTTATTAAATTCTTAAAACTGTCAAACTCTGAGGTACCTAAATTTTTATTTAAAAACAAGCCTCTTTAGAAAAATTACAAAAACAAAGAAACTGTGTTTTATTCTAGTTTGAGTCTTTATTTACATATTATGTATCTAGAAAGCTGACTTAATTTTAGGGATATTCTAGACAAACTAATTTATAAGCTTACCTTCACTCTCTGTAGGAAAATTGTAAACTTAGAGAAAATATCCTTGAGCAGATCAAACCACTGGGGAAAATTCAACATTCTCATCTGATCTGCAAGCCTAGAAAAAAATAATTCAAACAAAAATAATGATTGTCTCTGGGCCAATCAATATAACATCTACAAACTGGAAGAAATGAGACTAAATACTATCTAGTGATAAAATGCAATTTCATCTAGATACCTAACTAAAATGTTGAAGAGGTAAATTACCAAAGAGTTATGGCTTATTTAAATATTTTTAAGACTGGTAAGTTAACTATATCATATATCAATTTCATATGAACAAGCTTTATGATCATTGAATGAATAAACCATAGAGAAATAAGTGTGAAGATATACTCTGGAATAAAAATGGAAACATACATCTCTCCCCAAAATTTAATAATCTGCTTTTCTAACTACAACTTTAAAAATACCATATGAGAAGTAATATGGCATGAGTTAAGAGCCCTGGAACCACAACACAATGCCTTGGTTTAAAATAGCAGCAGCTTATTGGAATTGCTAGCTATGTGGCTCTGGCAAGTGACTTAACCCCTCCACGCTCCAATTTTCTCATCTAACATGAGGAAACTGACAGAACCTACCTTATGTGGTTGTTGTAAATATTATATGAGTTAATAAAAAATACTTAGAACAATTCATGACACATTTTTAAAAGTACCATGTAAGCAGCAGCCAATATTATTTTGATAGTTGACAGAAATCATTAACTTCAAGGTGAAAAAAAGTAATACAAATTCATTCCCTAAAGATATTTTATAGTACCAAAATGACTTATTACTCTAAATTTTTAATAAACGCAGCTTCAGTTAAGAGTTTATTCTAAAAAGATACTACAACACTTGATATACAGGAAGTTCTCTACTTCTATGGAGAAAATTCCCTAGGGAAGAAGAAAAACTGACTCTCCACATCCATGGAGCTTCTAATAGTGTCCCAATGACTTATGTTTTCCAACCACTAACAATTCTCTGATTATTATAGTTTGCTTCAACTAATTCTGAAATTGAGTTTTCCCTAGATAATAGTGTGGAAATTAATACTCCATTCTGTGAGTTTGGCCCAAGAAAGTTTCACAGTCGTACATATTGCTAGTCATATCTAAGCCAGCTAAAAACATTTAAATATCCATATGAACAAGAAATTCAGTCATAAAATATTATCACTATTCTTCTTAAAATAATAGAATAGGAATTTTTCTTTTCTTTCTTTCTTTCTTTCTTTTTTTTTTTTTTTGAGACAGGCTCTTACTTCCTTGTGCAGGCTGGAATGCAGTGGCACAATCATGGCTCACTGAAGCCTGGACCTCCCAGGCTCAAACCATCCTCCTACCTTAGCCTCCTGAGTAGCTAGGACTACAGGCATGTGCCACCATGCCCAACTTATTTTTTTAATGTTTATTTTTGGTAGAGATGGGGTCTCACTTTATTGCCCAGGGTGGTCTCGAACTCTTGGGCTCAAGCGATTCTCCCACCTCGGCCTCCCAAAGTGCTGGGATTACAGGTGTGAGTCAATGCGCCTGGCCAAGAATAGGAATTTCTAGGGTGAAAACAAAAAAAAAATACAAACATGGGCAATTCAAAATCATTAACTCAAACTTCTCAAAGCCAATTAAAAGTTGATTTTAATTACATAGCTACAAATTTAAACATAATGCTTGCTATGCCCCTGTAATGAATTATCTCCAATTTCACCTCTCCATATCTATGTTCTGTCCCTGTCCATCCTGCTCTCTGCTCTGGGAAGCTAACATGTGGGCCTGGCCATTGAGGAGCCCTTACAAAAACTGGAAGGAGTAAAGGTACCTACTCCTCTAGCTCTCTAGTAAAGGTACCTATTTCTCCTGTCTCTCTCAAGGGTTGCCTCAGGGTGACTGCTTCCCTCTACTCAAGGTCACAGCTTTTTTTCCAACTACCTTTCTCCTCAATTCTGTTAAGCACTGTCTTCGTTCCACACTGTCACTTGTGATTTTCCTACACCCTGCTCACACCTTAGTAAATAATTCCTTAACGAAATCTACTTCGAATTATTCTAATTTACATCTATCATCTTTTCTCTGACTGATAACCACCAACCTATATATTTATACTTACTTCACAACAACATCTGTGTCTATTTCTTCTGTTTGTGAAACTTTATTAATCACACACTGCAAAATTTAAGAAAAAACAAAAACAATTTGATTAATTGTCTTTCAAATCCTAAGTATTCCATGTTCCATTTGTACATTAAAAAGGCCCTTACTATATGAACAGACACTTTTCAAAAAAGGACATACATGTGGCCAACATAACTGATCATTAGAGAAATGCAAATCAAAACCACAATGAGATACCATCTCACACAAGTAAGAATGGCTATTACTAAAAAGTCAACAATAACAGGTGCTGGCAAGGTTGTAGAGAAAAGGGAACACTTATACACTGCTGATGGGAGTGTAAATTAGTTCAACCATTGTGGAAGACAGTGTAGCGATTCCTCAAAGACCTAAAGAGAGAAATACCATTCAATCCAGCAATCCCATTACTGGTTACATACCCAGAGGAATAAAAATTGTTCTATTATTAAAGACACATGCACACTTATGTCCACTGTAGCACTATTCACAATAGCAAATACATGGAATCAACCTAAATGCCCATCAATGATAGACTGGATAAAGAAAATGTGGTACACGTACACCATGGAATACTATGCAGCCATAAAAAAAACAATGAGGTTATGTCCTTTGCAGGAACATGGATGGAGCTGGAGCTCATTATCCTTAGCAAACTAACACAGAAACTGAAAACCAAATACTGCATGTTCTCACTTGTAAGTGGGAGCTAAATGATGAGAACACACAGACACATAGAGGGGAACACCACACGGTGGAGACTATTGGAGAGTGGAGGGTGGGAGGAGAGAAATGACCAGAAAAATAACTAATGGGTACTAGGCTTAATACCTGGGTGATGATATAATCTATACCAAAAAAACTCATGTCACATGTTTACTTACATAATAAACCTGCACATGAACCCCTGAACTTAAGATAAAAAAAAATTTTAAAGGCTCTTACTGGCTACAATAATTATTTTACCAGATTTTTATCTCTTATGTATCTCTCACAGTGTTTGAAAAGCTGATTACAATTAGCCAATTAAATAATTATTTCAGAGTATGTTTGAATTGTAATAATTAAAATCACCTAATATTCAAAACTGTTCAAAATCCTACACCAGAAAAGCAGAACTATAATACTTAGGAACAAGGTGTAAGCCCCATATTAAAATCCCAAAAGAAATTAGTATTAGAAGTTACATTTCCTTGTGATACATGCAACAGTTTAAAATTAAAAAATAAATGCTTAGATTTGAAGTCTGGGAATTGAAACATACCAGTTTTTAGAAATTGCTTAAAATATATATACAGAAAATTGTACAAATTATGTTTACAGCTCAATATTTTTGTACAAATGGAGTACATCTGTGTAATCAGAACTCAGCTCATGAAACAACCTTGCTAATACCCAGAGCTCCTCCCCTATTCCCCTACCAGTTACTACTTCCTCCCAAAATATACTATTATCTTGATTTTTAAACCATAGAATAATTTTGCCTGCATTTGAGTTTTACATAAGTGGAATCATACAATGTATACTTTTCTGTGTCTGGTTTCTTTGGCTCCACGTTATGTCTATGATATTCATTTGTTATTCTGTGTAATCTATTCATTCTCATTAATGTATAGTATTCCACTGTACAAATACATCAAAATTCTATTTATCCTTTCTACTGGTGATGGAATTTGGGCTGTTTCCAGTTTTTAAAATTACAAATAGTACTGCCAGGAACATTCTTCTGCTGTGTTTTGGTGAACTTATATACATATTTCTGTTGGGTGCATACCTAGGAATAGAAATGCTGGGTCACAACATGTATGCAAATTTGGCATTACTATATATTGCCAACAATTTTTCAAAGTGGTTGTACCAATTTAAAAATAGTGTTTTAATCAGTGCTTGAAAGAGGGGATGATTATAATTTTTTTGCTTATTTAACTTTTAAACTTAAACTTTAAAAACTCATATATGTACATTCAACCTAATGATAATAATCAATTAAGCCTAATAAATACCTTTAAAATCATATTATCTTTTTCATATATTAAAAAACTGAAGTTCAGTGGATAAGATTTATCTGACTAAAAAAAGTCAAAACAAAGATCAGGGAATACTGAAAAACACATGGATTCTAGTTTATAATTTCTTAGAGATTAGGATAAAAAGGAAATGAACATTTGTCTACTGCTGATGGGAGTATAAATTGGCAAATCTTTTTAAATAGGAATTAAATTCTATACATCAAATAACTTAAAAATACTTTTCACTCTCTAACCAATACTTCTAGGAATCAGTCTAAGAACAAACATTCTTAAGTACGAAAAACAAACAAAATAACTTTATACCACAGATGTCTGTCACAGTGCTATTTATTGTATTAAATTATAAACAACCTAAATATTCAACACAGAGGAAAAGTTAAGTAGATTTAACATAATGTTAATGGGACTTTACACAATCATTAAAAATGATGTTTCTGAAAGCTTTTATAATAATATGAGAAACTGCTTATGATTGTAACTGAAATATATGTATAAAATCATATACACATAATGACAACATAAGAAAATCAGTCTACACGTGGAAATATTCCTATAGCAATAATCTTTTGGCTGGTAAGGCTATGTTTTACTTTCATTTTTCTAAATTTTCAGTTTTTACATAAATGAGCTATATTACTATTACACTATATATATTATTACTAGGATAACATAAAAATAAACTTCACAAAGGTTCCAGACCAAAATATGTCAAATAAAAATGCATAATTACCTGTTTAATGATATTCTTTGCTGTAATAACCATTTTTTCACCATAGATTTCTAAAAAATTAAGCTTTCTTTGTTTTAAAAGTCCAAATACAAGAGATATTAGTCTTTCCTGTTAAAATAAAAGTATGTAACTTGACATTTTAAATATGAAGTAATTTTACTTAGAGGTAGAAATATTCAGCATCAAGAGTTCTGTTTGATCCTCAGATCTCTATCCTGCACAAAGTATTTTCTAGCAGCCTGAAAACCCCTCCCACAGCAATCTTATCATGAGATTTTTGGAGTCAGTGCTGTAAAACAGATAAATCCTACCCCACCACAGTGAACCAATGAAGCTGGTTTTCGGGCAAAACAATACAAGGGTATTTTTTGTTCTAGTTTCAACAAGTAAAAAATATCCTTCTCACACCCTGATGACCAATAAATACTCCATGGGCCCTGTGGGTTTTTTTTGGTTTTTGCTTCTTTGTTTTGAGACAGCGTTCCACTCTGTTGCCAAGGCTGGAGTGTAGTGAGGTGATTACAGCTCACTGCAGCCTTGATCTCCCAGGCTCAAGTGATCCTCCCACCTCAGCCTCCCGAGTAGCTGGGACTAGAGGCATGCACCACCACACCTGGCTAATTTTTAAATTTGTTTTGTAGACTCACTGTGTTGCCCAGGCTGGTCTCAAATTCCTGGGCTCAAACGATCCTCTAGCTTCAGCCTCCTAAAGTGCTTGGATTATAGGCCTGACCCACTGCACCTCACCCATGCTTTGTAATGCATAGTCTAGAAGACTGAAATAATGACCTAGACTCTCACAGTGGGAAGTCAACTGCTAACATCTACAAAAGTTTCTTTACTTAGGCAGTTATCAGGGTTTCTGGGATTTTTTACTAGTTGTTGTCAGTGATTAACACTGAGAAGTTACCAGCTAAGTGAAGCCTGGATATTATGTATTTGTATATACATATATAAAAAACATGTTCATAATAGGTACTCAGTAAATTTGAATGACGGGTAATTACCATATGATAATGATCACTTTTTCGGTTTTTTTTTTTTTTTTTTTTTGAGACAGGGTCTTGCTATGTCACAATCATGGCTCACTAACAGCCTCAAACTCCTGGACTCAAGTGATCCTCTCGCCTTAGCCACCCAAGTAGCTGGGACTACAGGTGTGCATGCACCACTACACCCAGCTAATTTTTTTATTTTTCGTAGAGATGGAGTCTCCCTGTGTTGCCAAGGCTGGTCTCAAACTCCTGGGCTCAAGCAATCTTCCCACCTCAGCCTCTCAAACTGCTGGGATTACAGGCATGGAGCCAATGCGCCCAACTATGATCACTTTTTATAAAAGACAAGCTCCAGCACTCGCACACATAAACACAGAATATAAATTAATTCATCCTATATCTGTATTTTTAACTTGGTCTGTAAGCTCATTTTAACTCTAATTTCTAATTAAGCTATACAATTATTTTATTCTCTAATTCCATAGGATAGTGAACAATCATGGTGCTTGCTCAA
This sequence comes from Homo sapiens, assembly GCF_000001405.40. NCBI lineage: Eukaryota > Metazoa > Chordata > Mammalia > Primates > Hominidae > Homo > Homo sapiens. Next base: position 63,948,892 of record NC_000002.12, read on the forward strand.
GTCACATAGCTAGTGAAGGACTTCATAGGTCTGATAGCCCTTGAAATTTAAGATAATTTTGATTCCTATAATCTGAGAAAAATGTGTTCTAAGCCAAGACTGTTAAGCAATGGCATCAACTTCATTCCACAGTTAAAACACATACCTCTTCTAAAACTTGACAGTCATCTTCCAGTGGTCTATTTAAGTCACTGTGAGAATAAGTAGAAAATTCTGCAATCATCATTTTATCTATCAGTTTTTCTAATTCACAAAGCTGTGATCCCAAATGCCTAAAAAGGAAGAGAAAAATGTTATATTTATATTCACTAAAAACTACAAATTCGCTCCACAATCAAGGGAACTAGTAGGTAAAACTTTTTCAGTTGACAGTACCTGTGCAATAATGCAATGTTTTCAAAAAATGAAGTCCTTTAACTTACCAAAATAACTGCAAACATTTCATCTTCTAAATTCCATTTTTCTCTTTACAGTTGACCCTTGAACAACATGGGGGTTAGAGGCACCAAACACCAGTGCAATCAGAAATCTGTGTATAACTTTTGACTCCCCAAAAATTTAACTAATAGCTTATGTTGACCAGAAGCCTTACCAATAACATAAAGTCAGTGAACACATTCTTTTCTATATTATGTGTACCATATACTATATTCTTACAATAAAGCTAGAGAAAATATGGTACTAAGAAAATCCTATGGAAAAGAAAATACATTGACTATTGATTAACTGGAATCAGATCATCATAAAAGTTATCTTCACATTGAGTAGGCTGAGGAGGAGGAGGGAGAGGAGAGGTTGGTCTTGCTATCTTAAGGGTGGCAGAGGAGGTGGAAGTGGAGGCAGAAGAGGCAGGCACACTCAGTATAACTTTACCGAAATGCACTGTAATTTCTGACTTTACTTTTGCATTTCTCTAAAAATGTTTGTTTCTATATGGTACCAATCCTTCTTTCACCATTTGCTTTAGTTTCAGTGCCCATAGAAGAGTCCATGTCATAAAAGAAGTCAAAGGAAGTCTTGAATAATGGGAACTCTGCTGCCAGATTGTCTAATGTCATCTTGTTTTCTGGCACTGCTGCTTCTATCTCTTTTTCCTCATTGTCTGGCATTGGTTTGAGAACACTCATCTCCGTCAAGTCATCTTCTGTTAATTCCTCTGTTGTGGTACCTATTAGCTGTTGAATTTCTCCAAGATTCTTATCTTGAAATCCTTCATTCCTCACCCTTGTCACATCCACAATCTCTTTCATGATTTCCTTGATTGTCTCACAGCATCTGCACACAGTTTTCTCTAACAGGAATTTATTGTTTCGGGCTTTATGGTCTTCACAACTTTTTCTATAACAATGACGGCATCTTCAATGGTGTAATCCTTCCAGACTTTCGTGATGTTCTATCGGGGTTCTCTTCCATAGCACTGATAATCCTTTCCATAGAGTAGTGTGTGTAATGAGCTGTAAAGGTACTTATGACTCTCTGATCTAGAAGCTAGATTAGAGATGTTGTGTTTGGGGCAAGGAGATCATTTTAATGCCTCTGGTGCTGAATTCATGGGGTTCTGGGTGGACAGGGGCATTGTTCAACACCAAAAGTACTTTAAAAGGCAGTCTCTTATTGGCAAGGTACTTCCTGACTTCAGAGACAAAGCATTAATGGCACCAATCCAGAAAAAGGGTTCTCATCCAGGTCTTTTGTTGTATAAGCAGAAGACTGGCAGCTGTTATTTATCTTCTCCCTTTGAAGCTTGTGGGTTAGCAGCTTTATAGATAAGGGCAGTCCTGATCAGAAACCTGACTTCATTTGCACAAAACAGTAAGAGATAGCCTATCCCTTCCTGTCTTAAATCCTGGTGCTCACTATCTCTTCCTTGCTAATAAATGTTCTTTGTGGCTTTTTTTTTCCCCCAGAGTAGGGCACTTTTGTCTGCATTAAAACCTTTCAGGTAGATATTCTTTCTCCTCCATTATTTTCTAAATGGTATCCAGGAACTCATTTGCTGCCTCTTTGTCAGCAGAAGCTGCTTCTCCTATTATCATGACATTTTTTTAAGCCAAACCTCTAAAATTATCAAACCATCCTTTGCTGGCATTAAGTTCTCCAGCTTTAGATCCTTCACTTTCCTTTTGCTTTAAATTACCACTTGATATCTTAGCTTTTTCTCAAGTAATATTAGAGTCTATAGGTATGCCTTTCTCATAGTAAGCCTGCACCTGCATAAAATCTGCATTTTCAATAATGGATAAAAAGGTACTTGCAAAAAGAAAAGGTTTTTGTAAATGCTGTTGTAGCTGGAGTGAGGACTTCACAAATTTCCCTTTTTTTTTTTTTTTTTTTACAGTCATGGGCAACCACAACTGCAGACCTCAATCTACTATACACATCAAGGAATTAAACTTTTTACTGTAAATGTCATGACTTCTCTCTGCTTCTTGGGAGTACTTCCAGCATCACCAGTGAACTTAGTATGGGTCCCATGGTGTTATTTAAGGTGTATAGTATGTATTAAAGACAATAAAAACCATGCAAAAACTATAAGAGATCACCTTTTACTGTGATACTCAATTTACTGGAGAGAGGAACTGCTCAAACATAGATGACTAGCATCACTTCAGCTCACCACAGTAGCAACAGGAGGTGGTTATGAAATTATTACAGTGGTACAATATGTACCACAGTTAGTTTTCTGCAGTTATGATTTAATACTGCATGAGTGGGGCCATATACAGTCTGTGTGCAAGTTTGGATAAATTTTAACTTTTTAAATAGTGCTGTGTATATTTTATGGTAGTAAATGATAAAATAGACTAGTACCTACATATATTTTATGCATTCATGGCATATATATTTCTAGGCTATGTGGTAAGTTTTTTCAACTTTCACAAATCTCCAAAAACTTTTCCAATATATTTACTGAAAAAAAATCTGTGTATAAATGGACCCACAAGTCCAAACCCATGTTGTTCAAGGTCAAAGGTGTACCTTTAGCCTCCAAATAAATGTGTTCTAGAAAACCTGGTTACTGGGTACATTTATGATTGTTTTCCACAGACAAAATATTGACATTCTAAGTCCTTTCCTTATTAACTATTTACTGAATATCAATGGTGGTAGCTCCCTAGTCATTCATTTATTCAACAAACATTTGTGCCTACCCTGCGCTAGGCCCTGTTCTGGGTGCAAATAAATATCTGAAGGACTGTATGTACAGATGGACTCAATTCAATCTTTCTTATAATCAGTTTGAGTTACTGTGCAACATCGCTTAAGTCATTAAACTGAAAGTCATTGAAACACAAGACTGAAAAATGTAAGGATGAAGTACTTTCACATACAAAGGGATTTCTGCCATACTTTCAAATAGCTGTGTAAAAGCAATGAGCTAAAGAAGCCTAGATAACCTAGTTGGTCCAAAGAATTTCAAAACTTAAGTGAAAGAGTCCAATGGAAAATATGTTTATATCTCAGGGAAAAAAATGTTTTAAGCTCTATTTTGAGGGGCAGTTTTAAAACATTTAAATTTTATATTACATTAAAATTTAAAAAACATTTAAACTATATCCACACTACATTTACTTGAAAAACAAATCCTTAATACTGGCAACTATATTTACTAAGAAAGATGAGATATAACACAATTTTTAAAAAATTAGTTAAAACCATTTGACCTTTTGGGTAGATGCATTATTCTTGTTTTATAAACAACATATGGTAAGTAGGAGTAGTGATAATTATGAAACAAATCTGATAAGTGAAATAACATGTAAGTTTGCATCTTACAACAGGAAATTATATTTCTTATAGTTAATAGACTAAAAACGTTCTCATAAATGGCATCAATATCTTACAGTAGACTAATTTAGAATATTTCCACCAGTACAAACTAAAACATTGTCACAAGAGGAATTTGGCAGTATCTAGCAAAATCACAGAGGAATTTTGACCTAGGAATCTCACTTCTTAGAATCTGTCTCAAAGATGCATGAGCAAAAATACCAAAGAACATACATTAACTGCCCTACTGTTGATAACTGTAACAGAATAGAAACAACCCAAATGCTGACCAATGGAGAATGGTTGAATAAATCACAATGCATTTATTTTAAATAGATATTACTCACTTTTAAAAGAATTGATAAATACCTATACATACAGCTATAGAGCAGTTTTTTTTTCATTATTTCCCCTCTAGAAGCCTTTTCTAATCTCACACACACACAACCCCATGAAATTTTTAATTTTTTTTTTTTTTTTTTTTTTTTAGACAGAGTCTCCCTCTGTTGCCTAGGCTGGAGTGTAGTGGTGCAATCTCAGCTCACTGCAACCTCCACCTCCCAGGTTCAAGCAATTCTCGTGCCTCAGCCTCCCAAGTAGCTAGGAATACAGGTATGCACCACCACACCCAGCTAATTTTTGTGTTTTTAGTAAAAGACAGGGTTTCACCATATTGGCCAGGCTGGTTTTGAGCTCCTGACCTCAAGTGGTCCACCCGCCTTGGCCTCCCAAAGTGCTGGAATTATAAGCATGAGCCACGCTACCCAGCCACCCCTAGGAAACTTTAATGCCACAAATGTATTATATATCTGTTTATGTACTATGGCCCTTTGAAGGGTCAAAAACCATTGTTATATTCAAGATTTTTTTTCACCTTTCAAGAGTCAACATTTGCCCTCTTGCGGTAGTATCTCCCATTGAGAATGCATGCTGTAGCGCATGTACAATATCCAGAGTATATTTTAAGGTAAAAACAGCAAGGTGGAGAACAGTATGTACAGTGCGCTAACACTTATCTAAGATGAGAGACAGACAGATAGATGGATGGATAGATAGATACAAACTAAAACTTTTAAATGGCGACTTATGGTAGGGGTTGTGGGGGAGAAAAACTGAGGTCATACTGATACTTCCATTTAAATTCAAGACTATATGGTTTTCACTTCTTCAATCTTACATATGCGTCTCCTTTTAATCAGGCTGAAAACTGTGATTACTAATGACACTAACATAATTCCTCACTTGTTTTATCCCACAACATACACAGATTGTCTCAGAACAATATTATTAATACAAACAATATAGGACTTTTTCCTCTTCTTTTCCTTAAGATGTATCAAAGTCACTTAAAAAAGAAAATTATTTCCCAGTTCTGTCCACTACAAAAGCCTAGAAATAATGGCCAATCCAGTAGCAAGAACATGCCTACTACCCATATGGATTTCTAAATACTATTTCCTACTAAAAGAAAGTAGGGCTCCCTAGACAAATGGCAGATTACAGGTCTGGGGTAGGAAATGCATACTATAAACATCCTGTCATAACACAAAGTAAGAAAACTGTCAATAACTACTTAGGAAATCATGTCAAAAAGACTCAAGAATGAACTTGAGGAGGTTCCTACAAATGATAATTCAATTTGAACATTGATAAAAATTAAAAAGAAAGAACTTAAAACACTTTGCATATAAATCCATGTATTTATAATATCTTTAAAAATTCATCAGTTATCTTTGGAGGATGCTAGATTTCCAATTCGTTATTTTGAAAACAGCTAAATAAAGGAAAAGAATCTAGCATTTATCCTGTCTAATCTTGTAAGAATTGTCCTTCAAAGGGTGACCAAATAATTGTTATAGGGAAACATCAATTCATAGAAATATTCCAGTGAATAAGTAAAGAAAGTGGGATAGAATTAGAGTATCATAATTTGTAGCCCACAATTAATGATAAATCTAGACAGCAATTATTAAATGGCTGCTAATCATCAAAAGAGAGACTTTTCATGCTTCTTGACTGAAATACACACCACTGTCTATTAGGTGCTCTTGTTAAAAAGTAAAATTTAAAGCTAATCAAGCTTTTAAAACTAACTATCAATTACAGAGAATATAGGTGAAAAAATAACATGCTAAACATGGAAACATAGTTTACAAAATCCAAACTATGGGAAGCACTATAAGACAACCCAGTTTCTTCGATTAGTATTTTGAAAGAAAATTAGAATGGATAACTATGGATCAAAAAACACTTGAGACATATCAACCAATTGCAATATATAGATATTATTTGGACCCTGATTACAATAAACACACCATAAGAAAGAATTTTGAGACTAACAGGAAAATCTGAACACTGACTAGCTATATTTGAAAATATAAATGACATTAGAGTTATATTTTTAAAAAATCCTTATCTTTCAAAGATACCTAATGAAATATTTATGAATGAAACAAAATGTTCAGGGTTTGTTACAAAATAATACAGGATACAGATAAAACAAACTTTGCTTTGCATTGACAACTTAGATAAACAATTCATCTAGCTTCCTATAATTCTTTTCATATAATTTCCTTTACTGTTGTGTATGTTTGAGTATAAGTTTAAAAAAAAACAGTGACAGTGTAGGATATAAATTTAGACCTAATATTGCTTGGCTCTCAATTATTTTTATGAAGATCATTGATTCTTTTTTAATGCAGACTAGAGGTTAGCACTCAGGTATGTGTTACCTCAAGTATAAATAATCTTCAACAAATCTCCATAAAGAATTATGGTGGGAGGTCCATATGACTGTACCTACTGATATTTGGGCATCAAAATAATAAAACTTTCCCTCATTTCGGCACAACTTAAATGCAATGTTCTATTTGACCTTAGATATTATTTTAAACAACTTGAATAGCTTCATTTTTATGTATCCTTACAGTAATTTTAAAGTTCAATTATCTAATACAGGCTATATAATTAATTTAATAAAGAACCTCAATACTAACACCAAACAGTACTTATTTTATAATCACAGGTATTTTATATATGCAAGAATTTGTCTACACAAATCCTTAAATGCAACTTTCAGAACTATAATATTTTACAAGTTTCACCTATTCATCCTCAATCTATTCTTGTATATTCTTGGCTACTTTGACAATAGATGCAATAATAATGATGTATGCATTATTATTAACCTTAACAAAAATATTTAAGATAAATCTGCTAACACCTTGTTTTAAAAGTATGTATCCTAATAATCACATACAGTAATTTAGAGTGGTGAATCTACTGAAATGACAACTAAAATATCACTTTCTGAAAAATATATCCAGCTAAGTAAACTGAAACAATCCCAATACTTTCTACTTAGATATGCCTCAATTTGCACATTAATTCAGACCTTCTACTAAGCTGTATGTTCAATACAGTGACCTCTGTGCTGTTCTTATCAGAAAACCTTGTATATCAATAAACTCTGTAGAATTCTAGTTTCATCAAATAGTAAGAAGTCTGATTTCTTCATCACAAAACATACAATGTGGATGTTTTCTTACTACAATATTTTAAAATCTAAATTATAGGAGATTTAAGGTCAAATAACATGTTAAATACCTTTTGATACATCCAATAATAAAGATCCCTTAAATGGAATCTCACAGTGGCCACTGATCAATGAAATCATAATAAACTGGAATCTATAATAAACTGAGTGTTTTGCATCTTTTCTTTCAAAACAAAACAAAAAAAGGCTTACAAGTAGAAAACAAGCTAGCTGCAGTAATTTTTACGCCAAAATCCATTAATATGGTAGTTCCTGGCTGCTGAGCAAACCTATAGCTCAATTGCCCACAGTTTGTACAATCAAATTAGTATTGATGTTCAGAGTGATCTATTTGAGGCCCCATAAGATCCTCAAACAAATATATTAAAAAGCATAGCTCTCAAGCCCAGTGAGACCCAAGTTGAATCTCTACTGTACTGTTACTTAACTTGCTATATGACCTCAGTTTTCCTATCTGTAAAGTGTGGGTAACATTCCCTATCTCACAGTTTTTTGGGGAGTGGGCGATGTCAATATACTTAGCACAGTATCTGGTACAGAATACTCAAGTATTCAATATATGTCCTCTGTTGTAGAATGGCGGTGGTAGTAATCATGGTATGAAGTAGTAGGAATAGAGTGTTAACGACAATTATGAAAACTAAGAGTTTCTACACAAAGCTTTACAGTAAGAGCAAATAACGACACCACAGCCCTAAGTTTCAAGGTAACTAAAGATTTTCTGTATCAAAACCTGCAAGATATCAACATTCGAATGCATTCTTGGGCTCACGAGACTTATGTACTACATCTGCTTAAGCATTTGAATGCCATTAGCCTCAGCAATACTTTTAGTTAAATTAGTATATAAATGATATATATTGTTTCAATGATTATCATTTTTATTGGTAATAGATAGCAAAATTTCATTTCACATGTAATGGTTAAAAATATTTATATCCCGGCCGGGCACGGTGGCTCACACCTGTAATCCCAGCACTTTGGGAGGCCAAGGCGGGCGGATCACGAGGTCAGGAGATCGAGGCCATCCTGGCTAACACGGTGAAACCCTGTCTCTACTAAAAATACAAAAAATTAGCCAGGTGTGGTGGCGGGCACCTGTAGTCCCAGCTACTCAGGAGGCTGAGGCAGAAGAATGGCGTGAATCCGGGAGGCGGAGCTTGCAGTGAGCCAAGACTGCACCACTGCACTCCAGCCTGGGCAACAGAGCAAGACTCCATCTCAAAAAAAAAAAAAAAAAAAATTTATGTCCTAATAATTAAAATTGCCCAATTTTGCAACAATTCAGGTAGTACAATCATTCAAAATTTTTTAAATTTAAAAATTCTACAAATGTACAAAAGAATAATAATAATTATGAGTTATGCAATGAGTCAAAATTACCCTTCAAGTTCTGAAGAGGGGAAATCAAACTTGGAACTTATACAGATACATCATACCCCCAAATCCATTAGTAGAAACCTCTTTGAATAGAGACAGGAAGATGTGTTAGTTGAAAATTTCATTTTAGAAAGAACAAATGTATGTAGGAAGATGCTACCACTTTAATTACAAATCATGAAAAAGTTGAGTATCCAATAGTAGTTATAAACCAGGCTTCTCAATTATGGTGCACATTAGAATCTCCCAGAGAGCTTTCAAAAAAATACACATGCTCAAGCCTTAACCTCTAGAAAGTCTGACTTAATTGGCTTGGGTGAGGTGTGGCACACTTTTTTAAAAGCTCTTCTGGAGATTTTATTATGCAGCCAGGATTAAGAATTATAGTCATATAGATTATAAATGGGAAATTAGGGACAATGATTATAGACAGGAAAAAAAAAGAGTGGAATAAAGTGTCAAGATACATTTGGTAATATACTGAATAATTCACAGATTTCACAAATACATATTAAGATGTGTACAACATAGCTCTTGTCCAAGACATTTAAATTCAAAGCCCAATAGAAAGATTTAAAATAAAAACACAAACCATGACAAAACATGGTAGGAGACTGTAAAATTTCATTACAGAATATAAACAAGGTGTTCTGGGAGCTCAGAGGTCACCAAAAAAGTTTACATGAAAAATAATTTCAAAGTCAAAAAATACAGAAGGAATGAGAAAAAAGAAGACACACGTAAGCATTATTTGCTACTAATGACTAGAAAAAATGTGATGTTAGGTTAATAGTACACAGAAAAATGGCAGACAAATACAACTATTAAAATTCCTTTTTGAAAACAGAGATTTGCATTTGTGGTAATTTAACTACTGGAAAATTGTGGTATGAAAGTTCCCTTTAAAAGCAATAGAACCAGTCTGGGCAACACAGCAAGACCTTATCTCTACAAAAAAATTTAAAAATTAGCCTGGCGTGGTGGCACAGACCTACAGTCTTAGCTACCCAGGAGGCTAGGGCAGGAGGATCACTTGAGCCTAGGAGTTCAAGGCTATAGTTGAGCTATGATCGCACCATTGCACTCCAGCCTGGGTGACAGGGCAAGACTGCATATATATATTAAATAGAACATTTTAAAAAAGCAATACAAAGAACAGTATAGCCAAAAGCAAAACTTGGACTAAGATTCATAAAATGGAAAGACTATTAACAAATAAATTTAAAAGAGTCCTTTGCTTGTCCTACTGAAAGATTTCTTATTTCAAGTAAGACCCTATGGCTTAGTATATGGCCCACGAAATGACTAAAATATGGACTCTGATATAAAAAAGACAAAAACGTGTGAAATTCAAGTAGAATATTTCTTATTTCCTAATGGGAGAGTGTAATTATTTTAATAAACTAAGGAGAACAGCTTATAACCTAATGCTTATGTTACCATAAGAGATCTCTAATACATATTGTACTGGATAAAAATCAATCTATAAAGCGTCCAAAACTAATTCTTATGCTTCTAAATAAAGTTAAATGGTCTTAAAAACATCTGTGAAACTATATAAGAAAGTAACTAATGCTGATATTTAACAACCTTTAGCAAAAGGAAAGATAAAGTCAAGAAAGTAAATCATCATATAGGATTTGACACAAATTTAAAACAAAACACAAACAAAAGAATGGGGTTATAATAACAAGTCTTAAACTACTTCACGTATGATTCAGTATTCTTCCTTGACTATAAAAACATTTTCTTTTAGAGTACTTTTGTTTTTGAAAATAAATTGCTATATGTTTATTGGAAGTCAGAGACTCAAGTTCTGATACCAAACTTTTAAACAGTTATAAATATATTGGAACTGACATTTGATAGGAAACTTTACAGAAATGTTTTACATGAAGAAATAACACTCTTTACACATGTGGTTCTAAAAAAAAATAGAAAGATATTGAGCAAAATGTAGAAAATCAGAACATCTGAAAGTCTTTTTAAAAATCATAAACATTTTTGGCCGAGCATGGTGGCTAATGCCTGTAATCACAGCACTCTGCGGAGCCGAGGAAGGTAGATGGCGTGAGCTCAGGAGTTCGAGACCAGCCTGGGTAACACGGCAAGACTCCGTTTCTACTAAAAATAAAAATCAGGCCAGGCACGGTAGCTCACACTTGTAATCCCAGCACTCTGGGAGGCCGACATGGGCAGATCACCGGAGGTCAGGAGTTCGAGACCAGCCTGGCCAATATGGTGAAAACCTGTCTCTACTAAAAATACAAAAATTAGCTGGGCACAGTGGCGGGCACCTGTAATCCCAGCTACTCGGGAGCTGAGGCAGGAGAATCGCTTGAACCCGGGAGGAGGAGGTTGCAGTGAACCGAGATCGTGCCACTGCACTCCAGCCTGGGCAACAGAGCTAGACTCCATCTCAAAAAAATAAAAAATAAATAAATAAAAATTAGCTGGGCATGGTGGTGTGTGTTTTTAATCCCATCTACTCAGGAGGCTGAGGTGAGAGAATGGCTTGAGCTGGTGGTGGGTGGGGAGTTAACAGGGTAGCAGGGGACTGGGGGTGGGGGCAGAGGTTACAGTGAGCTAAGAGCGCACCACTGCACTCTAGCCTGGGCAGCAGAATAAAAACCCTGTCTCGAAATAAATACATACGTAAATAATAGACATTTTTAAATGAAGAATATTTTATACTTTGACTTAAGGTACAAACAAAAAAAGTAAGGTTGAAAACAAAGGTAAGCTCTTCCTTGAGCTCATAATAAATACAAGATTATAAAATTTTTATTCTGTAACCCAATAAATCATAAACTACTGAGAATAAATAAATATCCAACCCTCTTCTTAAAATTACTTTTCATGAGTATTGACCATAAACTTATGAGTCAAGGAAAGTAAAAGTAAACTGCATGAACTTTGAGGTAAAAATTAGAACAATTTGAGAATTTGTGTTTGCCAAGGCGGCATTCAATCTTTGATTCTATTTCTCAGCTCTGTACTATCTATGGGATACTGGCTCCCAATATTCATCAACACTCATGATATTATACAGTAAGTGATAAGTTAAAAACACAGCTTCTGTCATTATAGAAATCCATTTCTCTAAGGCAATGACAAAATTGACATTTATTGAAAAAATACATACGACATACAAATTCAAAGATAAATCCTTATAATTTCAAAGGTGAAGGAAAAATTAAAAATAATTTAGTTGCCCTGGGTTCCATGCTGGGGAATTCAAAGTAGACTTCAAAAAAACATGAATCACCCAAAATTGATTGCAAAATTTTATGTACAGGTATATTTTTGTGGAAAGATGGTCCAACAGTACCTTTCAATGGATTCTCAAAGAAGTTTGTGACTCAGAACGTTTTCTTAACCATCCAAGTCTGGATTAGGTTCCACCCCTAAGGTCAGAGCTCCACAGCAATCTTTCCATTCATCATACTATATTACACTATATCATAACTATGCAGTAATTTGTCTGCTTCCTTCCCCATGCCAAATAAATTGTAGAGACTTTTAGAGCACTGAACATCTCTACTTCATTCATGACTATATTCCCAGTATTCATTCTGTCTGGTACTTGACATGTAATAGGTGCTCAACAGCCATACCTTAACTGAATGAATCAATCAATTGTTCATCTAATTAAATTTGGTTTCAGCTTTAAAAATATATCCTAAACATTCCAATTACATATCTTCAGTCAATAAGATTTATAATTCAATTAAAATAAATGTATTTTGAAGCTAACTTTTCCATAATGGATTAAGTTACAGAGCACATCTTCCATAAAACTTTATAGTCACTTACTAGTACGTGGTTTGGATGGTTTTCCCAGCAGATATGAACTTCTACAAGGATACTGCAAGCCTGCTTAATGGAACGAAATTTTGATGGCTTGCAATTAGTCTATAAAATAAACACTTTGGAATGATTTCATATAAAATATTTAAAACCTAAGGTATTTTCAAAATAATAACAGGAGAAATTGGGTCTTTTCTATCACCATGTGGATTTCTTTTGCAATTTGATAAACAGACTGCAAATCAGAAATGAATTTTAATAATTATTCAATTTTAAATCTATTAAAGGCTTTCAACACAAACTTAATTTTAAATATGCTGGTATTCTCTCCACCTTGACCTACCATTGTGACACAAAGCTATTTCAACACTTTCAAAATGTTAATGTTGTGACTGGCCTTGCATTTATCTCATCTCCTAGAAATTTTAATTTTGCTTCTCCATCCAAATGTCTCTGAAAATATTATTCCTTATGGTTTTTGTTTTGCTAATACTACAATATCAGAATAACATTATTAAACAAATGATCAATCTGGAAGAAAAAATATCCATTTAACTTTGAATATATTCACACTTTTAACATTACATGCTCAATTTTATCCTTTAAAAATTTCTAACATTATTTCTAGTGGCTTACTTAATGAACATACCGGAAACTGTGAATGCCCTGAAGTTCCTGCTGTAGAACCTCTTGTGTTGTTGCTATTAAGTCCAATGCTCCAACAAATTCAGAAGTAGATAATAACACCTGTACTGTAGGCTGAGTCTGGTGTACAGTGGCCATTAACTTCAGCTTATTGTATACTTTAACACAATTATTTCTGGTAAGTGCCAGTCTTAAAATGTGGAGTGATCCTTCACACATTACTTTATCAATCTGTGCAATTTTATCTCGAAGCATTTTTACAGCCTGGGAAGTTTTCCTGAGGTAGTCCTGCAACTCGTGTTGAGAGGTCATTGCATGAAAAAATGCTTCTGAACGTAGAGAGATCTGGTGAGCAATGTTTACTTCCACAATATCCAGATAATGGCTCAGCTTAAAAGAGAAGGAAAAAAAATATGAAGTACTATGAGCATACCTTCCTTGATTATCCAAATACTTTATGACAATGATAAAAGATTTCTACATATACTTTAAATTCCATTGTGTGAATTGTTTGATTGTGAGATCCTTGAAATTGGGCACAACAAAATGGAAGGAAGATAAAGGGTACACCCCAAAGATATAAATGTAAGACAAAAGAGTACAAGGTCATTTACTTTCCTCCTCTGTTCCTGTCATTATCACCTTCCAAACACCAACTGCTTTCTAAAAGAGTACCCCACAGACATCTCAAATTACAATTCCAGTTTCAGATGTTCTAAGATCTGAGAGAAAGAGAATGATCTCCTTAGCCCCCAATATCATTGCACATCATTTATCTGACTAAATAGATGATTACACCTTCCATTTATTGACCTCCTCCTATGGATTAGGCACAGGTATTTTATACACATCTAATTTTTCTAATTTTAACAATCTTGAAATATAGGTAGTATTATTATCATTTTACAGATGAGGAAACACAGTCATGTAGTTACTAAGTAGCAAAACTAAAATGTTGGTATATCTCTGACTGAAAAACTGAAGCTGTTTCTATTATACCATTCTGCCTCAAAATGCTGAATAATCCAAGATAGACTGATGGTTCAGTCACAAATTATAGATAAGGTACTAAAATTCATTTGGATTTTTTTCAGGCTGCTTATTTTACATTTCAAAAGTGATTCTTTTATCAATTTGTAAAATTCAGTTTATTTCCAATGAATTTTCCTCTTAAAAGTTCGACAAATACCTTAAACAATTAGCTCATATATATTTTTTTAGTAGCATTACCAAGATTAATTCTTATGGTAATATATATTTAAAATGCTTTCTAAATTTCAAATATGGACTTCTAAAACTTGTTTTGCCTTTTCTTCCTTTCTAACTGCATATGCCTTTTTTGGCTATATTATCTTTCCATTATTCACCCATTTTTTTACTTTGAGATTTTTTAACCCACAGCTCAGACTTCGGGCATTATCTCTGAATGTCTTGGGATAATTCATAGTTTCAAAGGGTTAATGAACTTTCAACATTTAGGTCTCATAAGATTAGAAGAGACTATTTGGTCATCAAATCTGTTTCCCTAAGGAAACACAGAGTATCATTCATATCTTCAATAATGCTCCTTCAATAATCTTACAATATCTAAATAGGTTACAAACAAGAAATTTTTCCACAGTTTAAATCTTGAGTTTATGCCCTTTTGCTCTTTCATCTTCAATATGGCTGTTCATTTATTCACTAAAAAAGCAAAATGGGCACAAATATACTAGGGTAAATTGCAAGGTAACATGGACTCAATTCCCAGAATAGTAAATGGAGAATAGATAACTTTAGGACAGTGCTACCCAGAATGTGATTTATATGCTGCTGCCAATCTGTGGACTGTTTAACAGGGCCATAATAAAATAAAGAATTTTGCTAGAAAGTAAATCAACTACATCATTAAGCACACTGTATTTTTTTCAGACTTTCTTAATGAAGTAAGCAGTGCAGTGATTTGCATTCCAGTGCAAACTCCTTATTTTACTGCAGACCAGCACTTTGCACAGTACAATAGAATACAAATTTCTTTAATTCTAGTTATAGCATCCTTGCTCTTAAAAGCGAACATGATAAACCAGCTGTTGTCCATCATAAAAGGAGTTTCAAAGTGCTCTCTTGGAATCCTGTCTTCTATTCCTATTCTAAGAACAGAGCAGAACGAAAAGGAGTCAGAATGTAAATATAGCAAATCTGATTCTGCAATTTACAAATAAAAAAAATTTCCATTATTTTAGTCACTTTAAACATTCAGCATAAGAAAAGCATTTGAGTCTCAAAGATTTTTTGAATTTTCAATAATCCATTGATTTACTCTTTTCAAGGCATAACATTTTTATAGTTTACTTCCTATTAAAATGCTATAAAGGAAATAATTTTTAAATTATCTGTATTAAAAGTACCTGTATACATTGATGAGACTTTTACTGGCTTTTGCTGTTTTTCTCTTTTTAAGGTATTATTCTCTCAGGGCATATACTTAGAATATGAAAGCCTGTGTCATGAGCAAGCCTGTGTCTCTAAACCCATGGTTTTCGTCAGATTTATCAATTTGTTCTTATGCATGGAAAAACCTTTTTATAGGTGACAATGTTGCCAAAGGAAAAAGCTCATTTTCGTTTTCAATTGTGAGAAAAGGAATACTCATGATTCCTTCCCCACATTTCTTCTTCTCTCCTCCCCAAGCTAGTCTTTTCTTCAGTTCCTGATGAGGACTGAACCTGATATTATTGATGTCTTCCTGAGACAAGCTTTCAGATTGCCAGGGGATATCACTAAAGTAAAACAAAATCACTACTTCTCATTTTAAGAACTACCTTCAGTTTTAGACGAGCTCTAAACTGAATGCTAAGAAAGAACAGAGATCAAATGTCTTTAGAAGACTCTTGATAAGTAAATTATATTTAAAGATCTAAATATTAAATGACTTTCAAGGTGCTGACTTCTGGACTATGACATTGTAAAACGTAAAGAACTGCTGACTAGTAACATGTAAAAGACTAGGCTTTGCAAAGCTACAAAAACAATAGGAATATTGTATTCTTTAAGATATTTTTGTTTCAAAATAATCATCCCTAGGTGAAAATGAAAAACAGTACCTCGGAAAATATTGGTTTTCTGTGCTTTAAATCATTCTTATAAAATTAGCCAATGTGGGGCTGGGCATGGTGGCTCACATCCGTAATCTCAGCACTTTGGGAGGCCAAGGTGGGCGGATCATGAGGTCAGGAGTTCGAGACCAGCCTGGCCAACATGGTGAAACCCCATCTCTACCAAAAATACAAAAAATTAGCCAAGCATGGTGGCACGCACCTGTAGTCCCAGCTACTTGGGAGGATGAGGAAGGAGAATTGCTTGAACCCAGGAGGTGGAGGTTGCAGTGAGTGGAGATCGTGCCACTGCACTCCAGCCTGGGCAACAGAGCGAGACTCCGTCTCAAAAAAATAAAAATAAAAATAAATAAAATTAGCCAGTATGTAAATAAAATATCTGGGACAAATGCAAAGCAATTTATTGTGTTAGCTAATATAGCCTTTCAATTAAAATTCCATCAACTGCTCTTTCAGGTAAGAAGCACTCAAATAGTAAGTTTTTCCTTGTTCATCTGCACAACTTGTGTTCCATTGAACCAAAATGCTGTTAGTTTATCAGTTAAGATTGGGAGGCTTATAGTTATCAGTAAGAACAAAAATGAATTTAAAAGTACAGCTTACTAAATAACTAAATCTGAACCCAAGCAAACAGTACCGCTTAACTAGAATAGTTTCCTACATGGAAAAAGTCAAAAAGAAATTACCTTTTCTTGAAGCAACTTTGAGGAAGCTGCATCACGATTTCCTTTTCCACCAGCAGTATTAAAATGAGACCATGGTAAAACTGAATTAAAAGTTAAGGAATCATCCAAGGCAAAATCTGGTTTCATAAAAATCTATTAAAAAAATGCATTTCCCTCAATTAGATAAGTATTTTCTTTATACCCATTATCTCTTCTAACATCATGATCATTAAACAAAATTAACGTGGATCTTGAGTATGAATAGCAAAAGCAAGTGATAACAGTTGAGTTCTTTACACAAATATCTATAAGAAAAATGTGTAAATTTCTCACCAAGCTTAAAATACTCATAAAAGATACAAAATGTTTTTTGCCTTTACCAATGGAGATGGTCATTCTATTACTACATGATCATACTCACTCATGCAGTCCTACAGGTACATACCAGAGGCAGATATAATACTCATCCTAAAATTTCCACATTATTTCCCACTGATAGTTTTTTAAAATGCCAAATATCAATTTCTCTAACCTATATTTCTATTTTCTCCTGCTCAAAATTGTTTTAAAATTAGTTTAGATTAAGCATACAATAAATATTAAAACCAAAACAAATTCAATTTTATGAATAGACTACTCTTCCCTTACATATCACGACCAGCTAAGCAATAAGGCCTACCCGTTATATTTTGTAAATATACCTTGAATCTCTGCTTTCCTGTATCTCCACAGCATTCAGTAGTTCAGCTCTTCAATAGCTATTTACTGATATCCTTCCCTAATCTATCCCCTATACTACTGTTAGAGATACTCCTCTACAATGTCAAGTATAACTGTATTAACTTCCCTGTTTAAAACTCTCAATAGATTCCCATGACCCACAGACCAAACTATTTAGAATGGCATCCAAAACCCTTCATTGTTTTTCTGGACCCACTTACCTCTTTGTATCTTGTCACTCCCACTATTTACCCATTACACTCTAGCAATATTCAATTCTCTTCCATACTCTTATTCTTTTTACAATGAGTGTATTAATACATAAAGTATGCATATCTTTACATACATACTTCTGGCCTAGAACGCCTTTTCTTGTACATCTTCCTGAAGAACATGACCCAATCAAAAGGGCAAATGTGTCGTTGTGCATGACATAATGACTCCCATCTCTGAACACAAATATATCATGCATACTTAATTATTTACCTCATACTTTATAGAAATTATTTATTTAGTATGCATATCTCCCTCTGGAGACCATATGTTCTTGCAGGGTTAAATTTATAGCTTATTTTTGTACCTCTAACACCTAGCATAGGGCCTAAAACATGGTTTAATCAATTTATGTATTTATTTATATGCTATATTTTATTTACTGATTTATTTTACCTATATACAAAAATTAGAATGAATATGGTAGGAAAAAAATCTAACTAGAGACATGAGTAAATTTTCTAATCCCTGCTTTGGTATTATAACTAAAAGTATTGATTAATTCAATAAATATTTACTGACTACTTCTGATGCTAGGCACTGAGGGAGAAACAAAGATAATTTATTAAAGAGACCCCAATCTCATGAAGCTTCAATCCAAGGGATGTGATAAAATATTATAAGGAGACTGGGCCCAGTGGTTCATGCTTGTAATCCCAGCACTTTCGGAGGCCAGGTGGGCGGATCACTTGAAGTCAGAAGTTTGAGACCAGCCTAGCCTGGCCAACGTGGCAAAACCCCGTCTCTTCTAAAAATACTAAAATTAGCCAGGCCTGGTAGCAGGCGCCTGTAATCCCAGCTACTCAGGAGGCTGAGGTAACAGAATTGCTTGAACCTGGGAGGCGGAGGTTGCAGTGAGCCAAGATTGTGCCACTGCACTCCAGCCTGGGCGACAGAGAGAGACTCTGCCTCAAAAAAAAAAAAAAAAATCTTATAAGGAGAAGAGGGACAAATCCTTAAAGGGGTAGCAGAGGGATGAGGGAAGAGTCCCAGATAAAATGTTATGGGAATTTGGCAAAAGGGCCAATTATCTTCTGTTGGAAAGAACAAGAAAGTACCCATGTAAAGCTGCCATTTTAAGCAAAAGATTACAGAGAATTAGATATGGGAAGATGAGGGAAAAGTCTTCCAGGATCAAGAAACAGTGTAAGTAAAGCACAGAGCCATCAAAAAAAAGTTTGGCTGAAGTAAAGAATGTGTAAAGATTACATGAAGTGAACATTGAGCCTTAAATGACAAACTTTGAGTTTTATTTTGTAGGATCAAATAAATGATATAAATGATATCCTTCTACCTTTTTTGTGTCTTTCATCTCTTTCTTACCCTAAAGAACAACTGTCACAGACCTATTTGAGAATCTGATGAAGGTAACTGACTCTCTTCCCAGAAAAAAATGGATTATACATCTCGACAAAATTTTTCATACAAAGTAAGTATCTCTTAATAATTTGAAGAGGTTGAATGATCAGCAAAATTTTTTTAATGGAAAGATTTTAAAATATTTGTAGGTTTCAGTGATGAGAAAGAGACTGATGATGCAAAAGAGAAAAAACACCATAAATATACATCATTTTTATTTGTCAATTAAAAACATTTTTTCGTTTAAAAAAAAAAAAAGAAAAAGGCCAGGCATGGTGGCTCACACCTGTAATCCCAGCACATTGGGAGGCTGAGGTGGACGGATCACTTGAAATCAAGAGTTCAAGACCAGCCCGGCCAACACGGTGAAACCCCATCTCTACTAAAAATACAAAACAAAAAAAGTAGCTGGGCATGGTGGCATGCGCCTGTAATCCCAGCTACTCAGGATGCTGAGGCAGGAGAATCACTGGAACCCAGGAGACGGAGGTTACAGTGAACTGAGATTGCACCACTACACTCCAGCCTGCGAGACGGGGCAAGATTCTGTCTAAGTTAAGAGAAAGAACAGAAAAGCAGAAAGAAAAAGAAAGAAAGACAGAAAAGACAGAAGGAAGGAAAGAAAAAAAGAAAAGTGAGAAAGAAAGAAGAAAAGTGATGCAACACAGCCCCACAAGAGACAAAGTAGCCAAAGGGTCAAAAAAAAAAAAAAGCCAAATGAAATCTGCTTGTAAGGCAAAATTAAAGATCAAATATTATAAGGCAATTTTCTCATGTTTAAGCTTTGTTACCTTAGGTACTTGCTCCAGATCTGTCCTGGATTTATCTATTTAAAAAAGAAGGGAAATATTATTTTTAAAACTTGTTTTCATTTTAACTCCGTAAAATACATTTTGACAGATTCAGTATTGTACTGGGTCACATCCAAATAACTAAAGTTTATTCCTTCAACAAATTATCTATCAAGCACCTATTACATGCCTAGTAGTAGGCAAAGCGCTGAACAAAACAATGTTTCAGGTAATTGTAATCAATTATATAGCAGCAATAAAACAGCAAAATACATCTCAAATCTTTTTAATCAGACATAAAAGGCTTTATGCTATCTCAGTGGTCCCCAACCCCTGGGCCATGGCCTGTTAGGAACCAGGTTGCACAGCAGGAGGTGAGCAGTGGGCACAAGCAAAGCTTCATCTGTATTTACAGCCAGTCCCCATCAATCACATTACCGTCTGAGCTCCACCTTCTGTCAGATCAGTGGTGGCACTAGGTTCTCATAGGAGCACAAACCCTAATGTGAACTGCACATGTCAGAGATCTAGGTTGTGCCCTCCTTATAAGAATCTAATGCCTGATGATCTGTCACTGTCTCCCATCTCCCCCAGATGGGACCATCTAGTTCCCGGAAAATAAGCTCAGGGCTCCCACTGACTCTCCATTATGATGAATTGTATAATTATTTCATTATATTTTACAATGTAATAACAGTAGAAATAAAGTGCATAATAAAGGTTCATCCCAAAACTATCTCCCCGCAAACCCCTTGGTCTATGGAAAAATTGTTTTCCATGAAACCAGTCCCTGGTGCCAAAAAGATTGAGGACTGCTGTGCTATCTTTTCAAGTTTTGGTAAGACTGAATATGGCATGCTATGTAATTTTAAAAAATGAATTAAATTCTAAAGTAGGAATATTGTTTTTATTGTTTAAAAGATCTATCATCCCATCCAGAATTTCTTATGATCAAAGGTTGCTTTTTTATACTACATTAATTTTCTTCTCAGACATCTTAAGGCTGAGATACACACTTATCTTCAAATGAACCTACTTTACTTTCATCCTGCCAATCCCAACTCAGATAAGGTACTACTCTCCTCTTCAAAACCAATCTTTCTGCACTTAGACTCCATTCCCTCCTGCCTCTGCTGTGAGCTTGGTTAATCAGTTTACTCCATCTCAGTATCTTCAGCCTCTTCCCTTGTACTAGCTCTCTTATCTTTGTATATAAACATGCTCAGTTCTTTCCCATTAAAAAAAAATATATATATACACACACACACACACACACACACATTCTAATATATATATAGATATATATAGATATATATAGATATATATAGATATATATAGATATATATAGATATAGATAAAACCCAGGCCAGGACCAGGTTGAGGGAAGGGCAGGACCTCAGATGCAAAAGCACTCACTCTCAGGGATAGTCAAATGCCTCTTACCCGATCTAGTCCTGGCCATGAAAAAATATTCTTCCACTCTGTTCCCTGTAGTCAATAATCTATCTCAAATCTTCTAGTGACATAATACTGGTAGTCTACA
The DNA here is from genome assembly GCF_000001405.40 of Homo sapiens. NCBI lineage: Eukaryota > Metazoa > Chordata > Mammalia > Primates > Hominidae > Homo > Homo sapiens. The sequence goes on from NC_000002.12 coordinate 63,970,500, forward strand.
TTTCTTTCTCTTGTACTCACTCCTTAATATATAGTATTGAGGTTTCTGGAACTGCCATAAATGCTCTAAGATCTCCTGATTGCCAAAATAAAGGAGACTTCTCAGTGTACAAATTGATCTATCCCGAACTATTCTGACATTACAGACCAACTAACTGTTCTTACTTTCTGAAATCCTCACTAGCTTTAACTTTTAAGGTGCAATTCTCTCTTGGTTGACTTTCCTATCTCTCTGACCACTTTTTGTCTCCTTCACAGGTATCTCATCTTCTGTCTGCCCCTTAAATGAGACAGCTTAATTAGTGCTCCATCACCAGTCGTTTTCTTCTCACTGTTCACATCTTCCCTGGGCAATCTCACCCAACGTCCTTGGATTCAACTACCATGCTATTGTCCAGCATACCTGTCTATGATGATGTCTACCATACCTACATCTTCAGCCTAAATCTTCAACCTGAGCTCCAGGTTGCCAAAAAGGCATGTTCTTCACTGCAAATCTGCAACTAAACTTGCCTCCATCTCCCTCAAAATTCCTCCTCCTATATTGCCTCTCTCACTGAATTGCACTGTCACCCACCCAGTTGTCCAAGCAAGAAACCTGGGAATTGTCCTTGAATCATTTTGCTCCATTACCAATAACTGGCCACCAAAACCTGTGTCTCAATCTCTGAGTTACTTCTCAAAGGCCTAATTCCCTCTCCATCTCCACTGTAACTGTTACTGGAATATCATTTCTCATTTGTATTACTGCAGTAGCCTCCAACTGTCTCCTTGCCTCTAGTCTAATCATCATCCCATAATTCACTATCCACAACTATTTTCACATAAATGTATAATCATAAATCTGATCATGCCTAGTTAAAAATATTATGTAGCTTTATAGTGTCTTCAGAAAAGGTAAAATTCCTTACCACAGCATATAAGGTTCTTCATGATCTGACCACTGCCTATGCTTCAGTCTCATCTCTTGCTCCCAGTAGAACCAATATATTAAACTCTTACAGTTCCTTGAATATTCTGTTCTCTCTTTATTCTATGGCTTTGTATAAACTATTCCCTTTTCTTGGAATGTCTTCTCCCACATAAATGTTTCAAACTAACGACTTTAAAACACATGTAATCACTGTCAACTCTAGGAATGCTTCTAAAGCTAAGTTACGCATGTTATAAAACATTACCACACTGAACTTACTCTTTAATATACAGTGATACAATTATTGGTTTCTTTCTTTAAACTTATTCAGGACAACATCAGTTCTTTGAGGACCAAAGCTACTTTTTACTTATCTATAGATTTACTTTAGGGTATCACTACGTTACTGTTCTCAAACTCATAGGCTCAAGCAATCCTCCCACCTCAGCCTCCCAAGTAGTTGGGACTACACACATGTGCCATCATGTCTAGCTTACTCATCTATTTTTAAGCAACAAGGAACATACCAACCACGAAGATATCCAATCAATATTTGTTGAACTAAAGGATTATACTACTATCAGATCTACTTTTTCTCTTAGAAGTTCTTAGAAAATATTATAATCATAGGTTATAAAAATTTTACTAGAAATAAAAATTATAGATATAACAGGCAATAAGGTCCCAAAATAAAGATTTTGTTCACTAATATTTATGCTATGCTTTATTATCTATAAATAACACATATTCATACCATGAGTATGTAAAAGAGTCCTTTCGAAGGTATCTTTAGGAGGACAAATATTCTTGCATCTCTCATGAATCTTCTCTCTCTAATAAAAAGACAAATAACATCATCAATGTATGTGTAAACATGAGTATTCAAAGCATGAAAGTGTTTTGCAACAGAATATCAGAATATGCCAAATTAGTCCTACGACTTTTAATATGAAATCACTAGCCTCCTGAACTTAAATACAAGTAACAAGCGGTTAATAAACCAAATACCTCTATGAGATCTATGCACATCTATATACCTACATCCATTCCATCTCATATAATTATAGTAAAATCTCCATATGTAGAATAAAGTGAGAAAGCAAATGGAAAATATTTATGTATGAATTAGGAGAATAATTTGAATCAAGAAAGAAAATTCAAAAACCTATATATCTAAGATAGAAACAAATTAGGCCAGGTGCGGTAGCTCACACCTGTAATCTCAGCACTTTCAGAGGCCAAGGCGGGCCGATCACCTGAAGTCAAGAGTTCAATACTAGCCTGGCCAACATGGTGAAACCTCGTCTCTACCAAAAATTAGCCAGGAGTAGTGGCGCACACCTGAAATCCCAGCTATTGGGGAGGCTGAGGCACAAGAATCACTTAAACCCAGGAGGCAGAGGCTGCAGTGAACCGAGATCATGCCATTGCACTCCAGCCTGGGTGGCAGAGTGAGACTCTATCACAAAAAAAAAGAAAAAAAGGAAAGAAAGATAGAAATTAGTTATTGACACGTTCTGAGTAAAAAAAAAAAAAATCTCACTCTGATTTAGAATTAGATGACCACTAACAATGTCATTATCTTTTCAGAGATATCACCGAAAGGATACCTGAGAAAGTGAAGTGTGGTAACAAGAAAAGCAGCAGGCCAGCAGTGTTCAGAGTTCTGGTAGCAATTCTATCAGTTACTACAGGACTGTTTTCCAAAGTGGCCATACCACTTTTCATTCCCACCAGCAATAAATAAGAGTTCCTGTTGTTCTACATCCTTGTCAACATTTGGTGTTGTCAGTGTTTTAGATTTTTGCTATTCTAATAGATATGTAGTGGCATCTCATTTTAATTATGAATTCCCTAATGACATTTGATATTTAGCATCTTTTTATATGCTTATTTGCCATCTGCATTATCTTCTTTGGTGAGGTATTTAGATCTTTTGCTCATATTTTTTAAGGAAAAATACATATAACATAAAATTTATCACGTAAAATTATTTGCTATGTTGACCATCTTTCCATGTGCTAATTGCACACTTCTATATCTTTTTTTGGGAAAAGGTCTATTCAAAGTCCTTTACTCATTTTTTAATTTGGCTGTTTGTTTTGTTGTTGTTGAGTTTTAACTCCTTTGTTTATTTTTGGTACCAGTCCCTTTTTGTTTTTTGAGACTGGGTCTAGTTCTGTTGCCCAGGCTGAAGTTGCTGGCTGTAACTTCAAATTTCAGGGCTCAAGCAATCTTTCTGCCTCAGCCTCCAGAGCAGCTAGGACTACAGGTCCACACCACCATGCCTGACTAATTTTTCTAATTTTTTCTTGTACAGATGGGTTCTCACTATGTTGCCCAGGCTGGTCCTGAACTCTTGGTCTCAAGTGATTCTTCCACCTCCACCTCCCAAAGTGCTGGGATTACAAGGTGTAAGCCACCACACCTGACCACCAATCCTGTATCAGATATGTGTTTTCTAAGTATTTTCTCCCAGTCTTTGGCTTGTTTTTTCATTCTCTTAAAGGTGTCTTTCACAGAGTAGAACTTTTTAATTTTAATGAAGTTCAACTTTTCAATTTTTTCTTTCATGGATTGTGCTTTTCTTTCATATCTAAAAAGCCATTACCAAACCCAAGGTTACCTAGATTTTCTCCTATGTTATCATCTAGAAGTTTTATAGTTTTGCATTTTACATTAAGGTCTATCATCAACTTTGAGCTAATTTCCATGAATAGTGCAAGGTGGTATGTCTATATTCTTTCTCTTTGGTATGTGGATGTATAGTTGTTTCAGTACCATTTGTTCAAACAACTATCCTTTCTCTACTGAATTACCTTTGCCCCTTTGTTAAAAATCAGTTGATTGTATTTGTGTGGGTCTATTTCTGGGTTCTCTGTTCCACTGACCCATATGTCTGTTCTTTCACCAATATGACATTGTCTTGATTACTGTAGCTTTATAGCAAAACTTCAAACTGAGTGGTATCAGTCCTCCAGCTTTGTTCCTCTTTTAATACTGTGTTAGCTATTCTGGGTCTTTTTCTATATAAGCTTTAGAGTCAGTTTTCAATATCCAAGAAACCAACTGCTAGGATTTTAATCAGGATTATGTTGACTCTATTGATCAAGTTGGGAAAAAGAGACACCTTGACAATATTGAGCCTTCCTATCCACATATATGAAATATCTCTCCATTTATTTAGATATTTAATTTCTTTCATCAGTCTTGTGGTTTTCCTCAGATAGATCTTATATCTATTTAGATTTATACATAAAGCCTTCATTTTCTTTGATGCTAATGTAAATGGCATTGGGTTTTTAATTTCAAATTCCAATTGTTCATTGCTGGTATATAAGAAAGTAATTAACTTTTATATATTAACCTTGTATCTTGCAAGCTTACTATAGTCACTTATTAGTTCCAGGAGTTTCTTTTTGGATTCTTTGGGATTTTCCACATAGACGATCATTTCATCTGGAAACAGTTTTACTTCTTCCTAATTTTTATATATTTTATTTCCTTTTCTTATTACATTAGTTAGGACTTCCAAGACAATGTTAAAAGAAACAGTGACAGGGGACATCCTTACCTTGATCCTGTTCTTAGTGGGAAGCATCTAGTTTCCCCATTAGCTACAGAGTTTTTGTAGATTTTTTTTTTCTTTTTTGAGACAGAGTCTCACTCTGTCACCCAATCTGTAGTGCAGTGGCGTGATCTTGGTTCACTGCAACCTCCACCTCCTGGGTCCAAGTGATTCTCATGCCTCAGCCTCCCAAGTAGCTGAAATCCCCATTGCAAAATTATAACTGAGACAGTGAAAGAGATCTGACCTAACCAACTCCATCTTGCTTCTAACCTCCAAGCTGTTCTTGTCCATTCTTGGGCATAGGGTGAACTAACTTTGGGAGGAACTTAGCTTATAGTTTAAAACAAAGATGATAACAGTCCTTTCCCAAAACAAACCACCTTCTTGCCTGGGGGCTAGACTACCTTTGTTGGACTAACAAATTAGCCACAAGATTAGAAATTACGGTTTAGGAGTCGAGTCATGCAACTGGAGACTACAAGATTCTGACCCTCCCCCTAAACTGCTCCTAAGATCCATGCTTGAGATATTTTGCAGACCCTGTACTCGACGGATCAGCTGGTACCACCCAGATCAATAAACTGCCTCATTTGATCTTGTTGGCCCCACCCAGGAACTGACTCAGCACATGGAGATGGCTTCTCCCTATGATATCATCGCTGACCTGACCAATCAGCACTGCCGGCTCACTGGATTCCCCTTACCCACCAAGTTGTCCTTAAAAACTCTGATCCTCGAATGCTCGGGGAGACTGATTTGAGTAATAACAAAACTCTAGTCTCCCACACAGCCAGCTCTGTGTGGATTATTCATTCTCTATTGAAATTCCCCTGTCTCAATAAATCAGCTGCCTAGCCAGCAGCAGGCAAGGTGAACCCATTGGCAATTACATAGCTGGGATTACAGGCATGCGCCACCATGCCCAGCTAAATTTTGTGTTTTTAGTAGAGATGAGTTTCACCACGTTGGCCAGGCTGGTCTCAAGTCCTGGCCTCAAGCATCCTGCCGAAGTGCTGGGATTACAGGCGTGAGCCGACACGCCCGGTACATTCTTTATCAAGTTAAGGAAATTTCTTCCTGTTCCTAGTTTGCTAAGAGTTCTTTTTTTAAAAATAATGAATAGCCAACACGGGCAGACTGCTTGAATTGAGGAGTTTGAGACCAGCCTGGACAACATGGCAAAACCCCGTCACTACAAAATATGCAAAAATTAGCCAGGCGTGGTGTTGTGGTGGTGCTCGCCTGCAGTCCCAGCTACTTGGGGGTTGCTGAGATGGGAGGATTGCTCGAGCCGGGAGGTTGAGGCTGCAGTGAGCTGTGATCCTGCCACCGCACTCCAGCCTGGGCAACAGAGCGTGACCTTGTCTCAAAAAAAAAAAAAACAAAAAACAAAAAAACACACAAGAGGTCTAAAGTTTTCTTTCCTTATAATGCTTTTGTCTGATTTTAGTATTAGCTTCATGACAGCCTCACCAAATGCATTAGTAAGTATGTCCTTAGCTTCTATTTCCTGAAATAGATTATAAATAATTGGTATAATTTCCTACTGAAATGTTTGGTAGAATTCACCAAGGAACCCATCTGGGCCTGGTGATTTCTGCTTTGAGCAGTATGATTGATTCAATTTCTTTAATAAATATAGGCCTATTCAGAATATTTATTTCTTGTTGTGTAAGCTTTGGTAAATTGTGTCTTTCAAAATAAATTGGTCCATTTCACCTAGGCTATCAAATTTCTGGGCATAGAACTGTTCACAATATTCTCTTATTATCCTTTTAATGTCTGCAGGATCAGTAGAAACAGCCCCTCTTTCATTTTTGATACTAGTAGCTTATATCTTCTCTTTTTTTTTTTTTTTTTTTTTGAGACAGAGTCTTGCTCTGTCACCCAGGCTGGAGTGCAATGGCACGATCTCAGCTCACTGCAACCTCCGCCTCCCAGGTTCACGTGATTCTCTTGCCTCAGCCTCCCAAGTAGCTGGGATGACAGGTGCCTACCACCATACCCAGCTAATTTTTGTACTTTTAGTAGAGATGGGGTTTCATCATGTTGGCCAGGCTGGTCTCGAACTCCTGGCCTCAGGTGATCCACCTACCTCAGCCTCCCAAAGTGCTGGGATTACAGGCATGAGCCACCATGCCCAGCCTTCTCTTTTTTCTTAATCTAGCTAAATGTTTATCAGTTTTATTGATCACAAAGAACCAGCTTTTGCTTTTGTTGATTTTCTCTACTGATTTGCTATTGTCAATTTCCCTGATTTCTGCTCTAATTTTTATTACTGCTTTTCTTCTGCTTAATTTGGATTAAATTTGCTCTTCTTTTGATAACTTCCTAAGGTAGAAGCTTGGATTATTAATTTTAAATTTTCTTCTTAAGCATTAAATGAAGCCTTCAGTGCTTATTTAAGCAAGACTTCCTTGAAGCCTTACTTCCCTTGCATCCCACACATTTTTATAAGTTTGTATCAGCATTTCTTTAAGCTCACTGATTTCTTCCCCTGCCACTTCAAGTCTATTAATGAACTCATCAAAAGCATTCTTCATTTCTGTTATACTATCTTTGATTTGTAGCATTTCCTTTTGATTCTTAGTTTCCATCTCTCTGCTTACATCTGTTCTTGCATGTTGTCCATGTTTTCCACTACAGCCCTTAGTATATTAAACATAGTTACTTTGAGTTCCCAGTTTGATCATTCCAACATCACAACCGCATCTGAGTCTGATTCTGATACTTGATCTGTCTGTTTAAACAGTGTTTTCTGTCTGGTATGCACTGTAATGTTTTGCTGAAAGCCAGATATGATATACCAAAGTTAAAAAGAACTGAGGTAAATAGGCCTTTAGTATGAAGTTTTGTTTATCTGGCTAAGAGTTAGGCTTTATTTACTGATTGCTATAGCTGCAGGTGTCAGAGGCTAAAATTTCCACTTGTGTCCTTGTTTTTCACCTCTCCTACTATCTTCAGGTTTCCCTGCAGACCTCTTAAATAAGGTCTGAGACATGTAGTCCTTTCCGTTGTATTCTCATTATTCAAGCACCCCACTGATGTGGTGGTAATGCGTGAAGGGAGGGGAAGCATTCTATGATCTTATGATTAGGTTTCAGTCTTAGTGAGCCTGTGCCCCTGGGCTGCGACCTTCACAGGTGCTTCTCAGTTGTTGATTTTCAGTTTGCTAAGGTTTTTTGTTGTGAGAACGGAAGTGACAACTTCCAAGCTCCTTACATGACAGATCAGAAGTATGTTTAGCTTTTTAAGAAACTGCCAAACTTTTTTCCAAAGGGGTTGTAGCACTTTAAATTCCCACCAGCGGTATATGAGAGTTCCAGTTACTCCATGAAGGCTGGCAGTAGGATGAAGCAAGCAAGAAGCATACGGTACAATATTTAAGGAGGTACCCACTCTCAGATTTCAGTGCCTCTCAAATTTTGCTCACCTGCCTCACCTTATCCTAGAACCAGACCTGTCTTCTACATCTTTACCAAAATTTGAAAGAATGTGTGTAGATTTGGAATTACTTTTTCTGTAAATGTTTGGTAGAATTCACCAGTGAAGCCATGTGGATCTGAGCTTTCTTTGTGGAAAGGTATTTAACTATACATCAGTGTAATAAATATAAAGCTATTTCAGATTTTTCTATTTCTTTTTGTTTTGTTTTTTGAGATGGAGTCTTGCTGTCACCCAGGCTGGAGTGGAATGGCATGATCTCAGCTCACTGAAACCTCCACCTCCCAGGTTCATGGGATCCTTCTGCCTCAGCCTCCTGAGTAGCTGGGACTACAGGCGCGCACCACCACACCCGGCTAATTTTTGTATTTTTAGTAGAGACGGAGTTTCACCATGTTGGCCAGGCTGGTCTCGAACTCTTGACCTCAGGTGATCTGCCCACCATGGCCTCCCAAAGTGTGGGGATTACAAGCGTGAGCCACCATGCCCAGCCAGATTATCTATTTTTTCTCGAAAGAGATTTGGTATTTTGTGTCATTCAAGAAATCTGTAAATTCATCTAAGTTGTTGAATTTACTGGCACAAAGTTATTCATAAAATTTCATTATTAGGCTTTTAATCTCTGTAGAATCTGTAGTGATATCACCTTTCTTATTCTTGTTATTGGTGACTTTTATCTTCTCTTTTTTTCCTAATCAGTATGCCAAAGGCTTATCGAGTTTATCTTCTCAAAGAATCAGCTTTTTGTTTCACTAATTTTCTCTGTTGTTTCTCTAATTTTGACTTTGATGTTTATTCTTTCTTTTTTCTGTTTGTTTTTTTTTTTTTTTGGAGACGGAGTCTCGCTCTGTCACCCAGGCTAGAGTGCAATGGTGCGATCTCGGCTCACTGCAACCTCAACCACCCAGTTTCAAGCTATTCTCCCACTTCAGCCTCCTGAGTAGCTGGGATTACAGGCACCTGCCATCATGCCTGGCTAATTTTTTTGTATTTTTATAGAGACAGGGTTTCACCATGCTGGCCAGGCTGGTCTTGAACTCCTGACCTCAGGTGATCCACCCACCTTGGCCTCCCAAAGTGCTGGGATTACAGGCATGAGCCACTGCACCCAGCCATTTTTCCAGCTTCTTCAGGTGGAAGCTGAGGTCACTGATTTGAAATCATTCTTCTTTCAATAATATATGCATTCAGTGCTACAAATTTCTCCCTAAGTGCTAACTGAGCATCACCCCACAAATCCTGATATGTTGTGTTTTCATTTCCATTCAGTTCAAACTACTTTCTGATTTTTCTTTCTTCTTTGACTCACATTTTATTTAGAAGCATAAAGTTCTGGTTTCCAAATATCTGTGGATTTTCCACCAACCTTTCCATTATTAATTTCTATTTTAATTATACTGTGGTCAGAGAGCATACTGTGTATGAGGTAAAGTCTTCTAAATGTATTAAAATTTGTTTTCAAACCTAGAATATAGTCTATGTCCATAAATGTTTCATGAACACTTGAAAAAAAAGTATATTCTTCTATGTTATATGGAGTGCTCTTTCAAGTCAGGCCAGGTTGGTTAATGGTTCAAGTCTATTATAATCTTGCTGATATTCTGCTTGTCCTATTATTTATTGAAAGAGTATTGAAATCTCCGTAATTATGAATAGCTACTTTGCCATAAAATTCTCAGCTTCTGCTTCACATGTTTTGAAGCATGCTATTAGGGGCAAAAATGCTTAAAACTGTAATGTCTTCTTGGTTAGCTGACCCTTTTATCATTATAAAATAACATTATTTATACATACTAATAGTTTTTGCTCTGAAATCTACTTTGTTATTAATACAGCCATTTCTGCTTTCTTCTGACTACTGTTAAGCATGGTATATATTTTTTCCTCCTTTCAAATGCTTTTTTCTTTCTATTCAAGGTATGTTTCTTATATACAGCATATACTTGGGTCATCAGATCTCACAATCTCTGCCTTTTAATTGGGATGCTTAAACCATTTAGATTTGGTGTAATTACTGATATGATTAGGTTTAAGATTATCATCTTGAAATTTATTTTATGTCCTATCCATTCTTTTTTTTCTATTTATGGCTTTGTTTGGATTGAGAATTTTTAAAATTCCATTTCTGTCTTCCATTATTAGCTGTAATTCTTTGTTTTGCTATTTTAGTGGTTGCTTTAGGGTTTATTGTTAAACCCCTTGCTAAAAACATAGCTTTGTAAGGGAAGGAATGGATGTCAGTTTTGTTCTCTGCTGTATCCTCATGTTTAGAAGACTACCTGACACATGGAAGGCACTCAATAAATATTTGATCAATATACAAATAGAAAAACCAAATTATAGGTTACAAAGGCATATTAATGTTCATCTACTTAATCACTTAGATCTGATCATTGAAAACAGTTTTTGTGTTGTTTTCAATGATCAGATCTAAGTGATTGTTAATATGGCAATATATACACACAAAGGCAAATAAAATATATAGGTTCTGTATAAAAATATTTGATAGGAATAAAAATGAACCAGATGCTATATAGTATTAATGTTAATACAGCCATATTCAAAAAAGTGCAAAGTAAGTAAAATAAAACCAGCTAAATTCAAATTAGGCTTGCTAATGAAAAAAGTATAAAAAGGAATGGTTATAAAAATATAAATATCCCCTGTACCACTTTAATGATTTTAATTGTATTGATAACAGCCACTTACTAATAATCTGAAGATGAATTGATAGACCATCTAAAACTCTGCACTATACTCAGTTCTTGCTCTCAGACAGGGTTTAAAGTAATATATTAAGTTATAATTATGTCTGGAGATATTATAACTATCTGCTAGAGCTAGGGTGCTCTATAGAATTGTATGCAGTGAATCAGACACAGAAACAGTAATATTCTGCCAATTTCTCAAACCTCACAAATCATCTGGACTTTATAGGCCTAACAGAATCATTTTCTCCTTGGTAAGCAGGGTAGGTTTCATGTTGAATCTTAGCATTATTTGGAATGTGTAATTCTGAAAAATCACTACTGTAAGAGAAATGTATTAAAATATATTTAAGCAAAGAATTAAATGCAACCCAGGACAGTACAATTTGTATGAACGAAAAGAATACTATAGGTTCATCAAACATTACTGGTCAAAAATCTATAATAAAGCATACTAAAAATATTTCTATTACTTTTGACCTGACTGTAACTAGCCAAGATTAGATATTACCTGAGAGATTTCCTGTTGATATACTGTAAAATGTTCCTTGCTGATCTGTGGGAGGTAGAATGAAGGTATGACTTCAGTGTCCACAAAGTCCAATCCCCATGTTTTTGTGAAGAAGTCAGATTCTCTTTTTGCTAATCTAGGATCGTTTAATGCTGCTGGGAGATTTACTTTGGAATGATATACAGTCCATCTATGTTGATCTGTAACTAGAGATGGGGCAACATATAAACTATGTGAATCACCTGCAAAAAGTAAACAAGAGAACTCTGTAAATGCTGTAAAATTGGTTCTATGTTTGAAAGTACACACTAGAAAACTAAAAATGCACAGATTCCATCTTACGCAAACCAACTAATCTTCCACAGTAAATGATTTAATAAAAATCAATCTGATTGAATAACCTTCAGCTGGCAGCATCAATTACTAAGGCTTTGAAAAATATGCACGAGATAAAAGATATGCAAAATTTGAGAACTACGATTGCAGGGTGGAGTGAATAGTAAAGAAAGTCTTTCATGAACTCCTTTCCTTAATGTACAATTACTCTATCTTTTTTTTTCAACATCAGAACTATGCTGCTTTCTATTATGTATTTTCTATCCTTTAATACCCCACTGTTTTTTAGAGGTAGGCCTCTTTTCTATTATATCATGGCAGGATCTCCTAGATAAAATATCCTTTGGCTTATAATTAGGTGACATAAATGTTGCTGTGGCATTAACCATACAAGAAGGAAAATTTTACTCTATTCTCATTATTAGTAGTGTATTTGTTCTATAAAGTTATTGTGAATATTGAATTAGCAAATATTGAACCACTGCTTGTAGGGAAACTAAAGAGTTAGGTTCCTGCGAGCCTTTGGTCACAATAGTTTCATCAACTGATCAATACATAACCTTGTTTTGTGTGTTTAAAGACGCCTTATTCAGTATACATCATTGATTCACTAACACCGAACTTGTGGCTAACAGTACTATAATTTATGCCTGAATGAAGCTTACACAACACATGTATTTTCTCCATAAGGGACATCATAGCCTTCTTGCACTTAGGAACTCCAGATAGCATTTTAGCACTGCGCTTAGGGGCAATTTAAACAGCAAAATCACCAACAAAAAGCTCCAAACATGTGGCACCAAGTAAAAACAGACCACAAAAAGAACATTAGTTTATAGTATGAGAGCTGAAACAAAAAGGCAGAGCTTTGTCTTGTTCAACTTCAGCTGGGAATGCATGTGTCAGGTATCTCAAATCTTTCACTGCTCTGCACATGACTGCAAATTACCACAAATGTGCCGCAAGTAGTGATTTGGGGATTATGAATAAATATTAAGGAGTCAGGAGAATTTGCAAATACACAATATGCAAATGATGAGGGCTGACTGTACCATGTTTTAACTAAGCAGCTTTCAATCTGTACCTTCATTTTCAACACTTTTTCAGTTTATATAAGTAATGCATGAAATACATTAAAAAAAAATTTCAATTTCCCAATCATTTCCAAATGATTTTTTTTTTTTTTTGAGAAACAGTCTCGTTCTGTCACCCAGGCTGGAGTGCACTGCAACCTCCACCTCCCAGGTTCAAGTGATTCTCCTGCCTCAGCCTCCCAAGCAGCTGGGATTACAGGCACACGCCACCACACCCAGCTAATTTTTTATATTTTTGGTAGAGATGGGGTTTCACCATGTTGGCCAGGCTGATGTTGAACTCCCTCCTGACCTCAAGTGATCTGCCTGCCTTGGCCTCCCAAAGTGCTGGGATTACAGGCGTGAGCCACCACGCCGGGCCCCAAATGATTTTTTTTTTTTTTTTTTGAGATGGAGTCTGTCTGTCACCCAGGCTGGAGTGCAGTGGCCCGATCTCAGCTCACTGCATGCTCCACCTCCTGAGTTCACAGCATTCTCCTGCCTCAGCCTCCAGAGTAGCTGAGACTACAGGCGCCTGCCACCACACCCGGCTAATTTTTTGTAGTTTTAGTAGAGACAGGGTTTCACCATGTTAGCCAGGATGATCTCGATCTCCTGACCTCGTGAACCGCCCACCTCAGCCTCCCAAAGTGCTGGGATTACAGGCGTGAGCCACCGTGCCCGGCCCCCCCAAATGATTTTTAACATCATAAAATTTACTCTTCTAACGTTGGTATATAAAACCTGACTACTCATTTAAAGATAATAGAAATCATCAGTAAAAATCCTACAAAAAAAAAAAGCATTACCTGTGGGTTCCTTGGGACACACATCTGGCAGTGATGGCACAGGTCGAATGTGTTTTGACGGATCTACCTCTATTTTAAAGAAAACATCACTGCTGCTTCCTTGAGGCACTGGTGAAGAACTGTGGCTTGAAGCCATTGCATAAAATCACCACTCAACTGAAAATGAGTAAGAAATACTAATTAAGACACCGCAAATCAAAATCCAAGTATTATACATGTCACAAATTTTCTTTCAAAAGCAAAAGAATTTTTCAAAATACCTCAAAGTAGGCAATTTGAATATTTGCTCTTAATTGGGAAAATTGATCACAATATTTAGTTTACTAAGATAGTTATTTGTCCCCATTTTTAAAAAAGTGAAACACCCTTAATATTTTATTCAAAGTACAAAAAATACCAAGGTTGTACCCAACATATATTAAAGATTAAAAACACTCTATTCATTCAGCAAGTACACAGTAGTTATGCATTATAGCAAAACAGATAAGTGCATGGGTTTTGAAGTATCCCTGCTTAGGTCCATCTATGTTTACTCACTAGTGGTGAGGAAATTTACTTAACCTTTATGTATCTGTCTTTCCTCATCAGTGAAATGGAGATGAAACGAGATCTTATCTCATCAACATCCTGTTACCAATTATGAGAATGGACATAATAAGTAAAGCATTTAAAATAATGTCTGCCTCAGAGTTAGTATTCAGAGGTTACTGTCATTGTAATTATTACTATGATGTGACTGCTACATAGTAATATAATGATTAAAAAATAAATAGTAATTAAATTCTTTAAAAAGGAAGTGTCATTCTTCAAAGAGCTTGCAACTGTATTAAGTAATTAAAACAAATATATGTAAGCAAAACACAAGTTAACCTATGTCTACATTTTAAAGTAAATACTGAAATAATTTGTGGAGCAAGACAACATAATACAGGCTACAGGGTCAGGTAAGACTTTATAAATGAAGCAATATTGAAACTGGACACTAAAGAACATGCATTGTTTTACTACTGAAATGTTTAGAGATCACCTAGTCTAAGTTCTCTCAAAACAGAGAAGAATAGAAAGGCCCAGAAAGAATATGAGGTTTAACAAGTCTAAAAAAACAAAACAAAACAAAAAGCCAAGTTAGAAAATCTGGCAAAAAGATAAATAAGAGTAGGAAATGGGGAGCAGAGGCTGGCACAGTGGCTCATGCTTGTAAATCTCAGCACTTTGGGAGGCCAAAGCAGGCGGATTACTTGAGTCCTGGAGTTCAAGGCCAGCCTGAACGACATGATGAAACCTCGTATCTATAAAAATTACAAAAATTAGCTGGGCGTGGTGGTGCATGCCTGTAGTCCAGTTACTCAGAAGGCTGAGGTGAGAGGATTGCTTGAGCCTAGGAGGCAGAGGTTGCAGTGAGCCAAGATCACGCCACTATACTCCAGCCTGGGCAACATGGTGAGACCCCGTCTCAAACAAACAAACAATAAATAAAAAATAAGGAGCAGAGATATGAGGCAAGAACCCATGACAAATAGTTCATCTGTTCTAACTTCCCTCTAGTTTGCTGGAAAACTAAAAATATGTATCTGTCTCAGTACTTTCAAAGCAAAGGAAACATAACCAAATATACCATTCACTGAAACAGTAAGAAACAAGCTGCTTTAAAAATACACAAAGATAAACAACTTCCTCAAGGTGCTTAAACAGAAAGCCTACAATAACATGAACAAAAGATAATGAACACTGAATAATCAATCATAAGACTAAGGAACTGACTATAGTGGAAACTGACCTAAGTGAAATGTTTACACTGGGAAGAAGTGACAAATTATACACACACACACACACACACACACACACACACACACACAGTATAGTTAAATTGTAGTTGGTTCTCTATGCAATAAGGAGACATCAGAGGTTTGGTGGCAAAAGTTCTGTGATGAAAATGCTATTTTGGGAAAATTAAGAGTCTTTGAAAGGCCTCTGTCATTTATATCCACACACATTAAGTGTATGGTTGTTTCTGTATAAAAGTTTACACATATTTAAGAGAGATAAACATGTATCTTTATCTAAAGGATAATACACATACTTATCTAAAGGGTAAGAAACACTGTACAACACAGAAACACTGTACTAAGTGATAAAGACAATTCTACATTTAAGATTGACCATGTTAACTTTCTCATTAATCAAATAAAACAGCAAAAAACATTTTTGAAACTTTTTCAATTTTTGTGAGTACACAGTAGGTATTTATCCTTTGTGTTACTATCAAATTATACTTTTAGTTATTTTAAAATGTACAATAAAAATGACTTTTTACTCTAATCACCCTGTTAGGCAAGCAAATACTAGGTCTTATTCATTCTTTCTATTTTTCTGTACCTATTAACCACCACTACCTTCTCCTCCAGGCCCCCTTCCCCCACACTTATCCTTCCAGGCCTCTGGTAACCATCACTCGAGTTTCAATTATTTTCATTTTTAGCTCCCACAAATAAGGGAGAACATGTGAAGTTTCTCATTCTGTGCCTGGCTTACATAGTGACCTCCACTTCCATCCATCTGTTGCAAATGACAAGATCTCATCCTTTTCTATGGCTGAATAGTTCTCTATTGTGTATATGTACCACATTTTCTTTACTCATTCGTCTGTTGATGGACATTTCAGCTGTTCCAAATCGAGGCTATTGTGAATACTGCTGCAATAAATATGGATATCTCTTCAATATACTGATTTCATTTATTGTATATTCTTAGGAGTGGGAATGCTGGATCATACAGCTCCGTTTTCAGTTTTTCGAGGGACCTCCAAACTGCTCTCCACGGTGATTGTACTAATTTACATTACCACTAACCGTATGAGGGTTCCCTATTCTCCACATCTTCGCAAGCACTTCTTAATGCCTGTCTTTTGGATAAATGCCATTTTAACTGGGGTGAGATAGCTCATTGTACTTCTGATTTGCATTCCTCTGATGATAAATACACCCATGTGCCATTTGCATGTTTTCTCTTGAGTAATATCTATTCAGATATTTTGCCCATCTTTTAATCAACATATTGGATTTTTATCTATAAGGTTGTTTGAGCTCCCTATATATTCTTGTTATTAATCCCTTGTCAGATGGGTAGTTTGCAAATATTTTCCTCCCATTCTGTGGGATGTCTCCTCACTTTGTTGTTTCCTTTGCTGTGCAGAAGCTTTGTAACTTGATGTGATTCCATTTGTTCATTTTTGCTTTGGTTGCCTGTGCTTGTGGGGTATTTATTCAAGAAATCCTTGCTCACTTCAATGACCTGGACATTTTCCCCAAGGCTTTCTTTTCGTTGTTTCATAGTTTGAAGTCTTAGATTTAAGTCTTGCATCCATTTTATTTTTGTATATGGCGAAATAGGGTCCAGTTTCATTGTTCTATCCATGGATATCTAGTTTTCCCAGCACAATTTATTGAAGAGACTGTCCTTTTCCCCAAGATTGTCCTTTGTTAAGAATGAGATCACTGTAGATGAATGGATTTATTTCTGGGTTCTCTACTTGGTTCCACTGTTCTATGTGTCTGGTTATATGCCAATACGTTGTATAATTTGAAATCACATCATGCGGTTCTTCCAATTTTCTTTTTTTTGCATAGGATAGCTTTGTTTATTCCAAGTCTTTTGTGGTTCTATATAAATTTCAAGATTGTTTTTTCTATTTCTCTGAAGAATTTAATTGGTATTTTGATAGGGAATACACTGAATCTGTAGATTGCTTTGGTTAGTATGGACATTTTAACAATATTGATTCTTCCAATCCATGAACACAGAATATCTTTCCTTTGTGTGTGTGTTTGCCTTCAATTTCTTGAACCAACATTTTATAGCTTTCACTGTAGAGACTTTTCACTTTTTTGGTTAACTCCCAGGTATTTTATTTCTAGCTGTTGTAAATCTAGCTGTTGTTACTTTCTTGATTTCTTTTTCACATTGTTCAGTGTTGGCATATGTAAATGATACTGATTTTTGTATGCTGATTTTGTATCCTGCAACTTTACTGAATCTATCACTTCTAATCATTTTTTGATGAATTCTTTAGGTTTATCCAAACATAAGATCATATAATCTACAAACAAGGATAATTTGACTCCTTCCTTTCCAATTTGGATGCTTTCTTTCTTTCTCCTGTCTGACTGCTCCGGCTAGGACTTCCAATACTACGTTGAATAACTGTAGTGAAAGTGGGCATCCTTGCTGTGTTTCAGATCTTAGAAGAAGGGCTTTCAGTTTTTCCTCATTCAGTGTGATAACAGCTATGGGTCTGTCATACATGGCTTTTACTGTTTTGAGGAATGTTCCTTCTATACCCAGTTTTGAGGGTTTTTATTATGAAAGGATGTTTAATTTTATGACATGCTTTTTAAGAATCAATTGATATGTTTTTTCTCCTTCATTCTCTTGATATGATGTATCACCTTTGCACATGTTGAACTATCTACATTCCTGAAATAAATCCCACTTGGTCATGATGAATAATATTTTTAATTGTTGTTGAATTTGGTTTGCTAGTATTTTTATTGAAGATTTTTTGCATCAATAGTCACAGATATGTGTTGCGGGAAGTCAGGGACCCCGAACCGAGGGACTGGCTGAAGCCATGGCAGAAGAACATAAATTGTGAAAATTTCATGGACATTTGTTAGTTCTCCAAATTAATACTTTTATAATTTCTTACGCCTGTCTTTACTGCAATCTCTGAACATAAATCGTGAAGATTTCACGGACATTTATCACTTCCCCAATCAACAATCTTATGATTTCCTATGCCTGTCTTTATTTTAATCTCTTAATCCCATCATCTTCGTAAAATGAGGATGTATGTCACCTCGGGACCCTGTGATGATTGCGTTAACTGCACAGACTGTTCGTAAAGCATGTATGTTTGAACAATATGAAATCTGGGTACCTTGAAAAAAAGAACAGGCAGGATAACAGCGATGTTCAGGGAACAAGGGAGATAACCATTAGGTCTGACTGCCTGGAAGCCAGGCAGGACAGAGCCATATTTCTCTTATTGCCAAAAACGAGTAAGAGAAATATTGCTGAGTTCTTTCCCCAGTAAGGAATATTAATAATTAACAGCCCTGGGAAAAGAATGCATTCTCGGCCGGGAAGGGGGGCCTCTAAAATGGCCGCTCTGGGAGTGTCTGCCTTACGCAGTTGTAGATAGGGATGAAACACGCCCTAGTCTCCTGCAGCACCCCCAGGCTTATTAGGATTAGGAAATTCCTGCCTAGTAAATTGTAGTCAGACCGGCTATCTTCTCTCAAACCCTGTTTCCTGATGTTTATCAATGACAGTGCCTGCACAGCGGGACCGGGAACCTCATTAGTAATTCTAGTTTTGCTCTGGCCTTGTGACCTTGCCCTGTCCATTTGCCTTGTGATATTTTGTTGCCCTTGAAGCACGTGATCTCTGTGACCCACACTCTATTCGTATACTCCCTCTTCTTTGAAAATTGCTAATAAAAACTTGCTGGATTTTCGGCTCAGGGGGCATCATGGAACCTGCTGACATGTGATGTCTCCCCCAGATACCCAGCTCTAAAATTTCTCTCTTTTGTACTCTTTCCCTTTATTTCTCAGACTGGCTGACACTTAGGGAAAATAGAAAAGAACCCACGTTGAAATATCGGGAACTGGTTCCCCCGATATCTGGTGCCCAGCATGGTTTTTCTTTTTTTCCTAAGTGCACGTGGGAACCCGATTCCCTTTGGTAGGTGCGGAGAAATGTCATCGGTTCGGTCCACAGAAATGCTTGTTCGACTCCCTGACAACTGGTGAGTAGTCTGTGAATTTGTCCAGGTTAACTACGGGTCACACGGAGTCTAAAAATTATGCTTATCTCTTCTATATTACACTCTGGTTAAAACAGAAAAGGGTTTGAGTGCCCATGGAAAAAATGGTCACTCTATTCAGGGCAGTGGGAAAATACTGTCCTTGGTTTCCTAAAAAAGCAACCTTAGATGTGGACCTGTTAAAACAGGGAAGGGTCCGAGTAACCATGGAAAATATGGTCACTCTATTCAAGGCGGTGGAAAAATACTGTCCTTGGTTTCCTGAAAAGGGAACCATATGTAAAAGTATGGGATCGTGTTGGTGCAACATTCCAGGAGCTGTTCCCGGCAGGGAAATGTGTTCCTGTCACTTTTTGGGGTGATTGGGCCTTGGTACATGTCGTCCTAATGACATACCAATCCCGTGACCCCCTACAGTTAACACAATTTTCTGAATGTGAGGACCCTCCACCTCTTCTCCAACTTTCCTCTCCCGCATGGACTTCGTTATCTGATCAGCCTCTCCCTTCAGCTACTCCTCCCCCACCTAACGATGCTGAAAATTCAATGTCTAACTCTGGTGACTTTGGCTTAACGTTACCCCCTGCTGACCTTGTTTCTTTTCACGAAGAGCCAGTACTTATAAGCTCCCGCGGCCACGACTCAGACAGCCCGGGACCATATACGCTAATTCTTCTCTCTTCAAACCTCCGGAGTCACCTAATGGCTCCAGGACCAAACTACAATTTACCTATAATTCTTCAGGCCCTACCCCATCCACTTCAGCCCCTCACTCTCCTGTCATTTCCATTCCTCAACCGGTCACTTTGCCATCCACTCAGCCTGCCTCTCTGTACCCTTCTTCACACATGCACACCAGTAATCACCAGGATACCTCTGCTCCTTCTGCTCCCTCAATGCCCCTTTCTCACACTCTCATCCTGGTCCGACCCCCTCAACCTCAGTTTCCCTTATCTACACATGCTTTTCCTATCACTTCTATGCCAACTCTGTCTCAGATACCTACTCTTGAAACTTCAATGCAACACTTATTATGCCAAAACAAAGAAACAAGTGGATTAGACACGTGGGCTTACCCAGTCACACTAGAACCTCCTATCTTCCAAAGGGTACAAATGTGTCGTTATGTACCTCTTAATCTTAGCTTTTTAAAAGAATTTAAGGATGCTTGTACTCAGTATGGTCCTACTTCTCCTTATGTTAAATGGTATTACAAACTTTTTGTACTGAGGTCATTTTGCTTCCTTTAGACTGGGACCTTTTGGCAAAAGCTTTTCTAACCCCATTAAAGCATTTACAATTTCGTATCTGGTGGTCACAAGAGGCCCATCTGCAGGCTCAGCTAAATCGGACTAATAGTATTCTAATTACTCAGGCTCAGCTCACAGGCTCCGATAGTTTCTCTGATACTTATGCCCAATTAAACTTTGATGCTCTTACCACAGAACAAGTAACAAAGGTGTGTATGAGAGCTTGGGATAAATTATGCGCCCCAGGCCAAGCTCCTGTTTCTTTTACTATGGTTAAACAAGGTCATGATGAATTATACCCTGATTTTTTAGCTAAATTACAAGATGCCATTGAAAAATCTGTCTGATGAGCATGCTCAAGGTATTCTTTTTCATATGTTAGCTTTTGAAAATGTGAACCATGAGTGTAAAATGGCCATGCATTCCATCCAATGACAAAATTTACCTGATCACGAGGTGTTCCCTGCATATATTAAAGCTTGTGAAGGCATTGGATCAGACACCCACAAAGCTATTCTGTGGGCACGGGCCATGAAGGACCAATCAAACTGGCCCCACTAATTCTTTTCTTGGAGCCTGCTATAATTGCAGTCAACTTGGTCATACTCAGAAAAATTGCACTGTTAAAAACTTAAAAGCGGCCAAGCCGGCTCAACAAACATGGCCAAATGCTGCTGCTACTGTTTGCTCACGTCGTCGCAAGGTAAACATTGGGCAAGTACTTGCCACTCTAAGTATGATACAGATGGAAACCCCCTACCACAGAACCAGGGAAATGGGAAGTGGGACCAGTCCCAGGCCCCAATATCAAATGGGATGCTTCAGACTCAGACCAACATTGCATTTCCACTTCAGGCAGTCCCAACGCAGCCCCCACCACAAACAAATTTACCTACAGTCAACCCAGATGGGTCCCAGCCTCTTCTTCTCAGTACAATGCTTGTCCACCTCCACGTTAGGGGTTGGGGCGGTCGATCTCTGTAGCACTATTCCTCTAAATTTACTACCTAACTCTTTGCCTTTAATTGTCCCCACAGGGGTCACTGGCCCTTTACCTCAAGGTTTGGTGAGCCTGGTGTTAGGTAGGGCATCCACCTCTGCTAAAGGAATCACCATTCATACTGGTCTCATTAATTCTGATTCAGTTGACGAGATTAAACTAATCGTGTCTGCCAAGCTTCCTGTTTCCATTCCGGCCGGTGACTCAATTGCTCAATTGCTTTTACTACTTAATATTGTTTTAAACAAAGGAGATAAGACACGTGGCCCTGGAAGGGGCTCCAGCAGCGAAAAGGCCGCTTATTGGATTAATGTAATTTCTGAACAACAGCCTACCTCCATACACATTCAAGGAAAAAAGTTTGAGGGTTTAGTAGATACTGGGGCTTAAATTAACATTCCACCTAACTCTTATAGTACTCCCAGTCAGCATATGATGGAAAACATGCGGTATGTTCCTGGACTCCGTCTCCGTCCAAAACATGAAGGGATTACTAAACCCCTCCCAATTACTATAAAAGAAGACAGGGCTGGTTTAGGTTATCCTTTTTAATGGCGGCCACTGCCACGCCTCCTGATCCTATTCCTTTACAATGGAAATCTGACACACCCATTTGGATTCAGCAGTGGCTGCTCTCTAAAGAAAAACTGGAGGCTTTAACTCAATTAGTTTCTGAACAGTTACAACTTAGAAATTTGGAACCTTCTTTCCCGCTGGAATTCTCCTGTGTTTCTAGTAAAAAAGAAATCAGGCAAGTGGTGGATGGTAACCAATTTAAGGGCCATTAATGCTGTAATTAAACCTATAGGAGCCTTCCAACTCGGCATGCCTGCCCCTGCTTTAATACCTAAAAATTGGCCTCTCATAGTTATTGATTTTTTTATATTGCTTTACATAAATCAGATTGTGAAAAATTTGCTTTTATTGTACCATCTATCAATAATCAAGAGCCTGCAGCTCATTATCAATGGAAAGTACTTCCTCAGGGAATGCTAAATAGCCCTACAATCTGCCAGCTTTATGTTGGGCAAGTGCTTTCACCAGTTCGAGCCCAGTTTCCCCAGGCCTATATTCTTCATTATATTGATATTTTAATTGCTGCCCCCACTGATAAAGAATTGACTGTTATCAAATTTTGAGCTGCTGTGTTAGAGGCTGGATTACACATCGCTCAGGACAAAATTCAACAGACCACTCCTGTTCAATATTTAGGAATCATGGTCGATAAACATATTCAACCTCAAAAAGTTCAAATTAGGAGAGATTATTTGAAAACTTTAAATGACTTCCAAAAACTTTTGGGTAACATTAATTATTTAACACCTACTTTAGGCATTCCGACCTATGCACTAACTTGTTTTCTATGCTGCGGGGAGATTCCAATCTCCGCAGTCCCAGGACTTTGACCCCTGAGGCTTCACTAGAACTGGAATTCGTAAAGAATTCAGACCATCCAGTTATCTAGAGTACAGCCGTTTCAGCCTTTTCAGCTTCTGGTTTTCGCCTCATTGCACTCCCCTACTGGGCTAATAGTTCAACATAATGATTTAGCGGAGTGGTGTTTTCTTCCTCATTCTGTGTCAAAAACTTTGTCTGTTTATCTGGACCAACTGGCCATCTTAATTGGACAGACTCGGTGTAGAATACTTAAAATTTCCGGATTTGATCCGAATTTAATTGTAGTTCCTTTAAATCGGCTCGAAGTTCAAGTCACCTTTCAACATTCCATACTGTGGCAAATTCACTTGACTGATTTTATTGGCATTATTGACATTCATTATCCAAAAAACAAATTGTTTGATTTTATAAAAATGACTTCTTGGGTGGTCCCTCGATTGACCAAAGATCAGCCCATTCCTGAGGCTGTTACAGTGTTCACTGATGGCTCCAGTAATGGAAATGCTGGTTATGTAGGTCCTACAAACAAGCTTATTTCTACCCCTTATACCTCTGCTCAAAAGGCAGAGTTAAATTGCTGTAATTACTGCCTTATAGGATTTCCCCAAAACCTTTAAATATTGTCTCTGATTCTAGTTAACGTGGGAAAGAGAATATGCTTGTGTGTCACCAGGAGATCATCAAAGGAAAACCACAGGGAAAAGACGTCCGCGTCAAAAACCGCCCTCAGATGTGGTGAGATCTGTGCCAACTCCTTAGAAGCTGGCCCACCAAATCACAATGGGTCTCATTCAATCCTCCCTGATGGCAACACAGACCCATCTAACCAATCCCACTTCTCCTAATTACCTTTCTTTTTCTCCTTACAAACCTAAAAATCTCACCATTTATATTAGCCTGAAAATAACATCCCTCTGTTCTTCTCTTCCTCTTTCGGCACTGAATCTCGCTTACACTAGGTTTTATTTAATGATTCCCCTCCTTATACTTTCTGTCTCACCAGTTTCCTTTCACACTGATTTACCGGCTACACAAAATTATTCTTATTGGGCTTATGTGCCTTTTCCTCCACTTATTCGACCACTCACCTGGATGGACGCTCCTGCAGAAATCTACACTAATGATAGTGTGTGGATGCCTGGAGCTACAGATGACCGTTGCCCCGCTCAATCAGGAAAAGGCGGCACTGCATTTAATGTTACCATGGGTTACAAACACCCACCTCTGTGCCTCGGACATGCACCTGGTTGTATCCATCTAGAAACTCAAGTCTGGGCTGCTTATCTTCCAGAGAGATCAGCTACAGAGAAACCAGGACATTTGGTCTCCAGCCTCTCCCTTTCTCCTTTAAGACAAATGAAAGGGGGAGTAATGGGAGATATCCCATACTTTCAATATAAACCTGCAGGAAAACCATGCCCTAAAAATTTTGAGGGCCCATCTAAAACCTTAATTTGGGAAGATTGTGTTAACTCACATGCAGTAATGTTTATAAATGACTCATATGGTTTAGTAATAGACTGGGCACCAAAGGGCTATTTAAAAAACAAGTGCTCTTCTGGTGGAAGGGAATGCCTGGAGGCTACTTATTTTATTTCTTATTGGGAGAACGAGAATCATCATTCTACTTTGCATAGGAGGTTCAGCTCATTCTTTTCCTTAAAATGGGAAGATAAAGGCATTACCCCCATCTGAGGCCTCGTATGATATTCCCCATTCTGAGTCCAGAACACCCACAACTTTAGAAATTGGCTATTGCCATGTCTGGACTGCAAGTATGGGAAGGGGAAACTATTTTGTCTGTTGTCCCTGCTACCGTCCCCCTCTCTCACTATCAACGTAGATCCAGACATTCTGTTTTACTTACCTCCAACCTGTTTCCACAAAGAGTTGTGTTAAGCCTCCTTACATGCCATTAGTGGGAAATATCAAAATTTGGACGAAGAATCAAACTGTCCAATGCATTGTCATTTATACACTTGTATTAACTCCCATTTTGACTCCAGGAAAAGTATAATGTTGGTTCGAGCTGGAGAAGAAATCTGGATTCCGGTAACTTTGCCCAGACCTTGGGAATCCTCCCCCTCAATACATTTAATTAATGAAGTGTTACAGCGAATTCTTTAAAGATCTAAGAGATTTGTTTTCACTTTAATTGCTGTGATCATGGGCCTAATTACAGTCACTGCAATGGCCACCACTGCCGGAATGGCGTTACATCAGTCTATTCAAACAGCTCATTTTGTTAATGACTGGCAAGCCAATTCCACCAAATGTTGAATTCTCAACAAGGCATTGACCAAAAATTGGCTAATCAAATTAATGATTTAAGACAGTCTGTTATTTGGCTTGGAGATCGGGTAGTGAGTCTCGAACATCACATGCAAATGCAGTGCGACTGGAATACTTCAGATTTCCGTATCACCCTGTATTCCTATAACGAGACTGATCATTCATGGGAAATGGTCAAAGGACACCTTCTGGGTAGGGAAGATAATTTATCATTGGACATGACTAAATTAAATAAACAAATTTTTGAAGTCTCTCAAGCTCATTTATCCATTGTGCCTGGAGCTGAGGCGTTAGATCAGGTGGCAGAAAATCTTTCTGGACTAAACCCCACAACTTGGATTAAGTCTATTGGGGGCTCCACTGTAGTAAATTTCGGAATTATGTTTCCCTGTTTAATCGGCTTGTCTTTAGTGTGCTGGACCAGTCAAAGAATCCTGCGTCAAAATCGAGAGAACAAGCCTTCATCACCATGGCACATTTATATAAAAAGAAAGGGAGAGATGTTGCAGGAAGTCAGGGACCCTGAACGGAGGGACCGGCTGAAGCCATGGCAGAAGAACATAAATTGTGAAGATTTCATGGACAATTTGTTAGTGCTCCAAATTAATACTTTTATAATTTCTTATGCCTGTCTTTACTGCAGTCTCTGAACATAAATTGTGAACATTTCATGGACATTTATCACTTCCCCAATCAATACTCTTATAATTTCCTATGCCTGTCTTTACTTTAATCTCTTAATCCCATCATCCTTATAAGCTGAGGATGTATGTCACCTCAGGACCCTGTGATGATTGCGTTAACTGCACAAATTGTTCCCAAAGCATGTGTGTTCGAACAATATGAAATCTGGGCACCTTGAAAAAAGAACAGGATAACAGCGATGTTCAGGGAACAAGGGAGATAACCATTAGGTCTGACTGCCTGGAAGCCACGCAGGACAGAGCCATATTTCTCTTATTGCCAAAAACGAGTAAGAGAAATATTGCTGAGTTCTTTCCCCAGTAAGGAATATTAATAATTAACAGCCCTGGGAAAAGAATGCATTCCCGGCCGGGGAGGGGGGCCTCTAAAATGGCCGCTCTGGGAGTGTCTGCCTTATGCAGTTGTAGATAGGGATGAAACACACCCTAGTCTCCTGCAGCACCCCCAGGCTTATTAGGATTAGGAAATTCCTGCCTAGTAACCTCATTAGTAATTCTAGTTTTGCCCTGGCCTGGTGACCTTGCCCTGCCCATTTGCCTTGTGATATTTTGTTGCCCTTGAAGCATGTGATCTCTGTGACCCACACCCTATTCATACACTCCCTCCCCTTTGAAAATTGCTAATAAAAACTTGCTGGTTTTATGGCTCGGGGGCATCACGGAACCTGCTGACATGTGATGTCTCACCCAGACACTCAGCTTTAAAATTTCTCTCTTTTGTACTATTTCCCTTTATTTCTCAGACTGGCCGACACTTAGGGAAAATAGAAGAGAACCTATGTTGAAATACAGGGGGCTGGTTCCCCCGTTAGACATAGGCCTGCAGTTTCGTTTTCTGATGCGTCTTTGTTTGGTTTTGGTATCAGGGTAATACTGCCCTCGTAGAATGAGTTTTAAAGTATTCCCTCCTCCTATTTTTCAGACTAGTTTGAGTAGGATTGGTACTAGACCCTCATTAAATGTTTGGTAGAATTCAGCAGTGAAGCCATTCAGGTTCTGGACTTTTTACTGGGAGACTTTTCATCACAACTTTTATCTTATTACTTGTTATTGGTCTGTTCACACCCTGGGTTTCTTCATGGTTCAGTCCTGGAAGATTGTACGTATATAGGAATTTATCCATTTCTTCTAGATTTTGCAATTTATTGGCATACAGTTGCTCACAGTAGCCGCTAATAATCCTCTGAATTTTGTGGTATCGGTTTTAGCATCTCCTTTTTTCATCTCTGATCTTTTGGGGTCTTCTTTTTTCTTAGTCTGGCAAAAGATGTGTCAGTTTTTGTTTTGTTTTGTTTTGTTTTATCTTTTCAAAAACCCAACGTTTTATTGATCTTTTGTCCTGTTTCTTCATTTCAATTTCATTTATCTCTGCTCTGAGCTTTGTTATTTCTTTTTTTCCACTAATTTTGTTTGGCTTGCTCTTGCTTTTCCCTTTCTTTAAAATCCATCATTAGGTTTTTATTTAAAGTTTTTCTTCTTTTTGATGTAGGCACTTATAGCTATAAACTTTCCTCTTTGTATCATTTTTGCTGTATCCTCATAGATTTTGGTATGTCATGTTTCCATTATTAATAAATTTTTCAATTTCTTAATTTCTTCATTGACTCACTGGTCATTCAGGAACATATTATGTAATTTCCATGTGTTTGTATGGTTTCCAGAATTCCTAATATTGATTTCTGGTTTTATTCCATTGTGGTCAGAGAAGATGCTTGATATTATTTGAATTGTCTTCTTTATTTCCAACCTGTTTCTTTGGCTCTAATATTTGCTTTATATATGAGTGCTCCAATAGTTAGGTGCATATATATTTACAATTGTTATATCCTATGCTGAATTGACCCCTTTATCATTATATGGTGACCTTCATTGTCTCTTCTTATAGTTTGTGTCTTGAAATCTATTTTGTCTGATAACTACTAGAGAATATCTTTTTCCATCCCTTTTTTTGTCTGTGTGTGTCTTTATAGGTGAAGTGTGTTTCTTGTGGGCAACAGATCACTGGGTCCTGTTTTTCTATCCATGCAGCCTCTTTATGTCTTGTGATTGGAGAGTTAGTCAACTTACATTCAATATTATTACTGATAAGTAACGACTTACTCCTGCCATTTGTTTTTTGTTTTCTGGTTGTTTCGTAGTCTTCTCTTCCTTCCTGTCTTCCTCTTAGTAAAGGTGATTTTTTTCTGGTGTTATGACTTAATGTCTTGGTTTCTTAATTTTTTGTGTATCTGTTCCATGTTTTTTGATTTGAGGTTACCATGAGGCTTGCAAATACTATCTTATAACCCACTGTTTTATGCAGATAACAATTAACACTGCTTGTATAAATAGGCAAAAAGAAAACTAATAAAACTCTGCACTTTAACTATGTCCCCCCACTTTATAGCTTTTTGTTGTTTCTATTTATATTTTACTATCCTTATGTCTTGAAAAAATTATAGTTATAATTTTTTATTGGCCCCTTTTAATTTCTCTAATTAAGGCTAGTTTACACACCAGTTATCATGTTATAATATTCTATGATTTTCTGTGTACTTATATTGCCAGTTAGTTTTACATCTTCAGATGGTATCTTTTTGCTTATTAATCTTTTTCTTTTTTATTGAAGTACATACCCTTTAGCTTTTTTTAAGACAGAGTCTCACTCTGTCACCCAGGCTGGAGTGCGGTGGCACCATCTTGGCTCACTGCAACCTCCACCTCCCAGGTTCAAGTGATTCTCCTGCCTCAGCCTCCTGAGTAGCTGGGATTACAGGCATGGACTATCTATCATGCCTGGCTAATTTTTGTTTTTCAGTAGAGACAAGGTTTCATCATGTTAGCCAGGCTAGTCTTCAACTCCTGACCTCAGCTGATCCACCCACCTCAGCCTCCCAAAGTGCCAGGATTACCGGTGTGAGCCACTGCACCTGGCCAGCTCTTTAGCATTTCTTGTAGGACAGGTCTGGAGCTGATGAAATCCCTTGGCTTTTGTTTGTCTGGGAAAGTCTTTATTTCTCTTTCATGTTTGAAGGATATTTTCATTGGATATAGTATTCTAAGGTAAAAGGTTTTTTCCTTCGGCATTTGAAACATGTCATGCCACTCTCTTGGCCTGTAAGGTTTCTACTGAAAAGTCTACTGCCAGCCATATTGGAGCTCCATTGTATGTTGTTTCTTTTCTCTTGCTCCTTTTAGTATCCTTGCTTTATCCTTGTCTTTGGGAATTTTATTATTAAATGTCTCGAGTTAGTCCTCTCTGGGTGAAATTTGCTTAGTGTCCTATAACCTTCTTGTACTTGGATATTAATATCTTTCTCTAGGTTTGAGAAGTTCTCTGTTATTATTCCTTCGAATAAACTTTTTACCCCTATCTCTTTCTCTACCTCCTCTTTACAGACAATAACTCTTAGATTTGCCCCTTCAAGGCTACTTTCTAAATCCCGTAGGTGTGCTTATTTTTATTCTTTTTTCTTTTGTCTTCTCTGATTGTGTATTTTCAAAAAGCCTGTCTTCAAGCTCACTAACTCTTTCTTCTGCTTGATCAACTGCCGTTTTTTGTTTTGAGATGGAGTCTCGCCCTGTCACCCAGACTAGAGTGCAATGGCACGATCTCGTCTCACTGCAACCTCTGCCTCCCAGGTTCAAGCAATTCTCCTGCCTCAGCCTCCTAAGTGGCTCAGATTACAGGGATGTGCCACCTTGCCCGGCTAATTTTTTGTATCTTTAGTAGAGGCAGGGTTTCACCATGTTGGCCGGGCTGGTCTCGAACTCCTGACCTCATGATCCACCCTCCTCAGCCTCCCAAACTGATGGGATTACAGACATAAGCCACCACACCCGGCCGATCAACTGCTTTTAAGCCATTATGATGCATTCTTCAGTATGTCAATTGCATTTTTCAACTCCAGAATATCTGTTTAATTATTTTTAATTATTTCAATCTGTTAAATTTATCTGATAGGATTCTGAATTCCATCTCTGTGTTATCTTGAATTTCTCTGAGTTTTCTCAACACAGCTGTTTTGATTTCTGTTTGAAAGGTCACATAACTCTGTTTCTCCAGAATTAGTCCCTGGTGCCTTATTTAGTTCATCTGGAGAGGTCATATTTTCCTGGATGATGTAGATGGGTGTAGATGTTCTTCAGTGTCTGGACATTGAAGTTATTTATTGTAGTCTTCACTGTCTGGACTTATCTGTACCTGTCCTTCCTGGGAAGGCTTTCCAGATACTCTAATGGATTTGGGTGTTGTGATTTAAGCTGTATCTGCTTTAGGGGGCACCCCAAGCCCAGTAATGCTGTGGTTCTTGCAGACTTGTAGAGGTACCACCTTGGTAGTCTTGAATAAAATCTGGAAGAATTCTCTGGATTACCAAGCAGAGATTCTTGTTCTCTTCCCTTACTTTCTCCCAAACAAATGAAGTCTCTTTCTGCTGAGCTGCATGGGGCTTGCAGCAGGGCAACACAAGCACCCTGTGGTCAACACTGGCACTGCACTGGGTCAGACCTGAAGCCAGCACAGCACTGAGTCTCACCCAAGGCCCACCGTAACCACTACCTGGCTACCGCCTATGTTTGTTCAAGGACCTAGGGCTCTACCATCGGCAGGTGGCAAAGCCAGCCCAGCTTCTGTCCTTCTCTTCAAGACAGCAAGTGCCCCCAAGTCCTCATGTAAGTCCAGAAGTTATCTCCAGGAGCTAGGAATCAGTCAAAAACCTTAGAAGTCTACCTGGTGTTCTATTATACTGCAGCTGAGCTGGCCCTCAAATCATGAGACACGGTCATTCCCACTTCTCTCTCCCCTTTCCACAGGCAGAGGAGCCTCACCCTGTGGCCACCACCACCAAAGGCCCATAGGGAGTACTGCCAGGCTACTGTCAATGTTCACAAGATACAAGGGCTCTTCAGTCAGCTTGTGGTGAAGGCTGCCAGGCCTGGGACTCACCCTTCAGTAAGCTCCCCTCTGGTCCAGGGCAGGTCCAGAAATGCTGTCCAAGAGCCAAGGCCTGGAATCAGGGACCCCAAGAGCCCACTCGGTGTTTGAACCCACTATGGCCAAGGTGATACCTAAGATACAAGACAAAGTCCCCTTTATTTTTCCATCTGCTTTTCTCAAGCAGAGTCTCTCACTGTAGCCACTACAGCTGGGAATGTGCTGGGTCTCACCTGAAGCCAGCATGTCTGAGTCTCAGCCAAGGCCCATGGCGTACTACGTGGTTATCACTGCTAGTTATTCAGGGCCCAAGGGCCCTTTAGTCAGCACAGGATGGATCCTGCCAGGACTGGGTCCCTCCCTTCAAGGCAACAGGTTCCCTTCTAGCCCAGGCGTGTGTCTAGAAATGTTATCCAGGAGCTAGGGCTTAGAATGGGGGCCTGACCAGTACCCTATCCTACTGTGGTTGAGCTGATATCCAAGATGTAAGACAAAAGTCCTCTTTACTCTTCCTTCTCCTCTCCCCAAGCAGAAGGTAGGGATATCTTTTAGAGCTGTGAGCTGGGCTGCCTGGGCTTGGAGAAGGGGTGGCACAAGCACTCCCTTAGGTGTTCCAATTGATGTCTTAGTAAGTCATGTGCCCCTAATTCCACTGGTGCCGAGCCCAGTTCAGCACTAGGACTTGCAGTCCTTTTGGCTTACACTGCCTTTTATTTAGGACCCCGGCACACCTCAGCCCACAGTGGCAAGGCTTGCCAGAACTCAAGTTCCAACCACTGTGATGGGTAATTCCCCTCTGGCTAGGGCTGGTCTGAATGCTCCCTCCATGTGTGGGCATCAGCTGAGTTCACCCTGGTTTTGCTTTTTGCTGTTATAGTGCATTCAATGAGAAGTCTCACAATTGCTGCACTCCTCCTATCCCAAGCATACAAATTTCTCCACACCACATAGTCGCTGCATGGGGGATGGGGGAGAGGTGGTGTCAGCAATTCAAGACTGTCTTTCCTATCCTGTTCAGTGCTTCTTTGGGCAATATGAAGTTAAAATCAGGTTCTGTGAGTGCTCACCTGATTTTTGTTTCTTATGAAAGTGCTTTTGGTGTGTAGTTGTTAAATTTGGTGTTCCTATGGAGGGGGACATCCAGTGGAGCCTTCTAGTCCACCATCTTGCTCTGTACCCCCAAATCTAAAATAAATACATTTTGACATGAAGTGTTAAGCCACAGACATGTGGAAAATGTATTTATGTTAAACATCCATTGCTTAATGTCAGATAAATTAGATATTCATTCTGACAATACTATGTTGATATCTTGATTTATTCTATTTACCATGCTGTTTTTACAGAAAAAAAATCCTAAGTGCCATTTTAGAAACCTAGAAATATGCAGGGAGATGGCAGAAAAATATTTCTAGATTCTTCTAAGTTATTTCTGTATCTGAGGAGAAAAACACATGGTTT
This sequence comes from Homo sapiens, assembly GCF_000001405.40. NCBI lineage: Eukaryota > Metazoa > Chordata > Mammalia > Primates > Hominidae > Homo > Homo sapiens. Next base: position 64,002,711 of record NC_000002.12, read on the forward strand.
ACTCTTTAAAGATTTTGACTTGGAAAACATATGCACATTCTCTTTTTTCCTATACCACTCTTAATTCTTATAACAAGAGGGAAGATCTCTAGTAAAAGGGGATTACATAAAACTAGTGGACTGCCTATAAAGATGAGTCCCAGTTTCCAAACATTTGACTCTTCACTGCCTTCACCATCCACAGCTTATTATTAAAAAGATCTCCCTACAGTAAGAACCAAACTTTGTACTGATCATCACATAATTATAAAAGTACAATCACTGGTAAGAAAACATGGATTTATTCATAAGATGTAGATGTACAGACAAATACAACAAATGTACATGGCATCTGAATCACAAAATTTCAGCAAAGAAATAATCTTTCATTGAAAGGCTAAAGAACAAAAATGATGAGAAACCTTAAGAAGGTTTCAGGATAAGCAATGATAGTTTGTCTACTCAGAAAAAAAATCAGTTCGAAAAAACAAACAAGCAAACAAAATACACAAAATACAGGAAAACGGAAAGCTCTAAGCACTAAACACAGGGAACTACTGATTTCTGATAGTTCAAGTTAACTACCATCTAGAAACAAATTTGGCATTTTAACAATTGTAATGAGAATCTATAAATAGCTCTACCTTTTTCACATGGTAATCTCCTTATAATTGTATGAATACTATGTTCAAATATTATTCTCTCTTGAAGCTTTCTTTGGTTTCTCACACTTAGTCACTCTATGTATTTCAATTTTTGCATCAATCATACTGAGGTTTTGCTTTTCATACAGTTCTTCCCTATCAGGCTTTGCATTTCTTGATGTTTCTGTTTTTCTGTGTATTCTATTTGCTTATCACAGTTCCTGTCATACATATAATAAAAATTTTATAGATGAATGAAATGGATGGTATGTAGAACATATCAGAACAGACAGACAAAACAGACAGACAGCTGCCAATAATACTTAAGTAATAACAGAATGGGTCTGGGCTAATAAGGAAAAGAAAAAACAATCATCCATTCCAAAAAAAAAGGATTTCCAAGGATGAGTAAATAGAGATTTGATTTTCTTTCTTATAGCTCAAAATATCTTTTTATGTTCAGTTAAAAACTTCTTTTGAAAGGCACTAGAAGCATTGCCTCCCCCAACCCCAACCACCAGCCAGAACCCCACCAAGCAATGAACACACGTGGTGCCCAGACTTCTGTTTCTAAATACCACTTCCAACTAAAAGAACCAGGACTCTTTGAAAGAATATGTAACTCCAGACATGGAATACAGAAAGAATAAGTCTACCCTGAGCACTCTTGTGTCAGAAAGCAAGATATGCTCAAAGACCAGCAGGACCTATCAAGAGGACAAAGGACCAAGTTAAAAGGGGGTTCCCACTGGCCACATTTGGGACAACTTGAGCATATTTTTTTAAAAGTAATAGAGTATAACATATGGAATAAGTAAAAATTAATGGATACATAGAGATACTTAAGGGAGAAAAAAAAAGATAAGGAAAGGGGGTGGGGAAAGAAAATCTCTACTGAAGAATGCCAGTAATAAATATAAAAGGAATAACCAAATTAGAAAATCACCAATTTGCAACCCCCAATGTAAAAGCTAATTCAGGCAAAAATCACCAAAGTATGCTAAGGCCATTAGGTGAAAAGTTGTTAAAAACATTATATTCTCATGGCGCCTAAGTATTACCTCACAGATTACTTAGCAACACAAAGGGGAAAATGTATCTTTAAAATGGAGACCTGGCTGTCACCACCTTACATAAGTCATTAAAGTTAACATTACTGATAACAGGAGGACAACCTGATATTATGTAATTCATGAAATGACAAAATAGGAAATAAACATCATTACCTATGAAATAGTCTCTTCAAAAATGTTTAATCCAATCCAATCCAATCCAATCTCTAGATCAGGAGTTAAGCTTTATTGTCCTGTGGATTTCTTTTACAGTCTGGCGAAGTTTATGGATACCTTCTTAGAATAATGTTTTTAAATGCATAAAACACACAACACTACAATGGACAATTATACTGAACTACAGCTACAATAATAACTGTTTAAATTATAACATAGTATTATTTCTTCTTTTTGAGACAGGCTCTCACTGTCACCCAGGCTGGAGTGCAGTGACATAATCACAGCTCACTGCAATCTCAACCTCCTGGGTGCAAGCGATCCTCCCACCTCAGCCTCCTGAGTAGCTGGGACCACAGGTGCACACTACCACACCTGGCTAATTTTTGTATTTTTGTAGAGACGAGGTCTCACTATGTTGTCCAGGCTGGTCCTGAACTCCTGGGCTCAGGCAGTCCTCCCACATCAGCCTCCCAGAGTGCTGGTATTACAGGCATGAGCTACCATGCCCAGTCTACTATTGCTTCTTTTTTTTTTTTTTTTTTTTTTTTTTTTTTTTGAGACGGAGTCCCGCTCTTTAGCCCAGGCCAGATTGCAGTGGCACAATCTCGGCTCACTGCAAGCTCCGCCTCCCAGGTTCACGCCATTCTCCTGCCTCAGCCTCCCGAGTAGCTGGGACTACAGGTGCCCGCCACCGCGCCCGGCTAATTTTTTGTATTTTTAGTAGAGACGGGGTTTCACCGTGTTAGCCAAGATGGTCTCGATCTCCTGACCTTGTGATCCGCCCGCCTCGGCCTCCCAAAGTGCTGGGATTACAGGCGTGAGCCACCGCGCCCAGCCTACTATTGCTTCTTAATACGAATCTAGTAACTACCTTATAGGCAATAAATGAGCATAAATTAAATCTTAAGATATCTGTAGCAATTGAATGTGATATGAGAATACCTGAGATTTCTATTGGTGACAAAGCTACAGGTACTGTAAATGTACTGTCCATACTGTATCCATGAAGCGTTTCTTATATTCCTAATTAAAGGAAATGCTAAAATCCAGTTAGGGCAGAGTTTTTCAACTTTGACACTACTGACATTTTGAAAGGGATAATTCTGTTATCAGGGACTATCTTGTACCCACCCAGCTGTGACAATCAAAAATGTCCTAGGGTTGGGGAAGGAGAAGACAAACTCACCCCGGTTGAGAACCACTGAGTTAGGGAATAAGTTAAAATAAAGATGTAATTTTTTCCCCATCTAAAGTTCACAGATTCCCTGAATTCTACAGACCCTACAAGAGTCTGTGAACTCAAGGTTCAGCACCCTTGCTCTAGACCTACCTTTGAGTTTACAGTAAATAGAAGGAAGTAGGATAGTAAGGTTTAAACCACCATATATGAGGAAACAATGAGACAAATTAAGAGTATGAGATAGTCTATTAAGAAAATGGCTTGGATACTCAGTCATTTTAAAAAGGTGGGAAACTACTCTAGACTAAAATAAATTATGTGATTATTTACCTGCTTGTTTCCTATCTCTCCCACTATACTGTAAACTTACTTACTTATATTTGTTTCATTCACTTTCCTATACCACACCCAATACAAAGTCTAAGCATTCAATAAACTGCATGACTATTCAATGAACGAATGAGCAAATGAATGAATATCACAGAAAGTGTGTAAGACACACAAGCCACTAACACAATACCTCAAAAGGTTCACATACATTTCAAATAATCTAAAAATATAAATCCAAAATATATTTCCTTGTTTGTATTAACATTACTTGACTTTCTGAAATTTGATTCTAGATCTCCACCTTCCTTGTAAAACGATATACTAGTTAAGAGTATTGGCCATACAATCAGTTAGATCACTGTCATTTATTAGTTGTGTGACAACTGTCTTACCTTCCTAAGTCTGTTTCCTAATTTGTAAAATGGGACAGCAGCAGTATCTTCCTCATAGGAATGTCATAAGATTTAAATGAAATAACTTATGTGAGTTCATAGCATAATACTTGGTACATAGTAGACATTCAATAAATAATTGCAACAACTATTATTATAAACTTTTTTTTTTTGAGACAGTCTCACTGTCAGCAGGCTAGAGTGCAGTGGTGCAATCGCGGCTTCACTGCAACCTCCGCCTCCCAGTTTCAAGCCATTCTCCTGCCTCAGCCTCCTGAGTATCTGGGACTACAGGCGCATGCCACCACGCCCAGCTAATTTCTGTAATTTTAGTAGAGACAGGGTTTCGCCATATTGGTCAGGCTAGTCTTGAACTCCTGACCTCAGGTGATCCACCCGCCTTGGCCTCCCAAAGTGCTGGGATTACAGGCGTGAGCCACCACGCCCGGCAAACATCTTACTTTTTAAATGGTCAGCAAACATTAACATTTCAACTGTGCCATGCAAAATTTTAAAATAAATGCAAACTTTAGGATCCTGAGCCTCCTCTTCTGGCGTCCTTTTCTTTGCTTGAGCATTCCTAATCCTGGAGAGAGAGGTGGTGGGTAGGAGAAAGTAGAGGGAAAACAGCAATAACAAACTAAACCAATATGGGCAGACATAACTTACTTTCAGAAAAGTCACCAAAGCATAGAAAAATGATCCTCATTGCCTTGCCACTAAAGGGGGTAAAAAGAATATTGGAAAGTGATAATGAAGCTAGAAAATATGGTGGCCTAGAACATAAGCAACTTTGATGACAAAATTGTGCCCGTGGGAGAGAAGACAGACGAGGAGGTGGTAGGGGAGTGACTGGAAATAATGGTTTGGAAGACATCTGAGCATAGGTCAAAGTTAAGTCCATGGAAGTAGAGTAGACGAGATAAAAATTACAATTTTTGAGTTGGACAAGACTTTAAAAGAATATCTGGCTTGACTTTCTACTTCATATATAAATCCTTTCTACAAGGTGTCTTTTTGCCTCTACTTGAAAACTTCAATAATGAAGAATTAACTACTTTAAAAGCAGAGTACTACTGTAAAACAACCATAATTACTTTGGAGAAAAAATATTCTTGTAGTGAACAGAATCCTGCTTCCCTGAATTTTCCATTACTGCTTCTAGTTCAATTACATTACAGGAATGAATTAGTAGATAACTACAGATAGTCACAGGAAAGTGATATTACAAATGGAGAAAGTGCCGAAGAAGAGAGCTAATGAAAGCTCTGAAGAAGGGGTAGGGCAAATATGTTTAGAGGAAAAGACAAAGGCAATCAGAAATACCATCCTTACACAGGGAAGATGTGTCAGGAAGTAAAGTGCGAACAGTAAGTAGCATCAACATGCTGCAAAGAGATCAAGGAGATTACTAACTTTAGAAAGGATACTGGATTAAGAACAGTTTCAGGACAGTGGTTAGGGAAGAAGCAATCCCACTGAGGTTAAGAGGTAAGTGATGAAGTAATAAAGGCAACAATATCAACATCTCTTTGGTGGTAAAAGGAAAAAAAAAAAAAGAACAAGAGTTGAGCAAGAATCTTTTAGGCTATCGGAGACCTGACCATATTTGTAGGCAAACAGCAAGAAGCCAATTGAAGGGTGAGATTAAAGAGGAACAAGAGGCCGGGCGCAGTGGCTCATGTCTGTAATTCCAGCACTTTGGGAGGACGAGGTGGTTAGATCACCTGAGGTCAGGAGTTCAAGATCAGCCTAGCCAACGTGGTGAAACCCCATCTCTACAAAAAATACGAAAAATTAGCCGGGCATGGTGGCATGCACCTGTAATCCCAGCTACTCAGAAGGTTGAGGCACAAGAATCGCTTGGACCTGGGAGGCAGAGGTTGCAATGAGCCAAGATCATGCCATTGAACTCCAGCCTGGGTGACAGAGCGCGACTCCGTCTCAAAAAAAAAAAAAAGGAACAAGTAAGTGGTGGAGAAAGGAGATGGTCAGAGTTACATACACACAGGAATGGGGCGAGAGGGGATGGGAAAAGGAGAGGCAAAGTGAGAAAGAAAGAATATCAAGCCCAGGGACTAAAAGGCACCTCAGGTTTATGTCACACCTTGAGAAAGACAGGACTTTGTCAGTCAACAGTGAGAAAATAAGCAGGCTGACCTAGAAAAGTTGCCTCACACCCTACTCCTGTGCCCAATGTGTGAGTGGGAGGAGGAGTGGAAATCAGCTGGGACTGCAGGCTCTGAAGGTTCTGTGAAGCGCTAGATCAAGAGCATGTAAAAATACGCTATCAATGAAAGAAGGAAGGATGACAGGGAAGAATGAAATGGAAAGACAAGAAGAATTGCATCATCACTAATATCTGACTATACAGTCAAATACAGTGAACACTATACAGTTCATAATAGCTTACTTTCAGATGTTTTTGTTCATCTTCAAAATAACCTAGTAAGAAAAATATTTCTGAATGAATCAATGAATCAACGATCTCCATTATATGAATGAAGAAACAAGTTCTAGAGTAACTTGATTTCAGACCATTCAGTGAGTTAACTGTGAAGAGGGAATCTGAATTCAGATTTTCTGATTCTAAGTTTCATGCCTCTGTCTCTGCACCAATAAAAAAATTTTAAATTATGTCACTACTCCTTCCCACCCATTTCAGGCTCCTGGTGCTTTCCTCTTCTGTCTTTGTCTCCTTATCAGATCAATGACTGAATCAATAATTATTTACTCTCATAACTGTTACTTATGTTCATCTTCTATTGAATGATAGAAATAATTAACATCTAATTGTGACAATTTTATAAGACCAGGACTATTCCAAAAGAAAAAAGATACTATACATTTTCTTTTCTTTTTTTTTGAGATGGAGTCTCGCTGTGTCGCCTAGACTGGAGTACAGTGGCAAGATCTCAGTTCATAACAACCTCCGCCTCCCGGGTTCAAGCGATTCTCCTGCCTCAGCCTCCTGAGTAGCTAAGACTACTGGCACCCAGCACCACACCCGGCTAATCTTTGTATTTTTAGTATAGACAGGGTTTCACCATGTTGCCCAGGCTGGTCTCAAACTCCTGACCTCAGGTGATCCGCCTGCCTCAGCCTCCCAAAGTGCTGGGATTACAGGCGTGAGCCACCATGCCCAGCCTACATTTTCATCAGTGTAATTTACTGCATTTTTCTTACCAAAGGAGTAATTGTGCACCTGTAACGTGGGATAAATATACTACTTTGGCGCATCATTTTAGCACTTTCAAGAAAGTTTGAGCCCAAGAAGTTGAGGCTGCAGTGAGCTGTGATGGCATCACTGCACTCTGACCAAGGCAGTGGAGAGAGGCCATTTCAACAACAACAACTTCTGAATTCCATATAATTGACCCTTTTTTTTTTTTTTGAGACAGTCTCGCTCTGTCACTCAGGCTGGAGTGCAGTGGCGTGATCTCGGCTCACTGCAACTTCCTGCTTCTGGATTCAACTGATTCTCCTACCTCAGCCTCCCAAGAAAATGGGACTACAAACGCCTGTCACCTTGCCTGCCTAATTTTCGTATTTTCAGTAGAGACGAAGTTTCACCATGTTGGCCAGACTGGTCTCAAACTCCCGACCTCAGGTGATTCGCCCACCTCGGCCTCCCAAAGTGCTGGCATTACAGGCGTGAGCCACCGCGCCTGGCCCCATATAATTGACTTATAAATGAACTTTTTTAAAAAAAGTCTATTTATAATTTGAGAAAACATGGATAAAGTGGAATTTCTTTTTAACACTGGAGCTGGACAGAGCTTTTTTGACATAATTTTGATACAATTTTGGACCTAATTTTTTTAAAAGTCCACAACTGACTGCTGTTTTTTTAAAAGCAAACAAAAAAATCTCAAATTTCATTTCTCCAAATTTACAAGTACTGATAATATGCAAGAAAAACTTAACCACACTGTAATGTCCTACCAAAGATCAGTTTGACAGAACTCAGGAGTTTATGTTACCATAGTAAAAACTCTGCCCCCTCCTTTCTCCACCACCTTTTCTTGTTCCTATTTAATCTCATCCTTCAGTTGGTTTCTTGCTGTTTGCCTACAAAATACATCAAATATCTCATGTTCTAAGAAGTACTTTCCACAACATTTTTGAAATGTAAAAGCCAATTTCTGGCAAATGTAAGTTTTTCATACTACCTATACACAAATAGCAATATACTTCTACACTATTTATCATTTGACAAAATCTAGTTTAATCATAATTTTTAAAAATCTTTAAATTTTTTTAAAATGCGTATCACATATTATTGCTCACAAAAATCTCAATATTGAAGGTACAATTTAAACATAATCTCAAGAAATACTAACATTGGGGCTGTCATATAAATAAGTACTTCTATAGTCCTCTTGAGCATTAAAGAAGTATGGAAGAGGCTTAAGGAACCCAGAAAATAAGAACAAAGTTGTAGTAATCTAATTTTCTTTTTCTTTACATCCTCATATGGCATTTATGAAACCCTGTGCTTTGCAGGAAACTCTGAATGCATGCGCTTCCTAAAGTTGCTTATTTACTTTTTATTTAGTGACAAGAAACAATAAGAAATAATATTGACTAGGAGGATAAAAATTATAACAATTTGTAATGTTAAATTTAAATATTTTTAAATGGCTTATAAAACAAATGCTATTTCATGTGATATCTTTATCAGGAAGAAAAATCATAAATATCCTCATAAAATATATACTTTTTAAGTCTAGATATTATTCCAAATAAAAGCAATGTCTTTTTTTCCCCAGCACTCAGAGAATTATAACATTATAGCAGCCATTAAAATTAAGGGGAGGCCGGGCACGGTGGCTCATGCCTGTAATCCCAGCACTTTGGGAGGCTGAGGCAGGCAGGTCACAAGGACAGGATATCCAGACCATCATGGCCAACATGGTAAAACCCTGTCTCTACTAAAATACAAAAAGTTAGCCGGGCATGGTGGTGCACGCCTGTAGTCCCAGCTACTCGGGAGGCTGAGGCAGAGCAATCGCTTGAACACAGAACGGGGAGGTTGCAGTGAGCCGTGATTATACCACTGCACTCCAGCTTAGCAACAGAGCCAGACTCCATCTCAAAAGAAAAAAAAAATTGATTAAGGGTCACAGGCCTGGAATATGAATAAACTATACTAAGATAAAATCTGTCTCTAGCATGTAAAAATTCCAACAACAACAAAAAATAGCTTGGATGCTTTCTTACTCCTTTGGGCCACTGATACGATTGTATTACTAGTGAAATTTTTGTCAGTCAAAATGAACCATATTAGACACTGGTATTCTCTTCTTGGTGTCCCAGCCAAAAATATTAGCAAGATAATCTTAAAATCTCTCATTCAGAGGTACTGAAGAATAAATATGTCTCAAATATATAAACTATTAGATACTTATTAAGTAACAAAGATGATGCTTTCAAGGAATTTTCATTTTAGGGAAAATAAAGCAAAATAGCTAAGAAACATCTGCAATAAGTCAGTAAATAGTTTACAAATAAAAATATTAAATGTTAGTTTAAGGGAAAAGTAAATACAGGGTTTATGATTACTATAACCTCAAACAAACAATAAATTAGTATTTTAATTAATCACTCCTTGGCATTACCCTTGCATCTCTCACCACTGGTTGGCTATCTTAGCCCTGCTCTACTTTACTAACTTCATTACTTAGCCTACATCCCCATTACTTCATCTCCCTTGCATCTCTCCTCCCTCATCCACCTTCAATACAGTGTGTCTTTGCTTTTCTCCTGCTTGCAGAACACTGCCAGAAAAAACAGTAAAATATGCTGATTACAAATTTATGAGTTCCAATCTCAGATGAGCCTCTGATGCTGCTCAGCAATTCTTTCACTTATTTATCTTGAAACACTTCTCTTCTCCATTCCCCACAATATGTGGAACATTTTCATCACTCTCCTCAAGTCCCCTAGCCTACTTCCAACAACGCAAGGCTCAAAAAGTAACTGTTTAAAAAAAAAAAAAAAAAAAAAGTCCCCAGATGTAGTTTTTTCCGTTCATATCCAAATGTACCTAATTCTCATCTATACACAACTCTTAACTTTCTGAGATAGAGTATAGGTGTCTACTCTTTTCCAGAGTTAATCCCCCAACAGCTGTTTTTGATCTTACCTCTTCCTGCTTCATCTGGGACCTTTTTCTATTAGTTATTCCCCAATTCTATCTTTAATCTCTTCATCGGCCCATCAAAAAAAAAAAAAAGAAAAGAAAATTTCAAGCACCAAATGAAGGCCCTTTCCCTCCTCCCTGCCTCCTCCAGCTACTACTTCTCACCTCCCCTTCATTGGCAAACCTCCGTTCTCTTTTTGGTCTACTTCCTTAGCTGTCTTCCATCTTCACCATTTACTTGGCTCCAGAAAAGGTTAGGAATGACCTGATTTCTACATTCCGTGGCCTATATTCAGAATTTATCTAACCTGACCTCAATGCCCTGAAAAAGTCAAAGAAGGTAATAAAAGTAGAAGGAATGCAAAAAGAAAAGTTACCATTTGTAATCCTCCAACATAATGACTGATTCAAGCAAGGATCATTAATGGGTACCAAAATCACTGGTTAAAGGGTTGTCAGGGAATAGGATATTTACATGGCTATTAAGTATCCTCTATAAATTATTTATTAAACAGTAGAGAGATCTGTCAGTTCACCTTTACCAAGTGATCAAACTTGCATTACCGATATAGTGATAGCCTGAAATCATGTGCCTCCTGATGTAATACAGCAGAAATACACATCATCTGTGTGATGGTCTCACCAGAAATGTCTGACTAGAATCTAATCATGAGGAACAGACCAATTCAGAATGTGGAACATGCTCCAGGACATATGGTCTCTACTTCTCAATGGATAAACCTAAAGAAGAGAGGAAGGCGGTAGGACTAGTCCAGATTGGGGGAGACTTAAAGAGACATACCAGCCAAATGCAATGCATTAACCTTGAATGAATCCTGCATTTGAGGGGGGAAAAAGCTATAAAGATTTTTGGGACAAATGGGAAGATTTAAGTATAGAGTATACATCAAATAATGTTATTAAGTAAATGCTGATATATATATATGATATATATATCAGCATTTATATATAAATATATATCAATATATATCATATGATATATATCAGCATTTATATATAAATATATATCAATATATAGATATATATTGATATATATATCTATATATTGATATATATCACATATATAGAGATATATATATCATATAGAGAGATATATATATATCATATATAATACCAATCAATACCACATTACTTATTCTGAATATTGTCTGCAACTATTCCACCCTCAAATTACCCCATAAAAATCTTACTGAATAGCTGGGCCTTTGACCACCTCTACCCTTATTTTTATATGATTCTGAAAGAAAGGTGACCAGTTAACAAAATTTTAAGAAACCAGCCAGGCGCGGTGGCTCACACCTGTAATCCCAACACTTTGGAAGGCCGAGGCAGGTAGATCACAAGGTCAGGAGTTCGAGACCAGTCTGACCAACATGGCGAAACCCTGTCTCCACTTAAAATACAAAAATTTGCTGGGCGTAGTGACACGCCAGAAAGATGAAAAATAATTTTAAAAGAAATCTAGAAGGAAATGAGATTTTACAAATGGTGAGCAGGCTTACAACCCCTATTTCTTCAGTTAAATTCTCACATCTGAAGAATAATTACCTTCAGATAATAGAAAAACCCTTCAAATACACAGGAAGGCAGGCATAGTAAATGAAGACAAAAGGATTATTCCCCAAAAGGGAATTAATCCAAATAACGACAGCATACTCTTAAAAACACTAAAACTTTTTGAATAAGTCACTTCCAAAAATTTTAACTCTGAAGTAAAATATATATATTTTCAAGTCTTCTCAAATAGCATATTTGAAAACAAGGTAATCTTTTCTTAATAAGTTAATTTCACCATTATAATAATCAGTTATTTTACTGTGCTATAACGGTGATACTCTCAGGTGCTACAGAAGGAAGTCAGTTTGCCCCTATATTAAGGAGTTTCAGATTATAGTGATATACTAGTTATTTTACTAGTTTGTTATCAATATTTGTATTTAGTGCTTCTCTCCTCCCTAGAGAGGCTGTCAGCCATCACTATTCTCCGCCTTACTATCTACATTCCTGCCTTTGACAACCTCTATATTCCTTCCTAATTTGATTCTTCTGAAGCGAATAACTCTTCTACAGTATATTATAGTTGACACTGCATCTTAATACATATTACCTCATTTAATAATTCTTACAATAGCCTTGTAATACATGGATTATCACTACCCCTATTTTATAGATGAGAAAACTGAGGCTCAGAAAGAATAACTTGAGTAACTTATCCATAAGGTATGGATGATAAATAGCAAAAGTGATCTCAACTGTCAATTACCTTCTTTCATCAACAAATTAAGCTTGTTAAAAACATTAAATAGTCTAAAGTGGAGCTCATAGGGGAAAAAAAGATTCATTATAAGCTTGGAATTTTTCTGGACATTCACAACATACATACATACATACATAACATAAGTGTTATACATACATATATAACATAAGTGTTATCCATAAAGTTAAACACTTAGCTTACTTCTCCTTTCTTGGTAGTTGAAGCTGCCAGGAAAAAAAAAAATCACTTCTGGATAAAAAAGATATGACTATATTCTATTTACAATTTCAAAAACATATGCAAAAATAACAATTCAAAACAATAGTAGTCCAAATTTGCAGTAAATTAAGTCTGTTTTTAGAAAAAAAGGGGTTCTTTTTTCAGATTTGAAGACAACCTAAACATACGAAACAGTATCTGCGTCATGTCGTAAACAGATTTCCTTTTATTTTTCCCTCAATTCCTCCTCTTGCAAAGAAATAGAGTTAGTTGCTAGAGGATCTAAGGTGTTAATCTAATTCACCAAACATCGCCCACTGAGACTATTCTCCCACCTGGTAGGAATCAAAAACACTAGGTCCTTACCAGAAATCGTGCAGCCCCTAGGTTTACAATGGTACCATTGACATTTTGAACCGGATAATTTCTTGCAGAAGTATGTCCTGTGCATTGTAGGGTATTTAGCAACATCCTTGGCCAATACCATTTCCTTCAGCTATGACAACCAAAAATGTCTCTAGACACTGCCAAATTTCCCTTGGAGTCAAAACCGTCCTCGCAGAGCCATTGTTTTAGATGTTAGGGCACTGGATATTTGAAAAAGGAAACCTCCAACTGGCCCTGTTAATTATATTTTTTTAAAATTTGGATTTAAAAAAATAAGACATTAATAGTATAAGAAGATATCTAAATAATACATTTGCTACCCTTCCTTAGGTTAAAGCATTTTTAGAGGATTTTGTAACATGGGTTTCATCAATGTAGCTACATATAGTCACCCACTTTTCCCCCAAAGTTGGGGGAATGTCCAGTTCTTTCTCAGCTCTGCTAGCAAAATGTCAAATACATACATATATACAAGAATCTAAACAATTCTAACTTCCAAAGTCCCATTTCTTGCTTTACATGGCCACGCTGTGGTTCTTGAGCCACACATCCTAGAGATTCAAGCTTCTAATCTCCATGTTTCCTCATCTGGTTGCTGCCAACTAATAGCGAGGTAAGCAGGAAGTAAGCTGATGACCTTTAAGATCTTTTCCCTGATATTCTAATATTCAATGACAAAAATGCCCACTTTTACTTATTGATTCCGAGCTGACCAAACTACCTCTTGAGGTTACTGAAGCCATTCATGCCTTCTCCAACTTTATGCTGAATACAACCAAAAAGTGTATCAGTTATTTACAACATCACTTTTAATATTGGTGATCAGTTGCTTATTCCCTAGCTCAAATAAAAAATTTTAACATGTACACTGATTTTAAAGGAAAAGCTTTTCAAGAAGCTATGAGCCAAGAAGCATTATATGAAAGGCCCACATTAGGCCAATATTGAGACAGAAAGTAGACTAGTGGTTGCCTAAAGCTGGGGGTGGGGTGAAGAGAATGGGGAGTAACTGTTAATGGATAAAGGTTTTTTGAGGGAATGATGAAAATGTTCTAAAATTAGATTATGGTGATGGTTGCACAATTATTTAATCTAAAAACCACTGAATTGTATATTTTTTTTTTTTTTTTGAGATGGAGTCTCGTTCTGTCACCCAGCCTGTAGTGCAGTGGTGCTATCTTGGCTCACTGCAACCTCCACCTCCCAGGTTCAAGCGATTCGCCAGCCTCAGCCTCCCCAGTAGCTGGGATGACAGGCGCTCACCCCCATGCCCGGCTAATTTATATATTTTTAGTACAGACGGGGTTTCACCATGTTGGCTAGGCTGGTCTCGAACTCTGGACCTCAGGTGATCTACCTGACTAGGCTTCCCAAAGTGGTGGGATTACAGGTGTGAGCCACTGAACCCGGCCAAGTGGTACACCTTAAATGGGTGTATTTTATGGTATGTTAATTTTATCTCAATAAAGCAGTTTTTAAAAAGCAAAGAGCAGGAAAGAGGAATTGTAATTAACTTTTGTTGATTAAAAAAAAAAAAAAAAAAAAAAAGAGTGTGATGGGCCGGGGCCGGGGCGGTGGCTCACACCTCTAATCCCAGCACTCTGGGAGGCCGAGGCCGGTGGATCACAAGGTCAGGAGTTCAAGACCAGCCTGGCTAATATGGTGAAACCCCCGTCTCTACTAAAAATACAAAAATCAGCCAGGCGTGGGGGCGCCTGTAGTCCCAGCTACTCAGGAGACTGAGGCAGAAGAATCACTTGAAGCCGGTAGGCGGAGGTTGCGGTGAGCCAAGATAGCGCCACTGCACTCCAGCCTGGGCAACAGAGCAAGACCCCGTCTCAAAAAAAAAAAAAGAAAAGAAACAAAAAAAAAGAGTGTGATGAAGAAATTCTGCAAAATTTGCCGTTTCATGGGCTATATAGGAATTGACTTTAATTCTGACACAAAAAATTATCTTATCCAGAAATCAATTTTAACTTTCCAGAAAATATAAGCATATGCAAAAGTAATCACCTTTTCCTAGTAAACTTTTAGTATTAAATTCTAATTTCAAAAACACTTCAGAAAGCCAAATGCTGTAGTAACAATACTTCTACAAGAACAAAATATACGAATATCAACAACAAAACAGTCTTTACGATTTGGTTGTGATGCATTCTTTATTTTAAAAACCCATTAAAACATTTTTCATTTATTTAAAAAAGTGATCCTCAGACTGCCTCTTAGATTGGTAGTGTAATAATTCTTAAGTTATCAGAACATAATTTAAAAATAGCCAAATTACAATAAAATCGCAAACATCTACTGTCGTCCCAAACAACTATCAATTACAGCTACTGGTAACCTATCATAAGCAATGATGAGCACTACGAACCATCAACATCCATTTCTAGGAAATCCGATTCTGACTACACTACAAATACAGTCAAACAAATCCCATCATTCCCTCTGTTCCATCATTTAACTGCTTAGAAATCATTTAGGCTCTGAAGGTGCTTTTTCCAATTAGAACTCCCCTTCGGATTTATAAAAGTGAATGTACATCAAAATCTGCAGTTTAGGTTATCGCAGTAATATTTCTCGGTATACTACAAGTAATTTATCACGGTATTACTTAAAGGCGTTTAGTATTAAGACCGCCCTTGATTTGACAAATCAGAAATACAGCCAATTAAAAACAAAAACAGTCCAAACAATTTAATTCTTCGAAAGAGCCTCAATAAAGACCAAAAAATAAAGCTGGTTAGAAGAAAAAAATTTTTTTTTGAAACGCCTGTCAGTCAAAATGCTAAAAATACCATCTTGAACTCAACACATGAACAGACCAAACGGCTAATTATAATTGGCAAGCCAAAGTTCCCAAGTCAACGACGGGAGAGCAGAAACGGCAGAGAGGGCCTGCCCTTTCTGTCTATGCAGAGATGGAAGGAGGCAGAACTGAAGAAAATTATTGCACAAATTATTTCAAGCTACATTGCCAAAATGCAAAATACTGAGTAACTCTTTGGGTTAGCCTTCCCCGGAGAGAAAAACAAACAAATGTTTTAACGATTCCAGTAGAATCCAATAGGACTAAGGGCCTGGCTGGAAAAAGAAAAGGAAAGTTTGGGGGCAGCGTCTAAGGGGGTGATGGAAGTTCCAGAGCTGGGATCCCGGAAAGATAAGAGAGGGGCAAGAGCGGCGTTTGCGGTCGCTGACAGGAGGCAGGGAACACAGCTGCCAGCCCCGATCCCGGAGGGAGAGTGAAAAGGAAAAAAAAAAAAAAAAAAGGAAGTGGCGGAGAGGAGCATGGAAGCTTCAGTGCCGGTCAGCTGTGACCGAAACTCGGTCCGTTTGGGGCTGGGGAGGAGAGCCGAGGGGGTGGGGTCTCGGTCCCTCTCTCCGCTGTAGGTCGGGGTGAGAGTGGGCTGAGACGCGCGGGGGGCCGCGGGGCACACCTACCTGCGGGTCCCGGGGCAGCCGCCCTGAGCGAGGCCTAGTGCATCGCCGCCGCCTCCAGCCCTCCACGTCGCACCGAGGCTGCTGCTCCACGGCCGCCGCCGCCCGGCGCCCGGCCGGGCCCGAGCCCGGGTTCCCGCCCCCGCCCCGCGCCCGCTGGCCAGTCGGCCCGGGGAGCACAGGGCCGCCCTCTCGAGCCCAGCTTCACTCAGGGGTGAGAGGTGGCAGCGGCGGCTCCCTCACGTCTCTCCCGGGTGTCCTGTCAGCCAGCAGTTTCCCCCGGGTCCGCAGCGCCGCCTCCGCCGCTGCTGCCACCGCCTCTCCCACATCCCCGGCCTCCAGGGGAGCCGCCGCCGCCGCGCCACGACCACTGCCTCTAGCGCTTCTGCTCCCGACTCCACTGCTTTCCCTCACCCCGCCGGCCCAGCCGGCTCGGCCCGGTCGGGTGCGGGGAGACAGCGCCGGAGGCCGCCGCAGCCCCCAGCCCACAATCCACCGCGCGGCTCCGCCGGGGCGGGAGGGCCGCGGCCCGGGCCGGGGGGAGCGCCCGCCGCCTGGGGAAAGCGGCCTTGGCGCAGGCCGGCGTGCCCGTCGCAGGCGCAGCCAGAGTTCTCTCGGGGCGGGGAATACACCGCGTGGCTCCCCTGCGCCTCCTCTAATAGTCCTACACGCAGACAAATCCACGCTGAATTCCACTTTCCCCACCACCCTTCCCCCCAACTCCCAGTTTTCAGGAACACCCAGAAAACCTCCTGCCGCCTTCCCCGGGACTGGGACGCGACCCCTCCAGCGTAGCCCTCGCCACCCCCAAGACCAACCGACTCGAAACATCCCTAAATCACCCGGGACCTATTAAAGCAAATACTTCCACGAGATTCCTCCTCTCCCCCACCCCCTCGAAGTAAATGCTTTTCAGCTGTTCCCTAGTAAATGCCCTTCCAAAGGTTAAAGGTCACCCCTCCGCAACAACCCAGTTCTCTCTATTGAGGCCTTTTCCCCATCCAGTCCTCCCCTCCAAGTCTTCCCCAAGTTCCAGGCCTTCCTCCCAGACACTGTAATCAGTTATTCCTGTTACTTGACTGAGATACTTGGAGTGTGTATGATAATTAATACCTTCTAATTCTGACTTCAGCCTGGTTTCACAGGACTTGCAACTTTAAACCAATAAAACACAGTCCACAAGAAAGGGAAGGTCTTAGTATATAAATATAAAGACACACACACACACACACACACACATATATTTTAGGAAGAAAAAGATCCTCAATCCTTTGAGTGCTTGTGACTTAATTTTGGGAAGATTTTATTCAATGTTGAAATTCTTGCCTAAAAATAAATTTCAAGCATTTATAAGACATAGTATGTTTTAACAAATCAAAAGTGAAAATGTAACTCTTATAGTTGGGGGGTTGAAAAAAATGTTGATCCAAGTTTCACTTCTAAGAAGTCACTTTGAAAACTGCAAACATAACTTTTATGAAATAATATTTTCCCCACCAAAGAGCTAAAGTTGGGGAAAGAGGACAAAAAGTAAGGAAGCATCAAAAATAGTTGAGAGAAAACTCTTACATTATATTTTTCTAAGTTCAATCCTCTAAAATTATGTAAGAAACAAAGTGAGAAAATCATTCCCCAATATGAAATAAATTTAACTGTAAAAGAGTGAAGTCCTCTTAAATCCCTGATCACTTATAAAACCAGATGAGTTTACATAGAAGCAGAGTAGAATGGTGGTTACCAAAGACTGGGGGGTAAAGGGTGATGAGGAAAGGGGAAATGTGAGTCAAAGGGTATAAAGTTTCAGGTAGGAGGAATAAATTTTAGTGATCTATTGCACAGCACGATGACCACAGTTAATAACAATGTATTTAATATTCCAGAATAGCTAAAAGAGTACTTTCTTTGTTTTGTTTTGTTGAGACTGTGTCTGGCTCTGTTGCCCAGGCCAGAGTGCAGTGGCATGATCTTGGCTCACTGCAACCTCTGCCTCCCAGGTTGAAGCAATTCTCCTGCCTCAGCCTCCCGAGCCGCTGGGACTACAGGCGCGCACCACCACGCCCAGCTAATTTTTGTATTTTTAGTAGAGACGGGGTTTCACCATATTTGCCAGGCTGGTCTCCAAACTCTTGACCTCGTGATCCACCTGCCTCAGCCTCCCAAAGTGCTGGGATTACAGGCATGAGCCACCACGCCCAGCCAAGAGTACATTTTAAATGTTCTCACCATAAAAAAAATAAGCTGGGTACAGTGGCCCACACTTGTAGTCTCAGCTGAAGTGGAAGGATGCCTTGAAACTAGCAGTTTGAGTCCAGCCTGGACAACATAGCCAGACACCATCTCTTAAAAAAAAAAAAAAAAGTAGGTGAGGTGAAAGATATGTTAATTAGCTTGGTTTAGTTATTCCACAGTGTGTACATATATCAAAACATCACATTGGATCCTATAAATATATATAATTATTATTTGTCAGTTTAAAAATTTTTTATTAAAAAAGATGTGTTTATACTGTGAAAATATTAACAAGAGGATTAACCAAGTTTTATCTAAGGCCAGAAAGGAAAATAATTTTTCTTTATGTCTAGAATCAGTTCATAGATTATGCTAGGAATTGGATTTAGCAAATTCTTATATTTTGACCCCCCTCAGGAAGTCAACAACAGTTCAAAAACTTCCTTAAGCCTGGCTGGTTTGGCCTTTAAAAAAATATTTGTGTTTATACCCCACCTTGTTCCAGAAAAGATTCCAACTTGGCACTTGGACTAAATGATAGCCGTCAGTTGTCTCCCAGACACTAGAACAAGACAGTCTGGTTTGCTTCCTCATTATCCATCTGTTGATAACATACCATAGGAAGAAAATACACATTGAGTGTCGTGCTTAGTTCTTTCAGAGATCCAGCTCAATGTTTACTTTTACTTTTACTTTTCCACAGAACAATTCATAATCTTGAATCTAAACAGGAAAGTAAATGCTGATGATCAGGTTTGCAAAAATTTTTTTAAAGTGTGTAAACTGGGCAAGCAATTTCATTTAAACCTAGATAAATTTCAAATTAATTACTATGTTCACTTGCTATCACTTGAATCATTTCAGTCAGTATGAGAGCTAAAAGCCAAATCACAAATAAATAGGTATAGATATATTATTAGTGTACATTTCCAGAAAGCACAGATGATAGAAAATTAAGAAATTAATACAAAATTAAGAAATGGATAGGAGTTAAGATTCCATCATTGCCTTCAAAAAAAGGAATCAGGAAGAAAATATTTAGCTACCATGTCACTAACACTGTATTTGGCATATTTATTATATCTGTTACCGACCAATCACATGAAAAGTGATAGTCCATCAAGGTTATATGTTCTAATTAGAGGGAGAATGGCAAATTTTCTAATGCCATAACACCTATAAAAGGGCTATGTTTATGTTTACTGTGTATTCTGTGCATATTTGTATAGGTGGCAGTAGTAAGGTTAACATAGCTACTCAATCACTGAACACTGCCTTTCTTTTTTTTTTTTTTGAGATGGAGTCTTGCTCTGTCACCCAGGCTAGAGTGCAGTGGCACGATCTCGACTCACTGCAAGCTCCACCTCCCAGGTTCATACCATTCTCCTGCCTCAGCCTCCCAATATAGCTGGGACTACAGGCGCCCGCCTCCACGCCTGGCTAATTTTTTGTATTTTTAGTAGAGACGGGGTTTCACCGTGTTAGCCAGGATGGTCGTGATCTCCTGACCTCACGATCTGCCCGCCTCGGCCTCCCCAAGTGCTGGGATTACAGGCGTGAGCCACCATGTCCGGCCTGAACATTGCCTTTCTAATGATTTATTTGATAGAAACTATACATTCCCGTGCTATATAAATACAGAGGGGAAAGGGGGCACTGATAGAATGAACAATGAGAAAAATAATTTTCCAATTTAGTAAGATAGAAGCACTAGCTTCTTTTTTCTGTGATAGCAAACCTTGAATCTATGCAATGGAAACCCATCCACATTCTTAACCTACTCTACAGCTAAATATGTGTAATTATATTGTGTGTTTAGTATAAATAAGCTATCTTTGATAAGCAAGATTTACATGCACTAATGAACTGAAGGTGTCAAGCTGGTAATTGTTTCATTAGGGTTTGGATCCAATAATGTCCTGAATTATTTTATGCATCATATTTGAGCTATTCTTAAATGTTATATATATAAATATATAATTATATGTGTTTTTATAATTTAAAAAATTTTACAATTTTTGATACAGCTAATATATAGTATATAAAAATATAAATGATAATTTATAACAATATGACTCTAACCTGAAACTGTGTTTTGATATTTCTTCATAGGTAATATAGGACTATCTTAATGTAGGAAAACTTTCCAGTTTACTTTGAGTATGGTGTAAGATATTAAAGCTAAATGTAGATATAAGCACCACTAGAAAATTTATAATATTTTATGTGGTGATGATAATGTACTCAATACTTGTTGGGAGTAATATACAAGTCTTCAACATATCATCTTTTTGTCTTCTACACCAGCCGCTTGGTTACTTTGGAAGCAATTATTTAACTCTGTTAAATTTCTCTGTTAACTTTTTTCTTGACCTCGATATTTCAGATTTCCATTTTGATTATTATAATAATAGCAGCTGTAATCTACTAAGAATTTACTGCACCCCAAGCATAGGGAAAAACCAAGATACTATGGTATATTAGTTTTCTATTGGTATGTACAAATTATCGCCAATTTAGCAATTTAAAGCAACACACGTTTATTATGTCATGGTTTCTTGAGTCAGGAGTCTCAGCACAACTTAACTTTGCTTAAGGTTTCACAAGGCTGCAATCAAAGCATCCATCAGCCTGTATTGTCATCTGAAAGCTTGACTGAGGAAGAATCTGCTTCCAGTCTCCTTCAGGTTGTTGGCAGCATTTATTTTCTTGCATTTACAGACTGAGAGCCCTGGCTCCTTGCTGGCTCAAGGCTGCCCTCAGATTTTAGAGGCCACCTGCAGTTCCTCACCCTGTGGGTTTCCCTAACACAGCTGTTTACTTCATCAGCCAGTGAGGAGTGTCTTTAAAGTCTCTAAAGTGAATCTGCTAGCCAAATGGAGTGATATCCTAGCATATTTTCTAGGTTTATAGCAGGTCACAAGTTTCACTCACACTTGAGGAGAGGGGATTACAAAAAGTGTGAACAATCATGGTTGCCTTTGATGGTAGCAATCATGAAGGGCTACCCTCGAGCCTATAGTTAATACCACAGGCTTTGGAGTTTGGCCAACCTTGGGCTTTAAACTTGGCTGTGACACTTTAGCTATGTGACTTTATTATCAGCCTCTAACTCATAGCTTGTTCATCTGCAAAGAGGGAAAACAAGCTCTTTGCACTTTATTTTTCTCCCATGTAAAATGGGACTAATAATAGAGTTTAAGGATTAAATGAGCATTTTAACACAGTAACTGGTAACATGAAATACTCAATAAACACTTGTTAGTTTTCTCCTTTTGTTCCCCCTCTTTCCCTCATCTCTTTTTATTTTGAACCTGGTCTGTTAGAAGTCCCAGTTGGCATTTTTACCCTTTCAACTGCTATGTATTTACCCTGGGTCCAGAGTTCATGTACATGTGTGTACACCTGTATCTAGGGCCATTCAAAACCAATTCTAGTATCAACACCTTAAAAAAAAGGATGGATAGTATTGCAAATGTTATTTCCAACTTGAGCTTGGAAAAATAAATAAAATGATAAATGCATAACATTAGAAAGATCATTATTAGACATAGAGGCTTTGAGAGTTTAGAGAACGTTGCTGGGGTTGGCTTCAGTTCTCCCTCTGAATCATGTTCAATAGGTACAAGGTACAAAAGGACGTGTTCTGGCATAATAGTGTTCCTGGGCTCTGAGTTTGTATTCCAGCTTTGCCACTTTCTAAGTAACCTTGGGATATTATTTAAGCTCTTTAAAGCTCAGTTCATTGTGGGGTAATGATAGTATTTAGACTTCGTAGATGTGCTGTGAGGATTACGTTTAAAGTGCACAGTCAGCCCTCAATATCTGCGGATTCCACATCAATAGATTCAACCAACTGTGTATTGAATATATATATATTTAAAAACAATAAAAAATACCAATAAAAAACAATACAGTATAACAACTATTTACATTGCATTTACATTGCATTAGGTAGTATAAATAATCTAGAGATGATTTAAAGTATCTGGGAGGATGTGTGTAGGTTATATGCAAGTACTTTGCCATTTTATATAAAAGACTTACTCAAATCCCTGATTTTGGTAACTGCAGAGGAGGGGGTAGTCCCTGAACCAATCGTCCTCAGATACTGAGGGACGATTGTACTTAAATAGCATAATTTAATGCTTAGTTCATAGTTGGTACTTTAAAATGTTAACTATCATAATTATTATTATAATCTTCACTATATCATTATTATTAGGAAAGCTGTTTTAATGAAACCCGCAAAATAGGAAGGGGCAAGATTTGACTATGAATGAGGTGGTTGAGGTGAGGCATGAGAAGCCACAAGATCTCAAAAGTCCTTATAAGCCCATGGGCTGCAAGTAAGATCAGTGGTCAGAAGGTATAAAAATTGGCAAGTCAAAGCCAAGTGTGGTGGCTCATGCCTGTAATCCTAGCACTTTGGGAGGCCAAGGTGGGAGGATCACGTGAGCCCAGGAGTTTGAGACCAACCTGGGCCATATAGTGAGACCTCATCTCTTAAAATAATTTTAAAAAGTTATATATATATATATATATATATATATATATATATATATAGAGAGAGAGAGAGAGAGAGAGAGAGAGAGAGAGAGAGAGAAAGAGAGACAGAGAGAGAGAGAAAGGGAGAGAGAGAAAGAGAGAGAACATTGACAGGTCAGAAACTGGACAAATAGGAACTAGGGGCCAAGGTAAAATTATGAATTCTCAACCAAACCGAAAAATGCAACCCAAGACACAACAGAAGAGCACATGAAACAAATAATTCGTACTTCAAACATGAAGCCTTTTATATACTTCCTGCTGGAGCAGGAGTCAACCACAGAGCATATCTGGTACGTGTCTGTACCATGCCTGGTACAAAGTAAGAGTTCAATAACTATTTTGAATGGAAAACACAGGAGTCATGTTCCTATAGGAAAATAGTGACTACATTGTTGAGTAGAACAGAGGATATGGGCATATCTTGACAAATATAAGATTACTTTCAAATTGAACAATTTCCCTAGAAAAGTAGTTATATATACCATTTTGTTAGTCCTGCTATCATATTTTTGCTTTATGTTGCTTTATACAGTATTTGGTTCTTTATTCTATGGAGAATATGTCTAATGAACTAAATTGTAACTATTTCCAGGGTAGGATTTTCTGTTGTTGTTGCAGGGTACTTTTAAAAAATTTCCCTACAGAATCTGGAACAGTATACTACATAGTAGATTTTCAGTAGATGCTTGTTGAGTTAAAATAATTATGAATTACCCATCCTTAGTAAATGGTATTTGGCATAATTAATTTTAATAATGTATAAAACTAGTGGGCAACCTTGAAATCATTCTTGACTTTCATGTACCACATCTAATTTGTCAGCAAATTCTGTTATTTCTACCTTTGAAATATATCTAGACTAAAGACTTCTCACCATTCACACTGCATCCAGACTGATCCAAGCCATCTTGCCCGCAGGGCCCCTGACTGTGGCTGTTGGACTATAATATACTGCTTATTACCGAAGGCACCATTCATACAGACGGCAGGGCGAATGATGCTTCTTGGAGTTGTGCAGTGCAATGATCCTACTTGCCTGGATTTTTGCAAAAGTCTTCTAGGCCATCTCCCCATTTCTGCCTTCTTCCCCCGACCCCACCAGTCTATTCTCAAAACGATAGTCAGCTTGCTTCTGTTGAAACTTAAGTCAGATCAGGTCATTCCTCCAGAAGCTCCCATCTCATTCAGAGAAAAGTTAAAGTTCTTGCAAGGCCCTAGGTGATCTCATCCCACTGTTACCTCTCTGACTTTATCTGCTCCTGCTCCCCCTATTTCTGACAACTGAACTCCTCACGATTCCTGGGAAACACCAGACATGGCCCTGACCTAGAGCATTTGCACTTGCACCTCTCTCTGCCTGGAATTTCCCCAGTTGTCCGCATAGCTAACTCCCTTACTTCCTTCAGGTCTTCATTCAAATATCACCTTCTCAGTGAGGCATTTCTTGACATGCATATTTCTCATTACAACACTAGGCTTTAACTGCTTTTCCACTTTCACCTCTTAGCCTTTATTATTATCTAACCCTCCATATGTTTTACTTATTTATTGTTTATCTGTCCCTAACATGAATGCAAGCTCTTTTGAGGGCAAGGATTTTTTTCTGTTTTGCTTACCACTTTACCACGCAACACCTGGAACAGTGCCTGTTCAAAGTAAGAGTTCAATAAATACTTGAAATAATGAATGAATGACTAAAAAAAAAACTAGCTGTTATAAGTATACACCACTTTCTTTCATGCACTAAGCAGAATAAATAACCAGTTAGTCTAATATCTTGAAAACAACTTGCCATTGATATGTTATAGGACTCAAGATTTTTGTAAGCCACTATTAATTTATTATATTTATGATCAAGATGATACTCTTGGCTCATTTTACATTTGGAGTAATTTAAGTAATAATGTTTAGAAAAGTGTTTTAAATATGCAATTCTGTAATGAAGTAGAACTATAAGGATATAACAGTCAAACATTTATTAGGAAAAAAGCATTTTTTTTTGATACAAAGTCTCGCTCTGTTGCCCAGGCTGGAGTGCAGTGGCATGATCTCAGCTCACTGCAACCTCCGCCTTCTGGGTTCAAGCGATTCTCCTGCCTTGGCCTCCTGAGCAGCTGGGATCACAGGCACGTACCACCATGCCCAGCTAATTTTTTTGTATTTTTAATGGAGATGGGTTTCGCCATGTTGGCCAGGCTGGTCTCAAACTCCTGACCTCAGGTGATCTGCCCACCTCGGCCTCCCAAAGTGCTGGGATTACAGGCATGAGCCACTGCACCCAGCCAGGAAAAAAAAATTCTCATTTAAAACTTATCTCAGGAGAGGAGAAATTTTGTTTAAAACTTCTCAAGGAAAATTGTGGGCAATTTAGAAGCCATACATTGCCAGAGAAACAGAAGCCAGGGTTGGCCTCCTAAAGGATTTTCTCAAGAACCACCTTATACATCAACTGGGTATGCGACAACACCAGCCGTTGCTCAGGAAGAACCCCCTAAGGGGTAGAAATACAAGGGATACAAATTCTTACCCCACTATATAATATTTTTAAATGGAAAAAAATAAAAATCAAGCAGTGAGGAAAATTTTGCAAGCCAAATAGAGACAAAACAACCCTGAGCATCATAAAACTAGGCAAATTTAACAACATAATCCAAAGTAAGAGATTAATATAAGAATGGATTGCAATTATGTAATGGATTTTCCTGGATACCAAAATGCATTATAAAGGTCATTTAATTCTCATGCCACTGTCTGGTCATTTTGGTTCCCATTACACCAGGCAGTAAAACATCTGTATTTTTTTACTCTCTTTACTGCTATGAATTCCTGAGCTCTAATAAAAAGTTCTCAATCAGAATCTGGTTTCAATGTAGAAGTCTTACTTCCAAAAATCTTACTTTATATTTAGAACAGCATTTTTTTCCCTTCCATGCTTTTATTTAATAGCTTTTAAGCCAATATATAAAATAGAATTAATAAACTCAAAAGAAAGAAAACATCACTGAAATCAGACTTTTAGGACAGCAGATGCCTCTCATTTGACAGACGAGGGCTGAGACAGATCATGTTTTAGTGGTGGCAGCTGATTTCCAATCAGAAACCAGGTTTAAGGACATTAAGACTAGTGATCTTTGCCTCGCACTATACTGAGGAAATGCTATAACAACAAATAGCTGGAAAAGTAAGAATTATGTTAACTGAAATTAGTTATTACTTGAATTAAAAAAAAATTGTATTCTCCTCTCACTGTCCCCAAAGGAAAAGTTAGAACTTTCACTAAAATATGAAGTTTTTCATTACTTGTAAGAAAAAACCATCTTGTAGGAAAGATTTTGCTTGGTAACAGATGTTTAATAACTTAGGAAATAATCAACATACATTAATTTATTATTTTAAATACTCTTTACCAGTTCTTAAGTCCAAAGATAGATCTCTTGTTTGGTTGCAAGAATCCAGTATTTTAGAAAATGTATAGCCTATTTTCGTGTATTCTTCCTTCATAAATATGCAAAAGCCTATTTCTATTCTTCTAAGTTTGTCCCAACTTTACTTTGCAGATCAGTATGCATAGCAAAAGAAATGTAAAATGAGCATAAAGGACACATTTACAAAGCATACATATTTCTGTGTCTATTACAAATTGAAAGTCAGGCAACTGACAGTTTTTCCCCCTGCAGAGCTCTACAACAAGCATACATCAAATCAATGAGCAAACAAAAAGCTTGTATAAATGGCTTTGTCTTTATGATTAAACTGGCTCACTCATGCATGCCAGTGGAGTGCTGCTTTGATTCCAGGTGGTCAGCATATCTCTCTGGTTAATGGCATCCAAGAAGGAAATTGCTGATTCTTTACTGCCTGCCGACCTACCTATATTTTGCTCCAGTATATTGGTGGCTACCTCAGTTACTCACTACTTGCCCCCAGAATGAGGTTAAATTTGTCAAAATTATGATTCCCCTTAATGATGGAACCAATATTGTGATTCTCATTCTAAATCTTTTATTGTAATGAAGAGGTAGGAAAAATATTTCTACACAAGAACTCCTTAACCCCCAGCACACATCCTCATTCTTAAATAAATATCCAGATATCCATTCACACTCAATGGATATTTATCAAGGGTGTTCTGGGTCCTATAAGCTAGCAGTAAGCAAGACTGGTTCCGTTCATGCTGTCATAGAACTTACAATCTGGAGTGAGAAGAGAGACATTAAACAATTATAGGAATTGTTCGACAACAGTTAGGATATGTATCATGAGAAGGCAGAAGTTAGGAGAGCTTGTCAAGCTGAGTATAATTTAACATAGATAAATAGAGAATCCTTGCCCAAGAAAGCAACATTTAAACTGAAAAATGAATAGGAGTTGGTCAGGGTAGAGGAGTAGTGGTGGTGAAGAGGAAACAGCCAGCAGAAAGAGGCTCTGAGGCATGAAGAACTAGTAGGCTAGTAGAGGAAACAAAGGACCAATGTGGCTGGCATTAAATGAGACAATTGGGCCAAAGCCAGAGCATACAAGAAGGTGTAGGTCTTGGTGGAGTTTGAGCTTTATTATAAACTATAATAGGGCTTTGGGCAATGAGGTGACATAAGCATGTTTTTAAAAGATCGGTTTGACCCACTATGTGGAAAGTGAATTAGTGGAGATGACCAAAAGAAGGTGTGGCACCTGCAATTAGAAGGTTATCCAAGGGGTCCAGGTGTCAGGTAAAGACTAAGACCAGTTAGACAGATGTCTTCGTTGGCTTGGGTTGCCGTAACAAAATACCATAGACTGGTTGGCTTAAACACCAGAAATTTATTTCTCACAGTTCCAGAGGCTGAACTCAGGGTGCCTGTATGGTCAGGTTTCTGGTGAGGGCTCTCTTCCTGGCTTGTAGATGGCTGCCTTCTACTTATGTCCTCATATGGTAGAGAGAGAGAGAAACATCAGTCTCCTCCTCTTCTTATAAAGACATTAATCCCTTCAAGGGAGTCCCACCATCCTGACCCTTTCTAAACCTAATTACCTTCCAAAGTCTCATCTCCAAATACCATTACAGTGAGGATTAGGGCTTCAACATATGAATTTGGGTGGTGGGACACAAACATTCAGTCCATAACAACAGATTGAAGAGATATCCTTGGAGACAGAATTGACAGTACTGGGTGATTGGCTGGACAAAGAAGCTAAGAAATGGGTAGGGATTAAAGATGATTCAGGTTGGGTGCAGTGGCTCATGCCTCTAATCCCAGCACTTTGGGCAGCCAAGGCTGGCAGATCATGAGGTCAAGAGATTGAGACCATCCTGGCTAACGTGGTGAAAACAACATAAAAAGGGAGAACAAATTTATTGCTTCATGTCATTAAGAAGTCCAAGGTTAGGGATGACTTAAGACATGGTGGGATCTGGAAGCTTAAATGATCAAGCAGGAACCAATCTTCCCACTTCTCTCAGCTTTACTGTCATTCATTTAAAAATATTTATTGAAAAGCTACTGAGTCCCATGCTCCATTTTAGACACTAGAGATGCAGTGGTACAAAAGACAAGCAAGTCCACTATCACTGCTTCTTTTCAGCATTGCACTGGAGGTTCTAGTCAGTGCAACAATTCAAGAAAAAGACATTTTTAACAATATAAGAATTGAGAAGAAGGCTGGGCACTGTGGCTCATGCCTGTAATCCCAGCACTTTGGGAGGCTGAGGTGGGTGGATCATGAGGTCAAGAGATCGAGATCATCCTAGCCAACATGTTGAAATCCCATCTCTACTAAAAATACAAAAATTAGCTGGGCGTGGTGGCGGGCGCCTGTAGTCCCAGCTACTCGGAAGGCTGAGGCAGGAGAATGGCATGAACCCAGGAGGCAGAGGTTGCAGTGAGGCGAGATTGTGCCACTGCACTCCAGCCTGGGTGACAGAGCGAGACTCTGTCTCAAAAAAAAAAAAAAAAAATTAGTAACATGTTTGTCCAATGGCAGCATTAAGAGAATAAAAAGGCAAGCCCAGTGGGAGAAGGTATTTGCAACACCTGTAGCTAAAAAGGCCTTATATTCAGGATATTTTAAAAGATAAAAATTTTAATATCTCCTACAAATCAAAAAAGAAAAAAAAATGGGGGGGAGGGGGGAGGGATAGCATTGGGAGATATACCTAATGCTAGATGACGAGTTAGTGGGTGCAGCGCACCAGCATGGCACATGTATACATATGTAACTAACCTGCACAATATGCACATGTACCCTAAAACTTAAAGTATAATAAAAAAAAAAAAAAAAAGAAAAAAAATGGGTAACTCAATAGACGCTTGAATAGGTACTCCACAAAAAAGGACATACAAATGGCCAATAAACATATGAAAGGGTATTCAGCCTCATTAGTAATTAGGAAAGTGCAATATGATATACTGTACATTCATGTTTAAAGACTTATAACACCAAATGTTGCCTAGGATATGCAATAACAGGTACACACTAGGGTAGGAGAGTAAGTTGACACAATAACTTCAGAAGATAATTTGGCAATGATCTTCTAAAGCAGAACATTTGTATACTCCAGGATCCAGCAATTCTATCCTCAGGAATATATTCAATAGAAATGAAGGCATATATGTACCAAAGACATTTACAATAATGTTGAGTGACAGAAGCCAGACACACAAGTATATACTCCATTTATCTATATAACTTAAAAACTGTCAAACTATGATGTTACTAGTTAGCAGGAGAGAAGGTATAGTGATTGGGAGAAGCATGAGGGGGTAATGTTCTATTTCTTCATCTAGGTGGTAGACAAATGGGTGTATTCATTTTGTAATAATTTTTGACCCAAACATTTGTTTTGTACATTTTTTTCTGTATGTGAATGATGTGCCAATAAAAAAAGATTTAAAAATAAAGCCAAGCTTCCTGCCCCCATGGACTTTACATTCTTCTATGAGGATCCCTGCTCTCCTCCCTGTTGACTGGCTTCAATCTAAGGCTGCAAGTGGTGGCAAAGTAGCGACCAGCAGCTCCTAGTCTACAACTTCCCACGTTCAAACAAGTAGAAGTCAAGGCATACTTGTCTTAGGAGTTCAGCAAAAGTCCCACGTTGCCTCTGACTGGCTCTAATTGGAGCATGCCTTCATCTCTGATCCAATCACCGTGGCCAGTGTGAGACTCTAATTGGCCAAGCCTGAATCACAGCCAACTCATGAAGCCAGAGTCAAATGGAGTCAGCTTCACCAGAACACGTATAATAAAAATAGGTAAAGATTCAAACAAAACAAAACTGTGGCCCTGTTTCAAAAGAGGAAATAAATATGGGTTGTAAACCCAACAAATGTCTGTAACAGATCTCCTGCAAATGAGAACCTGGATTTCCTACTTCGTGTTAAGCTAACTTCCCTTTAATTCCTTCATTTTATCACATGTCCCAGGGATTTGGCTCTTCCACTGCTATCATGATTGCAAATGGACTCTTTTCTTCTTCTCTTTGGTCACCTGAGAAATAAGGTACTCTCTCCTACTCCATCTCTATTTTTCTGACTTCGAAATAAGACAAAAACAATTAACCAGACAGATGAAAGTGAATAACAATAACAACAAAAATTTATTTAGAGTTTTAAATGTTTGTTTCTGCTAGAAACTGCATGTTAACATAAAGGCTAATAAAAATAATCAGACCTTAGAAAGTAAGTTCTATTTCTATCCCTCTTCAAAGGATCCTTTGAGATGCCTCAGGGAGTACCTCCTCTGGTCAGTTTTCTTTACCACCCCCACCCCTGATCTGAGTTATTGAACACCTCTGCCCCTGTGCTCACTCATACTATATTGTAGTTTTCTGTTTACTTATCTGCCTTACGCATTGGCTCATGTGTTCCTTGAAGGAAGGGTTTCTACCTTTATCTCTGTATTAGCACTACAAAGCTCAGTGTCTGGGACATATACAGTGAAGGGTCAGTAAATATTTTCAGAATGAGTGAGTGTTTCATATCCCAGTTATACTTAAACCTGATAGCAGCCCTGTGAGATAGAGGTGATCAACCTGAGGCTTAGAGAGGTAAGGTAGGTGACTTGCTTAAGGTCATAAATAGTAAGTAGAATCAGGATTGGAGCTCAAATCTATCTGATAAAAAGTCTGAGCCCTTGACCAGGGCTTTGGTCAAAACTGTTCATTTATTTGGAATAAGGTTCAAAATGTAGCTGGGAGTAGTTTTCCCTGATTGAATCCTACCTGCCTTTCTAACCCTTTTTGTCATTTTTCTCCTTCACGCATCTTTCCTCACAGCCCCTGAACAGACTTGGGCTTTCCTGCCTCTTTGTTTTCACTGGACTCTGTCAACTCTGCTTACTAAACTCTTACACCTTCTTCAAGGATCAGCTCAGACATCATCTCTTTTACAAAATTTTCCTTTATCACATACCCAGAAGTGACATCATCCTCCTTTGAATTGTCATATTATTTCCTGAACCATGAACATGGCATGTGTGACATACTAGCTCTGCTCAAACTATTAGTCTCCATATTAAACTACTAGATCATGCCTTGTCCTCTTTATGGCCCTTAGTATAGTGATTTGCACATAGTAGACTTTTTACAAATTTGCTGAATAAATTAATGGTGGTAGTGGTGACTTTTTGGTATGCCAACCATTTCCCCCACTGTCTAGGGCTTAGGACTGTGCAAATCATTGTTAGATCTGCCCTATTTCTTCATACCTTATAGGCTGTGATATGGTTTGGCTGTGTCCCCACCCAAGTCTCATCTTGAATTGTAGTTCCCATAATCCCCACATGTTGTGGGAGGGACCCAGTAGGAGGTAATTGAATCGTGGGGACATTTTCCCCCATGCTATTCTGATGATAGTAAGTTCTCATGAGATCTGATGATTTTATAAGAGGCTTCCCCCTTCACTTGGCTCTCATTCTTCTCTTTCCTGCTGCCATGTGAAGAAGGACGTGTTTGCTTCCCCCTTCACCATGATTGTAAGTTTTCTGAGGCCTCCCCAGCCCTGTGGAACTGTGAGTCACTTAAACCTCTTTCCTTTATAAATTACCCAGTCTCCGGCATTTCTTCATAGCAGCATGAGAACAAACTAATATAGGCTGTATTCTCTCTTGATAACCAAAGGAGTTTTATATATTCAGAACTACCAAATATCAGCTTGGCAAATTTAAGTATAAATGGGCTTTTGATAGCTGTTAACAATGGGTTTTCACAAGTAGTTGGGAGACATGGCTTTGTGAATAAGTTTTGTTTCGTTTTCATTAAGAAGGAATAGTGACTGGGACAAGAAAAAGAAGGGAATATATTCCAGGTGTTTCTAGGGGTGAGGTAATTTGGCCTGCTAACAGTAAAACCCCAAGTTAATCAGAACCCGATTAACTTGCATTAATTGGCACCTCAATTATACACACACACACACACACACACACACACACACACATACATAAAGCAGACAGAAAAAGGGAGAGAGAGAGAGAAGAGACAGAGAGAAGAGAGAAGGGGAAAGGATCTGCCCTTAATAGAGACAAATGACAACAACAAATGAAACAGCAGCAAAATAATATCAAAACAGCATCTAGCCGCATAGGTTCTGCTCTCAATAACAGCATCATTTTCAGAAACGAAGCAACTCAAAATCCTGAATCATGTGACAAGATTGAAAGATAAAAGGGCTTAACCAGAAAATTCATGTAACCAGCACATGTCATTTCCCACAAATTATGCTTAAGCAGTGTTGTATATCATATCACTATAGTCTTATAAGATTATAGTTATACATCATCACTATATCATATATCATATCACTATATAGTTATATATCACATCACTATAATCTTATAAGATTATGGTGAGCCACCTAGAAGTTGTGGGTAGGTATGACTATATAATATTCTTCAAGAAAACAACTTTGGAAAGTTATTTAAGGCTTGAATTATATTATAGCAATGAAACTAACTGGAAATATAAGGGTATTTTTAAACAGACTTGAATCTTCAATATGCAGCTGGAGCAGCAGATCCTGGTATGACTTGTTTTCTGCTAACTTGCAGGCTTCTTCAATGATCAGGTTTCAAGTTTCACTGCGGCAACTGACTCAAAGTGATTATTTAGCCTGCAAAATAGAAAAGAGTATAAAGGGACATGGTTGAAGTACTGAAAATTGCAATTACAGAGGGCACGTGAAAATTGATCTGTTCCTCCTTTTTATCTGGTTGAATACAGGAACAAGAGAATTTAAAATACATTTTAGTTTTAATGAGAATACCAGAGATGTATGATTTTATGTGGCATTTTAAGAGGATATTATTCACAATGGCAAAGGAATCATGGGGAAAAAAAGTGACAGAAGGTATATATTTTTTACTGAATAATCACACATTTTAACGTTTAGCGATAGAGTCAACAAAATCATGTTTCAGGTGGTTAGACCCCAAGAACTTTTGGGCTAACACTGAAGATTCTGCTGGAAGAACACAATGGCTAGTACAATAAGTAAGGTTGGGAGCAAATTAACATGGTGGGCAAAGTGGTCCGTGTGTCACATAGTGTCCACATAATGATGATGATGATAAGGATAATAGCTAGTGTGTTTACAGCTACTTCCCCATTATTTGTAAGAAAAATTATATGAGTTTCATTTTGTTTTGTTTTCTTTTTTGCTTGAATTGCCTTCCCTGGGCTCCTTCCCAGCTCCCACATGCCCAATTCTGCATATTCAAATTTGACCTCTTCTTCAAATACCCTTTTAAAAATGCAGTGTAGTGCAAACAGCAATCTCTGACCTCACTACTAAGAAAGAGTAATCTTCTACTCTGAATCCCTCCTCCATACCTCTCATGCAGCACTAGTCATTTCCTGCCTAGTAATGTGGCTATGTGACTTATTATGTGGTTAGTTTCCCTTACTAGATCTTTGCATACGATTCATTATTTATCTCTGTATTCTCTGCATTGTCATAAGCTTTTATATAATAAGCAACGAACAAATATTTATAAATAATTATAAATATGTGTTTAATTAATGGAATAGTAGGAATGGAGTTGTATTAATTTCACTTTGTCACATCAGGCTCTCTTTGACCAATGTCTCATCTTTTCCAAGGATAAAGATGTAGTTCTTATGACTTCATGGACTCAGCATTGCCAGTGTTCAGACAGTGTACAATAGATATGTGCCAGAATCTTTATGTGTGAGTTAATTTTATACATTTTATAAATTTCATATATATATATATATATTTTTGTTTGTTTGTTTGTTTGTTTTGAGATGAAGTCTCGCTCTGTTGCCCAGCCTGGAGTGCAGTGGCGTGATCTCGGCTCACCATAACCTCCGCCTCCCAGGTTCAAGTGATTCTCCTGCCTCAGCCTCCTGAGTAGCTGGGACTGCAGGTGCATGCCACCACACCCAGCTAATTTTTGTATTTTTAGTAGAGACGGGGTTTCACTATGTTGGCCAGGCTGGCCTCGTACTCCTGACCTCATGATCCACCTGACTCGGCCTCCCAAAGTGCTGAGATTACAGGCGTGAGCCACCGCGCCCAGCCAAATTTCATTATATTTTAATGCCAGAGGGGTCTTGCTATTTAGAGGAACCATACATAGGATCCTTCTGAAATATTTAGCTTCTAATTTAAGAGTTTTGTAAGTTGTAATTTTAATACGCAGTGTTTTTTATATTTGTATTTTTTAAAATTTCTTATTTTTTTTTTTTTTTTTTTAGATGGAGCCTCGCTCTGTCACCCAGGCTGGAGTGCAGTGGTGTGATCTCGTCTCACTGCAGCTTCTGCCACCCAGGTTCAAGAAATTCTCCCTGCCTCAGCATCCCAAGTAACTGTGATTACAGGCGCCTGCCACCATGCCCAGCTAATTTTTGGATTTTTTAGTAGAGACGGGGTTTCGCCATGTTGGCCAGGCTGGTCTTGAACACCTGACCTCAGATGATCCACCCACCTCGGCCTCCCAAAGTGCTGGGATTACAGGTGTGAGCCACCTCGCCTGGCCCCAAAAATTTCTATACAGTAAAAGTCACTCATTTTAGCACATGACACCATGTGTTTTTACAAATGCATAGAGTCATATAATCAAGAAACAGAAAGTGCCATCACTCAAAAAATTCTCTCATACTGTCCTTTTGTTAGCTTGTCCCTTTGTCCCTGACCCCTGGCAACCACCTATCTGTCCTATGTCCCTATAGTTTTGCTTTTCCCGAATGTCATATAAATGGAACTAGAAAGAATACAGCCTTTTGAGTCTGGCTTCTTTCACTTAACATAATGCATTTGAGATTTATTCATATTGTTGTAATATGTATCAATAGTTCATTTATTTTCATTGTTGAGTAGTATTCCATAGTATGGAGATATTCATACTATGGAATATCAAAGGAATATCATACAGTTGAAGGATATTTGGGTTGTTTCCAGGTTCTGGCTATTATGAATAAATCTACTGTAAATATTCACGTACAGTTTTTTGTATGAACATATGCTTTCATTTTTCTTTGGTAAATATCTAGGAGTAGGATTATTGGCCATGTGGTATGTGTATAACCTCATGAAAACTGCCAACTGCTTTCCAAAGTGGCTGTACCATTTTGCATTCCCATCAACAACGTATGAAAATTGCTCTACACCATTACCAGCACTTGGTAGTATATGCGTTGTTTCAAAAAAGCCATTCTAATGAGTATATAGTAGTATCTCGTTGTGGTTTTAATTTGTTTTTCTCTAATTACAAAAGGTGTTGTGCATCTTTTCATGTACTTATTTTGCTATCTGTATCTCTTCTTTGATGAAATATCTGTTGAAATCTTTTGTCCATTTAAGAAATTGGGTGTTTTTTATGGTTTGATTTTATTTAAATACTTTAAAAAATCAAATAGTTAATTTTGTAGAAAAATTAGAAAATTTAGATAAGAAAAAAAGAGAATTTAAATAACCCATGAATCCACAACTAAGAGATAACTAGTTTAACATTTTGGTATACGTACTTTCAGACTATTTTTTAATGCAGATGTACATGTTACAGACATCTAATCTGAATTACCTTGGCTGCATCAGCCTAAATGTTCTGGCTGAACGGTGGACGGTCAGACTCATTTCTACACCTTGCTCACAAAATGCAACTTAAGATGGGAGAATTTAGTTTCTTCTGTGGAGAAACTAAGTTGCTTTACTCTCTCATACTGACATTTGGTAGTCGGCCAATAAAAAGGCTGGTGTACCAACCGATCACCATAAGTGAAACCCACCATTTGACCTGTCCTCCTCACTCCAGCAAGGCCTTCCAATATATCTTTTTAGTTTATTTCTGTCATGTAAATGCACATACAAAAAGAACAAAAACCCAAGAATCACCAGGTAATTGGGAAAAGCTCACAGTATCAAAGGTAACAAACGAACCAGAAAGGAACTCAGAGGAAACCAAGATGATGCAGGGTACTGAAGAAAATTATTTTTAAAAAGCATTTGGGAATTTACAATACAATCACTGAATTTAAAAGCAGAAAAGAAAAGCATGAGAACATTGATGACATCTCCCAGAAAGTCAAACAAGGAAACAAAGAGATGGAACACTGGAGAAAAAAGGTAAGAGACTTAAAGAATCAATCAGAAATTCTATTGTTTAGCCAGTAGGAGGTCCAGAGAGTATCGAACAAAAATGAAGAAGAAAAAAACTACAGCACTGGGAATAAACACCATCAAAGCTTCCAAAGAGAGGAAAAAGGATCAGATCAAAAGAAAGGAGAAACAATAACCTCATGCTTCTCAATATTGTCACTGAATTCTAGAAAGCAAAGGACTATTATCTTCAATATTCTGAAGAGAAATTAGGTTTAGCTAAGAATTTTAGATCCAACCAAACCACCAATAAAGTATGAGGATAGAATAAAGACATTTTGGCCGGGTGTGGTGGCTCATGCCTGTAATCCCAGGACTTTGGGAGGCTAAGGCTGGTGAATGGCTTGAGCTCAGCAGTTCGAGACCAGCCTGGGCAACATGGCAAAACCGTGTCTTTACAAATACAAAAAAAAAAAAATTAGCTAGGCATGGTGGGCCGTGCACCTGAAGCCCCAGCTACACTGGAGACTGAGGTGGGAGGATCACCTGAGCCTGGGAGATGGGTGCTGCAATGAGCCATAATCGTGCCTCTGCACTCCAGTCTGGGCAACAGAGTAAGACCCTGTCTCAAAAAAAGACATTTTCAGAGATTCAAGGACTCAAAATTTTACCTATATGTACCTTTTCTTAGGAAATGTCTATTTCAGGAATACTGGAGAGTAAACTGAGAAAGAAAAAGTAGTCCAGGAAATGAGAGAGCTAACACAGAGGATAGTGAGGGGAAGTCCTAGAATGACAACCATGCCCCAAGTCTATGGAGCAGTCGTCCTGATTAGATGAGGAGTTAGAGGGATATGAGAGGAAGGTCTTGAGAAAAAATGGAACTGCTAGGTTGTTGGATGTTTTTATGTTTGGAGATTTGGAAAAAAATATTGCTAGCCCTTTGATATTTAGAAATCTTTACATAGTCATAATTATGTGAATACTTATTACCAAATTAATCAAAACACTTTTGCCCTAAGAAAAAAAGTTTTTGTTTTTACCAAAAAGTCCTGCCTTATGACATTTAAAGATTATGATAAAGCTATAGTGAGAGGAAGTGGGGAAAGGAAGTGGAGATTGAATAAGAGAGCGAAATCCTCAACTACTTTAACAGGATGTCTATAGACAATGTCTTAAGTTGATAAATCAAGAAAAAGCCTGAATGAGCAAATTATTTAAACACAAAGACGTAAGTAGTAGATGAAATGGCTGAAACGTTCTTGAAAGTGGCAGATTGGAGAGCAGTATGGGTAAGAAATGGAGCAGAGGTACACTGCTTTCCCATCTAAATCTTCCAGAATAATTAATTTTAAAAATACCATGTGCAAGCAGGACATGATGGTGCATGCCTGTTTTCCCAGCTGCTGGAGAGGCTGGGGCTAGTTGGGAGGATTTCTTGAGCCCAGGAGTTTGAAGCTAGCCTGGGCAACATAGCCAGACCTTTTCTCTAAAAACAACAACAAAACAGAACAAAAAAACCCAACGATGTGCATATATTACTTTGATTAAAAAATTATTTTAAACATATCTGCATATACTTTTCAGATAGAGTTGGAATTGCTGGATCAAAAGACCTAACATTTTTAAAAAGTTTTTGCTATCTACTGTAAAATTGTCTTCCAAAAGTTGTAATCACTCACACTCCCACCAGCAGTATATGACAGTACCCATTTCTCTGCATCTTTGCTAATCTAGGTTATTTTTTAAAATCTTTGGCCAGGCGCAGTGGCTCATGCCTGTAATCCCAGCACTTTGGGAGGCTGAGATGGGCGGATCACAAGGTCAGAAGTTTGAGACCACCCTGGCCAATATGGTGAAACCTCGTCTCTACTAAAAGTACAAAATTAGCCATGTGTTGTGGCGGGCGCCTGTAGTCCCACCTACTTGGGAGGCTGAGGCAGGAGAATCACTTGAACTGAGGAAGAAGAGGTTGCGGTGAGCTGAGATTGAGCCACTGTACTCCAGCCTGGGTGACAGAGCAAGACTCCGTCCCAAAAAAAAAAAAAAAAACTTTGCCAGTTGGCCAGGCAAAAAAAAGTCTTTTACCACTATTTGAAGTGTGTTTTCTTTCTTTTTTTTTTTAAATTGATCATTCTTGGGTGTTTCTCGGAGAGGGGGATTTGGCAGGGAAGGTCAGCAGATAAACAAGTGAACAAAGGTCTCTGGTTTTCCTAGGCAGAGGACCCTGCGGCCTTCCGCAGTGTTTGTGTCCCTGGGTCCTTGAGATTAGGGAGTGGTGATGACTCTTAACGAGCATGCTGCCTTCAAGCATCTGTTTAACAAAGCACATCTTGCACCGCCCTTAATCCATTTAACCCTGAGTGGACACAGCACATGTTTCAGAGAGCACAGGGTTGGGGGTAAGGTCACAGATCAACAGGATCCCAAGGCACAAGAATTTTTCTTGGTACAGAACAAAATGAAAAGTCTCCCATGTCTACTTCTTTCTACACAGACACGGCAACCATCCGATTTCTCAATCTTTTCCCCACCTTTTCCCCCTTTCTATTCCACAAAACCGCCATTGTCATCATGGCCCCTTCTCAATGAGCTGTTGGGTACACCTCCCAGACGGGGTGGTGGCCGGGCAGAGACGCTCCTCACTTCCTAGATGGGATGGTGGCCGGGAAGAGGCGCTCCTCACTTCCTAGATGGGAGGGCGGCCAGGCAGAGACGCTCCTCACTTTCCAGACTGGGCAGCCAGGCAGAGGGGCTCCTCACGTCCCAGATGATGGGCGGCCAGGCAGAGACGCTCCTCACTTCCCAGACGGGGTGGCGGCCGGGCAGAGGCTGCAATCTCGGCACTTTGGGAGGCCAAGGCAGGCGGCGGGGAGGTGGAGGTTGTAGCGAGCTGAGATCACACCACTGCACTCCAGCCTGGGCACCATTGAGCACTGAGTGAAACAGACTCCGTCTGCAATCCCGGCACCTCGGGAGGCTGAGGCTGGCGGATCACTCGCGGTTAGGAGCTGGAGACCAGCCCGGCCAACACAGCGAAACCCCGTCTCCACCAAAAAAATACGAAAACCAGTCAGGCGTGGCGGCGCGCACCTGCAATCGCAGGCACTCAGCAGGCTGAGGCAGGAGAATCAGGCAGGGAGGTTGCAGTGAGCCGAGATGGCAGCAGTACAGTCCAGCTTCGGCTCGGCATCAGAGGGAGACTGTGGAAAGAGAGGGAGAGGGAGACCGTGGAGAGGGAGAGGGAGGGGGAAGGGGAGGGGGAGAGGGAGAGGGAGAGGGAGAGCTGAAGTGTGTTTTCTTTATGAGTAGGTCCTACTTGTAGCTAAGGCTAAGTGGCATTCTGTTTCCTTCCTTTTGAGTTCCTAGATTAATACTTGATGAAATTACAAATCTTCTATATAAACATATGTATTAACATCTAGATTCTGGACCTAGAGAGAATTTAAAAAATTGTCTTCATTGTGCAGTAACAGAAAAACTGAATTATTAAGTGCTTGCCTGAACAAGTGCGTATGACTTCCTTATTTCTATGAATGCCCCTAGTAATGTTTGACCCTTTCCTCCATATTCAGTCAACAAATTAATTAAATTAGACTCTACTTAGGCTTCATATCTGTTGTTTCCTTTCCATTCTTGCTCTTACCATTCAAATGTTGCTGTTGCTTTCAGGAAAATTTCGATAGATACTTCCAAATTACTCTTCCAAGGGATTTTATATGAACTTATATTTCCACCAATAGTGTAGAAGAATGTGTCTTCAAACTGTCAACAACAGTTGGGAGTGACAAATTTTTTATCATTATCAATCTAATAGGTGAAAAATGGATGGCACTTCATTGTGATTTTGATTTGTATTGCTTATGTATGTAGGCAGAATATATTTCTGCCTAAATCTCATTAACTAGCATTAAGGGTCATATGGACAGGCTCAGTGCCAGGGGGCTAGCAATGCCAACATTTCACTTTGTAGCCTTTACAATGGAAGGCAGGGAGGAAGGGAGCTGGAATGGATGCTAAAGCCATCAACATTTTTTTCATTTATGACTTTTGGGTTTTATGTCCTTTTCTACACTAAGACTAAAATTGTACCTGTGGGTTTTTTTTGTAGCTTTTTATTATAAAAACATTCTTCCAAAACACAAAAGTAGAGAGAGTAGAATAGTGAACTTTCATGTAACTATCACAGCTTGAAGAATTATTAGCAGTCTATATTTTTGTTTCATCTATCCCATGCCTAATTATTTTTCTGAAGTTTTCTAAGAAAATCTCAAGTATCATACCATTTCATTCATTAATATTTTAATGTTTCTCTAACAGGTAAGGCCATTTTATTGATGTGTAATATATACATTAAAATATATGGCTCAGCCAGATGCATGTAATCCTAGCACTTTGGGAGGCCTAGGTGGGAGGATCCCTTGAGTTCCAGGAGTTTGAGGCTACAATGAGCTACGATTGCACCACTGCACTCCAGCCTGGGTAACAGAGTAAGACCCTGTCTAAAAATATATCTATATTGCTCAAATAATTTTCACAAAATGAAAACACTCATATAACCACATCCCATATTAAGAAATAGAATATTACCACACTCTAGAAGCCCCCTTTTCATCTTCTTGCAGTCACTACTCAAAGTTAAGCACTATCTTGACTTCTATCAGTTTGAATCAGTTTTTCCTATTTTTGAACTTTATGTACATAGAATTGCATTACAAACTTTACATATATAAATGGTATCACATTGTTTGGTGTTTGGCTCACTTTACTCAACATTTTGTTTGTCAGACTTATCCATGTTGTCATGTGTAGCAGTGGTTTGTTCATACATACCGTATTTACTATAATCTAGTATGTAGATTATCTATATGCTATGAAGACTCTCTAGAGTATTTCATTGTATTAATATACCATAGATTTTAACTCTACTGTTAATGGGTATTTGGGTTGTTTTCTTTTTTGGCCATTGAAAATAGTGCTGCAGCCAGGTGCAGTGGCTCACGCCTGTAATCCCAACACTTTGGGAGGCCAAGGCGGGCGGATCATGAGGTCAGTAGTTCGCGACCAGCCTGACCAACATGGTGAAACCCCGTCTCTACTAATTAGCAGGGTGTGGTGGTGCACACCTGTAATCCCAGCTACTCAGGAGGCTAAGACAGAAGAATGGCTTGAACCTGGGAGGCAGAGATCAAGCCATTGCACTCCAGCCTGGACATCTCAAAAAAAAAAAAAAAAAAGCATAAAAGAAAGAAAATAATGCTGCTATGATCATTCTTAAACAAATATTTTGCTGCACATATGTCTGCATTTCTGTTGTAGGAGTTGCACCACCAGATCATGGGTATTCCTATATTCAGTGTTAGTAGATTCTTTCAGTTTTCTAAAATGGTTATACGAAGTTACATTCCCACCAACAGTGTATGTGAGTTAACAGTTGTTAACAATTGTACCACATCATTATTAACACTTGGCATTGTCAGTTGAGAAATAGACTCCAAGGAGATTATCATGTAGAAAACATATTAGGGGTTGCTCTTGGGATTAACACCTGTGGAAGGGATGGAGCAGAGGCAAAATTGGACAGAGGCAGAAGTTGGGCTGTGGTGCAGTTTCAACTAATGTTTCAGCTGACCCCATAGAGAGCCCCTTTTTTTGTTTGTTTTTTGAGACAGGGTCTCACTCTGTCATCCAGGCTACAGTGTAGTGGTGCAATCACAGCTCACTGCAGCCTCGACTTCCCAAGAGCCCATGTTTTTAAGACCTTTCATACCCTGCACTCTGCCACGATGGTACGCTGTTTATTTTTATTTATTATTATTATTGAAAGGGAGTCTTGCTCTGTCACCCAGGCTGAAGTGCAGTGGCATGATCTCAGCTCACTGCAACCTCTGTCACCTGGATTCAATCAATTCTCCTGCCTCAGCCTCCCAAGTAGTTGAGATTACAAGTGCCTGCCACCATGCCTGGCTAATTTTTGTATTCCGGTAGAGATGGGGTTTCACCATGTTGGTCAGGCTGGTCCCAAAATCCTGACCTCAAATGATCTGCCCGCCTTGGCCTCCCAAAGTGCTGGGATTACAGACGTGAGCGACCATGCCCGGCCATGTACACTGTTTGTATATAACATATTAGCACTAGATGCTGATGATGAAAGCTAGCTGAAGTCAACCAGCCGTGTCATTTTGACTTCTGGTTGTTTAGTGCCTCTTTGGTGGTAGATGGTGCTTGCTGGTAGGCATTACCATGTAATCTTCATGCCCACTTTGTGCCTATTCACATATACCCATCCTTCCCCAGACTTTCTTGTTCCTGATCTGCCAAGCTTTCTCTTCTAGGTCCTGAGGAGCTTGGTTTTAGAAATCAGATAATCCATTATCTGCTAGGATGGTTTAAATAAAAGAAGCTTGTATTAAAACTCTCCATAATATATTTGACTTTTTTTTTTTTGAGACGGAGTTTCATTCTTGTTGCCCAAGCTGGAGTGCAATGGTGCGATCTCAGTTCACTGCAACCTCTAACTCCTAGGTTCAAGCGATTCTCCTGCCTCAGCATCCCAAAGTGCTGGGATTACAGGCGTGAGCCACCGCACCCGGCCTATATTTGACTTTTTTAAAAGCCGAACTATACTATAAAGAATGTTTTCAAAAGAACCAGCCAAATTAAAATTATAGAAGGTTTTTTGTTACCTTTAGATTCATGTTTTAATATTCATGGTGAACTATCTTTTCTACTAAAGCCCTTAGACAACTGGCAGTAGCAATTTTCACTGTCTAGAAGGTGGCTTCTCCAACTCAATGTGCATAAGAAGCACCTGGAGCTCTTGTTGAAATGCAGATTAAGATTCAGTTGCTCTGGGCTGAAGCCCAAGACTGTGCATTTCTATTAGGCTGGTGCAAAAGTAATTGCGGTTTTGATGGCAAAAACCACAATAACTTTTGCACCAACCTAATAACAAGCTTCCAGGTGGTGCTGGCGCAGCTGGTCTGCAAACCACACTTTGAATGGCCAAGTTCTGTGGCCTCTTGTCCTTCCCTGCTAGCTGGAAATTCACCTTATAACAAATTCAAACCCACTTTGGTCCTTTGGGCTAAAACCGATCCAAGATTTAAGATGTTCAAATTGGGATGGTTAACTGATCCCATTACATGTTCTGCCCTGCAAGTTAGAATGCGGACTTAAATGAAAAATTAAACTATAGTCAAGATTTTAAAAACAGTTGAGGCTGGGCAAGGTGGCTCATGCCTATAATCCCAGCACTTTGGGAGGCCAAGGCAGGTGGATCACCTGAGGTCAGGAGTTCGAGAGCATCCTGGCCAACATGGCGAAACCCATCTCTACTAAAAATACAAAAATTAGCTGGGCATGGTGGCAGGCACCTGTAATCCCAGCTACTTGGGAGGCTGAGGCAGGAGAATCACTTGAATCTGGGAGGTGGATGTTGCAGTGAGCCAAGATCGCACCATTGCACTCTAGCCTGGGAGACAAGAGCGAAACTGTGTCTCAAAAAAAAAAAAAAAAAAAAAAAAATTGAAAATGTGACCCACACTCTCCATATTCATTCATACTCTCTATGTCCTTTGATTTAACCAGTATTCTTGTCATACCTTAATCTCTTCTTAATGAATAAGATTTAAAAAGATGTATCGATGGAAATAATGTGTTAAACAACTTATCTGTTGACATAGCAAATAAGTAGAATTATTTTAGAAAGCTATTTAGTAATCTGTATCAAGATGTTGTTTTTTTACACCAGAATTGTTTCAATGTTTGTTTTACCCCATATTCTCATTCTTGATAATTTATTATACAAAATTATAATATTTGCTGAGCATTGCCACATGCTCTTCACTGTAATGGATTGTAGATTAACTTGCAGTAAGGAGAAAAGCACTTTCCACAAACATATTTATTTCAGTATGAACTAAAATGAAAAACATAGGAAACTAAACTTCAACAACT
This sequence comes from Homo sapiens, assembly GCF_000001405.40. NCBI lineage: Eukaryota > Metazoa > Chordata > Mammalia > Primates > Hominidae > Homo > Homo sapiens. The sequence continues at coordinate 64,047,203 of NC_000002.12, forward strand.
AGGTAAATTTTTATATAACAACTCAAAGGAATAATTCAAGACATTAAAAATGTGTAAATTATAAAATTGTGTGTTAAATGAATGCAAATAAAAAACTATAGAAGCAAAAAAAAAAAAAAATGAAAGTTAAAGAGGCAGAATTTTAAATAAAATGTTGCCTTAAAAGTTACTTGAGGCTGGGCACCGTGGCTCATGCCTGTAATCCCAACACTTTGGGAGGCCGAGGCGGGCGGATCACAAGGTCAGGAGTTCGAGACCAGCCTGGGCAACATGGTGAAACCCTGTCTCTATTAAAAATACAAAAATTAGCCAGGTGTGGTGGCAGGCGGCTGTAATCCCAGCTACTCGGGAGGTTGAGGCAGGAGAATCGCTTGAAACTGGAAGGCGGAGGTTGCAGTGAGCTGAGATCGCGCCATTGCACTCCACTCTGGGTGACAAGAGTGAGATTCCACCTCAAAAAAAAAAAAGTTATTTGAAAAACTACACACACACACACACACACACAAATGTGTAGAAGGATCAGATAATACAAGGCTTCATTTCATTTCTTTGGCTGTTGAGGCAACTTTTAAAAAGCCTTCTCTTACACCAACAAAAATATTCTTGTCCTTTCCTGCTTTCATAGCCTACATCTTCCTGTTTGTGAATACAGGTAGGAGATGTTGGAGTGGCAATCTGGGGCTCTCCCGTGGTTTACAGTGAAGAAAATAACTCAGTTTCATCAAGAGGCTGGCAAATGTTTTGCAGATATTTTACAATTGTATCAACCATAACAATGCCACAGATTCTACAAGGCTAAAAACCAGGCAGCAAGGCATTTGTCTTTCGGCTATTTTTGCTTAGAAGTTATTGGTGTTTGGCCTTATTTTCTTATATTGTAAACTTTTTGGATATTGGATATTTAGTTGTAAATGTCAGCTTGTTTATATTTGAGTTTACTCAACATTGGAATCCCTAAGGAATTCTTGAAGTTTGATAAATTCCCAGATACAACGGCACAATTCAGGGAGAGGAGTTTAGAGTCGTGAGTACCCTTTGCAGGAAGATAATGGTAAGCAAAACCTACTCTTAAAAGTTGTGTTGGGGGGTAGACCACAGTAGCTGATGGATGGTGAATGGTCTCAGGGTGGGAGTGGAGAATGGAGAAGGAAGAGGAGGCTCTGGGGCATAAAATGATGGGCCCTATACTAGCACCTCATTCTTGCTTTTACAGGGGAGGGAAAGACTTTTCCTCTACCCTCCTAGGTTTAAAATTTGAGTCTGTGAAACAAACTGACAATACGCAGATTAACCGGAGAAAAGGTATACAAATTTATTGCATGGATGGGGCATCACAAGAGAAAAAAAAATGAATACCCAAAAAAGTGGTGAGATTTGGGAGCTTATACTGTCTTCGTAGGGGAAAGAAGAAGAGGGATATGGACAACTTAGGAGAGGGTAAATAATTTGGGGGAAAGAATGAGCCCTTAGGGAGATGGAATCGTTTGTAGCAAACTCTTACATTCTATTATAGATGTAATAGAAGTGGTGTCCACTTCTAATCTTCTGTCCTGTTGTAATAGTCAATCTTCCTGGTTGATTAACCTACCAGAGAGGGGAATTAATGACAACTGAGTTCATTTTGGAGGATCTGTCTTCAGGCAGGTAAGGGAGAGTTCAGAGAAAGCCTCTCCCTGCATTTGCTGTCTTTCAAGTGTCTTCAGCTTCAAATAATTAGTATACCAAAGTAGCATATTTTGGGGTGGCATGTCCCAAATGCCTTTGCTTTCTTTTTTCTGAGTTTGGGAAATGTTCTTCCTTTTCTTGGGCACACTGTCCCCACCAAAGACAGAACAAACAAACAATTCAAGCTTTTATGCAATGAGATAGACACTGTGCTAGGCCTGCTCCCATTTTTGGCCTCCTGCAAAAATCCCAAGGAGCAACCTGGGAATATTTTTTTTTTTTTTTTTTTTAAGATGGAGTTTCGCTCTTGTTGCCCAGGCTGGAGTGCAATGGTGCGATCTCAGCTCACTGCAACCTCCACCTCCCAGGTTCAAGCAATTCTGCCTCAGCCTCCCAAGTAGCTGGGCCTACAGGCATGCGCCACCACACCTGGCTAATTTTTGTATTTTTAGTAGAGACGGGGTTTCTCCATGTTGGCCAGGGTGGTCTCAAACTCCTGACCTCAGGTGATCCGCCTGCCTCGGCTTCCCAAAGTGCTGGGATTACAGGCATGGGCCACTGCGCCCGGCTGCAATTTGGGATTTTTGTAGGAAATCAGGAACAAGGCTCAGGAATGCTGTCCTGAAAATGATCAAATCCTTTCACCTGCCTGTCTTGCTAGGGGCGTGGAGAATACATAAAGGTACACAGAACTAGAAGGATGGAGGAAATAATGAGGCTGTCATGGGAGATTTCCTAAAGGTTACTATGAATTAGCTAATTTGTGATACCTTGTTGCTAATTGCTGAAGAGAGGCTGCTCTTTTATTCAGAGTTATGGCTATGCCAGTTCCTTCTGGGCACTATTCATATGCATGAGTTTGCCTCTTGTTCTACATCAGTGCCTCCTGGTTTGCCCTCCTCTTTACACTCTTGACATGCAGAGGTGAAGGCAAGTGTGGTTGTGCTTTCGTTAATTTTGTATGGGAGGAAGTGGTTGTTCAGTGACCTTGGAAAAGCCCAGTGCTGATGTTTTACAGCAGGTGGCAGCCTTTCCCTGGGAGAGAAGACAGAGCTAGTCTGATCTAATGCAAAATTGTTTAGGGTTTTATTGCTTTTCCTTGATAGACGTGTCAAGTGATTACCTGACCCTGAAGTTGAAATTGGCTTTATCACAGAGGGAAGAGAAGCAGAGATCCTAAGCCCTGGAAAAGGGAGTGTAAACTCACTTCTGGGGCTCAATCCCACAGCTGCTGCCTCTGAAGAAACTGGTGGCTGCCCTCAGGGAGTCTGGTCAAGTTCAGACACCACATGGCATCTCTGAGCAAGGGCCCACAGAGAGACACGGATTGGAGCAGGGAGACACAGATTGAAGCAGATCAACAATTATCCTGCTGTATTTTGTGAAGGAGGGCATTTGATAGCAGAAGTACCCCCCTTTCCATTCCAGATGTGTAAAGCAGCCTTTTTTTTTTTTTTTTTTTTTGAGATGGAGTCTTGCTCTGTCACCCAGGCTGGAATGCCATGGCGCAATCTTGGCTCACTGCAAGCTCCACCTCCCGGGTTCACGCCATCCTCCTGCCTCAGCCTCCCAATGTAGCTGGGACTACAGGCGCCCACCACCATGCCCGGCTAATTTTTTTGTATTTTTAGTAGAGATGGGGTTTCACCGTGTTAGCCAGGATGGTCTTGATCTCCTGACCTCGTGATCCGCCCGCCTCAGGCTCCCAAAGTGCTGGGACTACAGGCTTGAACCACTGCGCCTGGCCGCAGCCTTTTAAACTAATCTGCCAAATGGTTTTCTTAAGGTTATTCAGTTACTTGCATTCAAATTTGCAAAGTGCTTAATAAAAGGAAAGGCAGACTTGGTGGAGAAGCTTGATGCTGGAAATACATCCAATTTGTTTCTGAATTCTTTTTTGTCTTTTTTAATTTTTTGTTAATTTTAATTTTTTTGAGACAAGGTCACACTCTGTCACCCAGGCTGCAGTGCAGTGGCATGATCTTGGCTCATTGCAACCTTCGCCTTCCAGGTTCAAGTGATTCTCGTGCCTCAGCCTCCCAAGTAACTGGGACTACAGGCGCTCACCACCATGCCCATAGGAGTTTTCTGTATTTTTATTAGAGACGGGGTTTCACCATGTTGGTCAGGCTGGTCTTGAACTCCTGACCTCAAGAGATCCACTTGCCTCGGCCTCCCAAAGTGTTGGGATTACAGGTATAAGCCACTGTGCCAGGTCTGTTTCTGATTTCTTAATGGTAGGATTGTATGTATAATTTATCAATAAAGTGCTATGTAGAAAACATTATTCAAAACTTAGCGTAAATGAGTAGAGATTGACCGAAGTCCCTATAGATGAATCTACTTTATGCCTAAAGGAAATATGGGTGATTAGACAGGGATAGGAGCAGACAGAAATCAAGGGACTAGGTGGGACTATTGAAATTAATTAAAATTGAAATGAAAAATTCAGTTCCTAAGTTGCACTAGCCACATTTCAAGAGCTCAACAGCCACATGTGACTAGCGTCTACCATGTTGGACAGCACGGATAATTGACCATTTTTATCATCACAGAAACTGCTACCAGATAGCAGTGGACTAGAAGAAAAAAACAGGGAGTGTGGCCAAGTGAAAAGGTGAGTAGTTAAGAACAAACCCTCCCTGTAATGCTAATTATTGAAATACTAATTCCTAAGTGTGGCAGGAGTTTCAAATAGAGTATCTCATATAATCCTCATACTGATCCACAACCACAGTAACGCTGCTGACATTTGTTGAAACCTTTTTACTACTGCAGGCCAGGCACTAAAAACTCTGTTGAACTGTTTGGGCTCGGAAAACAATACCCTAAAACAAAGACCTCAGAAAGCAACCTCAGAAACAGAAGTTTTTCTTTGACCTTCTCCTGCCCTCCTGTCTCTTAATCCTTTCTCCACTGAGGCCAGCCGCAGAAACTAGAATCCCTCTTCCCGAAGGTGGGTCATAGAAACCAGAACCCCTTTACCCAAAGCTAGTCATAAAACCTACAATTTTACTCTAACTTTCCCTCCACCTTTCTGTATAAAAACTGGCCATGAAGAAATTATCTGACCTCCCTTATTTGACTGTAGGACATAAGACCCTGGTTCCAGAGAGGGTCCTGTCCCACACCCAGAAGGAAGGAATGCGTGCTCAGAGACGCCAAGAAGAATCTAGACGGACAGGCCTTGCTGGGTTTCCCCACTCCGGCCATTAGATCTTACCCTTTTTGTCCAGTCATGTTCCTATACAGCTGGCCATACTTTGTTGAACCTAAGCATAAAAATGACAATTTCCCCTGCGTGTTTTGGTCTTCATTCTGAAGGCTCTTGTGTATTCCCGTTAAATAAATTTGAATGTCTTTTCTCCAATTAGTCTACCTTTTTTGAGTTGGTTTTTCAGCAAACCTTCTGAGGGCCACGAGGAAAGCTCTCCCTTGGCCCCTACGTAACTTGCTGGTCTTTGCAAGAACTCAGTCAAGTTGGTACTATTATTGTTCCTATTTAACAAATGAGGAAACTGTAGCAGAGAGGGACTTTAGTAACTTATCCAAGGTTACCTGGCTTGTAAGGAATAACTGGGACTCAAACCCATGTCTTTCTGGGCTGTAACAATTACAGAGAAAGCAAGCAAGGAAAATACCTAGCACTCTCTTTATGTGAGTCAAATTTGCTTTTAAGCCACTTTTCCCTAAGGCAGGCCCACCTCTTAGATTTTCTGTCACATAATTGTCTTTCTGGCTGAAGAAGAAGGCATTATGCCAATTCTGAGAGAGTAACAATGACCCCCTGTTAGTCAGGATGTGAGCCGCTTCCTTCCCTCTAAAGCAGAGTCTGCTGCTGCACAAGGGAAGTTGGTTTCTCAGAAGCTCACCTTTGTAGACACAAGTCTGTTTGGGTGACATTTTTTAAGTAAAATATTCTTAAGATGAAAATGAAGACTAGAAGTGTACATGGGAGATGCTCTTTTCTCTAGGTGGTGAGATTAAGAAAAACTGTTTTTCTATTCATCCGTATTCTGTAACTTTTCTACATGAATATGTCTAAAAAATTTTTTTTAAAAAATCAAAGCCAGAGACTGCATGGGAAAAAATTGTGCCTTGGCTTTTGTTAATAGGCTTTTGATAAGATAGTAACTACTTTAGTACTAATAGCCAATAAAAATACATTTGGTTGAGTGCTAAATACTTTAAACAATAGCAGGGGAAGTGTGGAATTTAATTATAAGGTTAAAAAGGACACTAAACAATGTCCAGATACTCAGTGCTTCTCTGCAGATGGAGACACAGTTGTTTTGTGTTCATGGCCCTGTCTTTTAAATTTTTTTTATTTTTATTTTTTTGAGATGGAGTCTCGCTCTGTTGCCCAGGCTGGCATGTAATGGCTCCATCTCAGCTCACTGCAACCTCCGCCTCCCAGGTTCAAGCGATTCTCCTGCCTCAGCCTCCTGAGTAGCTGGGATTACAGGCATGTGCCACCACACCCAGCTAATTTTGTATTTTTAGTAGAGATGGGGTTTCTCCATGTTGGTCAGGCTGGTCTTGAACTCCCGACCTCACGTGATCTGCCCGCCTTGGCCTGCCAAAGTGCTGGGATTATTGGCTTAAGGCACCGTGCCCAGCCACGGTCCTGTCTTATGTCGCACAGTTCAAAGTGAGGCACAGGCTGGTAGATAAAAAACAGGGAAAGTCATGAATCACAATATTACTTTTATCATCAATTAGCAACAAATGGTCTCTGAAAACTAATAAACTTGGCATGGGGAAAGAGAGAGGTGATCTTTTCAAGCTACAGTGCATGTTTGTTCTCCCAGGTGAGACTCATTAAGTAGAAGCCATGTTACTGAGAATTTGCAAATATAAGCAGTATGGAGGCAGAAAAAAAAAAAAGAGGCTGAAAACTGGTCAGTGCTTGCTAAGGTTCTTTTCTCCTACAAAATTCTAAGATTTTGTGATCGTTTTAGTTTAGTAGTATGTCTTTATATACTTTTAAAGTTATGTACTCTTAAGTTTCTATACATTTTAAAGCTAGTTTTCCCTAAATTGATGTGCTGCTACAGGGTATCTTAGACTTTTAGTTAAATCTGTAGGTGAGTCCACTATAAAATGCTAGCCAAATGAAATGGTAGCCAAAAACATTTTCAAATACCTAAGTATCCAGAGTGAGTACAGTTTATAGGCTCACTCACTTTAATGGCGAAATAAAGGAATTTTAAGTACAAAAGATAACTCAGAGGAAGAATCAAGTGATAATACAGCACCAAGGAATCAAGAAGTCATCCCCCACCTTCCTCACTTCCCCATCTCTCAGGGTTCCATTTAAAACCAATTCCTGCTTACCTTGGAGTGTAATTTAAGTGGAGTGGCTATAGTATTAAAGCTAAGGAGAAGGAAAAACATGTGAATTACCAGCAGTCATCTGTCTAGGCAGACAGTTGGAGACAAGAAAGAACAAACTGAAAAAGGGCAACAGACTCATGCCACAGGTGGTGCATGCAGGTGCAAGGACTTGGGTCAGACAAGCCCTTCTCAGAAACACAGAGAAATATTCAGCCTTGTTCACTTTCATTCCCTGCAAGAGGACAGACCTGGCAGCCTTAAAAAGGAAGAGTTCTGGAATCAAACCGGGCTCTTTTGTGTTTCCTGTTTGGCTGAAAGCAATTTGAAGTGAACAAAATCCTAAGATCAACTCACTTTAAAAATTGTATATATATATATATATGTACATATATACATTTTATATTGCCTGATTATGCCAAATAATCTGACTTTACCAACTACATTGTCTTTGCAGATGACGCAGAGCTACCTGTTTGTTTTCTCTTTTCTGTGCTTCATTGTTAGATAACTTTCCATTTTGTTTGATGGAAATAACCACGCTAGGGTCACTGATCTGACACTGCAATCTCTTTATTCTTGGTTTTACACTGCACTTCTAGTTTCATAAATGAGGCCGTATTTAGGCTTTGGTTTATGGAATTGAGTTTACAAGGGTATCCTTCACTCTGTTTTATTTCTACCCTCTGGCATCTCATGGATGTGTGCTTTGCTCAAGTGTCCCCAGAGACCCGGAAGAACCAGCTAGATGGATGATCCTTGAGTTGCTAGTTGCACAGATGTTTACATGGATTATCTCAAAAATCAGATGTTGCATCTCATTTATGGGATGAAAAAGCTTCAAGAAAGGAAGATAGGATTTAGATCTTTCCTTTTTTCTTCTTTTGGACTTAAAGTGCAAAGATTTGAGTTAATCGCCTTCCTCAGATCACTGTATGTGATCATCCATGAGAGGACCTTTTTGTTTTATTTTACTTCATTGTTTTCCTCCTTGATTGCCAGCACTGGCAGTCACTCTGATGTATTAATAAGTGTTTGGATATGAGTGTACCCCCAGGTTGTTTTTTCTATAATGCTGCTTTATGAATATATGTGTTAAATCTGTAATGTTCAATGGCTCTCATTCTGTTTCTTGCTTTTTGATGCAATGCTGTTTTTAAGCTCTATTCATGTTCCTTTATGCACAGCTAGCGCATTTCTTCTAACTGCTGCATAAGATTCCATATTATGTGTCATGATCATGTCATGATCATCTGATCCTCTTAACATATCTGTGGCCCCTAGTGGTGGACTCCCAGACTGCCCCGAACTCTCTTGTACCACAAACAATCCTGTGATAGACATGTTTGTGTGTATTTCTTCATGAACCTGTGTGGAGAGGGATTCCTGGATTGTAGGTTGTCAGTGAGCATGCACGTGTGTGCATGTGCGCATGCGCACAAATACACACACACACACACACACACACACACACACACACACACACACACAGAGATACTGCCACAGTGCTCTCTAGGATACCTGTATCTGTGTACACTCCCGGCAGCAGCACATGAGGGTTTTTGTTTCCCACACCTTTGCCAAGATTGCCAAGATTTCCCAACTTTCTAATTTTTATAAATCTATTGGGTGTAATGTAAGGCGGTATGTCAAATAGTTTTAATTTCCATTCTTCTGTTTACTAGTGACACTGAACTTCTCTTCAATCCTTCTTAGGCATTTGGTTTTCCACTTCTGAGAGTTGGCTATTCATACTTTTTGTCAATGTCTCTCTTGGGTACTTTATCTGATTTATAGGAGTTCCTTATAAAGTCGTCCCCCCTTATCTGAGGTTTTGCTTTCCGAGTTTTGTTACCTACCATCTTTAGTCCAGAAATATTAAGTGGAAAATTACAGAAATAAACAATTCATAAGCTTTAAATTGCATGCCATTTTGACTAGTGAGATAAAATCTTGTGCCATCTTGCTCCATCCTGCCCAAGGCCCTTATCATTCCTTTGTCTAGCATGTAACCACATGCTGCCCACCCCTTAGTCACTTAGTAGCCCTGCCGGTTCTCAGAATAATTTGTGGTATCTCAATGCTTGTGTTCAAGTCACTCTTATTTTATTTAATAATGGCCACAAATTGCAAGAGTAGTAATGCTATTATATTATTATAATTTGTTGTATTGTATTATTAGTTATTGTTAATCTCTTACTGTGCTTAATTTACAAATTAAACTTTATCAGAGGTATGTATGTAAAAGAAAGAAACATAGTATATATAAGGTTTGGTGCTATCCACAGTTTCAGGCATACACTTGGCAAAGTTTGGAATGTATCCCCTGCAGATAAGGAGCACTATTGTATATTCTGGGTTTGAATTCCTTGTTGGCGTGAAATATCTTCCAAATGTTTTCTTTCTGTCTATCCTCTGTCTGTGTAAGTTTGTTTATGATGGGCTTCACTGAACAGAAATCCGTAATTTTCGTGCAGTCAAAATTTCATGTCTTGTGCTTTTTGGGTCTAATTTACAAAATTCTTTCCCATTCCAAAGTCTTACATATATTCTATATATTCTTCTATTAGCTTTATCATTTTATAGCTGTATACCAAGTCATAAGGTACTCATAAATATATGATTATTGTTGGTACCCCTAATGTTGTGTAACACAGTACTGGCCATATTATAGGAACTTAACAAATAAATTTTGTTTCTTTCTCTAGCCCTGTTTCTCTGGTAAGTGGATTGAATGACCCCTCTGCTACAGACTGTTTTGTGGCTGAAGAGGATAGAAAGCTCTTTCTGCTCTGGGCCTTACTAAGCCAACAGCATGCTATCTCCGTGCTATCACCCTAGTCCAAGCCACTGTCATCTCATACCTGGAATTTTATAGCAACCTCCTAACTGGCTTCCTGGCTTATGTATTTTCAGCTTTTTCCCATTCATTTGCAGCCCTGTTACCAGAGTGATAGAGCTTAGATTAGTGCTGGCACATAGTAAGTGCCCAATAAATGTTAGTTATGATGATGATGATGATGATGATGATTATTATTATTATTATTATTATTGTTATTATGGAGCTTAGCATTTATAAGAACTTTATAAAATAGTTATAAACGAAAAATGTGTTCAGTATCCATATAGAATGCATTGTACTAGTGAAAGGCTAGTACAGACTAGCAACCTAACTTTGGCCATTCATCATCTGTCATGGTCCCAATGTCATCATTCCAAACTGTGCAAGATGTAAGTAGCTGGGGATTGAGCTCTACAGGCTATAGAAAATGTCCTAGAGGGCTGGACACGGTGGCTCACGCCTGTAATCCTAGCACTTTGGGAGGCCGAGGTGGGCAGATCATGAGGTCAAGAGATTGAGACCATCCTGGCCAACATGGTGAAACCCCGTCTCTAATAAAAATACAAAAATTAGCTGGGGGTGGTGGCAAGTGCCTGTAGTCCCAGCTACTCAGGAGGCTGAAGCAGGAGAATCGCTTGAACCCAGGAGGCGGAGGTTGCAGTGAGCCCAGATCATGCCACTGCACTCCAGCCTGGGCAACAGAGCAAGACTGCATCTCAAAAACAACAAAAAAAAGACAATGTCCTAGAATTTTAAAAATTCAAGCCTTTGATTTTAGCATATTTTCAATTATTATTTGCCTTTTTTCCATAAAAGTCAAGTGCACTGTATCAGTCAAGGTCCAGCCAGAAGACAATCACACAGTAAGTCCAACAGGGAAAATTGAAAGTATATTAACTAGAAATGGGATTAACTACTAAGGGATAAACATAACTCTTAAGAATACAAGAATGGTGGATATAAAGAGCAGCTGCTACTCTCTAGACCAGAGTTTCTCAACTTATAAAAAGAAATTTGCCCCTGTAAGGAGATATTTTTAGATATTTTTTGCCCCTTATCACCACCTGTCCCTACATCCCCATGAAACCTTAATTCTACAGGTACACAGTATATCTGTGTGTCTACTGTGGCCCTTTGGAGGAATAACCTAAGATTATTTCACACACACTCCCTACCCCCACAAAAACCAATTTTCACCCCCACTGAGAATGCTTGCCCCAGGGCTATGGCTGAGTACCCAAGGAAGGAACAAATTCGGAAGAGCCCTCTCTTCAAGACTGACTTCACTGGAGTCACTTCACTCGGATGTAGCTATCACCTCCTAGATGGTAAAGAAGTTCACCGAGGTTCTGCAAGTCAGCGTCAGGATGCAAGAAACCACCTTCCGGGTTGCCTGTGAGACTCCCTGGGCAGCTGAGCACTTTTGGGATTCCTGCACCCACTGGCTGCCAAGTACCCCAAGAGAAGGAAAATCACATGGGAACAAAGAAGAGAGAAGCACTTTCCTCCTGCAGTGGCCTCCCAGCCCTGTAGACAAAGCTTAACATTCTGCCAGCTGCAAAGGAGAAATGTTTACAGGGCCCAGCTCCAGCATCACAGAACAGAGCAGTGCAGAGATTTGGAGCTGAGAGGAAAGAAGTTGATGCATCAAAGAAATTCTTTTAAATGAAGTGTTCTAATTAATTTCTGTCTAACCAAAGTTTTATGATGCCAAGGTTTTACCACACTATGGAGGATGCACCTCAAAACACCAAGGAATTTGTAAAAATGCAGGGCATGGCTGGGCGCTGTGGCTTACGCCTGTAATCCCAGCACTTTGGGAGGCTGAGGCAGGCAGATCACCTGAGGTTGGGAGTTCGAGACCAGCCTGACCAACACGGAGAAACCCCATCTCTACCAAAAACACAAAATTAGCTGGGCATGGTGGCATATGCCTGCAATCCCAGCTACTAAGGAGGCTGAGGCAGGAGAATCGCTTGAACCTGGGAGGCCGAGGCGGGCGGATCACGAGGTCCGGAGATCGAGACCATCCTGGCTAACACGGTGAAACCCTGTCTCTACTAAAAATACAAAAAAATTAGCTGGGCGTGGTGACAGATGCCTTTAGTCCCAGCTACTCGGGAGGCTGAGGCAGGAGAATGGCATGAACCTGGGAGGTGCAGCTTGCACTGAGCTGAGATTGCGCCATTGCACTCCAGCCTGGGCAACAGAGCGAGACTCCATCTCAAAAAAAAAAAAAAAAAAATGCAGAGCATATGCTTAGTAAAGCAAATTGTTATTATATGTTGTCATTTATGTGTGAAGTTTATGTCTTTGACCCACTGTCAGTGGGACTTACACTTGAAGTTATTTTCTTGAGAATGAAAATGAATGTCTGATTTATCTATATTTTCCCTCCAAACAATTCAGCCAGAGAATATGCTGACTAGCTGATATCAGTCTTATTTCTTTGACAGTAACATTTCTCAGCATAATTGAATGAACATTTTTATTTACCAGTAACTCTGTTTGTGAGGTTGACAAGTAGATCAATTCATTGGAACCTGATTATTCTTGGGTGAAAAGATGAAATTGAATTTCTGTATCACAGAACTAAGGTCTAAACCTCAGAGGAGAGGTATAAGTCACTGTAACAAGGAAGCCTGGCTTGGCCAGTGAGACTTCTCCAACTACCAGATACCACACGACCTAAGGGTAATGTCTGCTGCCAAGCGATACAGCAAAGATAGCTCATAGACCTTGTTTAAAATTTTGCCTTAGACCTTTTTTGAAATTTGCAACAGTGCTAACTTCTTGCATAAGCCCACAGTGGCATGTCCTATAGATGCCTCGATTTATGCTTCTAGTTTGGATTTTGGTGTGAAGTGGCTTGCTGAGATGGGGTATGTGAATCAAGCTCTCTCGGATTCAGTTTCATTGCCTGTAAAGTGAGAAAGTTGGAAAACATTATGTTGAATAAGAATTCTCTGATGTAATAAAAAAGCAACTTTAGGCTGGGCACAGCAGTTCACGCCTGTAATTGTAGCACTTTGGGAGGCCAAGGCGGGTGGATCACTTGAGCCTAGGAGTTCAAGACTAGCCTGGGTAACATGGTGAAACCTCGTCTCTACAAAAAAATGTAAAACTTAGCCAGTGTGGTGGTGCATGCCTGTAGTCCCATCTACTCAGGAGGCTGAGGTGGGAGGATCACTTGAGCCCAGAGGTCGAGGCTGTGAGCCAAGTGAGCTGAGATTGTGCCACTGTACTCCAGCCTGGGTGACAGAGCAAAACCCTGTCTCAATTAAAAAAAAAAAAAAAGCAACTTTATTTTTGTCCCTATTTTCCCTTTGCATATATAAAGTCTATCCATCTATCTATCTAGACATCTATAGATATGTTCTAGTATGAAAATTCTGGCAAGCCCTTAAATTTTCTGGCTTATAATGATTGCTATCACTATAGACTATCACTTTCAATTACAAACACAGTCTTGATACGGAGATTAGAATGTCCAGTGTAAGATATTAATCAGGCTGGGTGCGGTGGCTGACACCTGTAATCCCAGCACTTTGAGAGGCCAAGGTGGGTGGATCACAAGGTCAGGAGTTCGAGACCAGCCTGACCAACATGGTGAAACCCTGTCTCTACTAAAAATACAAAAATTAGCCTGGCGTGGTGGCACACACCTGTAATCCCAGCTACTCAGGAGGCTGAGGCAGGAGAATCGCTTGAACCCGGGAGGTGGAGGTTGCAGTGAGCCGAGATCACACCACTGCACTCCAGCCTAGGCAACAGAGCAAGACTCTCATCTCAAAAAAAAAAAAAAAAAAAAAAAAAGAAATATATATATATACACACACACACACACATACACACACACACACACACACGTATATATATACACATATATATATAAATACACACACTCCAAATCTGGTAAGATATTAATCAATACTCCAAATCTGATTTTAAGGATACATCCTCTCCACTCTTCCAGCCCAAGACTGCTTCACTCTGAAAGCTTGCAGTGGGAAAGGGAGAGATGTGGATGGCTCTTCCTCAGCGCTTCTTGTGGAGTGAATGGGGGTGTCATTATGCTCCTCCAGATTCCTCTCCACCCTTTTCTACCTCCCCCTCTGCCCCACTAATGTGAATATGCTCCATCTCCCTTTGGCTTCAAGTTAGTTTTGGCCAATGAGGAGCTCTGGCAGAAAAGCGAGAAGTGCAAGATCAAAGTTTTTATTTCCTTGGCTTTTTCCTAGAGAGGTTGACTCTAGCTGTTTGTGTCCCTTGATCACTCTTTTTTTTTTTTTTTTTTTTTTTTTTGAGATGGAATCTCACTCTGTCACCCCAGCTGGAGTGCAGTGGCGCAATCTCGGCTCACTGCAACCCCCACCCCTCCAGGTTTAAGCAATTCTCTGCCTCAGCCTCCGGAGTAGCTGGGATTACAGGCACGTGCCACCACGCCTGGCTAATTTTTTTTGTATTTTTAGTAGAGACGGGGTTTCACCAACTTGGCCAGGCTGGTCTTGAACTCCTGACCTTGTGATCCACCCACCTCGGCTCCCAAAGTGCTGGGATTACAGGCGTGAGCCACCGCGCCCGGCCTTGTGTCCCTTGAGTAAAGGTCACTGCTCCTCTCAAGGTGGTCTCCTCCAAATGACACTCCCTTTCCAGGTTCTGATCATCACTCCTTAGGGCCTAAGGGTATAAGCCATTCTGAGGCTTCTAACCCCTGGTTTCTAGACTAGCCTTATGTTTCCATTACACCCCACCAGCTCTCCTGTAAATAGTCTCTTTAAAAATAAACTCTCTCCCACTGCACCCCAGCCTGGGTGACAGGGTAAGACTCTGTCTCGAAAAATAAATAGAAAATAATAATAAACTCTCCTCAAATTATCCTAATTCAAGTGTGTCATCTGTTGCCTGTTGGGACCCTCACTAGAAAAAAAAATCCATCAAAATTTATACTGCATAGCAACATTTGAACTTTAAAAAATCCATTTTCTTTTTTTTTTTTTTTAGATGGAGTTACACTCTGTCACCCGGGCTGGAGTGCAGTGGCACGATCTCGGCTCACTGCAACCTCAGCCTCCTGAGTAGCTAGGACTACAGGCACGTGCCACCACACCTGACTAATATATATATTTTTTGTATTTTTAGTAGAGACAGGGTTTCACCATGTTAGCCAGGCTGGTCTTGAACTCCTGACCTCATGATCCACCCACCTTGGCCTCCCAAAGTGCTGAGATTACAGGCATGAGCCACCGCACCCGGCCAAAAAATCTATTTTCTTAGATTAAGTAACTCACATCGCAAAACTTATAATTTGCTCCACAATATCATTATCCAAAGGCTCAACAACTACTGTACTCTACTGTACTGTACTGGGTCCATTCTAGGTTCGGCAAAGTCAGAGTTGGTACATCTAGCCTCCCCTGATGCATCTCTTTCTTACTGTTTCAGGGCTAATAGGGACGAACATGGATCTAAGTGGTTTCAGTGTCTTCATGAATTGGTCTAATATATTGCCAGGAATAGACGCATTTTAAAAAAGGACTCCAGGATAAAAATATAGAGCTCTAATGATAGAAATTGTGGACACTATGAACCAGGGATGGAGAAGGATGTTTGATCTTGTTTATTCTCATCAAGATGAGGCTTAATTTTTCTGCACCTTTATTCAAAACATGTAACTCAGAGCAGATTTTTTTTTTTAATTTATTTTTTTTTTTTTGAGATAGGGCCTCACTCTGTCACCCAGGCTGGAATGCAGTGATGTGATGATCACAGTTCACTGCAGCCTCAACTTCCTGGGCTCAAGCAATCCTCCCACCTCAGCCTCCCAGAGAGCTGGGACTACAAATGTGTGCCACCACACCTAGCTAATTTTTTGTAGAGATGGGGTTTTGCCATGTTGCTCAGGCTGGTCTTGAGCTCCTGGGCTTAAGCAATCTTCTTGTCTTGGCCTCCAAAAGTGCTGGGATTACAGGTGTGAGTCACCATGCCCAGCACCCAGGGCAGAATTTGAAAGTCCTTGCTTCAGTGTTTGTACAGCTGTTCAGGACTTTCCAGTGTATCAGTTATTCAAATTTTAAAGCACTTATCAAAGAGAGCTTAGTTTTCAGTCTCAAAAGTCCAAGAAAGACCTAAAGATTGTTGGTGGTTATTTTATAGCACACCCAAACAAATCTTTCACATTGTCTCTCTTTAGACCACTTGCCTCTGATCAGGCCTGCCTCCTCAGCCACACTTCAAATGAAAGAAATCAAGTAAACAACTTTTAGCAATCAGGGCACCCTAAAATAGCAGGTGATCTGCAGCAGGTTAAGCACACACCAACATACATGCAAATCAGTCAAATTTTGTACCTGGCAAATAAGGCTAACAATTTATATTTTGACTGACTTGATTATTTGAAAAAACTGCTTTTCTGTGACATAAATATAGATGTTAGTTCTGTCTCGCAGCTAAGTATCTCACGAGAAAGCCACATTAACCTTAATGATTTCCTGACATGGAAATTAATATTCCCTAGCAAAGAAATAAAATGGTATCCACTGGTGCTTGTGCAGCTAAAAAATACTGTCTTCCTCCTTCCCTCCCCTGGTTGACATTAGTTGGTTTCAGTCCACAAATATTTACTGAGTGTTAACAATGTGCCAGGCAACTGTTTAATGCTAGAAACACAGTGCTGAAAAAGACAAAACAAGTCCCTGTTTAAGGCAGTTGCATTCTAAGGGAAGGGGGATATGCAATAAACATGTAAACAAACAAATAAATAATACAATTTCAGGAACTAAGGACTATGAAGAAAATAAAGCGGAGTACTATGGTAGTTGGTACCTGGGGTGTGGTTTGGCTGCTTAGTGACATCTGAGTTGAGACCTGAAGGCTGTGAAGGAGGCAGCAGTGTGAGCATCCAGGGAAGAGCTCTGCTAGCAAAGAAACAGTAAGTGCAAAGGACCTGGGATAGAAACAAGCCTTGTGTACCGTGTACTTGAAGGCAACAAGATGGGCAGTGTGGTTACAGGCAAGTAGTTAGAGGGAAAGCTTGGAAGGAGATAAGGCTGAACAGGAGCCAGGATGAAAGAAGCAGAGCCGGATCAGAGTGATGACAAGCTGGAGGAGGAGTTAAAGAAAGGAAGCTGGGAAGTGGTGTGATCTCATTTGTATTTAATCTGGCTACTTTGTGGAGAATGGATTGTAGGAGGTCAAACACGGAAGTGGGGAGATCTGGGAGGAGCCTATGGCAGAAGTCCGGGTGACAGACACTGGCAGCTTGGCCTAGGGTTTCATCAACAGGCCACTACCGGCTCATACGGTGCCTTTGTGAAAATTAGAAAAAGGCTCCTCTTTCCATTAGATGCCCTGATTGCAGATGGATTAAATGTGAGGTGTGAAGAAAAGAGAGGAATCCAGAATGACTCAAGTTTGCACCTCAATAATTGGCTGGAGAGTTATGGAATCAGTAGTTCAATTCTGATCATGTTCACTTTCAGGACCGTGAAATTTTCCCATGCAGCGGTTGCACCCCCTGTTACAATGTGAAAACTCAGTAGCATTTGCCACACTGACGTTGGTTTCCTTTCAGCTGGCTCTGGGAACCTTATGCTGATGTAATGGAGATAACCTTTGTGAGACGTTAAATCAGTGTATTTGCCTGCCCAGTAAGTCTTTGTCTCCATGGCTTCCCCCTTGAGTCAATGGCATGCATTCAGTCACAGGGAGAAAAAAAAACCCAGCCAAGATTGGATAAGTCATCCCTTAGCTTAGAATTTCAAAATAGGATTAATTCATAGCAAAACAATAGTTTGAAATCAAGGGCTTTGAGTGTCAAAAACCAGACATTGTTGAAAGAAAAAAATGTATTTGTATATGCTAGTGAGGCAGAACTTGGAAAAGTGCCCCTGAACAGATCACAGATACAGCCAAGAAGAACACAGGATATGATGTCAGAGCCACTTTCTCATGACTGGAAGGGAAGATAAAAGCAGCAGGCAGAGGCCGGGTGCAGTGGTTCACGCCTGTAATCCCAGCACTTGGGGAGGCCAAGGTGGGCGGATCATGAGGTCAGGAGATCGAGACCATCCTGGCTAACATGGTGAAACCATCTGTACTAAAAATACAAAAAATTAGCTGGGCGTGGTGGCGGGCACCTGTAATCCCAGCTACTCGGGAAGCTGAGGCAGGTGAATTGCTTTAATCTGGGTGGCGGAGGTTGCAATGAGCTGAGATCGCGTCACTGCACTCCAGCCTGGGCAACAGAGCGAGACTCTGTCCCAAAAAAAAAAAAAAAAAAAAAAAAGCAGCAGGCAGGAATTTGGGACATTCAGAGAGTACCAGCACAGGGTTGCCCCAGATGAGTGGAGGGTGCACTAAAAGAAGAGGAGGCATGTATCCTGCTTTCTGTTTGGAACCGGGGTAACTACAGAGAAGTAGCTTGAGATAGTGATTTCTGTTCTTTGGGGTCATGCATGGTCTTTAGGAGATCCAGTGGTAGAATGATAAAGGCTAATGGGATGAATGGGCTGGAAGAGGCCTGGCCCTTGGGCCAAGAAGTTGTGAGGCTTATGGTCCTTGCCACTGAGAGCCATGGCAGGGGCCGTGGCTGTCAGTAGTGGAAATGGTTCTAGGCCCAAAAGCCGGAGATAATTTCCTCATCAAGGGAGGCCGGGAGAGCCTGGATGATGGCAGACAGACTTGCTCTGCCAGTTTTTCAAGACCCGAATGACATCTTAAGAAAGAGAAGTGGGAGAGGAGAACCATTGGATCAGGGAGAAACCTTGAAAGATTGAGTGAGTTTCCAAGGAAAACTGTTGTAAACGTAAAGAGACTGTGTTACCTTTAATTGGCAAGATCAAGTGTTTCCACCTACGTTAGGAATGGGGGCTTTCCAGCAAGAAATCATTATCGACAATGAAGTTGCTTTTTTTTGTAAATCTAGTTTTTAGTGAGTACATTTAAACCCTGCTACATTAGGAAGGTCTGTATTGCTACCAAATAAAGAGAACTCAGCTTGACATACCCCTGCCTCTAATGGAGAGAGGGGGAGGAAGGAGACGGAGGGGAAAGATTGAGTCTGTCAACAGTAGTTACCTCCAGGGAAGATAACTGAGGGACAGAGAAGGAAGAAAAACCTATTTCTCATGGAACGTTTTCTGTACCTTTTGCATTTTTTCCATATGCATGCATGAACTATTCAAAAATAAATTAAAAGGGGAAAAATAAGTTTCTGAAATGAGAAGCATGCAGATGCACAGAATGTGATATTCAGTGCTTGGCAATTAACCTTAAATAGTTTTCATCTCACCAGAATCTTTGAGCCACTTCTCCTCAGTGTACCTTGTGGTTATTCCCTTCATTTGTGTAGGTGTTGGGTAAGCTGTCTGTCTTGCCTTTCCAGCGAGCCCATGACCCATTTGTGCATGGTACTCCAAACACTGTACCACCGACCCTACAGGTGGCCCATCGCTTTTACAGGGGAAAACAATCCCACTGACCCATTTGGTCTTGCCCTTCATCCTGGATTGAGGTGTGGGAAGGATTAATAAGGGTTTTTTGTTCTCACCCTGGTTATTTCCACCCCATTGGCATCACATAACAATGGGGAAGCAGTGGAAAGAACTTAGGTGCTGGAATCAAATTTGCTAGGGCTTACCTCTGCCAGCTACTAGCTTTAGGTACTTGGGTGGGTCTCAAGTTTCTTCTTCTATACATTGGAGTAATACAAACCTCACTGGGTTATCACAACACAATACTAGAACTGTTCTGATTACCCCAACCCCCAGTCTAAGAGACCAGACTAATTTTTGTAAAATCTCGCATCCAGCCAAACTTAGCATACCTATTGTCCCTGTATTCCTCAGTTTCTACCCAAGACATAAGCCTCTTCATTCATCTGTTGTATCCCTTACTCTCATTTATATCCTTCCCCGTATTTCACTCCCTTGACTCAACCTCCCTCTGCTTCCCTCTTTTAAGTAGTATGTTTTCATTTGCAGGCTACAGGAAACTCAAGTCTAACTGGTTTAAACATTAAGGGCATTTACCGACTCAAGTAACTGAAAATTCAGCAGTGGCAAAGGCCTTGGGTTACCTGCCAGACAGACATACCAAGGGCCTTGTTTCTTCTCTTTCTCTACTCTCGCACCCTCAACGTGAGCTTCATTCTGGGATTGGCTCCCCTCGTGGTTATACAGGCTGGAGGTCAGCAGCAACTGAGCCTGCATGCTTCTGCATTAAGTCCAGAGGAACTGAGGAGTGAGTCTTTAACCATCAAACAAAAATCCTGGCCTTTCATTAATTAGAACAACCTGAACCAATCATGGTGACTAGGGGAATGCCATGTGCTAATTTGCTTAGCTCTGAACTAAGTTATCCATTTTTGAGCCAATTACAGTGACAAGGGAGTTGAGATTATGATGACTGATTTAGATCAGAGGTTCTCAACTGGGAGCAGCACTGCCTCCTTCAGAGTATTTGGAAATGTTGCTCTGACTGGGAGTACCACTGGCTTTTACTGGAAGAGGGATGGGGGAGGGGAGACACAGGACAGTCGTGTGGAATTTTGGTCTGCCAAAAATGCCAATAGTGCCTCTATGAAGAAACACTGACTTAAAACATCAGGGCACACTTCTGAAACAGGAGTTTGTTTTCCCTTAGGTACATAAGCCATACTGGGGCAGGATGGACACCTAAACAAAAATGACTAGACTACTCAGGCTCCTTCCTAATCTTTATTGACTCCCTTCTATCTTTACTTAGATCCCTGCTCAGCCTATTATGTATTACTTTTAACTAATCTCTTGACAATGTCATTTACTTCCTAGCCCCATTCTGCTGTACCTACCCAGATAAATCCTATAGTGACACTGACTTGAGAAAGATACTTTCAAACCTTTTAAAAATCAAAGCTATAGGCCAGGCGTGGTGGCTTATGCCTATAATCCCAATACTTTGGGAGGCCCAGGTGGGGCAGATCACCTGAGGTCAGGAGTTCAAGACCAGCCTGGTCAACATGGTGAAAGCCTGTCTCTACTAAAAGTACAAAAATTAGCTGGATGTCATGGTGGGCGCCTGTAATCCCAGCTACTCAGGAGGCTGAGGCGGGAGAATCGCTTGATCCCGGGAGGCGGAGGTTGCAGTGAGCAGAGATCACACCACTGCACTCCAGCCTGGGCGACAAGAGTGAGACTCCATCTCAAAAAAAAAAAAAAAAAGCCAGTGTAGTGGCTCATGCCTGCACTTTGGGAGGCCGAGGTGGGTGGATCACAAGGTCAGGAGATCGAGAGCATCCTGGCCAACATGGTGAAACCCCGTCTCTACTAAAAATACAAAAATTAGCCAGGTTTTGTGGTATGCGCCTGTAGTCCCAGCTACTCAGGAGGCTGAGGCAGGAGAACTGCTTGAACCCGGGAGGCAGAGCTTGCAGTGAGCCGAGATCATGCCACTGCACTCCAGCCTGGTGACAGAGCAAGACTCTGTCAAAAAAAAAAAAAAAAAATCAAATCTATATAATATTTAAAAAAAATTTTTTTTTTTTTGAGATGGAGTCTTGCTCTGTTGCCCAGGCTGGAGTGCAATGGAGTGATCTCAGCTCACTGCAAGCTCCGCCTCCCAGGTTCATGTCATTCTCCTGCTTCAGCCTCCCGGGTAGCTGGGATGACAGGTGCCCGCCACCACACCTGGCTAATTTTTTGTATTTTTAGTAGAGACGGGGTTTCACCGTGTTAGCCAGGATGGTCTTGATCTCCTGATCTTGTGATCCACCCACCTCGGCCTCCCAAAGTGCTAGGATTACAGCCGTGAGCCACTGTGCCTGGCCTTTTTGACTTTTTTATGCAGAGTCCTTCTCTGTCACCCAGGCTAAAGTGCAGTGGTGAGATCTCAGCTCACTGCAACCTTCGCCTCCTGGGCTCAAGCGGTCCTCCCACCTTGGCCTCCCAAATTTCTGGGACTACAGATGTGAGCCACTGCACCTGGCCCTTTGTCTGTATTTCATGTATACCTGTGCACATCCATGTGTTTGTATATTGTCTTCATGATACCAAATGCACTTATACATAAATGAGCACTCAGAAATTAGTAAGCCCAAATAAATGCTTTCCAAAGTTCCCATTGACTCGAGTAACTCTTTTGGTAAATAAGGCTAGTTTAATATTGTTGGTTTAATAAAAACAACTATGTCTTCTGAGTTAGCAACAAAATATATATATATTTAACTTTAAGATTCTTGCCCAATCATAAAAATGGTGAATAGAAAATTTAACTTGAAATGGATAGATTTGTCCAATTGTAAAATTTTCCAAACATGATTGTTAAAAATAAATAGGCCGGGCACAGTGGCTCATGCCTGTAATCCCAGCACTTTGGGAGGCCGAGGCGGGCAGATCACCTAAGGTCAGGATTTCCAGACCAGCCTGGCCAACATGGTGAAACGCTGTCTCTACTAAAAATACAAAAATTAGCCAGTTGTGGTGGCAGGCGCCTGTAATCCCAGCTACTCGGGAGGCTGAGGCAGGAGAATCGCTTGAACCCGGGAGGCAGAGATTGCAGTGAGCCAAGATCGCACCATTGTACTCCAGCGTGGGGGACAAGAGCGAGACTTCATCGCAAAACAAATAAATAAATAAAATAGATGTAAATGAGGTAGAAATTTATAAATGAACTTTTAATAATTATTATGTTTTATAAAATGTTTACTTGAAAAGGGTTTTCAAATCTTTTTGAGCTATAGCGTTAGAATTTTGCTAAACTAAATGATATTCATTGCATATGATAATCTAAATCATCCACAAATAAGATATAATGCTAAGACATTAATTACTAATCATGAGTTTAAGCTTACATGCTTTTAACTTCAGAAAACAAAAGGTATTTAGATACACTAAAAATGTTCTGTTCCACATTAAAAAATTGTTCGATTAGAAAAGCCTAAGTTTCAGGCCGGGCGGGATGGCTCACGCCTGTAATCCTAGCACTTTGGGAGGCCGACGCGGGTGGATCGCCTGAGCTCAGGAGTTCAAGATCATCCTGGGCAACATAGTGAAACCCCGTCTCTACTAAAATACAAAAAATTAGCCGGTCGTGGCGGCGTGCACCTGCAGTCCCAGCTACTCGTGAGGCTGAGGCAGAATTGCTTGAACCCGGGAGGCGGAGGTTGCAGTGAGCCAAAATTGCACCACTGTACTCCAGCCTGGGCGACACAGCGAGACTCCATCTCCAAAGATTCATAAATTCAAGTTGGTACTTGACTGAGAGTTAAAAATTGCTTACTTTTTAGATTTTCACCATAAATTAAGGTTACAAAGAGTTAAAATTCTAACACATGGTAACTAAAACTAAAGAAGGAAAACAATTCTACATACAGAATATAGCAGGAAAGTAAGATGTGTTTTTAATAAGGAAGGTTATAAGAAAGACATGAGGCTGGGCACGGTGGCTCATGCCTGTAATCCCAATACTTTGGGAGGCCGAGGCAGGCTGGGTGTGGTGGTGGGCACCTGTGATCCCAGCTACTTGGTAAGCTGAGGCAGGAGAATCACTTGAACCCTGGAGGCAGAGGTTGCAGTGAGCCGAGATCGTGTCATTGCACTCCAGCCTGGGCATCAATAGCGAGACTCCATCTCAAAAAACAAAAAACAAAAAAACTTCCAGAACTCTAATATAAACCTGACAGGTTCACGAAGATTGCTAACCCAACATTAAGCAGAACAAGATTCAATTTCATGGGACTGAATTGATGGAGTAGTGAAATTATTTTCATGTCCTTTTGTTTAAAACATTGCTGATTATGTCTGGACACAGTGGCTAATGCCTGTAATCCCAGCACTTTGGGAGGCCAAGGCGGGTGGATCACCTGAGGTCAGGAGTTTGAAACCAGCCTGGTCAACATGGCGAAACTCTGTCTCCACTAAAAATACAAAAATTAGCCAGGCATGGTCGTGGGTGCCTGAAATCCCAGCTACTTGGGAGGCTGAGGCAAGGAGAATTGCTTGAACCCGGGAGGCAGAGGTTGCAGTGAGCCGAGATCGAGCCACTGCACTCCAGTCTGGGCGACGAGAACAAATCTCCATCTCAAAAAAAAAAAAAAAAAAAAGTCCAGGCAAGGTGGCTCATTCATGCTTGTAATTCCAGCACTTTGGGAGGCTGAGGTGGGTGAATCACAAGGCCAGAAGATTGAGACCATCCTGGCTAGCATGCTGAAACTCCGTCTCTACTACAAATACAAAAAATTAGACGGGCGTGGTGGCACGCTCCAGTAATCTCAGCTACTCAGGAGGCTGAGGCAGGAGAATCGCTTGAACCCAGGAAGCGGAGGTTGCAGTGAGCCAAGATCACGCTACTGCACTCCAGCCTGGGAGAGAAAGTAAGACTCCATCTCAAAAAAAAAAAAAAAAAAAAATTGCTGATTCTTTTTATGTTTTGTTTTCCAGAGTCAAGATATATTAGCTTTTGAGTTATTTATGGCCAACAGCAATCGGGTAAAGTATACCTTTTTTTTTGTTTGTTTGAGTTGGAGTCTTGCTCTGTCACTCAGGCTGGAGTGCAGTGGCACAATCTTGGCTCACTGCAACCTCTGCCTCCCGGGTTCAAGTGATTCTCCTGCCTCAGCCTCCCAAGTAGCTGGGATTAGCCCACCACAACACCTGGCTTATATTTGTATTTTTAGTAGAAATGAGGTTTCAGCATGTGTTCCAGCTGGTCTCGAACTCCTGACCTCAGGTGGTCCACTGGCCTTGGCCTCCCAAAGTGCTGGGATTACAGGTGTCAGCTTCCATGCCTGGCCAGGTAATGTATACTTTTGTGAAGAAATTGAGACATTTACCTTTCTCTTTACCTGTCTTCTCTGGAATTCAGAAACTATTCATGAATATCCTTGTTTTCTAGCAATATAGTAATTTGCATAAGTTCAATAAGAATTTGGGGTTTTTTTTGTAACAGGACACAGTTGGAGACACTGGTAATTTTACCAAGGCGTTGACTGGAATAATATATTTTAGATATCACCAGTCTTTGAGGGATCGAAATTGACTTTAGAAAGCCAATAGACTTAGAAAAAGACTGACCTGGTACCTTGCCTACACAGTTTTCTTACAAGATTCCTGACCTTGTGGTAAGTAAAGAATGTCACTTTCTGACAGGCCCAGGAACTTCAAGATATTTTGAGACCTTGAGAAGAAAGGAACTCACCTGATTTGTACAGGTATTACAGGCATAGTCTGATGGTGAATTCTTGGCTTGGCTTTGTAGCCTCAAGAGGCTTTTAAAAGTCTAATTCTTTATGCAAATGTTCCAGCAAAGCCAATTTAAAAGGAGACTATGGCCAATCAGTATTCTTGTTGAACTTTATGTAAATAATCAGGCAAAGTATAGTAAGACTAAAACTTATTTTACAAGTAAATTGGTCTTACTATGATTTATCTTTGATAAAATGGGGGAACTGGAAGAGAAAAATTGTATTTTAATAGTATGCCTACTGTTAGATTTTAGCCCTGACCATTGTTTTTGACTTTTTATTGTTCACCTAAAATTTGGATTGAATTTGGAATCGTTTTCTGGCTACAACAAGACTCTTACAAAACACCCTGGATTTAATTTTCTTCTTGATGTTTTTAGTTGGCTCCCTAATGGAATAGTTTCTTTTTGTTATTGTTCTGTCATCCGAATTCTCTTTTTGATTATAATCCTTCTGCACATTATATTTCTAGTATTCAAATTATTAATGCTATATATCTCTCATTGTTTTATTTCTGAGAAAATTAAAATCATGATATTCCAAAGACTAAAGATGATTCAACAAGTGATAATAGCTATATAAATCAATGATTTGACTGAGGTCTCTTGCCAGTCTCTGATTCTATCACAATTCAGCTTTTGGGCGCTCTTAAGATTTCTTCCCTAAGATGTGTCCTCCTTATCTCTGATGTAAGACAGGACTATATGGGAATGAGTCTTCCCAGTGACAAGGAACACTTTGACACTCAGACTTTGATCATCAATGCTTTCAAGAAAAAAGATTTTTGATCAAAAGGGGGAAATGAAAAAGAAAAGAAACTTAATCTGAGGAATGCAAGCCTCCTTTAAATGATCAGGAACAGAGAGGCATTGAAATATGATGACAGTCACATCCCATCTCCCCCCTCAGCTGTGCCCTTGAGTTTAGTAATCATTTCATAGTTGCCTGCTGTATGGACTCTAGATGGAGTGTTTCCAGCAATAGCTATAAATTAATCTAGTAATGCCATATGCTGGACACCATAACTCATACCCTTTTGTACAACAACGTATAGCCAATCACGTATCAATGTTATTTCTGTAAACCAGTGAGAATTCCTGACCAAAAACTTTTGTAAATTGCCCCCTCTCCTGGTTCATCCTTTTTTCTTTAAGACTTTGAGCCTCTCCTTCTCCTCTGGAGCACTTCCTAGTGTTTCCCAGGCTGCAGTCCTCAACCTTGGGCCAAACAAACTCTCAGCCTATATTAATTTTGCCTCAGTTTCTTTCTTTAGGTTGACAGACTCTTAGTATCTCCCAGGGGCTCCCCTTCTCTTGCCCTTGAAAAATAGGACCTCAGAAATTTAACTGGGCACATGGTCATCCACAATAAAGACTATATTTATCAGCTTCTCTTGTGGCTCGATGTGCCATGGGACTAAGCTATGGTCAATGGATTTAAGTAGAAGTGGCATATGTAACCACCTGATAGATTCATCTTGCTCACTGTCCAGATAGAGCCAATTATAAGACAGGAGAATTGCAATAGAGAAAGAGTTTAATTCACATTGCTGGCTGAACAGGAGACCAGAGTTTTATTATTATTCAAATCAGCCTCCCTGAAAATTCCAAGGCTAGAATTTTTCAAGGATACTTTGGAGGGCCAGGGAATGGGTGCTGCTGATTAGTTGGGGATGCAATCATAGGGATGTGGAAAATAGTTTTCTTTCAGGTGAGGCCACAAGACTGCTTGATGGGTCTGCATGGAGCCATTGTGGTCAGAAATGCAAACCTGAAAAGACATCTCAAAAGGCCAATCTTAGGTTCTACAATAGTGATGTTATCTGCAGGAGTAATTGAGGAAGCTGTAAATCTTGTGACCTCTGGAATAATGGCTGGTAATTGTTTACATAGACACCTTAGCAGAATTCATGCTCCTGATATCCTCCTACCCTGGTGGTCTTTTATTAGCTTTACAAAGACAGTTTAGATTTGGGGAGGGGCTATTATCATTTAAGTTATAAACTAAATGTTTCCCAAAGTTAGGTTGGCCCAAGCCCAGGAATGATTAAGGGCAGTTTGGAGATTAAAGGAAAGATGGGGATTGGTTAGATCTCTTTTTTTTTTTTTTTTTTTAGAGGGAGTCTTGCTGTGTAGCCCAGGCTGGAGTACAGTGATGTGATCTTGACTCACTGCAAGCTCCACCTCCTGGGCTCACACCATTCTCCTGCCTCAGCCTCCGGAGTAGCTGGGACTACAGGCGCCTGCCACCATGCCTGGCTAATTTTTTTGTATTTTTAGTAGAGACGGGGTTTCACCGTGTTAGCCAGGATGGTCTCAATCTCCTGACCTTGTGATCTGCCCGCCTTGGCCTCCCAATGTGCTGGGATTACAGGCATAAGCCACTGCGCCTGGCCAATTAGATATCTTTTACTGTCATTAATTTTCTCATTGTTATAATTTTTGCAAAGATGGTTTCATTATCATCTTTATTTCAAAGTTAAACTATAAACTAAATTTCTCCCAAAGTTAGTTTGGCCTGTGCCCAGGAATGAACAAAGGCAGTTTCATGCGCGTCCCTGTGAAGAGACCATCAAACAGGCTTTGCGTGAGCAATAAAGCTTTTAATTACCTGGGTGCAGGTGGGCTGAGTCCGAAAAGAGAGTCAGAGAAGGGAGATAAGGGTGGGGCTGTTTTATAGGATTTGGGTAGATAAAGGAGAATTACAGTCAAAGGGGGGTTGTTCTCTGGCGGGCAGAGTGGGGGTCACAAGGTGCTCAGTAGGGGAGCTTTTGAGCCAGGATGAGCCAGGAGAAGGAATTTCACAAGACAATGCCATCAGTTAAGGCAGGAACCGGCCATCTGGATGTGTACATGCAGGTCACAGGGGATATGATGGCTTAGCTTGGGCTCAGAGGCCTGACATTCCTGTCTTCTTATATTAATAAGAAAAATAAAACGAAATAGTGGTAAAGTGTTGGGACGGTGAAAATTTTTGGGGGTGGTATGGAGAGATAATGGGCGATGTTTCTCAGGGCTGCTTCCAGCGGGATTAGGGGCGGTATGGGAACCTAGAGTGGGAGAGATTAAGCTGAAGGAAGATTTTGTGGTAAAGGGGTGATATTGTGGGGTTGTTAGAAGAAACATTTGTCGTGTAGAATTATTGGTGATGGCCTGGATACGGTTTTGTATGAATTGAAAAACTAAATGGAATAAGAGGAGGAGAAAAACAGGTATAAAAGGTCTAAGAATTGGGAGGACCCAGGACATCTGATTAGAGTGCCTAAGGAGATTCAGCATAGTCCTGCCAGCAAAGATTATTTATTTACTTCAAGAGTTTAGAGTGGCAGTTTGGGGATAGCACCAGGAGATATCAGCTGAGATGGCTTGGAGAAACAGTGTAAACCGGCAGTGTAAACAAGAGCAGGGCATGTATGAGTAGTTGAGAATGGTGAATAGGAGTGTCAGGCCTCTGAGCCCAAGCCAAGCCATCGCATCCCCTGTGACTTGCACGTATACATCCAGATGGCCTGAAGTAACTGAAGATCCACAAAAGAAGTAAAAATAGCCTTAACTGATGACATTCCACCATTGTGATTTGTTTCTGCCCCACCCTAAGTGATCAATGTACGTTGTAATCTCCCCCACCCTTAAGAAGTTACTTTGTAATCTCCCCCACCCTTAAGAAGTTTCTTTGTAATTCTCCCCACCCTTGAGAATGTACTTTGTGAGATCCACGCCTGCCCGCAAAACATTGCTCTTAACTTCACCGCCTATCCCAAAACCTATAAGAACTAATGATAATCCACCAACCTCTGCTAACTCTCTTTTCAGACTCAGCCCGCCTGCACGCAGGTGATTAAAAGCTTTTATTGCTCACACAAAGCCTGTTTGGTGGTCTCTTCACACGGACGCGCGTGAAAAGGAGTGTGACTAGACAGAAGATAGGATGACAAGTTTTTTTGGGGCACAGTCTAAGTCGGTCTGGTGTCCGGAATGAGACTGGGGCCTAATAAAAAGGAGCGTCTATATAGGACTGTATCTTGTAGCATTCTGAGGACAGGTCTGACTTCTGAGAAGGGAAAATGATAAAAGTATTGTCTATTCTTTTTTAAGTTGGTGGCTGAGATTGGTGAGGTGTGTTTTTAAAAGACCTTTAGTCTGTTCTACTTTTCTTGAAGATGGAGGACCGTAAGGGATATAAAGGTTTCAATGAATACTAAGAGCCTGAAAAACTGCTTGGCTGATTTGACTAATAAAGGCTGGTCTGTTATCAGACTGTATAGAGGTGGGAAGGCTAAACTGAGGAATTATGTCTGAGAAGGGAAGAAATGACTGCAGTGACCTTCTCAGACCCTGTGGGAAAGGCCTCTACCTATCCAGTGAAAGTGTCTACCTAGACTAAGAGGTATTTTAGTTATCTGACTCGGGGCATGTTGAGTAAAGCTGATTTGCCAGTCCTGGGTGGCGGCAAATCCTCGAGCTTGATGTGTAGGGAAGGGAGGGGGCCTGAATAATCCCTGAGTAGTAGTAGAATAGCAGATGGAACACTGAGGAGTTATTTCCTTGAGGATGGATTTCCACAATGGAAAGGAAATGAGAGGTTCTAAGAGGCGGGCTAGTGGCTTGTACTATAGCATAGCCTGCCTTTGCTTGTATGTGGCGATTAGGCCTGGTGGAACTGCCATCAATAAATCAAGCGTGATCAGGGTGAGGAACAGGAAAGAAGGAAATATGGGGAAATAGGGTGGATGTCAGGTGGATCAGAGAGATACAGTCATGAGGGTCAGGCGTGGTATCAGGAATAATGTGGGAGGCCAGACTGAAGTCCAGGCCAGGAACGATGGTAATTATAGGACTTAACAAAGAGCGAGTACAGCTGAAGGAGCCGGGGAGCAGAAAGTATATGTGTCAGGTATGAGGAAGAAAATACATTTTGGAAGTTATGAGAAATGTAGAGAGTGAGTTGAGCATAGTTTGTGATTTTTAGGGCCTCTAAAAGTATTAAAGCAGCGGCAGCCGCTGCATGCAGACATGAGGGCTAGGCTAAAACAGTAAGGTCAAGTTGTTTGGACAGAAAGGCTACAGGGTGCGGTCCTGGCTCTTGTGTAAGAATTCTGACCGCACTAACCATACCTAGGAAGGAAAGGAGTTGTTGTTTTGTAAGGGATTGAGGTTTAGGAGATTAATTGGACACGATCAGCAGGGAGAGCACGTGTGTTTTTATGAGAATTATGCCGAGATAGGTAACAGATGAGGATGAAATTTGGGCGTGACTGAAGTAATGGGGGCTGTCTGTGAAGCCTTGCGGCAGTACAGCCCAGGTAATTTGCTGAGCCTAATGGGTGTCAGGGTCAGTCTAAGCGAAAGCAAAGAGAGTCTGGGATGAAGGGTGCAAAGGAATAGTAAAGAAAGCAGGTTTGAGATCTAGAACAGAATAATGGGTTGTAGAGGGAGGTACTGAGGACAGGAGAGTATATGGGTTTGGCACCATGGGGTGGATAGGCAAAACAATTTGGTTGATAAGGCGCAGATCCTGAACTAACCTGTAAGCCTTGTCTGGTTTTAGGACAGGTAAAATGGGCGAATGGTAAGGAGAGTTTATAGGCTTTAAAAGGCCATGCTGTAGCAGGCGAGTGATAACAGGCTTTAATCTTTTTAAAGCATGCTGCGGGATGGCATATTGGCGTTGAGTGGGGTAAGGGTGATTAGGTTTTAATGAGATGGTAAGGGGTGCATGATTGGTCGCCAAGGAGGGAGTAGAGGTATCTTATACTTGTGGGTTAAGGTGGGGGATACAAGAGGAGGACGCAAAGGAGGCTTTGGATTGGGAAGAAGGGCGGCAGTGAGATATAGCTGTAGTCCAGGAATAGTCACGGAAGCAGATAATTTAGTTAAAGTGTCTCGGCCTAATAAGGGACCTGGGCAGGTGGGGATAACTAAAAGGAGTGCTTAAAAGAGTATTGTCTAAGTTGGCACCAGAGTTGGGGAGTTTTAAGAGGTTTAGAAGCCTGGCCGTCAATACGCACAACAGTTACAGAAGCAAGGGAAACAGGCACTTGAAAACAAGGTAATGTGGAGTAGCCTCCGTATTGATTAAGAAGGGGACAGACTTACCCTCCACTGTGAGAGTTACCTAGAGCATCTGTGATGGTCCTGTAGGCTTCTGAGGCTATCGGGCAGTGTCAATCTTCAGCTGCTAAGCCAAGAAGATCTGAGAAGGAGTCAGAGAGCCTTGGGCCAGAGTTCCAGGGGCTCTGGAAGTGGCTGCCGGTGAGTTGAACAGTCCGATTTTCAGTGGGGTCCTGCACAGATGGGACACGGCTTAGGAGGAATTCCGCGCTGTGGGCATTCCTTGGCCCAGTGGCCAGATTTCTGGCACTTGTGGCAAGCTCCTGGGGGAGGAGGTTCTGGAGGAACCCCTGGCAGCTGCGGTTCAGGTGTTTGGAGTTCTTGTGTGCTGGAGATGTGGCTGGGGTTTGTCTCACAGTGGAGGAAAGAATTGCAACTCAGAAATATGTTGCTACTTGGCTGCCTCCACTCTATTATTGTACACCTTGAAGGTGAGGTTAATTAAGTCCTGTTGTGGGGTTTGAGGGCCGGAATTTAATTTTTGGAGTTTTATTTAATGTCAGGAGCAGATTGGGTAATAAAATGTATATTGAGAATAAGACGGCCTTTTGACCTTTTAGGGTCTAGGGCTGTAAAGCGTCTCAGGGTTGCTGCCGAATGAGCCATGAACTGGGCTGGGTTTTTCATATTTGATGAAAGAGCCTAAACGCTCACTGATTTGGGAGAGGTCTGATAAAGAAAAAGGAGCATTAACCTTGACTATGCCTTTAGCTTCAGCCACCTTTTTAAGAGGAAATTGCTGGGCAGGTGGGGGAGGGCTACTTACGGAATGAAACTGTAAACTGGACCGGGTGTGAGGAGGGGAGGTGATAAAAAGATTATAGGGTGGAAGAGCAGAGGCTGAGGAAGAATTGGGACCTAGCTCAGCCTGGCAAGGAGCAGACTGGGGAGGAGGGGAGAGGTCACATGGGTCTGTAGAAAAGGAAGATTAGAAAAACTCAGCGACACTTGGGGTTGGGACTGAGGGGACAGGCAGGAGGGAAAGAAGGAAGATTTGGGATCAGTTGCACTGGGCACAGAGACTAGGGAGGGACCGATGTGTAAAAGAATGCCTGGACGTCAGGCACCTCAGACCATTTGCCCATTTTACGACAAGAATCATTTAGATCTTGCAGGATGGAAAAATTGAAAGTGCCGTTTTCTGGCTATTTGCAACCACTGTCGAGTTTGTATTGGGGTCAAGTGGCATTGCAGAAGAAAATAAGGCATTTAGGTTTTAGGTCAGGTGTGAGTTGAAGAGGTTTTAAGTTCTTGAGAGCGCAAGCTAAGGGAGACGAAGGAATGGAGGGTGGAAGGTTGCCTATAGTGAAGGAGGCAAGTCCAGAGAAAAGAGAGAGTAGAGACACGGAGGGAAGGGGTTTGGGGGTTCTTACCCTCCAGAAAAGCAGGAAAGGGGTCGGGGCACAGAAATAAGGGGTTGAGGCGCAAAGAGGTCAGGGCACGGAAATAAGGGATTGGGGTGCAGAGATAAGATAAGTTAAGGCAGGAACCAGCCATCTGGATGTGTACGTGCAGGTCACAGGGGATATGATGGCTTAGCTTGGGCTTAGAGGCCTGACAGGCAGCTTGGAGGTTAAAGGCAAGATGGAGTCGGGTTAGGTCAGATATCCTTTACTGTCATATTTTCTCACTGTTATAATTTTTGCAAAGGCAGTTTCATATATGCCCCTCTTCTGATCCTTCCTCCTGTTGGCTGAATGCAAACAAAATGAATGGAGCTGGAGAAATTGTATTGAACTATGACATAGAAGCCAAACACCAAGGATGACAAAGCAAGGAGCTACAAATAATCTGGATTCCTGACATCATAGACCTCCATTCTGGCCTTATTCATCTACCTGGATTTTTATGTAAGAGAGCAATTAACCTCTTTCCCATTTAAGCAATTCTTACTTGGGCTTTTCTGTCATTTGTAGCCAAACACAACTAATATGATAATATTGGGCTAATCTAACTGTCTCACACTCCAATATGGGGAGTTCTAAATGCTGATGATCAAATTACATGACTAAGCAGATCAGTTCCGATATCAGGTATGTTCACCAACCTCAACTGGGCCCTCAGTGCTGCATAGCAGTCTCTCCAATTCTCTCTGGTAGCCACTTCAGGCATTTATGCTCCTCAAACTTTTCACTTCTCCTTCTCCCACTTCTCAGCAGTTGACCTCTGCTTATTTCAGAGGGAACATATAAGAAACCATTAGATAAGAACTTACCCCTTCAGGCTGGGCGCAGTGGCTTACGCCTGTAATCTCAGCACTTTGGGAGGCTGAGGCGGGCGGATCATGAGGTCAGGAGATCGAAACCATCCTGGCTGACATGGTGAAACCCCGTCTCTACTAAAAAATACAAAAAATTAGCCGGGTGTGGTGGCAGGTGCCTGTAGTCCCAGCTACTTGGGAGGCTGAGACAGGAAAATCACTTGAACCCAGGAGGTGGAAGCTTCAGTGAGCCCTCTCCCTCTCCTTTTCTTCCCAACCATAGTCAAACTACTTGACTTTTCTGAGTCCACTTCTTCATCCTTAAGGGTCTTCTCAAAACTTCTGAAGTATGGCTTCAGCTTCTGTCACTCCATGAAAATGCTGTCAAGGTTGCCAACTTCCCTTGTAGCTAAATCTACTGGACATTTCTCAGTCCTCAGCTTACTTTGCTCCTCAGTAATGTGACATCGCAAACCATCTCTCCTTAAATGATTCTTGTCTCTTGGCTTGTGTGCTATTGATCTCTTCTGGTTTTCTATCTCTTTTTCTTTCTGACAGCTCTTCCCCTTGGTCTTTGTTATGGGTTTCTTTTCTTTCATCCTACCCCTTAAATGTTAATCTCAGTCTAATCCTAATCACCCCACCCTAATCCTCGTATCATGCAAAGGAATTTTCTACTTGGCCGGCGCCATGTTTTCTGCTCCTTACTGTACATGTGGTCGGCAAGAAAAACGGAAGATGGAGCCGCCATGTTGAACATGCCAACCCACAGGTAGCCTTTCCCTATTGGCACAGCTGCCGGCATTCACCCGTGCAAGCTTCCAGCTTGCCTTTGTATGTCTGCAGCTTTATTTTACAGGCTGCACTCTGTTAGAAAAGAAAATGATTTGTGGGCTGCTTTTCATTAAAAGGAAAACCTTATCTAGGACTTTCTTACTGTCACTATCTGCCTAAATAATTTCTTTTTAACTCCTATATCAAAACCACCATCCATCTAATTGCCTAAGCCTGTCACGGATACACTTTCATCTAAACAATCATAAAGCCCTGCCAAGTTTACTTTTACATATGTTACATATGTTTCAGACCCATTCATCTCTCTCCATTCCTACTGCTACTTCCCTTATTCCAGTTCCCCATCATCGTTCACTTGGGCTATTCTATAACTTTCTGTCTCTCTGCCTCCAGTCTTCCACACCCATTCTCCACAGTACAGCCACAGTGATCTTTCAAACGTGGTAATTTATTTATTTGAGACAGAGTTTCCCTTTTGTCACCCAGGCTGGAGTGCAGTGGTGTGATCTCTGCTCACTGCAACTTCCGCCTGCCAGGTTCAAGTGATTCTCCTACCTCAGATTCCTGAGTAGCTGGCATTACAGGTGCCCGCCACCACGCCTGGATAATTTTTGTATTTTTAGTAGAGACAGGGTTTCACCGTCTTGGCCAGGCTGGTCTTGAACTCCTGACCTTAGGTGATCCACCCGCCTCGGCTCCCAGTGTGCTGGGATTATGGGTGTGAGCCACCGCGCCTGGCCTGAAGCATTGAGATTTAATCACACCATTCTCTGATTCCTTATGGCCCATAGGATAAAGCTCAACATCTAGACTTGGCTTACAAAAGCCTGTCCATGTGTCTTCTGCCTGTGTCTTTGGCCTCTTTTCTTGCCACTCACCTCCTTTTACTCTCCATTTACCCACATTCAATTCCATTTTCTCAAGTATGCACTACTCTCTATTGGTGCTGAGTCACTGCAAAAACTAAGACATTCCTTCTGCTGGGAATCCTCTTCCCACTGTCCCCACCTGCCACTCTGCCCCCATCTTTAGCTATCTCCCTTTTCCTTCAAGTCCCTGATTCCAAACATTTCCTTTTACAGCATCTTCTCTGATTTCCAGAGTCTGGTTCAGTGCCCCTTCTATGTGCTCCCAAAGGTCTTCTTCCTCTTTTTTAAAATTAATTTTTAATTTTTGTGGGTACATAATAGGTATATGGATTTATGGGGTACATGAGATACTTTGATACAGGCGTGTTAATATGTAATAATTGTATCAGGGTAAATGGAGTATCCATCACCTCAAGCATTTATTCTTTGTGTTACAGACAATCCAATTTTGCTATTTTAGTTATTTTTAAATGTACAATTATTTTTTACTATAGTCACCAGGTTGTGCTAGCAAATACTAGGTCTTATTCATTCTTTCTATTTTTTGTACGCATTAACCATCCTCACTTCTCCCCCATATCCCCACTACCCTTCCCAGACTCTGGTAACCATGCTTCTACTATTTCCATGAGTTCAGCTGTTTTAATTTTTAGCTCCCACAAATAAGTGAGAACATGCAAACTTTGTCTTTCTGTGCCTGGCTTACTTCACTTAACATAATGACCTCCAGTTCCATCCATGTTGTTGCAAATGAAAGGAGCTCATTCTTTTTTTATGGCAGATTAGTACTCCATTGTGTATGGGGACCACATTTTCTTTATCCATTAATCTGTTGGTGGACATGTAGGTTGTTTCCAATCTTGGATATCGTGAACAGTGCTGCAGTAAACATGGGAGTGCAGATATCCCTTCAATATACTGATTTCCTTTATTTTGGGTATATACCCAGCAGTGGGATTACTGGATCATCTGGTTGTTCTATTTTTAGTTTTTTGAGGAACTTCCAAATTGTTCTCCAAAGATCTTTCCTTCTGCTATAGCACTTACACCATATTGTAATTGCTTATTTACCTTCTGCAAGACTGCAGCATTGTAAGAGTAAGGACCATGTCTATTTTATTCATCTTTGTATTTCCAGAGCCTCTCAGCTCAATATATTTTTACTGAATAAATGAACCCAAAGTAGGTATTCAGTTTTTAATACATGCTTCACTTTCCTAGTGGATAAACATGTCTGGGTAGTCAGGCAATTAAGAAATATTCTATATAACAACCACTCTCATGGTGACTGAAAAGAAAGAATTCCCCTCTAGACATCTTTAATGATTTTTTAAAAAATCACTAATTTTACCAGAGCATTGTAAATTGTGATACTCAAGCAGAAAAAAAAGATCAAATTAAAATCAGCTCTTGCTTTCCAATTTAAGTTGTCAACAGGCCTCTGTGTTTGAGGTTTCCCCAGGAGTCCCACAGGACAAGGAGAGAGAAAAAGGCTTATCACAACTGTCAGTCTAGACTCTTCCTACTTTACTTCTCCACTCAAGAGTGGAGTTCCTCTCCTATCCAGTGATCTTAAGGTTGCTAGAAAATTAAAAATAGTTCTTCAACACATGAAGGATGAAGGCTCCAGTTCTAATCTGCTCAAATATTCAATGAATATTTAACTGCAGGCTGACTGTATGCAAGACATCTTATTTCTCATAATCTCCTCAGGTCTCCTGTAAGTATTTTATTCTCTTGGACAGACCTCCGTTTAAGAGAGGGAGACCCTTACTCTATTGACAAGCCCCCCTAGCCTTTAAGAAGCAGAATAACAGCTGATAGTTTAACTTCCAATCATACAGGTACCAATCATGCTACTAATTTAAAATACCAAAAAAGAGATTTTGGTAATGGCTAATGGAAAGCTGTCATGGGTCAATATATAATTAAATTCCAATACAAATACCAAAAAAAAAAAAAGAATTTTGGTATCTTAAATTATCAGATAATTTTGCTCTGAGCTGTTTTTCTAATCAGATTGATTGTGATGTATTGCATTATTCACACTCTTTTATCTATTCATTCCAGTATATATTAGCCCCAATATATATGTGCAAGATTGCTGGTCATAGGATAGTTTTTCTTCAGGAGAAAATAATTGGTCAACAAAGGGGATCAAAATTTAGATTTATTAACATAATAACTAACTCAAACCCCACTTCAAAAAGAACTGATGATCTGGCATTCCATTAAAAACCCAGCATTATCTTCTTGGCACCCATATTAGTTTGCTTAGACACAACACCAGAAAACAAAAAGCAAATGTTGGCATTTCAGAAATGCTGTGTTAGCTGGAAATGAACCATGCAAACAGAAGCACATAAAGAACCTTAAGAGTCAATGTGTTTTTTCCAGCCAGGAAAATAGTGTCACTACATAAGATTCCCTTTTGTTTAATTATACCTAGTTCTCTAAATAAAGCCTTTTATCACCTTTCCACATAAAGGGAAACTTTAAAGAAACAAAGTGACAAAATAGATGTTTTTGAAATATTTTCACTCAGTGAGGTATGAGCTTCTTGTTGCAAACCCTCTCTAGTAGATGCTGGGTCCTGTGGTTACAGATGTACTTACAAGCCAAGGATATCTGGAAATCCAGGTTAATCAGCAGTCCAAAATGTCAGTCATAACAAACAACAATAATGACAAAGGTCAAATTAATGTAATATTCTCAGAGTAAAAGTGTGTATTTCTCCTTGTTATGTCAATTATTTTGCTCATGTTGCTCCTATTTTGTAGGACATTTCATTGGTCAGCAGGCTTAACTCATCGTAATGAGGGAATGAATGAAAAGGTGAAGATCAACTTTCTATTTTAATTCCCATTATGACAAAACATTTTTGCAGATCAAAAAGATGTTTGAACTAGTGTCACAGATCAACACAGAATTACATTCCAATGCAAGCTAATAGGAACAAATTCCTTGGAATTTGTTGTTAGAGAATTTGATATGTTGGGTCATTGCTCTGTACTCTGTCCTCCAAACTATATATCCTTTCAAAAGTGTTTCAGCTACAGATAATTTGGATTATCCTTTCCATTAGCCATTGAATGATTAAAAAGCTCCTTAGACTGAGGATAACTTTAAAATACATTTAAGATGCTCCAGCTGGGTACAGTGGCTCACGCCTGTAATCCCAGCACTTTGGGAGGCCGAGTTGGGTGGATCACCTGAGGTCAGGAGTTTGAGACCAGCCTGACCAACATGGAGAAGCCCTGTCTCTACTAAAAATACAAAATTAGCCTGGCATGGTGGCACATGCATGTAATCCCAGCTACTTGGGAGGCTGAGGCAGGAGAATTGTTTGAACCCGGGAGACAGAGATTGTGGTGAGCTGAGATTGCGCCACTGCACTCCAGCCCGGGCAACCAGAGCAAAACTTCATCTCAAAAAAAAAAAAAAAAGCTCCGATTTTGTTTTATTTCAAAGAGCCCACTGAGCTCCCAAAATGAAGAGGCTGTAAATTTGTTAGTCTGAGACCATCTACTGTTGCAAGTCTAATTCCATACATAGGGCCACCACCAAAGACCCAAGGAACTAAAATAGGGTAGAAGAAGTATTAATTCATTGATGCCAAAGGGTTGAATTACTTTGTTCCCATAGAATGGTAGGTAATGAGATTCATGACCACAGAGCCAAGGAGTTAAAAATAAAAGTATGTTACAAAATGATAGGAAATGCTGGCTTCAGTACAACTGAGTCCTCTCCGAAGGGCAAACTGCTTATCTTGATATTTTCTAACTCCCCTCACTCAGTCCCTAGTTTATTTACAGTGAATAACTGCCCATTGTTACCTACTTTGATAAAGGAACATTTAAGGACTGGTATCTGAGGCCAGACTGGATTAAGGCTTGGACCCATGCCTTGTCTGAAGAATTCCTTGTATTTGTGAAATTCCACCCAGACAACATTTTCAATGGTCCTTTTGTATTTAAAGAGGAATTAAAACACTTTGGTAAATAAATACGGCTATATTTGAAATCAGTAGCAATAATGAAACCATAAAAGCAGCTGCAAAGAAACTCTTGATTGTTAACTCTCAAACTTTAAAAGTCCTATAGCATATACCAAAGCAGAATAACATTCTTTTAATGCTTCTCTGCAAAAGGTTACATCCCAAGAGTCATATCTTTGACTTTAATTTCATCATAACAAGTATCACTTCACAGTTGTATTACCTTTGCAACAAGATACCAACTTTGCATAGTATACTTGATTCAGGGATTCCTGTCACAGTTGAGTTCTTTGAATAAAATCAATGAAAAATAGAATCAACATTTGCATTCATGCAGTATGACTAATATAGAAATGACACTAAGAAACATGTTAGAATTTACACACTCAAGTGAACACTGTTTCTTTCAACCTAGTCACCTTGAGAAGCTATACTTATTCCAGAATTTGGAGGATTTCTTTGGTGGGTGTGTTTATGAGAGAGGAGAGGGAGACAGAGAAAAAGAGGGAGATGGGAGTTGGGGAGAGAGACCAATCTCCAAAAAACTGCTTGTTCTCTCTTCCCCAACCCCTGTGCAAAACAACTTGGGAAGACTCGCAGTAGGGGATTCCTCCCACTACCCCTCCGCAGCTGCCACCTGAGCCCATACTACTTTGGGAGCTCCTGGCTGTAGATAGCAGACAGCCTGTGTGAACCGTTCATTCTCTTGTCCCTATACACCTGGTCCAATTCAACTCCTGCCCCTCACGATTCCAGATTTTGACAACTTTGTTTTTTGTTTTGAGACAGTCTTGCTCTGTCGCCCAGGCTGGAGTGCAGTGGTGTGATCTCGGCTCACTGCAACCTCCGCCACGCAGGTTCAAGTGATTCTCCTGCCTCAGCCTCCCAAGTAGCTGGAATTACAGGTGCCCACCACCATGCCTCACTAATTTTCCTATTTTTTTAAGTTGAGACGGGGTTTCACCATGTTGGCCAGGCTGGTCTTGAACTCCTGACCTCAGGTGACCCTCCCCCCGTCTCGGCCTCCCAAAGTGCTAGGATTACAGGCGTGAGGCACTGCGCCAGGCCCCAAATTTAGACAACTTTATGGTCGCTATGGTTCAGGTTACTATTGTTCAACTACTTTGTGAATTGAGAAAGATTTTTTTGAATTGCTTGATAGTATAGTGATTTTAACATTTTAATAAAACATTACCATCTCCATTTCAAATAACTAATTTCCCAAAGGTCATTTGACAAGCCAATTGAAAGTGAACAGTATCTGAATACATTGCATTCCTGCAGAGGTATGCTAGGCAAAATAACTGTCCTAACTCCATAACAAATAGTAGAGTAAAATAAGAGCCTTGTCATTGAATGAGCACTCATATTAGCTGAATGATTTATAATGATTTATATAGCATACCAAAGGACTGTAAGTGAGTCTACTGGACAACTCTCGATTCTCTTTCCCTGCTTTTGTCTTTCATTTCCAAACTAAGCAGCCTTTTAGTTAAATGAAATCTGAAGCAGATCATTCCTTACATTTGGGAATCATTGTTTACATGACAACAAGAGTTGATAGTTTTACTCTGCAGACACTTATAATTTAAAAACAAAAACTTAAAATGCAATGTTCTTACCTCTGCTTCAACAAACAAAACGTGGAAATATAACTGAGTCTTGGAGGATAGACATAGGCATGGAAGTTCTAATACCAGATCTGTCAATCAGTAATCAGTTCATCCTGGCCTTCATTTCCTCATCTGTAACTTGATGTCCAAGATCCTCTCTAGTTTATATTTTATTATTTTTATTAATAGTTATACAGTAATACGATATAACTTCAGGAAATCTTAATTTTCCCTTTAAATATTGGCTGCTTGTTGTGCCTTTCCTCATTAAAATAGGTTCTTAAAAATTTGAATGTCTGGATGACATCCTTTTTGGCTGTCATTGATATTTCTTCTCTTTCCTCCAGGGCAATCCTTTTGTTCTATTCTGGCACCATCGATTTTCTTCTTGTTGCCTTGTCAACTTTCCAGTTAGTGCCACTTTTTGTAGTATCTTCACCTTTTCCCTTCCTATTTTTCAGCCAATGAAAGCATATTTTCTGATCAAATAATAGCTTGTATGTAACCTTTATTCTTCTGACTATTTTTATTAATGCTTCTACTCAGTATTAAGTAGCTTAAAGGTCCAGAGTTCTCAGTTTTGTTCAATCATCCAAGAAATAGTTTTCGAATATCTGTCATGTGCCAGAAATCATACTTATTTACCAACTCGCAAAAGAATTCCTTCAATGTGTTCCATCATTAAAATGGGGAAGCAACAAAATGTGGCGATTATGTACACACAAATTGGGTGAGACTTCCAAAGTTCAAATTCCAAGTCCCCCAGTTAAAAGACATGTGAATCTCGGGCAAGTTACATTGCTATGGCTGGTTTCCATTGTAAAATGAATCTAACAGTTGGTTCCTCACAGGGATGCTTTGATTTTTAAAATAATATCAGTAATATTCCTAGTAGGGTACATTTAGAATAGTGCTTGACACATAGCATACACGCACATGTTAGCTGTGAGGAATGCTTGTACGCTGTGGCTTAATATTCACACACATAGCCGAGTTGACAATTTAATGTCAACCTAAATAACCCAACATTCCTGTTCCATCATCTAACACAATGCATGGACATGGTATTTTATGGCGATTATTAGGAAAACTCGATCTTTTTTTTTTTTTTTTTTTTTTTTTTTTGAGACGGAGTCTTGCTCTGTCGCCCAGGCTGGAGTGCAGTGGCGTGATCTCGGCTCACTGCAAGCTCCGCCTCCCGGGTTCACGCCATTCTCCTGCCTCAGCCTCCCAAGTAGCTGGGACTACAGGCGCCCGCCACTACGCCCGGCTAACTTTGTGTATTTTTCGTAGAGACGGGGTTTCACCGTGGTCTTGATCTCCTGACCTCGTGATCCGCCTGCCTCGGCCTCCCAAAGTGCTGGGATTACAGGCGTGAGCCACCGCGCCCGGCCTGGAAAACTCGATCTTATTACTTTTTTTTGTTGATAATTATCAAATACAGGCCTATTTCCTTCAGGGAAACTGGACATTAAAATCTGAACTTATAGGTTTAAGAATTCTGTTTTCCATAAGCACTCAAATATTTTTTCAAAAACTTTAAAAGCAAAGCACAACTTGTGCTCTGCCACTGCCAAAAAGGATTTGAAGCAGCAAAATATTAAGATTCAGGAAAACTGAAGACTCTTTTTTGTTTTTTTTTTTAAAGGCAAGAGCCAAGGAAAAAGGTGTATATGGCGAGGAGGAAGAAAAACTTTATCAGAATGCTTTCGCTAAATGAAGCGATTATAGTTGAAAACAAAACTTCATTTCCTTAGAGGGAAGCCAAAGCAAAGAGAGAACCATGAGACGTGTCCCAACTCTCTATTTCAATGAAAGGAAATTCACCATTCATCAGGAGGGATACTTTTTTGTTTGTTTCTAAGCTAGCGTGGGGTATACAGAGAACACTGATCATAATGGTTGAGAACTTTGATAGTAGTTATAAGTGGAGTTGTCCTTCCTTTGGCAAATGTCGTCTGACAGGTGCCTCAGTCTAACACTCAGGACGGAGTTCCTGATTCCTCCACCAGTGAGCCTCATCCCCTAAACAGTTCTTCCTATAATCTCTACTTCAACAAATGGCAGTTCCATCCTTCCAGTTGCTGAGGCTGATTGAGTGGAGTCATCCTTGATCCCTCTTCTTTCAAACCCTGTAGCTGATCTGCTAGCAAATGCTGTCAGGTCTGCCTTTAAAACACATTCAGAATCTGATCACTTTTCAAACCACCTCCACTGCCACCACCTTATCCAAACCATGATTTATCTCCAGGATTACTGCAATGTTCTCCCTGATCCCACCTTCAGTGTATTCAGATCCTATTAAATATGTCACATCAAGTCACTCACCTGCTCAAAACCCTCCAATGTCCCAATCTCATTCAGAATTAAAGCCATAAATCCCAGGGGGCTCTCCATAATCTATTGTCATCCCCATCTGTCACTTAAATTCTGTCGTTTTACTTCTTTGACCTTACCTGCTACTCTTCCTTGATTCATACCACTTGGCATCACACGCCTCTTTGCTATTGTAGAAATATCCCAGACATGCTTCTATTTCAGGGCCCTTGCAAGGGCCTTGTAGAGCTCTCTGCCTAAATGCCCCTCTAAGTGGCCACTCCCTTCTCTCTTCAGCTCTTTTAGAGCTTTATTCAAATACCACCTTCCCAGTGGGGCTTTCCCTAGCCTTCCTGTTTGATATTGCAAACACTTCTCCTCCTGCCCCAGCATATGACATTTTGCATCTGCATCTCCTCTTTCTACTTTATTTGCCCCCTCAGCACAGTTCACTATCATATTGTATATATACATATATTTACTTTTTCTTGCTTATTTCTATCTTGTACACTAGAATACAAACACGATGAAGGCAGGGATTTTTTTTTTCCTGCTATATCACCCGGTTTAGGACAGGGCTTGGCACACAGTGGGTATACAAAAATCTGTTTTAAGAAAGCAGAGGCCGGGCGTGGTGGCTCACGCTTGTAAATCCAGCACTTTAGGAGGCCGAGGTGGGTGGATCACTTGGGTCCAGGAGTTCGAGACCAGCCTAGCCAACATGGCAAAACCCCGTCTCTACTAAAAATACAAAAATTAGCCAGGTGTGGTGGCCGGCACCTGTAATCCTAGCTACTTGGGGAGGCTGAGGCAGGGAGAATTGCTTGAAGCCGGGAGGCAGAGGTTGCAGTGAGCCGAGATCACACCACTACCCTCCAGCCTGGGCGACAGAATGAAACTCCGTCTCAAAAAAAAAAAAAAAAAAAAAAGTAGATAAAATTTGAGGATAAAACATTAAAGAATACTTATATAAGAGTAATTCTGAAAGTGGGGGTGACAGACAGAATAACAGAGTTCAGTGATGCAGAGTTTTGCTGTTCTGATTTGCTATAGGGCAGTGCTTAGAGAAAACAGAGAAGGGAATGGAACATAGGTTTATTAACCAGTGGTCTCTAAAGTGTGGTAGCACAGCAGGGTGTGGTGGCTCAACACCTGTAATCCAAGCACTTTGGGAGGCTGAGGCAGGAGGATTGCTTAAGAGCAGGAGTTTGAGACCAGCCTGGGAAATCTAGTCAGACGGCGTCTCTACTGAAAATGAAAAAAATTAGCCAGGAATGGTGGTGTGTATCTGTAGTCCCAGCTACTCAGGAGGTAGAGGTGGAAG
Source organism: Homo sapiens (assembly GCF_000001405.40). NCBI lineage: Eukaryota > Metazoa > Chordata > Mammalia > Primates > Hominidae > Homo > Homo sapiens. The sequence goes on from NC_000002.12 coordinate 64,091,488, forward strand.
AATTGCTTGAGCCTGGGAGGTTGAGGCTGTGGTGAGCTGTGATTGCACCACTGCAGTCCAGCCTCGGCAACAGAGCAAGACCCTGTCTTAAACAAAAAAAGAAGTGGTAGCACAAGATGATCCATTGCAACGAAGGGCCAAAGTGTTAGAGTTATGTTGAGCTTATAACCTTAGAGACATAATAAGTGGACTTTCACCAGTGCCCTCAGTCTGGGTCAGACGGGAAGAGTGAAGTGGGACACTCAAATGTTAGAAGTAATTAATCCTAGCACTTTGGGAGGCCAAAGTGGGCGGATCACAAGGTCAGGAGATCGAGAGCATCCTGACCAACATGGTGAAACCCTGTCTCTACTAAAAATACAAAAACTAGCTGGGCATGGTGGCGGGCGCTTGTTATCCCAGCTACTTGGGAGGCTGAGGCAGGAGAATGGCGTGAACCCGGAAGGTGGAGCTTGCAGTGAGCCGAGATCACGCCACTGCACTCCAGCCTGGCGACAGAGTGAGACTCCGTCTCAAAAAAAAAAAAAAAAAGAAGAAGTAATTACATACTTACATTATTATTTATTCCTACCCTGCTTTACATGTACTAGAAGACTTTTACATGAGGGAAGTAAGCAAAGAAGGTTGCAAGAGGATAACCTAGTAAAAGAACTCTGATGTCTGAATGGCTTCCCTTCATGTCTTGCTTCATTACCCTAACATTTTAGATAAAGGGAAATTTAATTCCTTGAACAAATTAAGTAGCATTTAAATATAAAGATTACTTTGATAAAAGAGTTAAGCCATAAAGATTATCTTTCTTGAGAATGCATTTAGAAGACCTAAATACAACTTTTTCTCCTCCTTGGCCAGAATACTGACATTCCCTTAATACAACTAAGTAAAAGTGTTCTATTAGGCCATGACAAAATAACAGTTCTGCTTGAACAGCAAACACCCAACTGATCATTTAAATTGCCTGAATTTTTAAAACTTGAATTTGATAGAAAATGAGCCAGGTTTTTCCCTGTTAGAAGAGATTGTTTTTACCTGTTAGAAGAAAATGCAGGCAACTTTGGGAAGGACGTGCAACTTTTATGGTTACGAAGCCACTATTTAAATAGTCTAACATGCAACTTACAGGTGCCAACTCCCTAGCAAGGCTTAACTTAGAAAAGGCCTCAATTATTCAACCACTAACAAAGTTCCTTTATTAGTAAGAGATGCTTTTAAAAAAGAACCAGATACTTTAAAGTGTTACATTAAATGCAAACTCTTCATCTATTTCAAATGAGTATTTTTGGAGTGTGGAATAGAGTTGTTCACAGTTTTCACTTCTGGTTTCTCATTCTCGATTATGCAAAAATGAACTCACAGAGACGAATTCAATTATGTATTTTGAAAAGTATTTACTTAGTTTAAATAAATTAATTGCAAATAAAAATTAAGCTACAATATATAGCCTGAATAAAAATGACTAGAACAAATACAACACAGGACTTGCTTTCTTGCATTAGTCACAAAGCATGTGACAATCTAGAAAACTTCAAAATCAATTACATTTCTTTGAAAAAGGGGTAACAGCAGTTACTGATACATCACAACTAATAAACTTATAATACAAGTTTCCTGACATGCATTTCCTGAGTGAACCCAAATGATCATTTTTTAAAACAAGGAAGTTTCGACAGTTGAAGTAAAATAAAATAATTCATGGCTTCTAAGCAACAAGTTTTGTTTTTTAAAAACCAAAAGAAAATTCAGAACAGTTTTGTAATAGGATAAATTAAAGGTATGCTACCACATATAAAACTTTGCTACAGTCAGTTAAGTATTATACAACTTTTCAAACTAAAGGAAAACAAATCAAAATATTAAAAGAAGATACTGTCTAATCTAAAAGTGTACTGGTTTCTACAAGTGTCAAAAAAAGATTTGATGTAGTGCAACTGTCTATACTTGTGGTGCCTTTGAAAAAAGGGTGGGAAGGAGGGGAGAGAAGAAACTTTTCTTGCTTCTGGAAGCAAAAGACATATTGGAATTAGAGAATAAACAGACCATGCAGTGCGTCACTCCACGCTGCAGTCATTGGTGCTCATCTGCCAACCAAACATTTCCTTAAGTCTCACTGTGGCAATCTCCTTAGGATTCAAACCCAGAGTTAAGGCTGGTCTGCTAAAAACGGGGGCACTATTGTCATTCAACCCTTTAGATCTCTAGATTTCCTAATGCCCGAATAAGGCCAAATACAGAATAATTAATTAAGCATTTCTTTTTCCAAAAGCAAATCAAGTCACTCTCCTTTCTTGCTAATTTATACTTTTTCTTATGGCAATGATTTTTTTCTAGAAACAGTGAACAGATGAACCACAGTTTATATCCAAAAAATAAACTTGCCAAATGCTGCTGATACTAAAAACAGATTAGTTATCATGGGAGAAAAATAGATAATCTAGATTAAATTGCATATCCAAAGGAGCATATAAAATGTTTCTTAGCATTAAGTTTTTGTTATAGTACTACGCTCGAGAGAAACATTAAGAAAAAATCTTTCCTGATTATCTTCAATGTTGTTAAAAACAAACACCTTTCACGCGGGTAATTAGTATGAATTTGGTCTTACAAATTACAAAGTATTCTAATTTACCAAATTCCATATTTAGATTGGGGTGGGGAGAGAGGCTCTCTCGTCCTTCTTCCTAACTTTGCAAATCCTTGAGCTAGGTTGCTCACTAAGCTACCATTCACACCAAGGGTGTGACACCATCGTTACCATGCTACTCTATCAAGAACATTCTAAGGTATTTTCTATAATAAAGATAAATAGAAAAAAGTTAATATACATGTCGCTGTATTTTACAATGTTTGCAACAAACTGTAAACTAACATAGTTTGAACCAACAGTACCCTCAGTTATACAAAACAATTTCAGCACTGAGGATAGGTGATTCAAAAACACTAAAAGGAAGGCATCAAATTAGACTATGTCTTTTTCTCCTCAAAATATATTTTCAAAACTCAGAATTCAGAAGACTGATACTTTCAGAAATTCCTTTGCTTGAGTTTCCCAGATTTTTGCTCAGAAATTGCTACTATTTATTATAAATGTTTTAAAAAATTCTTCATCTTAATGCAAATGACCAGAGCAGAAAAACTGTGACGTGGACAACAGGTTCGAAAACCCAACTCACTTAGCTTATAAATTTATAATGTAGTCCTGCAAGACAATGGTCTGTTAGTCTAGAGGTCCTTGAAAAATAAGTCTGATGTAGCCTTGTTCACCAGCCAACTGATGTGCACAAAAGGGACAGGCTGCATGAAAAGTATGAGTACCATGAGGAAGTGGGATCTGGGACCAATAGGCAGTTGTCTTTTCTGAACACACATGCCCACACGGGCTAAACGCATGGGTTGGAGGGCCGGCGTCCACATAAAATCCAGCTTCACATCCAAGCCACAGAGGAACATAGGGACCAACAGACCTACACATAGGACATTCACGATCTTTTCCATCACGTTCTTCTTTGTTTCCCCAGTTATGATAGCCATGTACATGGCCGCAGTTTAGATATACCCATGGTTGTTTTTCATCTACAACGTCTTTCCTCTTCATACTAGGAAATGCTAGTGTGTTGAACCCTACAGGGCACTGAGGTCGTGCTGCATTGATTTCCTGTCTTAAAGCTTCTAAATGCTTCACGGTAGGAGTGTGGGAAAGGCCTTCTGCAGTACGCCATAACAATGTTGCACCACAGAGGTCAATTAACGAGCCATCTTGTAACTGATTGGTTTCAATTTCCACCTAGAGGAGACAAGAGTTGAAAAACATATTCACCACTCTGTTTTGGATTTTTACATAAGTGTTTTGGTTTTAAGTACTCCTTACTCAAGAAATGAGGTTTCCTAGGATTTTCACTAAATATTCAAGAAACTGACAGTAGTTATGAAAAATGTTAAGTTTGAAAATCAAGGATAAAATATCAAACATTAACATATTTCTTTTTAGCCTTATGGTAAAGACAACTTATGATTAAAACATCTGGCTAATCAATAAGTCTAATATTTTTAATGAGGTAAATATGGTTTAAGATATACAGATGGCAACAGAAAAGATCAGAGGGAGTGCTGTTTAGTTTAAGAAAGCTTAGGTTTTAAAATATATTAACATGATATGACAGAAGAATGAACTTCCAGAGTTTACTAAAATGCTCTTGTTGCCCAGGCTGGAGTGCAATGGCGCAATCTTGGCTCACCGCAACCTCTGCCTGCCAGGTTCAAGCTATTCTCCTGCCTCAGCCTCCCGAGTAGCTGGGATTACAGGCATGCGCCACCATGCCTGGCTTATTTTGTATTTTTAGTAGAGACAGGGTTTCTCCATGTGGCTCAGGCTGGTCTCGAACTCCTGATCTCAGGTGATCCATCTGCCTCGGCCTTCCAAAGTGCTGGGATTACAGGTGTGAGCCACCGCGCCCGGCTACTAAACGAAATATTAAAGAGACTGTCCTCTAGTATAGAATTTGGTAGTCAGTGTTTGATAGACTTAGTATTCTGTGTTGGCAATAGATTTAAGAGTTTTCTGGAATGTATGTAATGCATTCAGTTCTACTCATCCTATGTGTTTATTGTAGCTAATTAAGAAAATACCATTCAGTATTTACCATTTTTCCTCTCTGCTGAGCCGATCTGGTTTCACGTAGGCTAAATACATTTCCACACACCGATATTTCTCTCCATATTCCAGGCTTGGAGTCTTCTGTGAACCCATTGCGTGGATGCATCACAAGAACACCATTAGTGGTCAAGCCATCCATCTGTCCATCTGATGTCTTCCATTTGGCAGCCTTCTCCTAGTAGAAATAATAGCAGTGAGCTTCCAACTTGTAACTTGTAACTTGGAATGAAAGCTAGTATAAAAGAAAGCATCATTTAGAAAAAAAGCTTTTTACCCCAAGAAAGATGTTTTTTGATGAGTCAAATCCTGCAGCATAAATCCGTGCTGTAAAGGGAGGATTCCGTTCACATATGATTCTGCAGGCAAATCTTGATATAGTGCTTTGTACTGACTGTGTATCAGAATTACTTTGACTTCCAGGAACCGTGTCAGTTACTACAAAATCAATGGGGCTTTCAGTCGACCGGCCAATCTGAGGGAAAAAAAAAAATACCTATAAACCCATTCAAAGAGCACAGTGGAAAATCCATTCAAGAAGGGCACAATAAGGAGAGAACATTAGGTCTCTGAAATTTCTAAAGTTGAAGTTTACCATACTTAACGCTGGGGGCATCTATACTCTTGAAAACTAATCAGTCAGACTGTCTCTGATGAAGTAATCACTTAGAGCATGGAATTAAATGAGAACTTACAATAATATACGAAACCCTTAGGGAATGAAGAATTCAGGAACGGCTGAGATTTCTAGATGGCTGCAGATTTTAATTTTAACCCTTTTGGATGGAAATATGTGTATCATGTAGTTTTTTTCTCTTTAGAGATATTTAAAGAGATATTCTACCTTATTTAACAGAATATAGTGAACATATATAAGTAAATCTTTTAGGATGACTGCAGAACATTACACTATAAATACCACTTACGTTAAGCTGAAATGCAGTGATGTCTTCAGGTGCTACAAGAGGTATACAAGGCTGCTGGTCCTTATGTCAAGGGCTTACACAGCCTTGCTTTGAGGTCTTATGTATACTTCATATATTTTCTTGTTTCTTTTCTGTCAGGTTGTCAGCTATCACTCCTTGTTTTTGGTCATGCTTGTTTCCAGCAACAAGCCCCTCTTTTAACTGGCTACTCTTACTCTGTTATGGGTTGAGAAATCAAATAACCTATTTCAGAGAAAAGTATTTCAAAAGGTTCTGGTGAGAGCCTAAGGGATCCTCTAGGGAGAATAGAAAAGGAATTTCACTACATCAACTTTGTGGCATTTATTTTATATATATACTCTTCCTGGTTCTTAGGGATATTTCAGAGAGACAAGGTTCCCAGATAAGAGTTCTGGATGAGTGAGGTGTCAGAGATTTAAAAATATCTTCAGAGGTACTAGCTAGTAAATAAGTTAATTTCATTTTGAAAGTTGAAAGAAAAAAGGAAATCAATGGGGAGATGACAAAAGTGACAAGTGTCACGGGGCTTTAAAGCAAACATTTGGAAATTATCAGTTCATGAATGTATTTGTTATAAAGTAGTACCATAAAATTGAAGAATGTGGGTACTGAGAAAAAATACTGACCCTCTACAAAGATAAAGACTCTTAAAAGTCATTCTTTACATATTTTAGCCTCAAGTTCCTCATATCGGCACACTTTCAGATAAACCTCTTTAGTGTTTTTGTCCAACTGTCAAGTATAAAGTCTTTTTATTTAGATTGGATAGTTTTAGAGGGAAACTAGTTAACAAATATAAGATTGGATATTCCTTTTCTTTATTCTTAAAAATAAAGATACCTTAAATGGCCTCAGATCTTTGAAACAAAAAATATTCCCCCAAATAAAAAGGCTCTTTAAAAGCTAAAAGATATAGGCCAAGGATTGAACTAATATTCAGAATCAACAGAAGTAGCACTTATTTGGAAAGAGACTGTTCCAGAGAGCTGACATTTCAACTGGGTCTTGGAAGAGAATATTTAAGACACTGAAGCAATATTTGTAATGACAATGAGAAGGAAGAAACTTAAGTATCTATAAAGAGAAAAAAACCACCATGAATGTGATCAGATGCCAAAATATGATTGTTAATAATTCTTCCCCTGCTATTATTAGCATTAAAAATACAGCTCTTTTGTTACTCTCCCTTACCCTCATGAGAAAACTCAATGGTTCCTTATAGCTTATCCAAAATTTGTAGTTTATTATTTCTGATAATAGTTAGAAACTGACTCAAGATTTGCCTCCCATCTACCAATCCAGCCGAATTTCCTGCTATTTGTGTATACAAGCTACAACAGCTTATTCGTCAATCTTTCACCACACTGTGTACTACTTCTTTGCTTCTTTGCCATCTCTTTTGCTAGAATGCTTTTCTACCGGTTGCTGGCAAAAATCCTACTTAACCTGATAAAAAGATCTACATGAAAAGGCACCAGTGTAAAGTCTTTTCTCCATCCTTCTTCAACACAATCAATGTGCTTAAGATTTACAGGGTCAGTACAGCACCTAGGCATGTAATCAGCTTGTAATGTCTCCCTTATGTACTTCATAGTGACAAACAAGGCATAGAGTTGGAGTTGGAATATCTGATGACTTGAACAATAAATGTTCTTGTTCAGTTTACAGGGTAGACAATCCTAGAATGTTTCCAGTACAATTCCTCAAAGACTGGCTAGTTTATCAAGGTAGTTTCTGATACATCACAGTCTTTTTGATGCAGAAATGTTTGGATTTTCCAAAGGTATAATACCTGTAGAAAGGGCATAATCAGTTTATGATACTGGGGAAAATTCTCTACTTTATGAAAAAGACAAAACCCAAACTGTTAAAACTTATTCAAGGGCCTTCATTAGATGGTGAAGACATTGTTTCAGAATTCAGGATGCCTGGTTTAATTTCAGTTTTGCCCCCAAGTAACTCTATCATCTTTAACTCACAAGATTTCAGTTAACCTCATCTACAAAAGATAAGCGGTAAACAAATAAATATAACGTACTTTCTGAAGCTAAAATTCTAGCCTGTGACCAAATATCTTGGAGATACACACACACACACACACACACACACACACACACACATATATATTTATCTATATTTTATTAAAGAGACGAAGTCTCACTATGTTGCCCAGGCTGGCCTCAAGCTATCCTCCCACCTCAGCCCCCTGAGTAACTGAGACTACAGGCCTAGTAGCATCTTGATTTTAAAAAAAAGCTAAGCTCATTCATTTTCACTGCTTGTCAGTGAAACAAAATGTGAAAAATCATCCTAAAGCTTTGTGTTCGGTTTTTCTTGGATCTAAACATTAATCTTCCTTAAAGATCTTATTTATTTTTGGTAAAAGTGAGGAAAACATAATAAATGCCCACATTCTAATATTAACTAGAGAAAAGAAATTCAGTATCTCATCTCATTAAAAGGGTTGGGCAGAGGGAGTGGCTTCAAAGAAATATTTCACTATTGACTGAAATTAAATATATTTCCAGGTCTTTTCACTTTTATTTGCCTTGTAAAATAAAGAAAAATGGAAGTCAATGTGACAATAATTATAAAAGCAACATTATCAGGCAATTTATGTTGTACTTAAGTTTGTTTTTAAAAAGCCTAAGCTTCAGAGAGCTCAATATTAAGGGAGAAGATCAAGGATTCTATTTACATCTTTGGAACTGACTGTCCTAAAATCTATCAGTTTATAAAATATCAGCACTGGATTGGTACAAAAAGTAAGAGAAAAATACTTTTATTGCATGAGTAGCATTGACCAAATACATGCTGAGAAAAAGGTTTGATTTCACATAGATAATACAAATAGTTAGCAAGTGCCTGGATTGTTTATTGTCTAGAGAGGAAGGTGGGAGGTAGTGGTAGAAAAAGTCATAAATGTATGCAGAGTATTTACTGTTTTCTTTTTTGGATAATAGCTACTATTCACTAAGTGTTTTTACTAAGTGCCTGGCACAGTGCTGAGTACTCTACATGTACTAGATCATTTAAGCCTCTTAACAGTCATAGGGGAGAGTCTATTATCTGCACTTTACAGAGGAGGAAACTGAGGCATATAATGGTTATGTAATATTTACCAGTAATTCTTATTCTGGAGCCCATCTCAACCATGCTAGATTGACTTCTATTTATAAGGGTTAGCAATCAATCTATATTTTAATAAAATACAATATAAAAATCTGATAATCCTCTGACCTCAGCAAAAGTCACCAACAATAGATTTTTAACTTTTTCGTTTCTTAAGAAAAAAAATTTAAGATGTTGTAATACCTGAAACATATCGGTGTTGCTGTCATGAGTATATTCAACCACCACAGTCTGGGCCCGAGATAAAGTATATGATATGCTATGCTGGTCTTTGTTGCTTATTGCCTAAGAATGAAAAAGTTAATAGCAAAAATTAGTAGGCAGGTCAATCCAATCAGATAATCTTTTCATTAAAAAAAGGGAAAACTATTTATCAAATACATGACATATTTATACATTTTCCCCCTGAAATTTAGAGAGGTTAATAACTCCTGTCAGCTGTGACAGTAGTTTCTCGGGTTGAATGGGGTACTGAAGAATATTTAGAAGCAGTTACAGAATAAAAACATAACTTTCTTTCTTTTTTTTTAAAGACAGAGTCTTGCTCTGTTGCCTAGGCTGGAGTGCAGTGGTGCAATCTCGGTTCACTGCAACCGCCGCCTCCCAGGTTCAAGTGGTTCTCCTACCTCAGCCTCCCAAGCAGCTGGGACTACAGGTGCACGCTGCCACGCCTGGCTAATTTTTTTTGTATTTTTAGTAGAGACGGCATTTCACCATGTTGCCCAGGCTGGTCTTGAACTCCTGAGCTAAGGCAATCCGCCTGCCTCAGCCTCCCAAAGTGCTAGGATTATAGGCGTGAGCCACTGCGCCCGGCCCATAATTTTCTTTTATCAAACCACTAGACTCCCTTATTAAGTATTTTAAATTATAATCAAAACCAAATCCCACATAAAAACAGAAAACAATAGTACTGCTCTGATAAGAAAATCTTGCAAAATAAGAGGAATCTTATTTTTGAAGTCATTCAGAGAGCTATAAAGTTCACTCATAAGCCAAGTTAACTGGTTTTCTAACCATTTTGTGACTCTACAGATGACAAATGTTGGCCATATGCTGGGTGAGATACAGAAAAATGCATTTGGGATTTGGTCCCAGGAGATAAAAGAAAAAAATTTAAAAAAAAAAAACAAAAGAAACATTCATAGAATGATTAAACATTACCAAAGGAAAGGGATGTAATGCTTATGACTGTACTTCTGATTTATCTCAAACTAAAAACATTGCTAAAAAGAACTTTTCAGTTTTGTTTTCAAGTGTTTTCTATGTATATGAGTTGAAGATAATATCAAAGGAGGGGAAAAATCTAGTCATCACACAAAGGAAGTAGAAATGGGCTGCATAAAACAGACACAAAGAAGAGAATAATTATATACAGCAAAGAAGCTAAATGAAAAAATCCTTCTTAATTAGAAGTTTGGCATCATAAGCTTTTACTTGGTTTCAATTTGCAACTAATCTGTAATAGATAAAGCCTTAAAACAACAGCTTTAAGACTGTCAAATTTCCAAATATACAAAGAGAATACAGAAATACCCTATTTCCAAATATAGAAGAGATTATACTAACGACTCAGCTTTATCAAAGCTTAATACTGCCACTTTTGCTTCTGATTTTTTTTTTTTTTTTTTTTGGAGACAGAGTCTCGCTCTGTCGCCTAGGTTGCAGTGCAGTGGTGCTATCTCGGCTCACTGTAACCTCCGCCTCCCAGGTTCAAGTGATTCTCCTGCTTCAGCCTCCTGAGTAGCTGGGATTACAGGTGCATGCCACCACGCCCGGCTAATTTTTTATTTTTAGTAGAGACGGGGTTTTGCCATGTTGGCCAGGCTGGTCTCGAACTCCTGACCTCGTGATCCACCCACCTCGGCCTCCCAAAGTGCTGGGATTACAGGCGTGAGCCATTGTGCCTGGCCTGCGTCTGATTTTTTTAAGGAATTAAACTACAGATACAATTGAGGCTGCCTACATGTCTCTCCCAGTTCCCTTTTCTCTACAGAGGTATCCAACCTCAAGAATGCAGTGTAGATCATTTACATGCATGTTTTACATATTTCTTTCTACACATTTAGGTATTCATATATACTATATAATTGTTTTACAAGTTTTAAACATATATATACATATATATATACACACGCACACACACATATACATATATATATGTTTAAGAGACCAGGTTTCGCTATGTGGCAGAGGCTGAAGTGCAGTGGCTATTTACAGGCAGGAAAATGGCACACTACAGCTTTAAACTCCTGTGCTCAAGTGATCTTCCTGCCTCTGCCTCCCAAGGAGCTGGGACTAACAGGCATGTGCCACTGTGCCCCGTTAAACAGCTCACTTTTCAATGAAACAATTACTCAGTATTTTGAAAATTAATTCTTAGTGGCTAAAGAGATTTTAAAACATTGGTTTTTATGTGCTTTGAAATTGTAATCTTTGTTTGTTAGTTATTAAACCTACTCTAAGACTGAGAATAAAAACTATGTCAAGTTACGTTTGAGTCTCACTGGCCTAGAACGCAGGGTTTTAACTACTCATCCCAGATGACTGCCAGACTAAATGCTTAATTTTCATCATGACCTCACAAATACATTCCTCCAAAATTTAAAGAGGAGGAGTCAATCTTTTTTTTTTTTTTTTTTTTAAACTGAGACAGGGTCTCACTCTGTCACTCAGGCTGCAGTACAGTGGCATGATCTCAGCTCACTGCAGCCTCTGCCTCCCGGGCTCAAGTGATCCTCCCACTTCAGCCTGCCAAGTAGCTGGGACTTCGGGGCATGCCACCACGCTTGGCTAATTTTTTGTATTTTTGGTGGAGATGGAGTTTCACCATGTTGCCCAGGCTGGTCTCGAACTCCCGAGCTCAAGTGATCCGCCCACCTTGGCCTCTCAAGTGCTGGGATTATAGGTGTGAGCTACCGCACCCAGCCAAGAGTCAATCTGTGATCCCTAAGATTCTTATTGCCTAGTAAAGATGAAAGATGAAAAAGAGATAACAATGAAAACATGAGGGCATGGCAGAGTAAAATAGGAAGAAAAGTACAGAATATGGTATTACAGAGGCAGGGATTAGAAATATTTTCCCTGATAGTGGTTTTCAACCAGAGGTAGTATTAGCAGTCTAAGGGGCATCTGAAAATATGCTGTGCATTTTTTGGCTGTTACGAGGATTTGCAGGCTCAAATGGCATTTTGTGGGTGAAGGACCTATAAATGTCCTGTAGTATGTGGGAAAGTACTGAACAATGAAAAAGTGGCATACCCAAAATGTCAAGAGCACTCCGGGGGGAGCTACTGTAAGAAGCTCCTCAGATTCAATCAATCTGAGGTTTACTTCCACCACCTGCTTAGTATATTCCTTCTCGCCAAAGGAGCAAAAAGAAACTGTCCCTTTTCTGCACCAACTGGCTCCCAAATAGTAACAGAGGAGTCCTAGTCAAGGCCTAAGGATTCTTTCACAAATCAAACTGGATATAAAACAAAGCTGAAAAGCCAATTACCTTCAGACACTGAAGCTGCAACCTAAAACCACATCATATGCCAATTTTTCTGTCTCTTGTTTATTTAATTTACAAAGATATGCTTCAGATGGTATAATATTAATGTACATCCTAGGGCTACTTAGCTAAAGATACAGGTACTTCCAGGAGTCAAAGAACTCTTTCTAATTTTTCTTATTTGCTCATTACAATATTAAATTCTTTGTAACACAAAGTCAGTGTTATAAAATTGGAGGCAGATGAATTCACAGAAAATATAAAGATGTGAAATTCCCCCTCCTTGTCTGTCACTCTAGGAAAAGCCCAAGTATCCTGAAATGGTGGTCCAGCTTCTGGAAATTTTGTTAGAAGAATACAAGGGGGCTAGAAGCATGAAATAGGCTAGGGGGTTGAGAAGTTATATTGTAGATGCAGTTGGATATTGCCTTCATAGCTTTGATTCAACTTAATAATTATTGAGGTCTACTTTGTGCAAGGTACTATGCTCAAATATATGAAGTTATAAACCAAAAATGAATACAACCAATACAAAGAATCTTAAGTAAAGACCCTTAGTTTAAAAATTACCTCATCCAAATGTGCTTCTAATACCTGAATACACATATTATACATCACATTCTTCATCCAGTCCAGGGAGACCCCTCTAGTAACAGAGTGGGAACTTCCCACTTCTCAGGGCAGACAGCTGCATAATTCTAAGTACTAGATAAAGCCCTGTCCCCCATCCCACCTCTTTTAATAAGGAAACAGAGTGTTTCCTTCTAATTTCCACCCACTGATCCTGGTTTGTCATTTTTTTTTTAAAAGTCCAATTCCCCTTCCATATGGCAGCTCTTCAAATACCATGTCTCCAAAGTCTCTTCTCCAATCCAAACAAAAGGCAATTTCTGAAATAGAAATGTAAGGGGAATGCTAGAGAATACAAACAACACATAAAAGTCTTTCAAATTCTCCAAGTTAATTTATGTAGCTTTTTTTTTTTTTTTTTACCTTTGCAGCCTGAGGAGTACAAGCAATATGCACAGTGCTGGGCTTCACCCCATTTGCCTTAGGTCTTTTAAACAAAGCAAACCTACTTTTCCTCCTTCCTCTATCGCCATTTGGGAGAGACCCATTATACCTGATGGGGGAAAAAAAGTATAGGTGATCTCTTGCAAGAACTGCACAATTATAAAACAAATGTTTGACTTTGCCTTGCAGAATCAATTCCCAATTAATTATCTATTAACACATTATAATTATTTAAAATTCCTTTGAGCAACTGTTGATCTCCATACCAGGTGCCAGTGTGTGAAACAAAATGAGATTCTTTTTCTGGCTTCATTCCAAGTCACAGAGAACCTTTTGGATTATACACAGATTCGTGTTATCTCTATTTTTTTCCTTCCCTCTTTTATGGAAGATAATTAAGAGCTGATTAATGGCATGTCTGACTCCTTATGACTCATTCTGTTTTTTTAAGGTGAACTGTTTGCATGTGCTAATACAACCTTTAAAAAGTACAGTATGTATTGTTTAAAACACAATCTCCTTTAATTGTGAACCAAACACTTTAAATAGCTGAACTTTTGAAGTAAGGAATTTTTAGATTTGTTAAGTCTTAGCTACCTGAATGTACAAATGCACTCTCATTATGTTAGCAGAACCTGTCCAACAGACATGTTTGCTAAGTAGTAAACATACTTTTGTTGTTCAGATCTTATGACCATTTCTCCATAACATGTACACATACACACACACACACATATACATCCTAAAGGTAAGCAAGTACTAAACCAATGGAAACAAGTTAAAAACAAAATAAAAATATTTGGGTGTTTACTATGTACCAGGCACTATTGAATGCTATCCCATACACATCACCTCACTAAATCTACCCTTGCAAAAATTCTACTAGATTGAAATCACTGTCCCCATTTTTGTACATTAGGAAACAGACTCAGAAGAATTATATTCTGAAGTGACACTGGCAAAGCCAGAATTTGAATTTAAGTATGTTTGTCATGTGGTTATGTCATTCTTTACTGCTTCATTGAGGCATGAGCAGTAGCTTAATAATAATCTTTCCTCATTCACCGTCCACCTCCCCTGCCCCCGCCCCCTGACAAATCTTGGGTTTGATGATCTACCATATGTAGTTGGTCAATCTAGGGGGAAAGGAAGCAGGGAACAGGGACAGTTTTGAGGCTGGAGGAGGAAGTGATTATAAAATGGCCTGTAATTGTGGCTGGCAAGGAAGAATGTTTTAAAGCTGAGAAGAGAGTTTACTCAATGACTGCCATATATAGAAACTACATTGACCCTTTATAAAAAATAAAATACTTTGTATTGGAGAAAGCCCTTGGTAATGTTGCTAGCCTTGCTGTAAGTCCAAAGTACAGCCCCTTAGCTAATAATTATTTTAGCTATTTTAGGCTTTGTATTGCCCCCAGACCCTCTGTCGATTCCTCACTGCCCCTTCACTACTGTCCTCTGAGTTGCATGACTCATCCCACTTCTGGATCTTGCTCTTTAGTCCCACATTGCGTTCCTGTAGTTCAAAGCTCTTTTCTAAGCAGCAACAGCATGAAACCTTGTCCAGCTTCACTTCTAGAGGGTTGAGAAGAAAAATTATCTGCATTTTAAGACACCAAGTACCAGACACAGAGACAATTACTGTTGCTAATGATTAACTGAGGAACCCATAGGCTAAGACTGGCGGTTTAAAACCCTAAGCTAAATATTAAACTATTCTTCAAATGACTCTCAAATTTCCTGCTAGAAGAATTTAATCTGGAAAAGTTTTTGGTAGTTAAGAGCTGTTTGTCATTGATACCATTAAAATCTATGTGATTTGAAGTTCTAATACTGTAGTTACTATGCTAAATTTATGATCTTTTAAAGCTTTGTTTCTGAGAAAAGAATTTTAAGTCTCAAAGGGCCTTAGATGATCTTATCTGTCATTTTTACAGACAAGGAAACTAAGGCCCAGGATGGTTCAGTGACTTGCCCAAGGTCACACAGCTAGCAGTGCTGAACAAGCACCGGATTCTAGGATTCCTAACATCCAGTCAAGCTCAGTAACTCCATATGATTTCCCCAGTTTCTCTTACTATCTCAACTGAAACAACGCATTCTCACTTTAACAACCTGACTCTCAAACATACCGCAATATCTAGAGTTGCTTTTTAGGCAAAAGGAGGGAAACAGTAGGGGGAAAATAAAATTAGCAATTTTCTTTTTTCTCATTTTTTTCGAGACGGAGTCTTGCTCTGTTGCCCAGGTTGGAGTGCAGTGGCGCTGATCTCAGCTCACTGCAACCTCCTCCTCCTGGGTTCAAGTGATTCTCCTGCCCCAGCCTCCCAAGTAGCTGGGATTACAGACATGCACTATCATGCCCAGCTAATTTTTGTATTTTTAGTGAAGATGGGGTTTCACCATGTTGGCCAGGCTGGTCTCGAACTCCTGAGCTCAGGTGATCTGCCCACCTAGGCCTCCCACCTGTAAGCTGGGATTACAGGTATAAGCTACTGCACCTGGCCTAAAATGAGCAATTTTCTAGTTTCTGAGATCTCTAGTTAGGAAAGGCTAATACTGTGTCTCCATTTTGATAGTTAATGGCAAGTTTAAGTGGAATAAATTGAAATAATTTGGAATAACAGAATCATCTATTCCTCAATCTTCAGATTCTATTTCTGTGAGTTACATGGATGAAATTACGTTAGGAGCTAAGAAGTAGCTAGGTCCTGGGCTTCAGAGGCATTATGCTGTCACCATACACATATACAACTCCTTTAACCCAAATGTACAGCACAAAGCAATAACTACTGTAGAGAGGCAAAAGAATAAATGAAGACTAACCTACATGAAATGACTTAAAGCAGGGAAGGGAAAGGGAATTTTTGGTAAAGTCAGCTGAGGCAAAACATGGGATAGGGAAGACAAATGGAATGACTGTGACAGTGGATAAATAACATTTTTCATTTCATTTCATTTTTTTTTTTTTGAGACAGAGTCTTACTCTGTTGCCCAGGCTGGAGTGCAGTGGCGCGATCTCAGCTCACTGCAACCTCTGCCTCCAGGGTTCAAGCAATTTTCCTGCCTCAATCTCCCAAGTAACTGGGATTACAGGCATGCCTCATCACGCCCGGCTAATTTTTGTGTTTTTAGTAGAGATGGGGTTTCACCATGTTGGCCAGGCTGGTCTCGAATTCCTGGCCTCAGGTAATCTGCCTGTCTTGGCCTCCCAAAGTGCTGGGATTACAGGCGTGAGCCACCATGCCCGGACTTTCCATTTCATCTTTGAGAAACTCTGCCCTTTCTGTGGGTAAGGGTGAGACAAAGCTTATGTCATATTTGAGTGCTTTTAAAAGATGGCATGAATATGAGAAGTAAAAGAGTTTCTTGATTTGGTAACATTACCTGTAGCTTTAAATTCTTTTTGGAAGCAGGTAAGATATAAATTCCAAAAAAAAAAGTACTTTTAGCCTAGATGCCAAAGTTAGCATATATTATTAAACTGTGTGTGTCATCAAATGGAGAAACCTTACCCTAAGACAATGAGTTCACCATATTTTACTGGTGCTTTAGATGGATGATTTTCTTGATCAGGAGAAAACATGAGCTTGGCTGTCTTTCTCAAATCTTTGTTCACTGGTCAGGAGCCTTGGGACACCTTTTGCATTATTTCCTAGAGGGGAAAAGTTTTCATTAATAATGTGAACAATTCGTTTCAGTTTAAATAAAGATGTTATTTTTCAGCAGTCCTCTTGAACACAATATTATGCAAACCATCACAAGGTATATACATTTTATGGGACATTTTGCCCAATAATGATTATATATTTTACAAAACTGTTTAAAGGAATCAAAAATGCAAATTTGAAGACTTCCACTTACAGAAGCATAGAGCAGACATACTTTTCCCTTTTATTTCTGCTAAGTATAACTAAAGACCCTGGACATTATATACAAAACATGAGAAGACTGTGAAAAGTGGAGAGAAGGCAGACTAAGTAAGGGACCTCAGGACCCATGGAATGACACGGTGGTGTAAATTCTCTGGGTTTTCTTTTTGCCTAATATATCCCAGACTTGGAGCTAAAGAAGGCAGCAACCTGGAAATGCCAACTGGCACAGACAAAAAGAGCCACAACAAAAGCTTGCTCTCTCTAGCCAAAGAAACAAGAAAGGGACAGCCTGGCAAGACAGAAAACTTTTGACAGTAACTGCTCCACTCCAGCCAAACCCAGAAAACAGTTTTGCCCCACCACCACCCACACCAACGAAAGCTAAGTGAGGAGCCTTGACTTCCAGCTCATAAACCATAGTGAGGAGCTCCAATGCCCTATTAGGGCAATGTAAAAGTAGGCCAACTAGGGAGCCAGGACTTTCACCCTGATGGCCGGGCATGCCCCAGCACCTACCTCAGTAGGTGTCAGCTAGACTTCCACCCCCACCCAGCAATAACAAGAAGGATCCTCTTCCTGAGGCATCAGTAGAGGCTGAGTAGGGACCCTTGACTTCTATGTCCACCTGGCAGTAATGAGGCACCCCCTATGACCTTGCCAAAGCAGTGTCAATAAAAGCCAGTGGAAACAGAAGGTTTAGATAATATCCAGAGCCTAGGAACATAATATGAAAATATCTAGTTTTAACAGAAAATCATTCATCCTAGCAAGAACAAGATTTAAAACAATGCAAAAGATAGGCTGGGTGCAGTGGTTCACGCCTGTAATCCCAGCACTTTGGGAGGTCGAGGCAGGCGGATCACTTGAGGTTGGGAGTTTGAGACCAGCCTGACCAACATGGATAAACCTGGTCTCTACTAAAAATACAAAATTAGCCGGGCGTGGTGGCACATGCCTGTAATCCCAGCTACTAAGGAGGTTGAGGCAGGAGAACCACTTGAACCCGGGAGGAGGAGGTTGCAGTGAGCCGAGATCAGTGCCACTGCACTCCAACCTGGGCAACAGAGCAAGACTCCATCTCAAAACAAAAACAGAAACAAAAACAAAAACAATGCAAAAGATAATCAATAGGTGCCAAAACTTAGATGACAGAATTACCTGACAAAGATTTAAAAGCAGCTATGATAAAACTGAACAGTGGAAATTACTCGATCTGAATAGAGAGAAAATAGGAAAAACAAAATGAAACAAAAAACAGAGCCTTATAGACCCGTGCGTGAGACTATAGCAAAATCTAACACGTGTGTCACTGGACACACATGTCAAAAAGACAGAAGAAAGAGTAAAGCTGAAAAAATAAAGAGGCTGGGAGCAGTGGCTCACGCCTGTAATTCCAGCACTTTGGGAAGCGGAGGCGGGAAGATCACTTGATGTCAGGAGTTCGAGACCAGCCTGGGCAACATGGTGAAACCCCGTCTCTACTAAAAATACAAAAATTAGCCAGGCATGGTGGTGTGCCTTGTAGTCCTAGCTACTTGGGAGGCTAAAGTGGGAGTAATCGCTTGAACCCGGGAGGCAGAGCTTGCAGTGAGCCAAAATTGCGCCACTGCACTCCAGCCTGGGCGACAGAGTGAGACTCCGTCTCAAGAAAAAAAAAAAAAAAAAAAAAGAAAAAATATCCTGGAAGCAGAGAGAGAGAGAGAACACTGCATTTATAACGACAATTAGACTGACAGTGGAGTTCTCATCAGAAACCACAGAACCCAGAAGATAGTGGCATAGTATTTTTCAGGTGCTGACAAAAATGGAAGGGAAGTCAAGACATTCTCAGACGAGGAAAAATTGAGAGAATTTGTTACCAGCAGACCCACTATAAATAAAGAATGGCTAGAGGAAATTAACTAAACAGAAAATAAATAAATAAAAGAACCTTAAAATATGAGATGTAAAAACACGGTAGCAAAAATATGAGTAAATACAATCGACTTTCCTTCTCTTGAATCTTCTGAATTTTGTCTGATGGTGAAAGTGAAAACTATAATACAGTTAGATGTAGTTCTAAATGTGTGTAAAGGAAATAGTTCAGAAAGGCCAAGGTGGGAAGATCACTTGAGGTCAGGAGTTCAAGACCAGCCTGGCCAACATGGTGAAACCCCATCTCCACTAAGAATACAAAAATTAGCAGGGCGTGGTGGCACGTGCCTGTAGTCCTAGCTACTCGGGAGGCTGAGGCAGGAGGATCACTTGAACCTGGAGGCAGAGGTTGCAGTGAACCCAGATCGCACCACTGCACTCCAGCCTGGGTGACAGAGCAAGACTCCATTTCAAAATATATATATATATATGTATTTGACACAAGTATAACAAAAAATTAACACTTCTGATCAGCCGGAAAATCACACAATAAATAATCCCCAAAATATTATCATGTCTTTTTCATCCTCAGTTTAATGGGATCAAGTATTTCCTGCATTTATTTCTCTCCCTAGTTCCTGATAGACCTGTTACAAAGGTTTCACAGCAAAACTCCTACTAGCTAGCCCATAAAAGTCTCCTCATTTTATACCTCCACCAACAGATTTCATAGGAATCTCATGAATGAAAAAGGTCTACTTGTCTTTTTCTACAGTACAATGAAATACAGCCTGTGTAGTGGCACTTTTGGTGAGAAGGCAACAGGGAATGTATGTAGCCCAATGAATAAGAACACGTCAAAGGAAAAGTCAATGAATAAAACAAATCATTCTGACCCCTACTAATCCCTTGGAAGTGACATACACATTTAGACCAGTCATTCACACTAACACACAACTACTATCATCAATAAATTCAAAAAATTATTTTAAAAAATGCTTCAGAAATATTTTAAGAAAAACATTTCCATCATTCAAATACACTAAAAACACCTCTCGTCACCCTAGATATATTTGCTTTTGCTGAAGAGATTTTAATTCATTACGGTATTTAAAAGGTTACAGAAACCAATATATTGCTATTTCACCATAACTGTGATACATCTGAGTTGTGAGGCAATCAGATTCCTTATTTAGAAAAATAAACTTATGCTAAGCTAACTAAAACCTTCAAGGTAAAAACTGAAGTTTCAAGAACAATTAAATCAACCAAAGAATAATTTTGGTTCCATATAATAAGATCTTCTGATATACATGAAATCATACTTTAGTATATAAACATGTATTCATGCCCTCTCATTTCCCCTCTAAGAAGCATTTCATTTAAAAAAGTTATACAGAAGCTTAACTAGAGGCATTAGCTGTGCTTTTTCTGTTTAGACAATTAAGGAACTGACATCAAACATGAAAACAATGCTTTGACACATTTCTGACGAAGAACAGCAATAATTAAAAATTTAATAACAATTAAATTTAAATTAATTTTAAATTAAATTTTAATAACGTTGCTTTGTTTTGAATTCCTATTTAGAGTTACTATTTAAAGGATATAATGGTTTTCTATTTATAGTAGCAAAAAATTTCCTTTAAAATAAGCTTATTTAAAGGAGTCAATTTAAATTGTATTAAATAGAATTAGTAAGTGCACAGATATGGCAAACATCTGAAAGTGTAAATGCCCGTATTTGGCTGACATTAGTATATCACATGGCTAGCAAGTATTAGCCTGTGTTCTAGTTCTAGCTGTCTTTGAACAAAGCAATCTGTTTCCTCATCTCTGAAAATGAAGGGACTAAAGTGGAATAAAGGGAATTTGGGAGCTGGAAAAAATATAAGCGACCATTTGGTCCTGACATAAGAATTTACAAGTAACGTGCATAACACTATAGATTTAGTTCTATTGCGTCTATAGCAAAAGAACAATTTTTTTGCTTAGACAAGAAACTAAAAAACAAGAGTACGGCTGGCATATACCCTCCATATAATTTCTAGAGCCCTTGGTCAAATTAGCCAAGAAAAACAATATATTTCCAATCAGACATATTCTTACTCTGCTTAGATCTCTTAGAAGGCCTTATCTGGGGATATTTTATCAGTGACATCAAAGTTTCAATCACAGGAACACATTCAATCTTGGCTTCTACTTCTGTATTTGATAATCTAAACCCAAAATAAAACACTTTTGTAGTACCAGTTATTTATATACATAAATGACCCAAGATAGTTTTCAAAATTTAAAAATGGCATATAATCAATCAATATACAACTGGCCTTATTAAACTGCAAATAAAATGCTGTGACAGCTATTCTTCCTGGAACTTTTTTTTTTATGTGTTCTCTGAAGAAAGATTCATGATCTTCCCAAAGGTTTATACTCTTTAACAAAGACCAGTACCTAGACAATGCTTTCCTACTCACTGTCTTTATATATTCTCTCTATATTTTAAAATCTGAGTAAAAGAATTCTTCAAAATGAATTCCTAGGCTGGGCATGGTGGCTCATGCCCGTAATCCCAGCACTTTGGGAGGCCAAGGTGAGAGGATCACTTGAGGCCAGGAGTTTGAGACCAGCCTGCGCAACATAGTAAGACTCCCGTCTCTACAAAAGATTTAAAAAAAAAAAAGTAAAAACAGAAAACATTAGCCAAATGTCATGGCATGCACCTATAGCCCCAGCTACTCAGAAAGCTGAGGTGGGAGGATCACTTGTGCCCAGGAGTTTGAGGCTACAGTGAGCTGTGATCCTCCAGCCTGGGTGACGGAGAGAAACTCTGTCTCAAAAAAAAAGAAAAAAAAAAAAAAATTCCTGAAGTCATGTACTTGAGAACTTTAAATGAGTATGTACATAAAAAACATCCGAATGTCTCGATTACTGGCTTCATTTGTTGGTCTTCAATTAAGTTAGTTTGACCTCATGTATTCAGCCCTATCCCAATGTTATCTAGCACCAAGAACATGAAATAGCACCATTAATTCTACTCAAGACTAGAAGAAATGCTAAAGAAAATCTTCCTAATAAAACTGTCTTCTATTTTATCTATTACTTTGAAACTTTGCTTGATACTCGAAAGCATGTTGCTCTCATTAGCAGGAACTAAACTTCCAGAGTTAAAAAAAAATTTTAAAATAAACATATTCTGGAATAGTGTTATTTTCTTTGTGGGCTGGGAGAACATGAAAAGTTACTCATAAAATATGTATTTATTAGGAATAGTATTATTAATTTGACTGTTAAACATTCTAATCATTTCCTTTTTAAGGGCCAGTGAAATACAATTATTTTCATATCAAGTCTTCCCAAAGGAAAGACTTTGTATAATATCTGTCAGTTTCACCTAAAGAAGAAAAACTGAGAAATCAATCTTTGTCTCTCAACCTAACAAATGTTTTCTTTCATTATTTACATCACACACAGCCTTTTGCTTACTACCTACTAAACACAAGTACAAAATTCCTGCCCTAAAAAAAAAAGCAAAACAAATACTAAGCAAGGGACAAAACAAATCTTATGCAGATTGTTTACATATCTTCTGAGCACTTCTATTTTAGTGGGCAAGTGGGTAGGCATAATGGGGTACTGAGAAAAAAAGGAAAATGTTTTAAAACATGAAAATGTTATAACATTTTTTTATGATGAAAAACAATGTGGACTGCATATATTATCTCAGATAAAACAGATTTCCATCTATACTAGAGTTTCCTTGTGGCTGATTTCAAAAGGATGACTCAAACAGAAAGAACTGCTTTAGTATGTTTGCGGTGGAACCATTTTATGAAACCAATTCAGCTGATGACTGGAGTTTAATTCATAGCAGTTTCTTGATAAGAGTGAAAATTTAATCACCTTCTTCATTCTTTTGCAACCAGCAGGAGTAACACATAGCATTTTTACATAAAAGGAGAAATAATGGTGTGCAGTAGTAGTTGGAGGTTACTACTTTCTGCTAGTGTCTTTTAGCTTCTCAACACAGCAGTGGAGGAAGTGAAGTCTATGTTCCCCTTCCCAAGATACAGGACACCACCTGTGTAAATTCCCACCCTCCTCTCTTAGAGAAGCCAAATAGCATGCTGATAGTATATCACCTACAGGGATAACTTATTTCATCCTGATGGAAAAGGAGTTAACATCTTTCCTAGGGACAGTATTTGTTCCTTTAACTGGGGCTTCTCAACTTGGGCATTACTGACATTTTGACATTGTGGGGCACTGGCCTGTGCATTGTAGGGGGTTCAGCAGTATCTCTGGCCTTTCTGTTCTACCTAGATGCCAGTAGAACATTCTAGTTGTGACTTTAAAAATGCCTCAACTTCCTATCTCCCCACTACTCACTCCCCTACCTTGTGAGAACCACTGCTCTAATCTTGAAGACAACATACATTGTTCTTAGGATGGAAATTTCCCCTTTTTTTGGCATACTTCTTGGCACACAGTAAGGTACTTAATGTTTGCTTACTAACATTATACTGATACTGATAATAAAAGGTTATTTATACTAAGACTTGTGTTAGTAAAGGCCGTGTAGTTGAAGGCGGGTGTAGTTTCAGTATTTTACTAGAATTGATAGGGGCTGAGAGTGAGAATGAGAATCTTGCCTTGATGGCAATTAATGATTAATGTTTCTGTACATTTAAAATATTTTAATATTGTGGCTACCTCTCTCAAATGGTTGAAGGAAAGCGACTAGAGCTGGAGTGGCCACAGAAGTAGCTATAAGGCTACTGCTGGGTAGCCTGCTGTTTAGAGAAAGGCAAATCTTTGGAGGCTAGATAAGTATCTTCTGGACTAAGGGGCCCATATTTAGAAAAATTAAAAGCAGGTTTTGGCAAGCATGGGAGAATTCTTTTAGGTCAACAGAGGGTGTCAATTTGAATCAACCTTGGGGTAAGGTCTATCTTGAACTTGCATAGAATGGTAATTAGCCAAATGCTTTCACGTAAGATTATTTTATTTGACCCCCATAATAGCCCTGTGAATTGGGTAGGAAAGTCTGAACTCTATTTTCCAGATAAGGGAACTGAGTAGGTCAGAAAAGCCCAGTGACTGAAGGCCAAAGAACTCTGGCAGAGCTAGGACTGAGATCCACATGTTAACTCAACATACATTACCCCATTTAATTTCTATTACAACTATAAAGTACAATCATTTGTCCCCATTTTATAAATGGAGAAACTGAAGCTACCAGAGGTAAAGTGGTCCAGATTTTCTAATGTCATTACTCCACACCCTAGACAAGGTAGAATGGGGCTAATTCCTAAACAGACTAAAAGACCCTATTACAGGACCATTTAGAAGACTAGAATGTATTCACATGTAAAATAAACTGTAAAAAAGTTATACTTCAGCATAGATTAGTAACAACTATTCAATTATGAGTAGTGCTGAGATTATCTGAACCTTTGTCACTTCCTCAATGTTCATTGTATTTGTCAACCATTTCCTGGTAGTGACCAACGACAAATATTTCAGTAAATAAAGTGGACTTTGTGTGCTTATTTTAAAAATGAGGACAGAAAGGAACCTAAGGGTGGAAAATCAGGGTATTTCACAAAGGTAAATTCCTGGTACTACCAGGAAGAAAAACATACACATTAGAAGTGAGTCCAGACAGTTTAGGAACAGACAGGGTCACGTGCTCCCTGATTGTGGAAGGAGAGCTGTTTATATAGTCTTGCAACCTTACCCACAAATAATCACTTAATTCTCCACACCTAGAAAATACATTTTTAAACACACAACTAAGAACCCAAACAGTTTTATTGTCTGTGCCCATTCTTAGCTTGTATTCAACAATTTTAGATTACCAAAGTTCCTAAAATGACAAAATGATCCTCACAAAGCAAGACTAGAAAGTCCTCTAGGTTTAACCATTAAAGTCCCAAATAAAATTCTGCATAAAGCAGCAAATTCAGTGGGATTTGGCAGTTATTTGGAACAAAAACATGAGATAAAAGGATATTCATGGGAAATCCTATCATTTTCTAAAGTCAGCATCCCACACTGGTAGTCCCTTTTCATAATGGCTAACACTGAATTCAGTCTCTGTGCCAAGCACTGTTCTAAGCACTTTACATGTATTAAGTGATTTAATCTCTGGGACAACCTTATGAGATAGGAACTATTATAACCCACATTTTACAGATAATAAAACTAAGGTTACAAATGAGCACTCTGGAATTGCTGAAACAATTGAGTTTTAAAGTTTTAAAGTACAGGCACATCTGGTTTTATTGCACTTTGCTTTATTTTACTGTGCTTCGCAGATACTGTGTTTTTTACAAATTCAAAGTTTGTGGCAACCCTGCATGGCCAAGTCTATTGGTGCCAAGTTTCTGACAGCATGTGCTCACTTCATGTCTGTGTCACATTCTGGTAATTCTCACAATATTTCAAACTTTTTTCATTATTATTATTACTATTGTATCTGTTATGGTGGTCTGTGATCAGTGATCTTTGATGTTACTGTTATAACTGTTTGGGGGTGCCCTGAATTGTGTCCATATAAGGTGGTACACTTAATTGATAAATGCTGAGTGGGTTCTGACTGCTCTACTGTTTCTCCCATCTCTGCTCACTCTCCTTAAGCCTCCCTATTTCCTGGGACACAATATTGAAATTATGCCAATTAATACTCCTACAGTGGCCTCTAACTGTTTAAGGGAAAGGAAGAGTTGCAAGTCTCTCTCCCTTTAAATCAAAAGCTTGATTTATGGTGATGCTGCTCCATCACTTAATATTTAATTATTTTCTCAGAGATTCATATTTTTCAGTATCTTAAGAAATGTTTATAATCTGTTCTTTGTAGATAACTTTTGATACAATGAAGTAAGTTCTATTTTTTTTTTTTTACCACTCTTAATATATAATAGACCTGGAAATACAATCAAAGACCTCAAGAAACATTGCACTTAGTTTCAAGGTAGAATGCTGTATAAATGTTTGATTCTCCATGGGGAGGGAAAACTACATCTAAATCAAATATCTAAATAGAGCATATATTCTCTGCTCTTTTAGAGAAGCTAACTTTAAGCCTTTTAGTTTCGAAATTCCATTATAAGCTCCATTCAAAAGGGATGAAAACAGAAAAATGTAGTTGAAAATTCAAATTACAAATAAGTCTCCAATATTGTAGTAAAGTCGACTACTAATAGAGAGAAATCATTATTAAAAGATGACAATTATTACTACTCTAATGAAAAAAGGTTTCATCTTATGAGAGTTCTAATTTTCTCTTTGGGTCACAAAAAGTTTTCAAAAGTAGCATCTAATCTTTCTTTAACCAAATCATAATGTTTTCCCAATAATTTTTTTTTTTTTGAGACAGAGTGTTGCTCTGTTGCCCAGGCTGGAGTGGAGTGGAGCGATCTCAGCTCACTGCAACCTCTGCCTCCCAGGTTCAAGCGATTCTCCTGCCTCAGCCTCCTAAGTAGCTGGGACTACAGGTGCATGCCACCACGCCCAGCTAATTTTTTGTATTTTTAGTAGAGACGGGATTTCACCATGTTAGCCAGAATGGTCTCGATATCCTGACCTCGTGATCTGCCCAACTCGGCCTCCCAAAGTGCTGAGATTACAGGTGTGAGCCACCGTGCCCGGCCCTTTTGTTTGTTTAAACAGAGTGAATATTTTAAATCACTCAGTATGATATTCTTATTTAACCCTTTTCATTAAGAAAACAATAAATATATACAGCTGGGATATTTCTATGAATTCCCTCTTTATCCACTCTTGATTATTGTTATGTTAGCACATTAAAAATACCCCAATTAGGTAAATTATTATGAACAACTTTCTCCCCAAAATTACAACTTTTCTCATCACTAACTTAACATCCATTTTATACCTACACAAGAGAATGAATACTGCCTTCTCACAAATAGATTAGAAAACTGGATCCAAAACAATCATACATTACTGAGCAGCGCATGTCTGTATTCTAGAAATCAGATTAAGCTTTTCATGAATTTCCTATAGAAAGAAAAAAAGTTCAATTATACTTTTTCTTCTGGTGAAAATAAAATGTTTCAAAAAAGAACACTGCTGGGAAACTAACAAGTATTCATTTTTTAGCAGGAAGACTCCCCCTAATCAATTATCAGACCTAAAATTATTAAATCTCTCCCAACCATATCAGAGGAAGAACAAACAGAATATTCAGGTAGAAATATTACTTAAAATCTCTACAAAGTATGACTGTCAATATTTTTAACAAATTCTTCATAATTTTTCCCACCTTATGATAATATTTAAATATTAAATTGTAGTTGTCTCAAAGGTCCAGATCTCTTTCTTGAGAAGATCTTGGGAAAAGATTTATGGCTGAAAAACTATGCTTCTGAATAAGCTGTCTACAGCTAACTAAAGTACAATGACAGCATCACCATTCTGGCTACGAAACAACAACATAATTCTCAAATTTGTAACGGAAAAGTAAGCAATGAACAACATTAAGTTCTAAAATATGTTTTTGTTTTTTTTTTTAAAGCCCTAAGTACTGTAGCTTGATTGCAAAAATATTAAAAATGAACAGCTTTCAGTTCTCTGTTAACCAATAATCAACAGGCAATATACACCTGTAGTGATATTTCTTAGGCTTTAAGGCTGATGAGAGATGAGATTCATAGTGTAAATATTCTCTAAGAACACAAAAGCCTTGGAGCTTGAGATTTATTTAACTTCTTCCCTAAGATGGAAGGAAATGTAATCCATACAACATACTTCCTAAAACTGAATATGAAAAAATAAATGTGAAAAGTTAAATAGAAAAGATCTGATGAATTATGCTTCAAATTATTCCCTTTGCAAGCTTACTTTAACCTGAAGCATTGACAATGTGACACTTAAAATGAAGCCACAGAACACATACCTCTCTGTTTCATCGTTAGCACCACAAGCTATACAGAAAACCTTCTCACAGAAAAATAAAATCCAGATTGTATTAAAGCATCTGCCAGTTACAGTTGGAACCACACACTGAATAGCTGGCTGTCTGTTCACAGTTCTTTCACTTAAGCACCTCGTAACGTGTGTAGGTGGGCCTATGTTACGCAAAATAGGTAAACACTACATAATTCTAGATTCCATTGACTGAAGTGAGAATTCACTTCTCCCTCACCTCCTCCCTAAGGAAGTCTGTGGCCCAAAAGGAAAGAAACAGAAGTAAGAGGAAGCACAGAGCAATTTTTTAACACAGGCTTAATATCAAGTTATAGAGTAAGGTACTTCCAGAAAGAGTATGATATTCCATTTCTTAAAAAGCAGCCTGAATTAACTACATATTCTATAAATGTCAGAAGTATAACTATGATACTGAAGCACCTTTTCATATTAGTAAACCTATTTTTACAGATTTAGTATAGTACTCAATCTGTTAAGCAACACTCCATTTAAAAAAAACACAAAAATCAATACAATTCATATGTAAAGAAAGAAGCCCCTTTAGCACTATTAAGTGAAACTGATTTTTGTGGTCTGGTTATAAAATACTATATTATCCCAGGCATAAAAATAGGTGAACATTCAATCACATTTTCAATTGATCACACTTGTTTATTTCCAGCTTTATTCTTTACAATTTTAAAATAAATTAGATACATTTGATGCTCATGAATACGGAGGAACTACAGCAGTAGCCAGAGGTAAGCTGGGATTGGACAAGCTTAATCAAATAGCTATGGAAAGCACCTACATACTGACATGTGCTGTTCTCAGATTATCCCACTTGTAAATTCCATTCTAGAAAGTACTGCCTGCTACTCCAAATTTCCCCATATGCTGTCTCAGGAAAAGAACTGTGTTTTCTTATAGTGAATGGTTACACATAGAGCTAGTCTAATCCTCCAAATAGCCAAAGGCGAACCTGATTAATTACATTTAAGATTATTTAAAAGAATACTAAAATTAAGTCACAAGTAAATGCTGTTCATACTTGTTCAATAATTTGCCCATGCAAATCATCGATAATCTCCACCCATTAAAGTTCAACTTGAGTCTAGATGCTTGATATTCTTTTATTAAAGTTCTTTAGTAGCCCTAAAGTGTTCAACCCTTTTGTAAAAAGTTACTAGTTATTACAGCAGAGCCCTAAAATTAGTATTGATACCCATAGTTCACAGCCACCTAAGTAAATGGCTATCCAGACAATTTCAGCCTTAATTCAATTACACTATACTGAATGATACATTGCTAATAAAACCTGACTGGAGAGTCAGTAAGTGTCCTTGGTGATCTTAATTGGAATCATTCAAAGTCCCACCTATAAATACATTGTTATCTTTTTTTAAAAAAGTAGTATAAAAATACTTTTGGTGGTGCTAAGTTTATCTGCAAAGCCTTCTTACAATGTGTCCACAGGACAATAGTTCTGGTTCACAGTAAGGCTATCATTTTTAAGAGAACATCACTATAATAGTACCTAGTAACTTAATGCCTTGGCACAAAATGAACCACCCTTTATCACACAGCTACAAGTTTACTTCTGTTGCTTCCCAGCATTCGGTAACTGTCCCATCCCCTGAAGCAGTTCTGTAAATCTGTTTAATGTTTCTTTTGCTCCTTGTGCTGGCAGCAGGCCCACTTAGGTTACAGCGAAATAAATCTGCGCAGGTAGGCTGCTTATATCCAATGTTGATACCTGTTCAGTCCAGGAAACATACCTGCAAAAATGATCGGGGCATATTCTAGGGTTTGCTGTTTGATGATCCTGCCTTGTCATGTGATTCCGGGCTGATGAGATTGCTCAAGAAGCCGGACATGACAAATTTAATATTCATACTAAATAGAATGTAGTTGTAGCTGACTCTCAATGTCTTATACTTGATTCCATAACAAAACCTGAGGTCCTGCCATTCTTTGGACCAACATACCAACTCTCTTAACTTTGGAAGTATATTTCCTGCTTAATCCTAGGGAAACCAAGATATCAATAGTCCTTATATCATCATTAACATCTTAATGATTAAAAACAGAGCACTGAGAGTATAAAAATTCCTTATGTCTTTAAAGATCTGTGTTTATATCAAATAATCTCTTGAGGAAATATTTTTTTTCTTAAAAAGTTCTAAAAAGACATTAAAGATAAAATCTCCATATTTTCTAAGTATTATAATGAGCTGGCCAGGTGCCATGGCCCACGCCTGTAATCCCAGCACTTTGGAAGGCCAAGGCAGGTGGATCACCTGAGGTCAGGAGTTCGAGACCAGCCTGGCCAACATGGAGAAACCCCGTCTCTACTAAAAATATAAAATTAGCCAGGCGTGGTGGCACATGCCTGTAATCCCAGCTACTTGGGAGGCTGAGGCAGGAGAATAGCTTGAACCCGGGAGGCGGAGGTTGTGGTGAGCCGAGATCACGCCATGGCACTCCAGCCTGGACAACAAGAGCAAAACTCCGTCTTCAAAAAAAAAAAAAAAAGAGTATTATAATGACCTATTTTTATAATGGGACAAATAATCGTATTCATAAAGAAAAAAGGGTTAGAATAAAATTTCTAAGCTTTTCTTTTCAAAACTACATTTTTTAAAAAGACAACTTTCTTTTTGCTTCTCATATATGCTTTCTTTACAATGATGTTTAATTAATAACATCATGGAGGCCAGTCAAATACAAAAACAAAACATAACCAAAACCTGAAGTAGTGTTCTTGGTGGGAATCAAAGTTACCAAACTTTGGCAAATGAACCTGAATCTCAATGACTTTCCCCTACTCTTCCATATCCTGCTTGGCTTACAAAAGTCTTAAACTTCCGTATTTTCCTCTACGATGTCTGAACCTCTAGCAATTACCTCAGTTGAGCTCAGGGAAAATGATAAACTTTCAGTACTCTGAAACTTAAAAAAAAAAAAAAAAAAACTCCAGAAAAAAAAACGAACAAAACAAAGTGTACTTACCTCACAATTTCTAGGCCTTTTCAGATGTCTCTTTTCTTACGGACCTATTTTTCTTATTAGGTTTTTGTTTCACCCTTGGACACACTGACCTCTGAGAACGTCCTGCTTCTTTAATGATCTCTGAATACTTCCAAGAAGGCAATCAAGGACTCATTCGTCACAGTCCCTTTACCTCTAGCCACACCCTCAGCAGGTGCATAAATTATTTCTTCCTTTAGTTCCACTCCACTGGTGACTCTTAGGTCACGTTCCTCCATCCCACAATGCAAATTCACGCAGATGGCATTTGCTATTCTACAGTACATTTGTATTGAATATCGAAACATGCCCAGTTTTTTACTTGTCAAATCCATCTAACTCCAATCCTTTTGAGAAAATGTACATTAGGCCTAAGATTTTTCAACAAGGTTTAAGAAGAAAAATAATCACTGTATTACTGTATTATATAATTACATTTTAAAGCTGGAAAGAACCTTAAAGAATATACTGTGCAATTTGTTCAATTTTCCTTCCAATTTCATTTTATAATAGATGAGAAAAATCTATATTCAGAGAGGGTAAGTTATTTGATGACAGTCATAGGGCTAAGTAGTGCAGCTTGCTAACTGATCTTGGGACTCCTATGTTGGCGTCTGTTTCATTAATTTTGGAGGCAATACCACAAGCACTAAAGAACAGAGCAGTCAGCCAATAAGTAACTCCTACCTTGTACTGTGTATTATTACAGGAGATGGCCAAGTGTTCAACTTTAGCTCCACTCTTTTCTATATGTTGTTATAATTTTATACCACAAAGAAAAAGCTGAAAATCAGACAAAAATTTAATGAAAGGCATACCATGGAGATTTGTTTCTTTTTGCTCACCAGATAGAGCACTGCCTTCCTAAATTGGCTGTTCATACTCCCACTTTGTGGGCTGTGTTTACCTGGCAGTCTCTTTAAACGAACAAAAGAAAGCTAGGTATCAAAAGTACTGCCATAGGTAACCCACATAATGGGAAAAATTATTTGCAAATCATGTATCTGATAAAGGACTTATATCTAGAATACCTAAAAAGGTCTCATAACTCAATAAAATATAAATGAAATTAAAATTTGGTAAAAGATCCATTTATTTCTCCAAAGAAGATATACAAATAGCCAATATGTACATAAAAAGATGCTCATTAGCCATTAGGGAAATACAAATCAAACCCACAATGACCACTTCAAACCCATGGCTATTATCAAAAAGTCAGATAATGACAAATATTGGTAAGGATGTGGAAAAGCTGGAGTCCTCAATCATGGCTAGTGGGAAAGTAAAATGGTGTAGTTACTTTGGAAAACACTCTGGCAGTTCCTCCAGATTAAACATTAAGTTCTCATGTGACTCAGGAATTCAATTCCTAGGTATATACCCAGGAGAAATGAAGACCTATGTCCACACACAGACTGTGCATTAATGTTCACAGCAGCAATATTCATAATAGCCCCAAAGTAGAAACAACCCAAATGTCCATCAACAGTCGGATAAACAAAATGTGGTATATCCATATAATGGAATATTATTTTGCAATAAAAAGGAATGAATTACTGATATATACCACAACATGGATGAACCTGGAAAACATTCTGCTAAGTGAAAGAAGTCAGTCACAAAGGATCACATATTGTATGATTCCATTTATATGAAATGTCCAGAAAAGGCAAATCCAGAGACAGAAAGAAAGTAGATTAGTGGTTGCCTGGGAGGGGAAAGAAAGGGGAGAAAATAGGAAATTGGGGAATGATAGCTAAAGGCTATGACATGAGATTTGTTTTTCGGGTGAAAATGTTCTAAAATTGATTGTGCTGCACAGCTCTGAGACTATACTAAAAACCACTGAAGTGTACACTTTAAGTGTTTACATAAATGGTATAAAAATTATACCTCAATAAAGCGAAGCAAGCAAGCAAGCAAATAAAGCTCTAGCACATTAAAAACAAAAGCCTGCTATAGACTCAAGGTTCACTGGAAGCTGGCACATACCTCTGGAATTCAAATATATTACCGATCTTATGCAACTTTATAACCTACATAAATTTTAAAAATTCTAGATACTGTTAACTCCTACTTCTTGGCCAGAGAAACTGAGGGAAACTAATCATTTGAACATTCTACAAGATAAATTTTCACAAGCAAAACTGAAAGCTTTCCCAAATGAAGTGCTTTTTGTACCAGAAATTATGAAATTGACACTTAGGTTTGGAATTTTAAATCTCATAATCTGTTTCAGACTAGCTTTAATCATAAACATGTGCTTTTTTGTTTATGTTTTTGCTGATAATCTTGCATCATGTTCAATGAGTGTTCTCTCTGACATCAACCACCAACTCTCCAATTCTGACACCAACTGGGCATCCAACAAATCAATTCAGTTCTGACACTATTATCTACCTTTAGTGTCAGATCTCACAAGTTAAAGGGCTCATGCCACAAGACTCCCCTAAGTTCAGATGCCAATCAAAGTCCCAAACCACCTGACTTCTGACCAACTAGCTATAAATTGGGGGTTCCCACAACCCCCTCCTCAGGTTCCATAATTTACTGGTACAGCTCACAGAAGAACAAGAAAACACTTCTTTTATGTTTACTGGTTTATTAAAAAGAATGCAACCCAGGAACAGCCAAATGGAAGAGATGCACAGGGCAAGGTATGTGGGGGTGGGGGCGGGGGCGCGGGGAGGGTAGAGCAGTGGAGCTTCCATGCCCTGTCCAGGAATGCCACCCTCCCAGCAACTTGATGTGTTCACCAACCCAAAAACTCAATCTCCAGGCCTCTGTCCCTTTCCCAGAGGTCACTGGGTGAGACAAAAGTCCCAACCCTCTTAATTTCTTGGTCCTTCTGGCGACCAGCCCCATCCTGATGCCATCTCAGGGCCCCACCCTAAGTTACCTATTATGATCAGAAAGGGGGTTGTTATAAATAATAAAAGACATCCTATCACTCAAAAAAATTCTCAGCATTATAGGAACTCTGTGCCAGGAAGACAGCGTGGTAGAAAGACCAAATAGATTTTTGTATTACACCACAGCAACAGCATCGAAGTAAGCTGAATATTCAAATACATAGCTCAATATAATCCCATGACCAATAAGTTTCACTTGATCCCTCTGAGGACAAAGACATTACCAAACCAACAGATTTGGTATTTAATCCAATGCCTGGTATTTAATATAAATACCCAATGTTTTAATTAATTACCTAGCCTGTCCCTCTAGCTAGCTAATAGTTCTATTTGGTTAAATAGCTAGAAGTCAAAATCTTCTAATAACTAATATACCTAGGTTAACAGATGATGATATCCCTTCACCACAGAAGTACCTAGATTAGTACAGGTTGAACAACCCGAATCTGAATCCGCAAAATGCTCCAAAACCTGAAATTTTTGAGCAACACGACATCGTAAGTGGAAAATTCCACATGTAAGTACTTAACACAAACTTTCATGCACAAAATTAATAAAAATATTGTATAAAATTGTCTTCAAGCTATTTGTATAAGGTGTATATGAAACATAAATGAATTTTATGGGTCCCATCCCGAAGATATCTCATAATATATATGCAAGTATTCCAAAATCCAAAACACTTCCGGTCCCAAGGATCTGGTTAAGGGATATATTCAACCTATACTCTCCATAAAATGCTAATTAATGATTTCTTCTATTAATAACCATTGTGAGCTTTCTTTGCAGTTTAATTTGCTTTGATGTTGGAGCAGTTCTTAAACCAAGGGCTGTGGTCTCCCTATTTTTTTTTGAGACGGAGTCTCACTCTGTTGCCAGGCTGGAGTGCAGTCACACGATCACAGATCACTGCAACCTCTGCCTCCCGGGTTCAACCGATTCTCCTGCCTCAGCCTCCCAAGTAGCTGGGACTACAGGCACACACCACCATGTCCAGCTAATTTTTGTATTTTTAGTAGAGACGGGGTTTCATCATGTTGGCCAGGACGGTCACGATCTCTTGACCTCGTGATCTGCCTGCCTTGGCCTCCCAAAGTGCTGGGATTACAGGCATGAGCCACTGTGCCCAGCGGGTCTCCCTACTTTTAATTTAGTGCATCTAGAGTCACCAACAACACAATTACTAACCCAACAAATATTACTGAGCATTCACTATAAGGTCAGAAGTTATGGGAGTATTCAAACTAATGCAAAAGGTATGCCTCCCTATACCAAACATTTGTTTACTTATGTTTACTAAAAAAGGATGTAAATTAAATCAGTATAGAACAGATATCATATTAATGCAAAAGACCATAAATACCGTAAGACTTCAAAGAAAAGTGTTATTACTTAGGAGGAAGAGGAACAAGAGGAAGCTTCATAGCAGAGGTATTCAATTTGGACCTTGAGAGACAGACCGGACTTTGATAAGTGAAAAAAAAAAACCAGTTTAGGTGGAAGAAACAATCGCATAAAGATAAAAAAGACAAGGGGTAAAAAGTATATTGTGTTCTCAGGAAAGGGTAAGTCAGTAGGTTCCCTGGAGTTTGGTTAGGAGATAAATAAAAAGTAAGTTTGTGGAAATCATGAACCATGGCTTTGTAAGCTCAGTGACTGTTAGGAAGTGCTGAATCAAAAAACAAAAAGTATGACAATTATTAACTCCTCTTTACATCTGTATAGTAAAGAAAAATCTCTTTATACTCTTAGAAAGATG
The DNA here is from genome assembly GCF_000001405.40 of Homo sapiens. Classification (NCBI taxonomy): domain Eukaryota; kingdom Metazoa; phylum Chordata; class Mammalia; order Primates; family Hominidae; genus Homo; species Homo sapiens. The sequence continues at coordinate 64,127,089 of NC_000002.12, forward strand.
GATAGACTACCAAGACCAAAGAAAAGATTCCCTTAACGCCTATTAATTTGTAAAAGTCCAGGTTGTTAAATAACACTTGTGCTGATATTTATTAAACAACAACAACAAAATAAAGGAGAATGAAAGCACAAGACCTGTTAAATTCCAAGCCATTAAGAGTTTATTTGAGGCCGAGCAAGGTGGCTCACACCTGTAATCCCAGAACTTTGGGAGGCCCAGGCAGGAGGACTGCTTGAGCACAGGAGTTTGAGGCCAGCCTGGGCAACAGAGTGAGTCCTTGTCTCTACAAAAAATGTAAAGTTTCAGACAGGCATGATTCTGTATGAAATTTGTTGGGATACCATGCTTTAGTAGATCATAACATCACAGTTATGTTTTTCAAACAATGTTGAGTGAGGTTTTCTTGTTTTTTATTTTAAGTTTATTTTATTTTTCCTCACACTATCAGGGAGAAGAGTAAGGTTTTTAACATTGATGAATATGGCTTGAATTTGAAGTGGATGTCTTCTGGGAACTTTTGTTATGTTAAAAATATATTCATTTAATGCTGTTTTAACTTTTTCCCCAACCCTCTATTACCAACAAGACCTTGACTGTGACAATTGCAATTTTGCTAACTATAATTCTTTTCTATGTTGTCAAAGGATTATTGTACTTGAAATTGGAACTAACTTGGAAAATCTAGGTGGTTGTCTCAGCTGACCCCTGAAAGTTGAAATTTAGCTCCCCTTTAACCACACTGTTAGGACTGACCACTAGACAGGACTATCTTTTTTCCTTTTTTCAAATCAACTCTCCACCTTAGTTTATCTATTCTTTTTCCAATCAACCATCTCAGATAAAAACAGGCTCCTCCCGTTCATATAATTTAGTCTAAGTCCTTCTTTCTGAAAAGAAGGAATTCTGCTAAATCAAGTTCCCTTTCAGGCAATTTCAGCTCTGGCCAACATTTAGTAGATTAAAAAAAAATATCAACCAGTTTTCTTCACACCCAAAACTGAGAACCTATTTGTATCAAAACTGAGATTCGAAGGTGTGTACAGGGGTAAGGAGCAGTGGTATAGTTTTAAAGCCTAGAAAAATAATTCTGCTTTGCACCCTGATATTTCTAAAATTCAGGTTAGTTCAGTAAACATTTATGGAGTGCCTATTATGGTTCAGATTCTGTGCTAGGAGACTAATATGAAATGTTCCTATCTTAAAAGGAGCTAATGGAATTAGAAATAACACTTTTACCCTCTAGAATTTTTCAAGATTTTCTATTTTCAATCATGTAATAATAATAATAGTATTAAAAGTAAATAAAGTTACACATGATATATTTTTCTCCTTTTGAACTAAGTGATTAGAATTGCAAATGTACTTCTTAAATATACTATATACATCTTAATTGCCACAAACATTTCTTTCTCCTCACATCCCACCCCCAAAGCAGATTCTTTTCTTACAGTAGCCCAAAAATCCCTAAAATTTTACATTTCTAACTAGAGTTACAGACTGAGTCAGACTAATGTGACATCCATAAGGTTTTTAAAAAATTCTTATTTTGCTTCTACTGTTATCTTTGTCCTAATTATGCCATCCACCTTTATTGGCATTTACTGCGGAGTGTATGATAAATTTAAATTTCTACACACATCTATGAATTTCATGCAGATTTAAATTCTCAGCAAGGATCTCCTCTATTAATATTTTCACATAGTAACATTTGTCAAACTCTTGGGTTTTATGTAAGTTAAAATGATTATTTTTTCACTATAGAAATTCAAATGAGATCCTAATTAACACATTGCTCCTTCTTTGAAGACCTTGACACAGACACAAAATTGCTGATATTTGGATCTATAAGTTTGATGAGTTTTTTGTTGCTGTTCTGTTTTACCTTTCACCATGGAAAATTTGGTCTATCACCATCACAATGTTTACTGAGCCAACTATCTACAAGGACAAATAGCAAAGCTTCTTATTCATTCCAGCTAAATCAATTAGGCTATTCATACACTTACTGACCATTTGCCAAAGTGCCACCCTTTTTTGGTATCAATAAAAAGCAATCTTATAATAAAGGTTTATTTTGTTTTGAAAAAAAGCCAGGGTTCTCAAATTCACTGTATTACTTTGCAACTCTTGCTTCCCTTGCCTTCAACATTGTGTGGGTGGAGGAAAGAAACCAACATATTCAGAACAAAATGTGAAGTCAAGGGAAATTTTTAGACAGCAATAAGTTGTGAAAATCACTTAAACTTACTGTCAGAACAATCTTTTGTATAGAAACATAAAGGGAGGCATTTTAATATACCCCTGACATTCAATGAAAAAATACGAGGCTCAGAATACCATAAACCCAGATACTGTATTTGTTTAAACTAATTGGGCTTTTTTATATATAACTCAGTAAACTGCAATTACAACCATATTCAAACAAGTTTTGTCTAATTCCTCTTCTTAATACCTTTTCAAAAAGAGGACTTTATTTAAAAAACAAATTCTTAATAATTCATGAGATATATTATTTCTTTTTTTGTGATTATGAAATGTTCTTCAGTACATATTTAGGCTATTTATAAGTTTTCTAAGACCATTCTTTTAAAGTCACACTGTATCTTCAAAAGCCCACTTTAAACAAACCCTCCTATTATTTATAAAACACACTAAGACTTACGTAAACACCAAACAAATAAATACATTGCTGATTCTAGAATATGTATAATAGAATATAGTCTACAATTGCTTGTATTGATGATCCACATAAAGTCACAGGAATTTCTTAAATGATAGAAGATTAAAGTAGCACTTTTTAAGGCAATGTATGTACTATTAAGTTTTCATGCAAATCACTGATTACCTCTCCAGAGACACAATGTAATTTTTGTTAGAAATGATTTTCAACTCTAGTATATACTACGAAAAATTATTGTGGTGGCTGCAGTAGAAAGCTTCTCATTTGATGTGTCCCAATAAGCTATGTGACTTTTGATTTTGAGATTTTGAATCATGTGTCTTTTGAATCCACCATAATTCCAGATTCTTCCCAACTTTTCCCCCCAATTTAAAGTGACATGGTTGTTACTCTCTATATCACATATATCAAAAAAAGAATTTCTTTTGAGATAAGGTCTGGCTGTATTGCCCGGGCTAGTCTGAAACTCCTGGGTTACTCCCATTTTAGCCACTCGAGTAGCTGGGACTACAGGCATATGCCACTATGCTACGTTCATATATCAGACATTTTTGAAAAAAATGAAACTGAATATGTAATAAATACTCAGCAAACAAGTGTTGTTAACGTTATCACTATTCACTTGTAAAAAATTCTAATAGTATTTCAAGGCCCATTTGATGTTCTTTTCCCAGTCTGAAAGTTTTTCCTTATTCCCTAAACTGGGTATAATCTTTTTTGAGCTCCCATAGTTTATCTGCAATTCTTTTATGGGCCTTATCCAGTTTTATATTATAGTTACATATGACCCTGTGCTATCTTCTATTAAAGCTGAACACTCCTCCAAGGGAGAAACTGTCTTGCTCATTTTGCAGCACTTAATATTGAAGAAATAAGGGAAAGACATTAAAAAGTTTGCTAAATTAGATCTTACGAAATCTTCATTTTAATTTGGTGCATAAAAAAGCATACATATTTCTATAAAATTTATTCAAGAAATTTTGAAGAAAAAAATAAAATTTCCTAGAGACTATAGAATGTTAAAGCCTTTTGGGAACAGATGTGCTCATTCATATACACAGTAATATAACACAGGAAATAGAAGAATCTATCTAAATGATATTAGAAGCCATAATGTATTATTTTTTATTTCATTTCATACTTTGGGTGTTAAAAAGGAAGAGTAAAACACAATGGGTAACTTATTTTCCTTTTTGGTAAGAACTGGGTTTTCATTTTCAGACTAAAATCAGTTCTAGAAATCAACACATAAAGACTCTGTTGTTACTGCCCTTCATAACCCTTTACTCCTATCTCTCCCTGAGGCCCTGAGTACCTAGGAGAGAACCTTCGTTTTCATGGTTCTTTATGAATTTCTTGGTCCAAAAGCACAGTTTGCTTAAGACATTAAAAAACTAGCTATCAACAAATTTCATTACTAAAGCTAATAGGAAAATTAATAATAAGATATTATATTAAATTTGTTAAAGTAGTGCCAAATTTTAAATTTTGATATATTCTTAAAGCTCTCAGGGGTCAAAAAGTTCTAGCAATTCATATATATATATACACACATATATATATACACACATAGGTTCAGGTCAATGCCCTGGGGGTAGGGACCTCTGACTTATAATACCTAATAAAATGTAAGTGCTATGAAAATAGTTGTTATACTGTACTTTTTAGTTGTATTTATTGTTGTATTGTTATTTTTTATTATATTTGTTTTCCAAATATTTTTGATCCATGCTTGGTTCAATCCTCAGATGCAGATTCCATGGATACAGAAGGCCAACTGTACTCGAGAAACAAAGGCAGAAACGACAGGATCCTAACCGGCATGTAGAGAGTGAAATAGTAATCTCTCTCTTTTTTTTTTTTTTAAATTGAGACGGAGTCTCACTCCATTGCCCAGGCTAGAGTGCAGTGGTGCCATCTTGGCTCACTGCAACCTCCACCTCCCAGGTTCAAGCAATTCTCCTGCCTCGGCCTCAGGAGTAGCTCAGATTACAGGCACACACCACCACGCCCAATTAATGTTTGTATTTTTAGTAGAGATGGGGTTTCACCATGTTGGCCAGGCTGGTCTCGAACTCCTGACCTCAAATGATCCACCCACCTTGGCCTCCCAAAGTGCTGGGGTTACAGGCATGAGCCACTGCACCCAGCCAGAAACAGTAATCTCTACCAGTATTGTAGGAGGCAGAACAGATATGGAAAGAAAACAGAGGTCTTTTTCACTATGGTAAGTTTGAAGAATTTTAGTTAATATGTCTAATAAGCAGTTGAAAATTTAAATTGGCTCACAGAGAAAGGTACTGAATTGGCAACAGATCTTTCCCCCTCCTTTTTCTCTTTCCACTAGACCAAGTCAGGATGCCAGTAGAAATAATAAAAATAGCTTCCAATTCTTGAGTACCTACTTTATGCTTGACATCGTGCTGAGAACTTTATATATTATCTCTATTCCTTTCAACAACCTTACCAGGAAGATACAGGTTGAGCATTCCTAATCTGAAAATCTGAAATCCAAAATGCTACAACACCTGAAACTTTTCAAGTGCTAACACAACTCTCAAAGGAAATGCTCTTCCAAGTATAATGCAAATATTCCACGATCTGAAAAAATCTGAAATCCAAAACACCTTTTGCCCCAAGCATTTTGGATAAGGGATTTAATAAGTCCCGGTGAGGCTTGTTCTCAGAACCTTGAGATTAAGTAAACTGAGTCAACTGTCCAAGGCAAAAGAGCTACCAATTAGTGGGGGAGGCATCTGAATAAAGTTTTCTTCTTATTAAAGACTCTATTATACTACCTTAGCTTTAACTTGAATGACCACCTATGTCAAGTTCATTCTGGAAAGGGAAAAACAACAAAATTAATGGAGCTCTCAGACTGAGAAAATAGGGAATAAGTCTAGGAATATGTGGTTTCAAAAAGTACAAATTTAATAGTGATACGAAAGAGCTGGAGAAAAAGAAGTGGAGTTATAGTTTAAAGACCCTTTAAACCAGAAGGAGCCTTGGAAATGGCATAGTACTTTTATAAGTAAAGTGTGGTCCATGGCCTATAGCAGTAGCACACCCAGAAGCCTGCTAAAAATGAAGAATCTCAAGCCCCAGCCATACTTACTGAATTAGCATATGCATTATAATATGATCCTTAGGTAATTTGTATAATACATTAATGAAAAACACTGGTCTGATACCATTACAATAGATGAAGACACTAACCAGGTTAAAAAAACAGTTTGCAAAGCTAGAACTCAGGCCTCTTTATTTCTTGGTCTAGAATTCCTATGTCTTCATCATGTGCCCTCCAGACAAATACATCACTTCGAATTTCACTAACCTGAGGTCTGTGCCATAAACATTTAGAACTTAAAATGAGTTTCCATCAAATTAGCACTAAACATTGTTATTTGTTACCATTTCATTTGGAATTTTAAGTACCCCCATGAGTTTTCTTCAATCATTTGTTTTAACATCACTAAATGAAACATAAACATGCTATCCCTGACTACAAAGAATTCTTAAGCTCATACAGTGAGTTTCAACCCTGAGCACTCAATGTGAAGAGACAGTATAGATAGAAGAGAGAGACTTTCTATAGGCAAATTATTTAAAGTCATAGAATCCTGGAGCTGGAAGAGACCCAATATAGCTGAGATGACAAAGAGATTTCATCAGAATGGCAATTATATATATAGTTTCTGACAGTGCTGTATAAAAAAGTTACCTGAAACTGGTTTGGGATACAGATACCGATACAGATACAGCTACTAGCTGTATCTGCCATGGGTTGGTTCCAAAGAGGGTGTGAGTGATGGAGTTACTGACCTTGTAAAGATAAGGAAACTCAAGCTCAAAGAGGTTAAATGAAATATATAAGGTCACATATTGAGAAGATAAACCAGAACTCCAGGTCCCCTAACTTCTGATATAGTGGTTTTTATCCTGTATCATATTGCCTCTCCTCTCTATTTATTCAATAAAAAATACAAAATCCTTTTCATGTAATAGATAATAAAAACCAAACCAATTAGAAATTAACTGGGAATAAACACCTCAGATGGTTTTATGGGCATTATAGGATTTATAATCCTATAATAAGGACATACATGGAAGTATGTTAAAAGATTTAAAATGAAGCCCACAACCTATAGATTTTATCATTGTGAGCAATGAATGATCTCTGACTCAGACTGCTTTCTGACATTCTTACTTCATGTAGAGTTTTTCCATATGACAATTCTTCTTTAGAGTTTATCCATGATGACTCAGGGTACCTAGATGGTATGAAGGAGCCTTCAATTTAAGGAGTAGGAGGAAAATGAGGGGGCCTACTGAATCATTAGCAGCCTACTCAGTTCTGAAACTCAGCAAATCCTTTTGGAAGCCATTTTAAAGTCAGCTTTAGGAGACAAATTCTGGCTAAAGCCTTAAAGACTGGTCCTTAAGAGCTGAACTATATGCAACTAAATCAACACGTTATTTCTAAAAGAGACACAACCAAAAGGCTTTAGCAAAATCTGATCTTCTTTTTGTTGAATAAATGTCAGTGATGAATTTTTAAAAATGTCTGCTCTCAATGAAGTTACAGATCTGCTCAAAGTTTAAGAGCCCCTCCTCAAAATTCATCCTAGTTCCTTTGGAGAACAGACAGGGCTAGTTCAGAAACTGAATCATCCTATTTTAAATGAAAGTAACAGTAAAGCAGTAAGTATATTTAAAAAGCTTTTTGATACATAAGGTATGTCTATAGGACCGGTTTCTAATTAGAAGCAGCCGCTACTTTACAAAAGATACGTATTTAACACATTTTCTCATGAATGATAAACTTAGTTTTGTAATTTGGATGTTTTGATCCTTTGATGGTAAATTTAAAGAATGACAGTGAGAACAATTCAAAGAAAAATCCATCATGCTAACTGTAGTCTAAATTAAAGCCAATCAGCTTTTAGTGCTTCCAGTACATGCAGTTCATTAAATCTGAAATAAACCCAGAGGAACATGAAATACTACGGATAGTATCTGCCAAGAACCAGGAATTCAACATTAAAGTTTTGAAAAACCAACAAAGCACTTTCAATTGTTTTCACTTATTGTTAAAAAATAAAATTAAACTGTGCCTTCTAAAGATTAAGCCAAATGATATGTTGAGCACTACAATGAGTTACTAGAAAAATATCAGGGCCAGTCACTTCATAATTCATTCTTGTGGAAGGAAGAAGTTATAACCTTCTTTACCACATTACTTATCTTTTTATCTTTTCCTCTTGACTGTCAAAGAGATGCTCAACAGAAGTACAGTTTTCCCCTAAGGTCATATATGGTTAGTATTACAGTAATGATGAGGTCCCCAATTGTTTGACATTTTTAGAAAAGACAACAAACATCAAGAGCTGAAAATAGTTTTTGAAATTCCACTAGGCTGTTAATTTTACTATCAAACTTTGCTAGTTTAGGTATGTAGGTTCTGGATGGATGCAGGATTAACTCAATGAGTTTGAGTTTAAACTCAAACTGTTTCCTACTGTTTCCTACATTATTGAGTTAAAAAAGTATTGCATCCTACAGGTCATGTAGTTATCTCTTAGTGTCTGATGAGAGATCTCCACCAAGGCACACACCAGAAATAGGCAAGGAAAGTTTAAAAAGATTAAGTATGGCACAAATAGGAAAAGTATTGTACTTGCCATCCACAGGTTACTACTTTATAACCTTAATTCATTCCAAGTCTACTTTATAAGTATAAAAATGGCAGACAAACATAGAAAACGCTGTTGAAGAGCAATAGGCATGACTAAAGCTGGCAAAGGATGATAAAGAGAGCTATTGGCAGAGTAATGAATAGATGAAAGTGAGACAGGCAGGAAATTACAAGTATCTTGCAATGCACAAGCTGAGAAGAATAACCTTGAACCTGTTGCTGTAAAAATCTACAAAGCTTAATAGATTGAATTTTCAAATAATCTCTCAATTATTGTTACTCATTATTATTTCCAAAATTAAGTATAGATTTTATCATGGTCATAAGGTTTAAGTCAACATGAAATGTAAGATGCACTTTTGCAAAGCAATAACTTCTCTTCAAATGCAAGGTGTATTATTACTTCTATTCTCTACTTAATTTACACATCTGAGCCTTAGCTCATTAGGTCATAGACACTTAAGCACATCCAAGTTCAGAGAATTATCCATACTTATATTTACTATTTTGTGAGATCCAATTTCTTCCTTTCCTTCCTTCTCTTGCTGCCTTCCCTCTCTTTCTCTTCCGTCAGAAGTTATTCATTTATTCCACAAAAATGGAAATGAAAAACAGATTCATGATCTTACCAGCAAATCAACAGCCTGAATGAAAGCTTTCTAAAATAAGTTACACTTCAGTATGGTCATCATCATAGAAGTTCAAAGATCTTTATGAAAAACCACTGCCACTTTTTTTTTTTAGATGAATCAAAGGTTTTAAAAGACTTTCAGAGTTAATGGAAAGCCCAGGAATTAAATATGGGCTCAGTTGTTCCATGTTAACAAACTAGTGTTTAAAATACGTTAAATAATCTAGTCTAGCAGCTCAGCCCTGATAGTATGTGCAGTATATGGTAAGAGAGTCTGGCTATCTATACATACACATGCATACATACATCTACACACACTAAAGGGACAAAAACTCTGAGTGAATTAAAGAACTAGATTCCTAACAATTTACTGAAAAATGTTTAAAATAGGAAGCTTTGTTAAAGTATTCCTTACACAGTTATATACTTATATTCTTAGTGGTCACTATGTAATTAACTACATAATAAAAGTTCATAAGTTCTACTTCATGGCATTACATTTTAAATGATTGGTTAAAAATACAAATGAGGCTGGGCGCGGCGGCTCACGCCTGTAATTCCAGCACTCTGGGAGGCTGAGGCAGTGGATCACGAGGTCAGGAGATCAAGCCCATCCTTGCCAACATGGTGAAACCCTGTCTCTACTAAAATACAAACATTTAGCTGGGCGTAGTGGTGTGCGCCTATAATCCCAGCTACTTGGGAGGCTGAGGCAGGGGAATCACTTGAACTCAGGAGGTGGAGGTTGCAGTGAGCCGAGATTGTGCCACTGCACTCCAACCTGGTGACAGAGCAAGGCTCTGTCTCAAAAACAAAACAAAACAAATGAAAACGTTGTGCTCCCCCACCATTGGACATAAATAACAAGAAAAAGAATGGCTTTCTTTACTCAATATTATCAGGAGAGTAAAAATCACTGAAATGTTTAGTTTCTCAGGTTGGAAAAACTGTACCTCTAAAGAATGAACTAGTATAGTAATTGTTCAAAATTAGTAATCCTACATGTATATTGTCCTGAGAGTAGATTTTTACAATCCATATTTATTGAGGTTTTTGGGGGCATTTAAACATTTAGATGAGATCCAATTTTTCCTATGCCTTTTTTAATAAAAACAGTTCTTATGGTAAATCAGAATGTTCTCAAAACAACTACTAATCTGAGAAATGAAGCATGAATATAAGAAGACTTAAGAACCAGATTCATCTCTTAACACTAACATGTGTTAGTCTTTTAGTTCCTTCCCCAAGTGTATGCCATAGCGACAAGACTTAAACAATTTCACTGTGTTTTAAATACCATCCCTTTAGTCTTGAATGCAGAATATAAATGAAATTTACCTGAAATTACTGTTTTGATACTTAGTATTAAGAATTGTATATGATCTTGTATGTGTGTGTGTGTGTGCGCATTTTGTGAGACCTTAAAATATCCAAATTAGTATGGTGCCTTCCATACTAGTCACTCTCAGAGGTTATATACCCTTATTCCAAATGATGCTACAATTATCCACAACATTATTAAAATTCCTTTTTAGTCTATGGGTGGATCTGACTTTTACAAACAATAACTGCCTTCTCAGACTGGATCTGATTTTTAGAAATAGCCTCAAGTTACTTCCCATTTTCTTTCTGTCAAGATCCTCTGTGAGTCATATCTGATAAATAACATGAAATATCACGTGGCCAATCACCCCTTTTTTCCTTAAAAACAAGGAGCAAATACAAAGTAATGAGCTATTTTCACGTGTGGCTCTTAAACTGGCTTAGACGACAAAAAAAATTTTTTTTTCTAAAAATATTGAGTAATGCTAGTATTGTTAAGTGTATAGCTTCCATGGTGACTACTCTAAAGTATAAGACTTATTTTAGATAAGTGTATAAAATATTTTTCCTTTAAAGATGGATAACCAGCCCTACACAATTTAGTCTTCTCTAACCTTCCTTTCCCATGCTGATGCTGATTTTATGTACTCACGCTCACCCTGATCTAGTTACGCTAGTTTTTTTTGTTTTGTTTTGTTTTTTTTAGACAGGATCTGGTTATGCTGCTCAGACTGGTCTGGAACTCCTGGGCTCAAATGATCCTCCCACCTCAGCTTCTTGAGTAGCTGGCACTACAGGTGCAAGCCACTATGCCTGGCTCACACCCTTGTCTTCTTGTAGTTTCTTGCAGTTGTAGGCACGCTCCCATCTCAGGGCCACTGCACTTACTATTCCCTCTGTGTATAATGTCTTGCTCCAAGGAGACCTGCAAGGCTTGCTGTGCTACCTCCTTCAGGTCATTACTCACTTTAACTATTTATCATCTTCTCAATGAAGTCTTTTCTCACTACCCTTTAAAACTGCATCTTGGCCAGGTGTGGTGGCTCCCACCTGTAATCCCAGCACTTTGGGAGGCGGAGGTAGGTGATCACCTGAGGTCAGGAGTTTCAGACCGGTCCGGCCAACATGGTGAAACCCTGTCTCTACTAAAAATACAAAACTCTACTGGGCGTGGTGGCGTGTGCCTGTAATCCCAGCTACTCAGGAGGCTGAGGTAGGAGAACCACTTGAACCCAGGAAACAGAATTTGCAGTGACCTGAGATCGCCCCACTGCACTCCAGCCTGGGTGATGAGAGCAGAACTCCATCTCAAAAACAAAAAACAAGAAACAAAAAGCAAAAAACTGCATCCTCCTCCGAACCTCATACACATATCCCATTTATTCTCCCTTCCCCTTCCCTGCTTTATTTTCCTGTTTGTGTGTAAAACTGTTTATTAGGGGAAATTTCAAACATACACAAAAATAAAGAGGAAGTAAGAAACCTCATGTATCCATATAGCATCTACCTTCAGCAATTTTCAATATATGGCCAATCTTGTTTCATCTATGTTCCTCTCCCTTTCAATATTTTGAAGTAAAAACCCACACATCACATTTTAAGTTGTAAACACTTCATTATACATCTCTAAAAGAACACTTAAAAAGTACATTCTCACACCTGAAAAAATGGACAAATCCTTTTCATTAAATATCCAGAGTCTAAATTTCCCCAATTTTGAATAAATGTCTTTTTACAGTTAGTTTGCTCAAAGCAGGATAGAACTAAGCTTCATACATTGCATTTGGTGGAAAAGCCTCTTAAGTCTCTTTTAATCTTATAGTTCTCCCTCCCTATTTCTTGCTATTAATTTTTTGAATAAATCAGGTCATTTTTCTTTTATTTATTTTTTAACTTCTATTGTTTTGAGGCAGGGTCTCGCTCTGTTGCCCAGGCTGGAGTGCAGTGGTGCAATCATGGTTCACTGCAGCCTCAATCTCCCAGGCTTAAGTGATCTTCCCACCTCAGCTTCCCGAGTAGTTGGGACCACGTCCAGTTAATTTTTTAAGAAACTTCTTTGTAGAGACAAGGTCTCACCACGTTGCCCAGGCTGGTCTTGAACTCCTGGACAAGAGGGATCTTCCCACCTCAGCCTCTCAAGGTGCTAGGATTACAGGTGTCAGCAACTGCGCCCAGCCATTTTTCTTAAAACGCAATGTATTTTATTTATTTTATGGTTTGTGTCTTATTACTAGAATGTAAACACCATGAAAGCAGAGATTTTAGTCTATGAGGTATCAGCATCTAGACCTGTGACATGTAAACGGCATCAATAAACACTGAATGTATTTGGCATCCATGCCAAAAGTCCACCGCTCACCAACAGCAGAAATTGCTAATCACAGTACTCTTTCCTGCTAAGTTTGAACAAGGACTCCCAGTTTTCTAAACACAGCACTCTAGGCAGCCACCACTAAACAATCAGATTTGGTACCCCAAACGAAATTTATTTGCTGTCCCTGCTTTAGCCCCCTTCAAAAGTGTACTATCCCTAAAACAGATTTCATTGCACCTTGTATGTTGAAATTTTAGCATGATAAATTACTGACTGTGTTTCTTGTCAACTACATTTAAACATTTCTTAGCTTATTTTAGACAGCTTAGGGGAAAAAGAAAACTGTAGCCAAAAAAATAATAGAAAAAGAAACTGCAGAAGATGGTGGGAAACCGCGGGTATTACATATTTTTAGAATTAGCAACATCCCAAGAGGCTCATTATAAAATAAAAATTAGCAACAAATTTTCTGAAAAGGAAGTAAATTACATGTGTGTTGAATTAATTTTTTTAAAAACTACATGAAGATTAACTGGAGGATGAAGACAGATGTCAGGATTTTCCCATTTATAGGCATCAGCAACACATTCTATTTTTCTGCAACTGGTATTTTGAGGTGTAAAGGTATTACAGGGGCGATACAAGAGTACTATGTAGAACCCCATTTCTCTGAAGTGGAGTTTATGTGGCAAAAAGAATCTAAAACATCTAGTACAACATTCCGAAAAATTGTCAATTCTTCTTAAGAGTCATTTACAATTCATTTCTGTTAAACTACCAGATGAAGCTCTCTTTCTCTAGGCTTATTTCTGAAGGTAGGTAAGCTAACTGAAAGACTCCAATCAGATGTTTATGTTTTGATTACTTTTTTCTATCAAAAAAGAAAAAAATTAGAAATTCCCTGACATCCATTCAAGAAACACTGTGCTTTCTCTTTATTACCTGTAAATTCATTAAACAACAAAAAGTATTTAGGACCTACTAAACATAGTATGTTAGGCAGTTATTTTCAGCCTTTGAAGGAAAAATAGAAGTGATCTACTCAAGACAACATGCAAAAAAAAAAAACAAACAAACAAAAAAAAACCTAGGGGCAGAACTTGAAATCATATCCAGATCTTTCAATGACCAATAATTCTTGTCTTGAGGTTCCCACACATTAGTCTAGGGAAATATTCTATGGCACAGGTCACACTTAAAACTAAGAAAATATAATAAGCACTTCCCCTCCCCCACTACCACAAGTGTAAAAAAATCTCCAAGAACCCAAATCCCTTGAAAGAATGACTTCTATTTACTTTGCCTGTGTAATATATTCAGAGGGAATCTGGAAAAGATGGCTAGAAATCTATAAACAGAAAGTGCTAAGTGGAATTCACTGTTTATAGACTTCAACTAGAATTTTGTCCCTTATATATAAATGCTGCCAACAATCTTTACATTGTATTATTTAAAAACATCTTCATCAGGTTTTCTTCACTTTGCTGATTTTCTTCCTTTTCTCACTGGCTTTTAAATCTGCTTTACTGTCCTCAAAGACATAAATGTAACTTTTGGAATAACATGTTTCCCGCCCCCACCCCAAAGGAGCTCCTAAAGCCACCTCAGTGCCATCATATATTAGTCATTATGAAATTTTAATATTTACAGTTAAATATATCTGTATAATAAAATAATCCAAAAAGCCTTTCTAACCTAATAAATACTAGGATAGGTCTACATTGATGTATTATGGTAAAATGTGTATGTATATATTAGTTTTCAATTCTAAGTCTTTGGCTTAAAATCTTTATCAGCTATAGAAGCTTCTGCCTAAAAACATTAGTTGTCCACGAAGCATAATGACTATCTACAGTCCTTACCACCTGACCTACTAGAAAACCATAATACATCATATTCTGAAATGATAGAACTCTTAAAATACAAAAGTGACATTCTGACAACCCAGAAGAGGCTGAACTTAAATCAAATGGAAACATCCTTTGGCTTCCCCTTTGAAACTTGCCTCAGTGGCATTTGGCAGTACTAGACTAACTTCCTACCCCGTACTTTTCAGTCATTTCCTTTAAGGGGTCTCAAAGAAATTATGAAACCTGCAAAGCCAGACTTTGCCAGTCAACACTAACTTCTGCCTGTGGATTCCAGTGACTGAGCCAAGACAGTGTTAGTAGCTTCCTTGAAGTACAAATGTTCCTGGTAAATCTGGCTTGAAAATACCACAGAAAAAGTTCAACATAACCAACTGTAAGAACATTTAAATGCCAATCTTAAGGAAAGAATGGATTCCCTCCCCCTACAAATTCCACTGAGGCAAATTTCCAGCTTACTTTTTAGAAGCAAATAAATACTACTACTATTACATTACAGCACTTCTACCATGCTAATAAAAAGCTAGGTGATAGTTTCCTCTTTAAAACCTGTACATTCACTACATGAGACACTATAACCACTTCACTACATGCAACTTTCCATACATATAACTGTTCTACTTTCCAATTATTTATTTTAAACTCAAGATCTCTTTTAACATACTATAGAAAGGGAACAGGTTAGAAGGCTTTGGGAAAAAAAATAAAATAACGAACATCTCACTTTCATTTTCTGATGCAACCACCAAAATCTAAAATGTAAGGACAACTATATAGTACAAAATTAAATTTAAGAGAATTTAGAGTAAGTGAAACTATTCACTATTACTACAGTTCTGATTATTATTTACCTGAGGAAAGAGCTAGTAGAAGTGATGCTTGGTTTAAATTTTTGGTGCTTTCCAGTATGGTACCGAAGAAATAAAAACTCACAAAATAAATAAGGTCCTCAGAGTTAAAGACTTTTCCCCAGAAGAGGTTGTTGGTATAAATAAAAAAAACAAGGAATTCATATGCTGTATTTGTACACTAAGAACAATGTTTTGAGACATGTAAATCTTATCACTCAGAAAATATTTTGTTGGCTATAAAGAAAACGCATCGTAAACTGAAACAGAACTGAATAAAGTGAACCTTTACCACAATTAAAATATTTTAAATTCACCCTATTATGAAAACTTAATAATAAATTCATTTATCCTTAAGTGTAAGAGTAATACATATTCGACACAGTAAAGGACAATGCCATTTCTGAAACAAAAGATCATGTGCAATGAAAACAAAGTAACATTTTGCAGAGTAAGAAAAAGTAAAGAGCCTGTGAACCGAAACAGATGACCTTTTCTTATATATAAAGCTTCAGTTTTTAGCACAACCAGCACCTTATGAATAAAGTTCTCAATAACATTTGTTGATATACTGTTTGATGACTAAACGACAGGAATATTGTTGGTGCTGTTAAAACCAAGGCACATTTCCTTGTGTGTAGTGATTAAAATCTGTTAAATGTACATTTTTAAAAAACCTCTGCCCTCTGTCCCCTTCTTGCTCTCTTGCCTCTAACAGACCTGCACGTACAAAAATAAAAGTAGATGGTGACGTGAGTTTATGATTTACATTAATTTCCCTACTCGGAGCATTTTTCACTAAGTCTTTAGAGGTTTTAAGATTCAAACACTATGTAAGAAGAATTATGGTTTGAACTACGTAACAATTACCTAGACATCTTTTGGACTTCAGTTAACCTGTAAGTAAAATGAGCATCTTTAACTTTTCCACGGGGCTTTGGAGAACGGGTTCTTCCTCATAAACGCTTTCATATACTCAGACACGAGGCGCGGTAGAAGATCAAGCGTATCCATCAATTTGAGAGCTTTTCACGACCTCAGTTTACCCACTTAGGGAAACGGGCGTATTAACTTGTTTCCTAGGGGACCCGGGGGTGAAATTAATTAGCGTGTTTAAAATGCTCTGAGATCCAAAGATGAAAGGAAATGTGAAAGACGCGCAGAGATGATGACAACAATCATAACAATAAAAAGAATGACTAACTTGAAGTCTGCGTTATGTAAGGGAGGAAAAGAAGTTATCAGATCCGCACAAACAAAAGGGAAACCCACCGCCCCTTTTGTTTCTCCCATTTCCCTCTCCTCCCCGCCACCCGCAGAGCTCCCCTCTCGCAGCCGGAGCGCGCGGCCAGCCAGGCGCGGGGCTCGGAGTTGGCCGCCGCGCGCCCCGCTCCCGGGCGGAGGGGGAGGCCGCGTAGGGCCGGTTCCTGACAAAGGCGCTTCCTCGAGCCAGGGCGCGGGATGCAGGCGCCGCAAACTCCGCTCCCCGCCGCAGCGGGGGCGCGCAGGCGGGCGGGGAGAGCCGGCTGCTGGCCGCCGGGGAAGCCGCCGAGGAAGTTGCGCGCCCGCCCTCCCCGCGCCCCTCGGCGGCCCCGCCGCCATCCATCCCGCGGCGCCCCGCGGTCACACTTACCGGACAATTGCTGGTGGCCGGGATCCCAGAGCGGCCCCCGAGACCCGAGGCGAGAGGGTGAAGTGTTGTGCGCGGGGAGCGCGAGCAGACAGCCCGCCGTTCCGCCGCTGCCCTCCGCGCCCGCCAGCCGAGCCCAGCGAGGGGAAGTTGACCACGGAGCCGAGCGCTGAGGAGCCGCGGACGCAGGGAGAGGCGTTGGGGCTGCTTTGTGGTGCGCTCCCGGAGGGCTGGGGACCAATTCGACCGCACCGCGGGACTAGGGCTGCTGCCGCTGCTGCTAGTGGAGGCGGCGGCGGCGCCCCCCGACGGTCCCTCCGCCTCACACCGCCTCTGGGTCACTGACATACACTCGCAAGGAGGGGAGGGGTCTAGCCGGGGGGCGGGGCCTGAGGGAGGGGACCGGGCAGGGCCACAGCGGAAGGCGGTGTCGCCGCACCGAGAAGGCTCTTGGGAATTGTAGTTCTCCGGTTGAAGAAAAAAGGGATTCATTGTTGTCCAGCACCCTACCAGGCTCGCTCTGCACTGAGCATGCTCGAGGGCGAGGTTTGGACCGCCCCCTCCCACCGTTACCATGGTCACCGACACACTTAGCGAACGTGTTCAGTGCTGCTGTTGGCTGAACAAGGACGGTCTTGTATTATGGTGTTGTTGGGGATCCAACCCTTAGACGGTCCTTCCTACTTTTCTCCACCTCCAACTCCTAGCCTTACCAGTCATAAGTACCCAGTGAGGTCTGACTTTCTCTCCATATTTCAGTCTTCCCTGCTGCGTAATTTATCTTCCACAAACCCTAAATCACAAATACCTCTGTCCCTCACTTCCCTCAATTGAATCTTCTCCGGCTAAATTCAATTTTCTTTACCTAAGACTTGTCGAAATGTAGTTGTTTCCAGTAATTGAACAATTAGGTTATAAAACTTAGGAATATCACCACTATCAAAGTCCCGTAATTAATTACTTTGCTCAGTTAGTCACATCTAACTTTAAGATTAGCAAAGGCAAAGTACAGAATTAAGACCCCTATATTTTACTTGATTACTATAAAAGAATCCGGGTTCGTTCATTTTAAGGCCTACAATTTTTAAGACATACAAATTTCATAAAGTATACGTTCAAAAGACAAGTTGAAAATTGTTTATGTGTATTGGCCAACTTTAGTTTGGTAATAAGAGAAGTCTGAACCAAGGTATGAGTATGTTGTTGGGCTGGTCAGCTAAGTCTACACCCATCTTGGGCACCCAGGTGTGGAAAGGTGGTAGGGAGGAGGGTGGAGAAAGGCAGGACACATTACTGGCTCTCCGGAGAGCTAAAGGCAACGCGTCCTGAGCGCTTTTGTTTTCCTTCTCCACCTACCTAGAACCCCACACCCTGGAAGAAAAAGATTAATGCTTAGGAATCAGACACACTTTTGGAGCAAGGCTTTCAGAGAGTCTCAAGATCAGAAATCCTTATATCTACAGACTATATAATTATACACTCATTCAAAAAATGCTTGTTGAGTGTCTACTTGTGCTAGGCACTGTTTTGAGCCCCAGAAATAGAGATACAAAAATGTAAAAGAAACATTCTTATTTTCAGAGTGCTTACTATGCAAAGGAGGAGACAGGTAAATAGACTTAATTTGAGAAGTACTACAATAGGAAAATGCAAAGCTACCCACAGATGTGGGCAAAATCAGGAAATGCTTCAAAGATCACTTGAGATAACTAGGAATTAACATGTTTGTGTATTTTGGTAGGGGAGGAGGAAGAGAGAGGTGGGTGAGAGCATTGGGGGTGGTGTTGGGGAGAGCATCAAGCACAAATACCTAAAGGTGTGAGACCCAAACGTATTTTGGTTCAGCAAATAGTTGCATTGCTGGCAGTAGAATGGAGTTGGGGGAGTGGCAAGAGGAGACACTGAAAAAGGTAAGGGAGACAGCTTAGGTAATGAAGAATCTTGCACAATATGCTAAGGAACATGAACCTTTTCCTGGAAACAATGGGAAGCCACACAAGGATTGTAAGCAGATGGAATTTTGATAAGATAGGCATTTTAGAAAGATCACTCTATGGAGTGTGGTATGTATGGGACCTGTTACAGTATTACAGGGGAAAAAACCATGAGAGACTGAACTAAGGTAAGGCAGTGGCAGAAGAGAAAACTGAGGGTAATCAGACACTATTCAGGGGATAGAATATAGAACATAGTGACTAATTGCCTAGGTTTGGGGGTGAAGGGAAAAGTAAAGTTATGAATTATGATGCTTGTGGTTGAAAGCAGCAGAAAACCCAGCTCTAACTGGCTTAACCAATAAAGGAGATTTATTGAACCATCTAGCTAGAAAGTTCAGGAAAAAGGCAGTCTATAGGGATGACTGATTCAACAAATCAGAGATGTCATTAAAGGCACTTTTTTTCCCTCATTTTAATTGCTTTATTGTTAGCTTTATTGTCAAATGACGGTTGCCAACAACTTGTGTAGCTTTAAGTTTCGCTATTTAGGTCCAAGAAGAAATAAGAAAAAGATTCACTTTTGGAAGCTCTTTTGTAAAGGAAAGAAAACTCCTTTCCCAGAAGCCTCAATGATTTAGTCACATGTCCCTACATAAACCAAAAATGGCTGCCAGGAGATGGCACAAGGATAATTATCTTAGGATGAAGACATGTGCGTACCCTTAGAGCCATAGAAGTCAGCTTCTACCAAAGCTGTGATGAGGAGGTGCAAATATCCCAGTGAAAATTGAGCTGATTACTCAGAAAAAGAAGCATGGAGTCTGAGAAGTGGACCACAGTGTCTACTGCAAGGAAGAAGCCAATGATGGATCCCAGATTTTTGGATTGTGTGTTTATGAGCTAGTGATCAGTTATGTACATGACTCTTGTGCCCTGGAGACAGATTTGGGCAGCAGAAGATATAACTGGAATATACCATCATATAAATGGCTGTTGAAATTATGGCAATGGATGAGATCACCCATGGAGAGTATGCACAGCAGAAAAAGGAGTCAATAATAGCACCTTAGAGAACATCAGCACTTAAGGTGTAGGCAGGAAGATCGTGAAAATGCCTGGGAAGTAGCAAGAGAACTAGGACATAACAAGGAAGCAGGAAAGTAATCTACAACCAGGAGGAGAGTCAGTCAACATAAAGCCACAAATGACAGAGATGATAGAATTAGCAGTCAACAATGTTGAAACAATTACAATAAGTATGCTCAGTATGCTGAAAGAGAGAAATCAAAGATATAAAAAATGGAATTTCTAGAAATTAAAATGACAATTTCTGAAATAATTTCACTGGATGGGATTAACACTCAGAGGCAGATTAGGCACAGAGCAAATTAGACACTCAGAAGAAAAGATTAGTGTACTTGAAGACATAGCAGTAGAAGCTAGCCAAAAGAAAGCACACAAAGAAAAAAAATGAAAAAATACCCCCCAAAACAGAGTCTCAGTGATCTATGGGATAATACCAAGTGTCTAATATTTGTGTAATTGGAGTTCCAGATGAAAGATGGGTCAGAGGGGTGACAGAAAAATTATTTGAAGTAATATAGCTGAAAATATTTTCACGTTTGATGAAAATTATAAACCCACAGATTCAAGCAGCTCAATGACCCCTAAGCAGAGTAAACACACACTCCCAAAAACCACTGCAAAATACGTCACTATTAAATTGTTGAAAACCAATAATAAGAAAATATTAAAAGCAGCCAGAGGAAAAAGGCAAATTATGTATAGAGGAATAAACACAAAATATCAGCAGACCTTTTTTTTTTTTTTTTTTTTTTTGAGGTGGAGTCTTGCTCTGTCGCCCAGGCTGAAGTGCAGTGGTGCGATCTCGGCTCACTGCAAGCTCCGCCTCCCGGGCTCACGCCATTCTTCTGCCTCAGCCTCTGGAGTAGCTGGGACTACAGGCGCCCGCCACCACGCCCGGCTAATTTTTTGTATTTTTAGTAGAGACGGGGTTTCATCGTGTTAGCCAGGATGGTCTCGATCTCCTGACCTTGTGATCCTCCCACCTCGGCCTCCCAAAGTGCTGAGTTACAGAAATGAGCCACCGCGCCCGGCCAAATATCAGTAGACTTCTAATCAGAAACTGTGCAAGTCAGAAGACCATGAAAAGGCATTTCCAAAGTGCTGAAAAAAAAACCTGCCTGGCATGGTGGCTCAAGCCTATAATCCTAGAATTCTGGGAGGCCAAGGCGGGTGAATCCCTTGAGCTCAGGAGTTTGAGACCAGCCTGGCCAACATGGCAAAACCCCGTCTCTACAAAAAAAATACAAAAATTAGCTGGGCGTGGTGGCATACGCCAGTAGTCCCAGCTACTCCGGAGGTTGAAGTGGGAGGATCGCTTGAGCCCAGAAGGTCGAAGCTGCAGTGAGCTGTGAATGCGCCACTGCACTGCAGCCTAGGTGACAGAGCGAGACCTTGTCTCAAAACAAACAAACAAACACCCTGACACATAGAATCCTATAGTTAGAGAAAATAATCTTTCAAAAATGAAGTTTAAGACAACAAAAGCTGTGAGGATGTCACCAGCAGAACTGCACCTCAAGAAATGTTAAAGCAACTTCTTGGAAACTTGGATTTATATTAAAGAATGAAGAGTGCCAGAAATGATAAATATATGAGTAATTATAAAAAACTTCTCCCCCTGACTTAAAATTTTTTGAAAAAAGATAACTGACTTTAAAATAAAAATGACAAGACTGTATTATCAGGTTCATAATTAAAGATTTCTGTCAGCATTTATATATAAGGGACAAAATTCTAGCTGAAGTCTTCAAACATGTAAAGTTTGATAACAATAGCTCAAAAGATGGAAGGAAGAAGTGGAATTATATAGAAAGGTCTTATATTACACATGAAGTATTATACTATTATTTGAAGGTAAATCGTGATGAGTTAAAAATGCATAAGCTAAACCTTAGAGCAGTCGTCAAAATGAAAAAAACAGATGTGGCTAAGAAGTCAATAGTGGAGATAAAATGAAATCTTAAGAATAAAAAGCTTGAATGGAGAAGCAGAAATAAGGAAGAAATCTATGTCCCTAATGACCATGGAGCTGACATACCAGCTCTGGACTCTACCTCCTGACTTCTTTTAAGTGAGAAACAAACTTGTTTTGTTTTTATTTTTTAAAATTTTTTATATTAAAAAAATAGAGACAGAGTCTTGCTATATTGCCCAGGCTGGTCTTGAACTCCTGGGCCCAAGCAATCCTCCTCCTCAGCCTCCCAAAGTGCTGGGATTACAGGTGTGAGCCACCATACCCAGCCAAGAAACAAACTTCTATGTTGTATAAAGACATTGCTGTTTTGTACTGTGTTATGTATAGCTGAACCTAATCAGACTCACAAGCCTATAGAAGTTTCATGAAATAGAGTATATTTCTCAGAATCAGGTAGATCCACGTGTTGCCAGCATTTCAACATAGTTCTGAGGTTCCTATATTTGTCACTAAAATTCCAGGGATACAGCATCTTTCGTGTGGGCATCATTTACTATTAGTTTAATTAGTTTTTCTTGAAGGAGAAAATACATGTAAAGTGCTTAGCCCAGGCTTGGAATGCAGCAAATGTTCAGTCAATATGTAGTACTTTGAAACCAAACCACAATAATGAGGTAGATGGCCCACAGGTTAGACATATGTTCGGGTTTGTTCTCCAAAGTCAGGTGTAGAAAATCATGGTGACATTCACTTATATATCAAAATCTGTAGATTCCTTTGTGAAATTGTGACTTTACCTCCACCATACAGTTCTGTACAGTTCTTCAGAATCTACAGTCCTTTGAATTCAGAACAGTTCAGTCGTGGAAAATGAGTGCACCTCCAATCACCATATGCTCAGTCTACATATCTAGTTAAATACCTACATTTCTTTCACCAGAGGGGCTATCCTTTTGTTGCTTATCTGCAGTTTCCAATTTGGTATATTCAGCCATCTAGTCATTTCAGTAAGAAAGTGAATCCTGGGGGACTAAAGTTTTTTGGATCTCTTAAATTCTAAAAAGTTTTTGATCTGTGGATGTTGCTCAGTAAACTTCAAGTTTCCTGTACAATCTGACTATATCAAAATCAACTAAAACTGTGTTTCTACTCTTTCCTCAAACAAACATGAAAGCAGTGCTTGGGATAAGAACATAAGGAAAAATCACAATATTGATGTCATTTCTAAAACAACATGAAATAAATATAATTTGCTAGTAAATGAGGAAGAGGAAATTAGATACACGTCTTTTCTTATAACTTGAAGAAACTGCTGCAAACTTATTTTTCTCCTTTCACTGCAAATATTTCATCCACTTCAAATGAACATATCTTCCCATGTTTAGTCCAAATTTCTCATGGTTTATACTGACCCTAGACTGCCTATTGGACTCTTACTGACATTCTTGGGATTTGAGAGTGATAAAGTTGTGTGTGTGTGTGTGTGCATGTGTGTGTGTGTTTAATATTCAGATTTTAAGTAGGTTATCTCTCAGAATTCTTACCTCCAATATTTCTCCCAAAAATAAAATTATTTTCTCCTAATGTCCTCAAAGTCTCCAAATAGCTCATAGTCAACATAGCACATGTTCCTATTTTAAACCTGTGAATGGCACATAATTTGAAGGCCTGGGCTTTCACTCAAAAGATTTGTAGGCCCCAAATGCTGGCTCTGACATTTTAGATATATTTAGAAAATGTCAAAGACAAGCCAGTTAAAATTTCAATGTTTTAAAGGAGTCTGCTTGTACACCAAAGAATGCAGCCTACAAATTCTCAGTATTAGTGCAGTCAACATATACACAAGCAGTTATTTTGGAATTTTAAATAATACTGTGAATTGAGAGAATTGGAAAACCCATGAAGAGAACATTTAGATTGTGTTTTCATCCCTAAAATAGATGTATTTGCTGATAGACTACTTAAATTTTTGTATCTCAAATTTCATGTATTCTTTCGTGGAATACTTACTGAGCACATACTATGGTGCCAGACTATGGATACAAAGATTAATTAGTCTTGGTCCTAAGCTTTTTTTTTTTTTAACTTTTCTCCCGAGATGGAGTCTTGCTCTGTCACCCAGGCTGGAGTGCAGTGGCGCGATCTTGCTCACTGCAACCTCCGCCTCCCGGGTTCAAGCAATTCTCCTGCGTCAGTCTCTGGAGTAGCTGGAATTACAGGTGCCCACCACCGCGCCCAGCTAATTTTTGTATTTTTAGTAGAGATGGGGTTTCACCATGTTAGCCAGTCTGGTCTCAAACTCCTGACCTCGTGATCTGCCCGCCTCAGCCTCCCAAAGTGCTGGGATTACAGGCGTGAGCCACCGCGCCAGCTGGTCCTAAGCTTTTTGATGTTTAGGAAAGGGGAAATGCAGAGAAGGGAATAATCAATTTTACATGAGAATAAAGTCAGAAAAACATTTCAAAGAGGAGGTGGCAATTGAGCTGAATGCTAAAAAATGAGTAGGTGCTCACAAGCTGAACAAAGACATTTCAGCAGAGCTTGTGATGTTAAAAAAGACATGGGAAGAGTGAAGTAACAGCCCATTTAAAGAACTACAAGCAGTTCAGTATGGCCAGATCATAGGGTGTGACATGGGCCAGGTCAGGAAGTTTCTGAGACCAGATCATAGAAGTCGTATATGCCATGTCATGACAAAGAGTTTGGCAATGAGAAACTGTTGAAAGATTTTAAGCAGAGGAGTGCTATAAAATCATGCTAGTATTTGACAGAGTGACTAGCTAAGAGAATATGCAGTAATGCAGGTGAGAGATGATGGACAAACCAAGTAAGTGTGGGGAATCAAAAGAAGGGGGCAGATACCAGTGATGTTTCAAGAGATAAAATGAATAGGGCTTGATATATTGATTGGATGTAAGAGGTGAAGGAAAGAGAAAGGAAGGATCATTTGGAGGTTTCTGGTCATGTAGCTGGGCATTATATATTATAGTTATTCATTAGTATAGAGGAAAAGCAACTTTTTATTGCTTTTTGCAGTCAATACTTATTTATATTCATGTGTTTACAGTCTTACCAACATTTTATTTTCTGTTGGTTTCATTTTAGTAAGTATGCAGTGTCTCATTGTAGTTTTATGTATTTATTTATTTTTTGGAAACAGGGTCCTGCTCTGTGCCCAGGCTAGAGCGAAGAGGCCTCCCAAGCTCAAGCAATCCTCTCACTTCAGCCTCCTGAGTAGCTGGGACCACAGGCTTGTGCTACTATATACAGATAAGATTTTTTGATTTTTTGTGGAGACAGAGTCTCTCTATGTTGCCCAGCCTGGTCTCAAACTCCTGGGCTCAACTGATACTTGCACCTCGGCCTCCCAAAGTGTTGGGATTACAGGCATGAGCCACTGTGCCCATCCCCAACACTGTAGTTTTAATTTACATTTCCTTGATTGTGCATGCAACTGAGTAACTTTTTATAAGAATGTTTTATAAGGTCATTTGGAAATCCTGTCTTCAAAGAGGCTGTTTAGTTTTGCCCATTTAAAAATTATATAGTCTTTCTTTTTTTTCTTATTGATTTACAGGTGTTCTTTATATATTCTAGTTACCAGTCATTCATCAAATATGTGTCTGTGTATGCGTGTGTGTATATATATATATGTAGACTAGCTTTTATCTAAGTTTCTCAGCTTGGGATTCTCTTACCACAAAGGCAATGGAAATTTAGACCCTACACTCACCAGCTATGCAACTTTGGGTTTAGATTTCTCCCAGGAGAATACTTTTTCTCTCTCTAGAGCTCAGGGCAGACAACAAACTACTTTGGTACTTGTCCAGTCTGACAGACTAAACTTTTCTGGCTCCTTTTCGCTGACCATGTAGCTTTTATAGGACTTTATGTCCTGGAATTAGCAGAAATCCCAGTTGTAGCCCCTGCACTGCAGATGCAAGAGCACATGTCTTGTCCCTATGTGGGCATTAAAACCCTGGCTACCAGCTGCCAGGGCATATATTCAGGCTTCTGGCTTTGAGTCTCTCCCTACCCCCCACTCTACCATCCCCAGCTTTTTTTTTTTTTTTTCTCATAACAGAAATTTTTATTTCTCTCAAGCTCAGTTATGTATTTCATTGTTGTTTTAGTGGTTATATTTACCCAGTGTTTCTACATATTCGTATCAGAAAAGGTGGCTTCCATTAGCTCAGTCTGCCATGATGTAGGAACCTATTTACCATTCATTTCTGAAAATTATTTCAGACACTTTGCCATAACTACCTACATTACTCTTTTTCTAAAAGTATTTCAGGGATACTTGTAAGAACACATCTGACTTTCTAAAATGCTACTTTATTCGTGTTTAAGTAGAAAAGAAACATACTGTTGGTTAGGCATCCCCATCTCCAGATTTGTAATGTAGAAACTCTTATTACATTGTTAGAGAATCCTGGAGATCTGGAACAGGGTTGGGAGAGAGCTTAGGGTAACAACTATATTTAAATTTGGTAAATTAAAAGAATATAAACTCATAAAGCTCAGTTTAATTCTCCCTATTTCATCCCTCCAGCTGGGTGCCCACATAACCCAATCCTTTCTCGTTAGTTTCCTCTAGTTCTCCAAGTTACTCTAGAAACTAAAGTAGCAAGTTATGCCCTAAACGCCTCAGTTTTTGTTTTAAATCTCTTTATAGACCTGAGTACAGGAATCCTGGATTTTGCCAATTAAACTTTCCTATTTGAGTTCTGCCTTTTTGGAGACTGATTCCTCAGAACTAGCTTTCCCGAATGGTACTGCTTTTAATATTTTGTCACATAATCCCCCCAAGCAGTTTCACGCTTTGCCTTAATCATCCTGTGTCTTCTCCTGCTCCTTCAGCCTCCACAGTTACCTCTCAGGGATATTTCTTCACAACTCTACCCCACTGCGTCAACATAAAAAGCACCCAGGCTCCAGCCTCCCAACCTGAGTCACCCCACGCCCCCTTCTAGTGTTACCAGCTCAGGCTCCTGCCCTGCGTCTTGTCTCTTCTCAGATAAAATCAGTATCATGTAGTATTAGCATAAGTGCAGTTCTATCCATTTGGCTAGACTTAGCCAGCCTGGAGTTTTTCAGTTGATGGGATATTTTTTTTTTTAATGCACAATTTAAAAATCTTTTTGTTATAGAAACTTTCAAAACACACAGAAGGAGAAAGAATAGTCTAATGAAACCCGTGTACCCATCATCCAACTTCCATAGTTTCAATTCTTTGTCAATCTTGTTTTATCTTTACCTCCACTGGTTTATTTTGATACAAATCCCAGTTGCCCTAAAATTTATTTTGTATATCCATATGTGATTCTAAAAGGGGGGATATCTTATTTTAAAAGCATAAGCACAATAACACTATCATACCTAAAAGTAAAAACCCCAAATATTTCTCAATACTGTCAATATCCAGTTTTTAAAAATTGAGATCCAAATAAAGAATATACATGACATTGGTTGATGTATCTCTTATCTCTCTCTTTTTTTAAAAAATCTTTGCATTATGGAAAGTTTCAAACATATACAAAGCAAACAGAATAATGTATGTACTCTATATCTAGCTTCAACAATGATCAATTGTCTATCACTCTTACATCATCTATACCTTCACCCACTCCCCAACTCAATTGTTATTTTTAACAGCTTTTTTTGAAGTAACGTGTATTAGTTGTACAACTTTGACAAATGGATATACTAATGTAACCCACAATGCTATCATGAACACAGGACATTTTCATCTCTCCAGAAGATTGTCTCGTGTCTCTTACTCTTTCAGAGGCAATCAGTGTTTTGATTTTGTTTAACCTTAGATTAGTGACTGTTCCACAACTTTATACTCTTTTACATCCAGCTGCTTCTCACTATAATATCTGTGAGATTTATTCATGTTGTTGGATTAGTTTGTTTCTTTTCATTGCTATAACTACTACAATATATTTATTCTGTTGAGCTTATTTAACACATGTATTTTCTCTATAAGGCACATCGCAGTCTTTTTGTGATTAGGGACCCTAGGCAGCACTTTATCACTACGCTCGAGAGTCATTTTAAACAGTGAAATCACCAACAAAAAGCAAAAAACATGGCACTAAATAGACTGCAAAAAAGATGTTTATTTACAGTATGAGAGCTGAAACAAGTGGGTAGAGAGCACGACCTCATCTGAGAACATATGCATCAGGTGACTCAATTTTTGGCCACTCTGTGAGTGTCCATGAATGACCACAACAGTATTGATTTTGAGGTTATGAATACCTTTTAGCGATCAGGCAAATTCACGAATACTGAATTCATTAATGATGAGTAGCAACTGTACATATGTGTATCAGCATATGTACAGATGGTCCCTGACTTATGATGGCTTAACACATGATTTTTTAACGTTATGGTGGTGTGAAAGCTATACACATTCAGTAGAGACCATACTTTGAATTTAATATCAACAAGTGTCTCTGCCCCAGTGCCTTCTACCAATGATTCTCCAGCCTCATCAGAAGAGAGACAAATTGATGACCCTGTTGATGTAGCATCCTCATCATCCAGCAATTAATTTTAGTTCAATACTTCAAACATTCTTGAGGCCCAGTGTACTTTCAGCTGTGTGTGTTAATGGTGAGTACTCATACAACCATTCTGTTTTTTACTTTCAGTATAGTATTCAATAAATCACATGAGATAGTCAACACTTTATTACAAAACAGGCTTTGTGTTAGATGATTTTGCCCCACTGTAGGCTAATGTAAGTGTTCTGGGCACAATTAAGGTAGGCTAGGCTAAGCTATGATATTTAGTACGTTAGGTGTATTAAATGCATTTTTGACTTGCATTTTCAAATTACAATGGGTTTATCAGAACATAACCCCACTGTAAGTCAAGAAGCATCTGCACATATGTATAGATATGAAACAAGGTTATCATCTATTTCTATTGCCTTGAAATTTGGGAACTAAAAAGAAGAATAAGCTTCCTACCTTCAGTAAACTTGATGGGACTATATTCCAGAAGACTTGGGCTTGATGGGGTATCCTACCCCAAAATATGTGTGGATGTAAGGGTAACCATAACTCACTGTGAGAGGAGAAAATGTAAATAAATTGGGTTTTAGATATGCTAACATTTTTACTAACAAAGATTCCTGCCAAAGTGAGAAAAAAATATATAGAGGTAGGAATGACATGTGTTCTAGAAAGAGAAATATAAAAGTGTTTAACTAAAAACCTGATTTGAAAAAAAGAGGAGACTGATAGTTGTATACTCAATAAAGATAAAGGATGCAGTTCTAAGGTATTTCAATGAATGGAAAATGAGAGACTTGCCTAATACAGATGTCAGGTGACTGCAAGAATCAGTTTTACCTGGGAGCTGAGAGGTAGAGATGGGGCACAAACAGAAATGACGTTGCCTCACCAATGAAAGGGAAAATAGTCCTGACCTGGAATTGAAGGTATATGCATGGGAAGGCCTAGTAAGAACAGACTAAGTGATTCCAGAATATGGGTAAAGGAAATTGTCTCAACCTGGTTGTGTACCTTAGAGAACAATTTATTAAGGATCTGAAGAATTAATTTATCAACATCAAATTTGTATTAAAAAAACGAATTATCTGTGACTTACATTTGAAAATAGATTTTATGCCCCCCAAGATCTTTATAAATTGTAGTCATATATTTTTGCTCTGTATTTGACTTACTAAGCAAGAGCTGGACTGAAGAACATTATCAGGGATACTACAAGAAATGCATAAGATGAAGATCATATTCTCCAAATACTAGCATCACAATTACCTTTTCCAACCTCTAACCTCTACTACTATTCTCTTTGACGATGACAACAGAAAATAAGTCACCTGACTTTTGTTCCACTCTCACCCTTAAAATTTCCCTCTAGCTCAGATACCCAACCTAAGATACTTCTTGGAGTCAAGTCATAGAGCTATCCTACCACTATCTTGGGATCCTTGACCACAATACTTACATCTCTATGCTGACAGAATCCAGTCTCCTTCCCAACCTCAAACCATAATTCCTATAAAGCTCTCCTATCATCCCCACTCCTAAGATGTTCTTACATTGAGAACTTATAACAGCATGCCTTAAGCCATAGCCTGGGTCTCAATTCTTTGTTTATTGGATATTTTGCTTGCACTCACCAGTTTTATCTGGATATAAGAATTTCAAAGACTATACGAAGACGGTTTAAAAAGTCCCTTCATATGGAGGGAGAAAAGGTGTTGAAAAGCCCACGAGTATGTATTTTTAAAGAAAACAACTTGGCTAATCAGATTATCATCACTATGATATATACCTACATTTTAGTTTCTCACTGACCAGACTTAATATTTAGGAAATTTGTGAGAAGTGATTTTTTTTCTCTTAGAAGACTAGACATCCAAGAAAGCCCCATCATTCAGAAGTAGTTTTACTGATTGATAAGAATAAAACAGAATTCAGTGAAAAACTTGTTTTGTTCATAAAAGTTGTAGGATTGATATAAAATAAGAAACTAAGCCCTTTCATAAATTCAGGTTCAGCTTGAAGTTTTGTTTATTCAATTTCTAAATTTAATTCTTCTATTACAATCATATATTACCACTTGTGACATTATTTTACTATCTTGAGCAATTTGTTGCTATTTATTTCTCAACCATAACTATTTACCCTCATCTTTTACTCTCCATTTCCAAATTCCTATAGATTATTCAACTGGAGTATCAGCCTGGGCTAGGGGTTGCAGACCATTGTTAGTTGATACTTAATAATAAAATCAGAACATGTCAAATTACTCTGAAGACAGGTCCCCATGTACAGCTTTGAGAGGTAACAAAGGGCCAGATTAGTGACTGTGTGTAATGTTAAGATTTGGGAATGGTGTTTAGCTGGCAGTCATTATTGCATCTCACCTTTCCCCTTGGAAAAGTGTCTGCTATGTTGCAATCACTGAGCAAATGCCAAATGCCTTCTGGGAAAGTCTGATACTGCCAAGAATTCCCTCACCCCCAAGCTGTCTTCCATTGTGTGGGAAAGTTTTAGAATTTCTAGTCTCTAGCATGCTACACCTAAATCCTGGCCAACCAACCCTAACAAATGTGTAATTCAAGCAGTCCCTTAGATTGCTTGGGTAACCAAAAATGTCCAGGGAACAGAAGAGAATGACAGCATAGATACATATGCTTATGTATGACTTTTGACACAACAGAGAGAAAAAATTGCCATTAGAATGCTACTAATGTTGGAATCAATGGTCATATTATGTCTTGATAAATAAGCATAAAAAGGAACCATAGAAACCTTGTTCTATAGGTATAGAGCAGTGAAACTGATACAAAATAAGAAAATAAGCCCTTTTGTAATTTGAGATTCAGTTAAAACATTTGTTTATTCAATTGCTAGATTTCATTGTTCAATTAGAACCATGAATATGTAACGTTTATGAGATAATTTTGCTATCCTAAAAAAGTTGTTGCTATTCACTACTCAACAATAGCTATTTACCCTCATCTTTTACTCTCCATTTCCAAATTCCAACAGATTATTCAGCTAGAGGATTAGACTGGGCTAGTAGTTGAAGATAAATAGGTGATAATTGACACAAGGAAATGGAATACATAATATAAATATTTGATGTTTTAGTAGATTATGAAATGAGTTAGGTGTTAAGATTTATAAATATCACGGCTTTACTGATAACATGGTGAACTATGGACTTGGCTATTGATACGGTTGGCTATCCGTGAATAAAAGGCAAACATTTGTACATGGAAACACAGGCAAACTGGTTGGCTTAGCATAAAACTGCAAATCTATCTTTACAAGTGGAACAGAAAAAAATGGAGTTCAATCATATAGTAAGAAAAAAAGAAAAAGAGCCAGGCATGGTGGCTCACGCCTGTAATCCCAGCACTTTGGGAGGCCAAGGTAGGAGGATTGTTTGAGCCTAGGAGTTCCAGATCAGCCTGGGCAATGTGGTGAGACTCTGCCTCTAAAAAAAAAGAAAAACAATTAACTGGGTGTGGTGGCACATGCCTGTAGTCCTAGCTAGTTGGGAGGCTGAGGTGAGGGGATTGCTGGAGCCTGGGAGGTCAAGGCTACAGTAAGCCATGATCATGCCACTGCACTCCCACTTGGGCAGCAGAGGGAAACTGTCTCAAAACAAAACAGAACAAAAAGGAAAAGAAAGAAAAAAAGGCTATCTCGCAGTTCTATGTGGTAAAAATCCCAATTACCTTGAGATCTTTATCCAGCAATCAAAATAGGACTCACTAACCCAGAAGTCAAAGTAAAACCTCTGAGCTGCTTTAAAAAAAAAAAAAAAGAAAAGGTTTAAAAAGCTATATACTGAAGCTCAGAAACTTGATTAATAGAAAAATTTATTATGTTTTAAACTCATTGAAAGAAACCTGATTATTTCATTCCTCGGGCCATAGAAGATTAGAAACAACAAAAATTTTCCATTCATTACAGATTCTAACATCTATTGTGTGTTAACTATGTGTGAGGGATAATTCCACAAGCAACTGATTTTATCCTCTGAGGTAAGTATTATGACTCCCCTCATTTTACAAATGAGAAAACTGAGGTGGAGAGAGGTTGATTAATTTAGCCAAGATCACACAGTAGAAAGTAGTAGCGTCAGGATTCAAACACAAGTTTTCTACTGGTGTCCACACTTTCAGGTACTACTGGCAAACAGCAGGGTCTATGGACA
The DNA here is from genome assembly GCF_000001405.40 of Homo sapiens. NCBI lineage: Eukaryota > Metazoa > Chordata > Mammalia > Primates > Hominidae > Homo > Homo sapiens. The sequence goes on from NC_000002.12 coordinate 64,159,735, forward strand.
CAGCAACGAACAGAGCATCAGAGGTTCCTGTTTTCACGGTTGAGAAGCAACAGGGAACAGTAAGAGAACCATGGCCGGGTGCGGTGGCTCACGCCTGTAATCACAGCACTTTGGGAGGCCAAGGCAGGTGGATCAAGAGGTCAGGAGTTCGAGACCAGCCTGGCCAGCATGGTGATGCCTGTAGTCCCAGCTACTCAGGAGGCTGAGGCAGGAGAATTGCTTGAACCTGTTAGGCAGTGAGCCGAGATCGCACCACTGCATTCCAGCCTGGGCGACAGAGTGAGACACCGACTCAAAAAAAAAAAAAAAAAAAAAGACAGAGAGAGCCGTGAACTGGCAGGAGCAAGAACTGTGAAGAGCAGAACAACAGGGATGGGAGCTGAAGACTGGGGAGCACTGGACTCTTTACAGTTATTACCTCATTTACTCTTTACAACCATTCTGCAAGTTACCATCATCATTGTTTAGATGAAGAAATTAAGGCTTTAAAAAGTCAAATACATTTCCCCAAATTGCACAATTAGTAAACAGTGGACCTGGAGTTTGAATCCAGGTCTGTCTGACACCAAAGCTTAATTTTTCTCACTATACCTCACTGCTGTAACAAAAAACTACAAACACAGGCGCTTAAAAAACATTTCAGTCTGGGCCACTCTGTGTAGAAGGAAACAGTACTGAACATACTATGCTAGTCATTGAGGGCTTTGTTGAATGCATAAATGGTTGAATATAAAAATGGCACTATAATGAATGTGTAAAATTAAGACTCTAATAATTGAGAAACAACTGCATTCTGTTGGTTAGTCTCCGTTTAAGAAAACAGGGTAATGTATGGTATATTTTTAAAGTCTAAAAATAGATATGGTTAAAATAAAACTAATCTGTGGATTTAAAGGAATGAGTTTCAAGTACTTAGAAAATTCTTCTATGTGGAATATCTATTTTCTAATGATACCAGATAAAGTTTTCAATACAGAGAAACAGTAGAAATAGACATATTAAATAAAGGTTTATGCTATTTTGTGTTAACCTTTATTTAATACAATAAATAAAGGGTCCAATAAAAATAAAGGCCAAATAACCTTTATTTAATAAAATAAATAAGGGCCCAATAAAAAATAGTCCCTCCTTGTTTCATGTTTTCCTAGAAAAAATAAAAAATAAAACAACAGTAGTCCCAGCCCTTTAATAACAACTTAGATTATGTGTTAATGATGATTCATACAGTATTTTTAAATGTTTTTACAAATTATAAGAAATTATAATTTATCAGGAATTCAAACTATTAGAAAGGTAAAATAATTGGATTTTCCCCTGCAGTATACTTTGGTGAGAAAGAAAGGACATGAGATGTTCTTCAGAAAACCTCCAAACTTTAAATTCAGGTATTCAGCCAAGTAAACAAATCATTTACTTAAAAGAACAATGTATATTTTACATCTTTAATGCATGTTTAACTCCATTTCCTACACTTTCCCCATCTATATTACTGTATTGATGATTGGTCCCGTAATGATAATCATGATATACATTCTGTTCTCTAAGCTACAAAAGAACAAAAAGATAAACTACATTCACTGCAATTGAAGAAGAATATATTTGATTTCTATATATATATATATATATATATATATTTTTTTTTTTTTTTTTTTTTTTTTTTTTTGAGATGGAGTCTCACTCTGTCACCAGGCTAGAGTGCAGTGGTGCCATCTCGGCTCACTGCAACTTCCGACTCCCTGGTTCAAGCGATTCTCCTGCCTCAGCCTCCCGAGTAGCTGGCATACAGGTACGCGCCACCACACCTGGCTAATTTTTGTATTTTTAGTACAGATGGGGTTTCACCATGTTGGCCAGGATGGTCTCGATCTCCTGACCTTGTAATCTGCCCGCCTCGGCCTCCTAAAGTGCTGGGATTACCAGTGTGAGCCACTGAGCTCAGCCTTGTTTTCCATATTTAAAAATTAGTCAATTATTGCTTATCTGGTAGCTTTCAGATAACTCAAATATTAATTATTAATTCTTTAGATTTTTTTTGTTTTTTGAGTTGGAGTCTCACTCTGTCACCCAGGCTGGAGTGCAGTGGTGTGATCTTGGCTCACTGCAACCTCTGCCTCCCGGGTTCAAGTGATTCTCCTGCTGGCCTCCCAAGTAGCTGTGATTACAGGCACGTGCCACCACGCCTGGCTAATTTTTTATATTTTTAGTGGAGACGGGATTTCACCGTGTTAGCCAGGATGGTCTCGATCTCCTGACCTTGTGATCCACCCATCTCGGCCTCCCATAGTGCTGGGATTAAAAATTTTTGTGAAAAAATTTTTGGAAAGTTTTCCTAGAAATATAAGAAAACCATGTTTTCATTGATTGCACAGTTACTTGTACTGACTTCCATTGACTTTAAAGTCCTATGTCCTGCTTAGGAGTTTGACATATTTTTAATGAAAAAAATTTTTTTTTTCTTTTTGAGACGGGGTCTCATTCTGTCACCCAGGCTGGAGTGCAGTGGCCTGATATCGGCTCACTGCAACCTCCGCCTCTGTGGTTCAAGCAATCTCTCACCTCAGCCTCTCCAGTAGCTGGGGATACAGGCGGGAGCCATCATGCCTGGCTAATTTTTATATTTTTAGTAGAGATGGGGTTTCACCACATTGGCCAGGCTGGTCCCGAACTCCTGACCTCAGGTGATCCGCCTGCCTCAGCATCCCAAAGTGTTGGGATTACAGGTATGAGCCACTGTGCATGGCCAAAAAATTTTAACGATTTAAAAATAGTAAGAATTTTTCAATTGGTTAATGATCATAGACAACATTCAAGCAAAATACCATTTGATACTGAATAGTTCTAACATTTTAATTGTATTGCAAGAAAACTTTGTGTTGGAGATAATTACTTAATTTAGATCCGAATATATGTGCACTGGAAAGTGGCACTTTATGTTGATTACAAAAATGTAATTAGGCAATAGGCTTAGTTTTGACCAAGCCTATTTGCTAATTGTGGGAAGTTTTTTTAAAAAAATCAAAGAAGTGAGTGTAGTTTAAAGTACAAGAGAAAGAAAAACATTATTTCCTTCCTAGGCACTTTTCTGGTGGATGGATGGAGGCTATATAGCTACAACTACTTTTTCCAGATTTTTCAAGACAGTTCAAATTTTAATATTACATTTTGAGACCATATTAAACCATTCACTCTCATTTTTGTTTCAAAATGTTTGGACACCATGGGGGATAACAGTCTGACAATTTTAGGAAAATCTTACTTTTACTTTGATTCCAAATGTAATATCAGAGAGTTTCCAAAGGTGGATTCCAAAAAATTTAGAATATTTAAGTAACAAAGAGTAATTGACTTTGGATAGGCCTTCTCATTGGCCTCAGAAATTTTATGAGATATGGTCTGGGTTTATAAAACCATAGAGAGACCTATTTTTGAAGCTTCATTGTGCCAGAACTACTTTGAAAGTTCTTTCTTCCAACTTAAGGCTTCATATAGCACATATATACTGATTAATATGTAAGTTAGAAAAAGTTTATCATCTATTACTAGGACAGTATTTCAACAATGTAGAATATATTTCTCCTTTTAAAAAACATTTATTATAATTATTTTTTCCTTCCTTCCTTCCTTCCTTCCTTACTTCTCTCTCTCTTTCTTTCTTTCTTTTTGGAGACAGTCTCGTTCTGTCACCCGGTCTGGAGTGCGGTGGTGCAATCTCGGCTCACTGCAACCTCCGCCTCCCGGGTTCAAGCTATTCTCCAGCCTCAGCCTCCTGAGTAGCTGGGATTACAGGCATGCGCCACCGCATCCAGCTAATTTTTGTATTTTTAGTAGAGATGGGGTTTCACCATGTTGGCCAGGTTGATCTTGAACTTCTGACCTCAGGTGATTCACGCACCTTGGCCTCCCAAAGTGCTGAGATTACAGGCGTGAGTCACCGCACCCAGCCTATAATTATATTTTCTAAGAAATTATTTAGGCCAGGCATGGTGGCTCACACCTGTAACCCCAGCATTTTGGGAGGCTGAGGCAGGCAGATTGCTTGAGCCTAGGAATTCAAGACCAGCCTGGGCAACTTGGCAAAACCCAATCTCTACAATAAGTAAATAAATAAATAAAACAAAAGTGAGCTGGGTGTAGTGGCATGTGCTTGTAGTACCAGCTACTTGGGAGGCTACAGTGGGAGGATTGCTTGAGCCCAGGAGGTGAAGGATGGAGTGAGTTGATATCATGCCACTGCACATTAGCCTGGGTGACAGAATGAGGCCCTGTCTCAAAAAAAAAAAAAAAAGAAAAGAAAAAGAAAGTAATTATTTAAATATTGAATCGGTATGACAGGCCTTGTCAAAGCAACAATTAAGTAATTGGCCTAGAATAGTACTTTGCACACCTTGATGAAGCTCAGATAGTAGACTCATTAAAAGAACATAATGTTTTGTTTTCTACTCCTTTAAAGAAAAGGAAGCATTTTAGCAGTAATGGTGTAAATACAGGACATCCCTATTTCTTGCTTATTAAAGAAAATGCTGAAAGGAGACCTTATCTTCGCTTGCTTGACATCCTCTTAGCAAAGACCAGTCTTTTAATTTCCTTTCTTTTTTTCTTACAACTTTTAATTGGTTCATATGTTTTAGACCTCAGAGGACAATGCCAGCTTTCATTTTTAATGTGGTATATCCTTAATACCCTAATGCCTATTCTTTTGGTACAATATAGGTGGTGGCTCCTAAAACATACTTGCTTTTGTGTAATACTTGGGTTACATATATTTTGTGGTGGTTGTAACATACTTCTTATATATAAAATCAGGATTTTTAAATTTACCTATTTTTTGGGATTAATGTATATAGTTGCACAGATTATGTGTATATTAGTATCATTATTATGGACTCATATTATGACTCTGAAGGTTTCTTTTAATGATGAGATCATACATGTATCTGAAACAGGATTCTAAAGGTTGCTGGAGAAAGCCCAACACTCAATTCATGTAAGGGCTCTAAAATTGAGAGCATTTCTGCTTGTATCTGATTTCCTGGTCTTGTATCTTTATATAACTAAGAAATTATGCAAATTCATTTAACCATAACCAACAGCCAAATCTTCCACAGGCACTTTGAGTGTATGTGCATGTTCATGAGTAGATATGTTAAGGATTCCTATATTTGTAATTCCTAAACTTTTATGTCTAGACAGAAGAAAATACAGTACAGTATTTGAGCATTATTTTTCATATGTGTGATGATAATTTGCAGGGACCATTTAGACAGACCTAAAATACGTGAATTAGATGTGGTGCTTCTAAAGAAACTCCTTCCCACTTTTCTCACTCTGGAAAAAATAATTTACTCTTTTATTTAAATATTTTTTTTCTTTGACTTAAAGGATTCCATGATTTGTATATATTTTTCTTGTAAGTATTTTAAATAATATACCATAAAAATAACACGCAGTAAATTCAAATTTAATTCGAAAAATATTTAATTAAGAATGCTACGTTTTGGCTGGGCGCAGTGGCTCACGCCTGTAATCCCAGCACTTTGGGAGGCTGAGGAGGGTGGGTCGTGAGGTCAGGAGATCCACACCATCCTGGCCAACATGGAGAAACCCCATCTACGCTAAAAATACAAAAATTAGCTGGGTGTGGTGGCAGGCACCTGTAGTCCCAGCTACTCCGGAAGCTGAGGCAGGAGAATAGCTTGAACCCGGGAGGCAGAGGTTGCAGTGAGCGGAGATCGCGCCACTGCACTCCAGCCTGGGCAACAGAGTAAGACTCCATTAAAAAAAAAAATGCCACGTTTACACAGCATTCTTCTCTTGAAATTTGATAGTGAGCTTCAAAATTCATAAATTCTTTTTTCCTTTTCTTGAATAAAACATCATCTAACATGTAATTGGAAAATAAAAACTTACATATTGCGATGGAAACAATGATAATATTGTTCATTGTATTCATTGTACATGAGGCACTACATTATGTGATTGATCAATTTTATCTTTAAATGACTTGTGTGGGTGACTTATCAGGGTTTAAAACAGTCACAATGAACGGGATATTGTTTTTAAACTTAAAGAGAGCATTAGTGGTTTCCTAAATATTTCCAACCTAAGTTCATCTAGGCAGAGCAAGACCTTTTGCCATTGTTTATGATCATGCTTCCATTATGTCATCCTACCTCCCTCAGTGTTCACTAGAAAGGGATTCAGAGGCAGCTCTCAAGGCCCTGTTTCAACATCATTTTGTCTTGCTCAGCCCACAGTACTGCATCTCTCTTTGCTGTACATTTAATATCTCCCTCTCCACTGGCTGTCTCCCAAAAATGCACCCCTTGACTCTATCCCCTTCTCTAGCTATTAGTCTGTTTCTCCTTCTCTTCCCATTCAAGTTTCTTGAGAGGGGGCTACATTCAGTCCTTCCATTTTCTTATCTCTCTTTCATTTGTTTAGTATCTTTCTTTTATTGTACTAAAATATACATAAAACTTTCCATTGTAACCATTTTTAAATGTACAGTTCTGTGGCATTAAGTACATTCACACTGCTCTGCAACAATCACCACAATCCATTTCCAGAACTTTTTCATCTTCCCAAATGGAAACCCTCTACTCATTAAACAATAACTTTCTATTCCGCCTCTGCCCAGCCTCTGGCAACCACCATTCTACTTTCTGTCTGTATGAGTTTGAGAAGTTTCAGTGCCTCTTAAAAGTGGAATCATGCAGTTTGTCCTTTTGTGACTGGATTGTTTCACTTAGCAGAATGTCTTCAAAGTTCGTCTATGTTTTCTTTATTCTCTTTATTATGACCTGTCTTCTCCATGTCATTGAAACATTCCTTGCCAAGGTCACTTGTGACCCTCTACTTCCTCAATATTCTGGAAAATTGTCTTCCTTTTTCTTTTAGTGGCATTTAACTGCACTTAGTACTTTTTGATACTCTCTCTTCTCACTTCTAATTTTCCTCCTTTTGATTTTCTACCTACATTTCTAGCACTTTTTTGTACATTTCTAGTACTTTTTTGTGGACTCCTCTCCAACTTAAACATTGTTTTTCTCCTGTGTCTCTGTACACTCAAAAGTATATGTTCCTCCAATGATCTCATCCATTCCTGTGGCTTCCACCTACCACTTATGTATTGACTCTGACTTTTTATCCAACTCTTATTTCTCTCCTTAGCTTCAGGAAAGGGTTGCTGGAGATCTTTACATGAAGTTTCCACAGACAAGGTGTTCAAAACTGAAATTACCGTCTTTCCCTCCAGATTTGTATCAACAAATGGCTGGAACCAACCTGAGTCACTCTTAAGTCTAAGTTTTCCTACCCATAACATGCAGTTGATTTCTTAAGTTTTCTCAGTTTTACCCACTTAATATCCCTGGAATCTGTCCTTTTCTATCCATCCATTCTCACCATTACTGCTACTTGTCAGCTCAAGTATTATTCTTTTTTTCCGGGATTACTGTCACAGCCTCCTAATGAGTCTGCTTCTCTTCTTTCAGTTTTATCCCCATCGAACATAATCCCCACTTGCTGCCAGAATGATCTTTCTACAAAACAAATCCAATTATGTCTCTTTCTGAATAGTTTTTGAATGCCTTCCCTTTGCCGTCAGGAAAAAATCCAAACCTCTTAGCAGAACATGCCATGGTTCTGCAGGACCTGGCCTCTGCTCACCTCTTCAACCTCAGCACTTGCTACTTTCCTTTATGCATTACGTGCTTCCACAGGTGTGATAAACCTCCCTGGACACAGTCTCTTCAGACCCACCATGTTTTTGTATGTGGCATTCTCCTGAACAACTCCTGCTAGTCCTTTAGGACTCAGCTCCAAGGCCATCTTCTCCAGGAAATCTTCCTTGGAGATGGGTGTAGTGGATGCTATGGTATGCTGCTTGCAT